>NC_000023.11:143726361-144425606 GCF_000001405.40 Homo sapiens | reverse complement strand
TGACATATTTATATTTGTATATATATATGACATATTTATATTTATATATAAATATATATGACATATTTATATTTATATATAAATATATATGACATATTTATATTTATATATAAATATATATGACATATTTATATTTATATATAAATATATATGACATATTTATATTTATATATAAATATATATGACATATTTATATTTATATATAAATATATATGACATATTTATATTTATATATAAATATATATGACATATTATTTATATTTATATATAAATAATATGACATATTATTTATATTTATATATAAATAATATATTATATATTATTCATATTTATATATAATATATATTATATATTATTCATATTTATATATAATATATATTATATATTATTATTTATATATTATATATTATATATTATTATTTATATTTATGTATATAAATACATAGATTATTATTTATATTTATATATAAATAATTTTATATTATATATAAATATAAATACTATATATGTTTATATATAATTTACCCATAAGTACAATAAATAAATTTACAAATAAATAAATAAATATGTATATATATATATATATATATATAATATGTATTTAAAAAGACAATCTTAGTAGACCATAAACTTACAACATTCCAGAATTTGACAGTGGGCTATAGTTTGCTGACACTTGCTGTAGGTTAGCGAGAAAATCTCTTAAATATTATTTAAGCAGCTCAATATTTTGGTAAATTTAGTTACACTTACGGATTTATATTCATCAAGAGACACATTAAAAGGAATGGAAAGATAAACCACGAATTTGAGAAAGTATGTGTGACACAAAACTGACAAAAGAAATGTCTCCAGAATATATAACGAACTTCAGTGTCCCAGTAACTGAAAGAAAATAGATATGGGGCATCCTAAAACTCAAATGGCTGGGGAGAATATAAATTGTTACAACAACATTGAAAAAACTCTTTCATATTATCTGTTAAAGATGAATATAAGCAAACCCTTTTGCTATCAATTTAATACACACACACACACACACACACACACACACACACACACATATGTGCCCCTGCAGAAACTCTTAACACAAATAATCTCAGATATATGTAGAGAATACTCAGACAACTTGTTCATAGGCGCCTCCAACTAGAAACAAGCTAGATGTCTGCTAATCTTAGAATGGATAAGTATGTATTATATTTGTATGATGGAATAATAGATATCAATAGTAAACAATGAACTACATCTTCATGCATTAACATTAATGTATCTGAAAAAATGATATTGAAGAAAATTAAGTCACATAGTAATAGGTTCATTATCATTTCATTTCTGTAGAAGTAACACAACAAAACTAAACAGATATTTCAACATTGCATACATATTTGGGAAAAATACAGAAGAAAAGTGAGGGAGTAATTAACATAAAATTCAGGACAGTGAAAAAGCTTAGAGGTTCTAATTTTGTAAGGCACACAGAAAGCTTAGAATGTCTTAGAAATACTCTGTGTATTCATGGATTTAGTTTATGATTAATATTAATAAGGTGCTAGATTTGCTGGGCACAGTGGCTCACGCCTGTAATCCCAACACTTTGGGAGGCTGAGTGGGGTGGATTACCTAAGGTCAGGAGTTCGGGATCAGCCTGGCTAACATGGTGAAACGCTACCGTACTAAAAATACAAAAATTAGCTGGGCGTGGTGGCTTGCACCTGTAATCCTAGGTACTCAGGAGGCTGAGGCAGGAGAATAGCTTGAGCCCGGGAGACAGAGGTTGCAGTGAGCCACGATTGTGCCACTGCACTCCAGCCTGGTGACAGCATGAGACTCTGTCTCAAAAAAAACAATAATAATAATAATAAGGTGCTAGATTGTGACTAAATGTTATCTTGTTTTCCGGGATAAATATTTTTCACAAATAATGCTCTTATTCCTCTTATTCAGTGTTAGAGCCAACTCCTTATTTTATGCAGCATTATTTTCATAAAGCATCAATACTGAATTTCTTCAAAGCATATTTCTAGGTCTCTTTAACTTCTCACTTATCCTCTTCCCAAGCAGTCCCAGCCATGCTTGAAGCCTCAACATACCATGTATTTGCTTTCCTTTAGGGTTTGCAGTGATATATTATTTCATTATTTTATAGAGGATATATTTAGCCCTCACATAAGAGTTGACTCCTAGGGTTGTAAAAATATTAGTTTTGCAGGCTTTATAGAGAAGAGGAATCTTAGAGCAGATGAGCAGCCTAATTTGAAGAGTAAGCTCTGAACTTTGAAAAGCAAATAAATTATCTCAACTGAATAAGGAGAGAAATACATTCAGCTGCAAACTAATAATGCAATCTGATGAGTTGACTAGGGGAAAATACTATTAAAATAGTGTTATTGAAGAAGATATTTGTGGGTAATAACATGTTTTTATTTATTTCACACATTGTGACCTATGGCTTGAAGGAAATCTTTATTCACTACGCCATTATGCCATTCATCTCTGATGAATTGAAGTTATGAGGCATAAGACAAAAAAGGTTTATATAAATGAGTGTATCTAAATAGGATCTTCCGTAACTACATGTCATTTAGGAGAAAAATAGTTTCACTAATGCTGCTTGAGGACATTTCATTATTAGACCTGTTAAATTAAAAAAAAGATCAACATGTCTTATGTCATTATACTGTGTTAAGATTAACTTCATGGAACAGGCAAGATCTTTTAATTCTGCACACCCCTGACTCTACTGGTAGGCAAAAATGGAGTGATCATAAAGTACTATGGACTTTTGATGATTTGTAAAATGTTAAGTAATGGAATCACCGGATAATAACATAGAAAAGGCCATAAAGAGAGCATCTTCTCCAGCTATGTCTCTTTGGCCAGGTTAAAGGGGAGTCTGTTCGTGTTTTGCTTCAAGTGTTTCAGAAACAGACACTTCAACTGGTTCTTTTCTCTAGGATTTCTGCACTCAAAAAGCAGATGTACTTTTCTGATGTTTTAAAGTGTTTCATTTTTTTATTGCACTTGAAACAACATTCTCTTTTTTAGTTACTGGTAATATGAAGATGTGTAGGTTACATTGTATATTAATTTTTCATAGTGAAGAAAGCCATACGGTTCTTTAAGCATTTCTCATGAAACCCATTATCCATTCTTTTAGTTATTTTTATTGCTCTATTTGGGACATGTTTACCTTTTTCTACATAATCCACCTTACTCCTGCAAGAATGGCCATAATCAAAAAGTCAAAAAACAGTTGATATTGGCGTGGATGTGGTGAACAGGGAACACTTCTACACTGCTGGTGGGAATGTAAACTAGTACAGCCACTATGGAAAACACTGTGGAGATTCCTTACAGAACTAAAAGTAGAACTACCATTTGATCCAGGAATCCCACTACTGGGAATCTACCCAGAGGAAAATAAGTCATTATTCAAGAAAGATACTTGCACATGCATGTTTATAGCAGCAGAATTCACAATTGCAAAATCATGGAACCAACCCAAATGTCCATCAGTCAACGAGTGGATAAAGAAACTGTGGTATATATATATAAAATATATATATAAAGAAATATATATATTTTATATATATCACATAGATATTATATATATTTTATATATATCACATAGATATTATATATATTTGATATATATATATCACATATATATATCAAATATATATGATATATATCACATAGATATTATATATATCACATAGATATATATATGAGAGATATATATCACATAGATATTATATATATATACATGATGGAATCCTATGCAGCCATAAAGAGGAATGAATTAACATCATTTGCAGTGACCTGGATGAGACTGGAGACTATTATTCTAAGTGAAGTAACTCAGGAATAGAAAACCAAACGTTGTATGTTCTCACTGACATGTGGGAGCTAAGCTGTGAGGACACAAAGGCATAAGAATGATACAATGGACTTTGGGGATTTTAGGGGAAGAGTGAGAGGGAGGCAAAGGATAAGCTACTACAAATATGGGGCAGTGTATACTGCCCGGGTGGTGGGTGCACCAAAATCTCACAAATCACCACTAAAGAACTTACTCATGTAACCAAATACCACCTGTATCCCAATAACCTATGGAAAAATTAAATAAAAATATAAAATTAAAAAAATAACCCATTTATGTAGAAAAAGAACATAAACATTATGTTTTAAAAGAAACATAAACATAAACTTTGGAAGGTTTCAAACCTTCCACGGTTTCAAACAATGTGCTGACCTTCACATTAGCTGTGTGTGTGTGTGTGTGTGTGTGTGTGTGTGTGTGTGTTTATATTTCTATCTATTATATGTATATAAAGTGAATTTTTCTAAGCAACCTGAATATCAGCTTTGATATCTGTAAAATGGGCATCATCTTATCAAAATTTGAGTCTTAAGCATTGAATCAACCCACTGAGGCTACCTAGCCCCTGGAATAAAACTTTTACTGGTATTTTAGAAGCAATACGACAAGAGTCCGTATCTTTCAAATCGTAAAGTCTCTAAGTGAAATATCTAAGTCTTGGTATAGCTGTTTTGGAAAGGAAAATCAATGGTGAAAGGCCTAGTGTTATTTCCAATACATGGACTTAGGTTTACTTCCCTGTTATTTTTAGCAACATGTCTCTCATAACATACTGATAAGCTACAGAGAAAGCTGAAATCCTCACAACTTGGTTTTTTAACGTGAGAGACCCATCAAAAAAGAAAAAAACATTTCTCCTTTGTGGAAAATAAAAACATGATGAATTGACATTTTTGAACATTCTACACAATTGCTTTGTCTACATATGCCTAATTATAGCTTGAGAATTACAAAGAAAGTGTAGTTGTCTGTGTTAAAAACAACTTTCTCAAGTTACGGCAGCATGAGTGCACATTCCCCTCTGGGAGTAATGCTCCCTATTCTCAAACTTGAGTTTCTTGAATATTTTACCCTATATAGGGCCAAATCTGCTTCTCTTACATTGCTTCTGCTGAGAATTCTCAGGGGCTCTCAGTGACAAGAGGGACTGCCCTGGTAGACTTATTCTTCAAGTCTTTCCTTTGACTTCTTCAAATTCTGCTCCTTGCTTCTTTTCTGCATAACTGCTATACCGCAGTGTGAACATTAGTTTCTACCTTTTTAAACTCCCATACTCCCCTTGCCTTTCCATGCATTCTGTGACTGCCCATTTTAATGTACAACACCAAAAGCAACCTCTTTTTACTTGAATTAATTATTATCAAGAACCAGAGAAGCAGGAAGGCCCAGTTAAAGAAGGGTAGAGACATTTTTGTCTGATGCAGTGGCAATAGGAAGAGAAAAAGATAGAATTGTTTTTGAGGTAAACATGCTTTTTAAGAAAACGAATCAAAGGCAAACAGAAATAAGTTCTTGCATTTAGCAAGTATTCTACTTGGTTAATCTTTACCCATGTAGAGCACTTTAAATTTCTTAAAACACTCCTATAGCCACCATATAACATTATAATTTCCCTGTAAATTAAAGATTTATAGAATTGCATTGATATTCTCTAGGTTTATAGGCTGAAGTACAGAGTTAGGTAATATTCCGGATGTTTTGAAACTCGTTACTATTCATATTATTAAGAAATGTTGACAAGTAAAGATGACTAAGTGTATTATACAGAAAAATTATTGATAAAACAAAGTGCTTCTTTCTATAATTTGGTTCTCAAATACCCAAAGGGCTGGGGCAGAAGGCAGGGGGCAGGGAGAAACCAATTACATTTCAAAATTGACAAACAAGCGAAGAGATCCCCTGAAGTGAAGCTTTTCAGTTGTCATCTACTAGGACAAGTTTTCTCATATATACAACATCGTTGATATAGTACTTACTTCATGTAGTTGTGAAGATTGAATGAATTCATAGGTATACTTAGAAGAGTGTCTGGCTATAAGAAATATTCACTAAATACATTTTATTTTTGCTATTTTCTGGACTATATGAGTAGCAGGGTAAGGCTTACAACCTGGATGGAGGCTTTATGCTTCCTGACTTTCAGTATAGTGTCCATTCTCTCAGAGGGATACCTCTGCCATATCCAATACACAACTCATTTTAAATCACTGGAATTTAATGAGTTAAGGGTGATGTTGTCTGTGCTTGTGTGGTACAATGAGCTACAAGTTGTAAGGCCCACTTCTTGTCATTTTTGTCATCATATTTTAGATACATCAGTGAAAAGAGAATATGTATATTTCATCAGCACAAACCGTTCTAATCAGAATAGCGAGATCACTGGATTCTTGTTAGTCAGGCTTACAGTGAATGGTCTTGGTGAGAGTTTAATGCACAAATATGTGTGAACACACTTAGCATAGCGTCAGAAGTGTATGACGTGCTCAATAAATAATAATCTCTTTTCCTGCTGTAAATCCGGATTCCTCCCCAGTCAGGAGCCTGCCCTCTTATTGAAAACCACAATTTATATTCTTGATATTTACGTAAACATGCAAGGTGCTATGTCTTTGTACGATAAATGATAACAGACATTTCAGGAGCTTGTGAATGTCTGAGGAGGTATTGTGAATGAAGTAGGTTTTGAGGGATGAATTGATGGTAAATTAGAGGAAATGAAAGCTGGAGGACATTCAATTGTTTCCTTCCTCATAGGGATCATAAGTATACAATTCAGCATTGGATATGATGTTCTTATTGAGCTACTGTGTTCATTATGACAAATCACCATTTTGCTGAATATGTAGTAACAGGAAAGATATGTGGATGAATTAATATTCACAAATTAATGCAGTATATCAAGAGCAACTATATTCTGGTGTGAACTTTCCTGTCAGGCCTGAGCACCTGTTTGTGTTATATATATTGTTTAATTTGTTCTTAGAGACTAGCTTTGGTCATGCCATTTCTTACTATTGAACCCACTACTTCATTAATTTGTAATTTTTCGTCTCTCAATTTTATCTGGAACAAAATCCTAACAATTTTTAAAAAATACTTTATGGCTTGTTTCTTTTAAGAGAGATTCCTCGATTTTCTGAACTTATTTTATTTTTTATTTTTTTTATTATACTTTAAGTTCTGGGGTATATGTGCAGAACATGCAGGTTTGTTACATAGGTATACACGTGCCATGGTGGCTTGTTGCACTCATCAACCCACCATGTACACTAGGTATTTGTCCCAGTGCTATTTCTCCCCTATCCCCCCACTCCCCAACAGGCCCCGGTGTGTGATGTTCCCTTCTCTGTGTTCACGTGTTCTCATTGTTCAACTCTCATCTATGAGTGAGAACATGCGGTGCTTGTTTTCTGTTCTTGTGTTAGTTTCTGAACTTAAACATTACATATGTCACTTGACCATAAGGTAACTAATTAAGTATCTGTGATTCTGAATTCACTTTTCTCCTGTGTATGTGTTATTCTCTTAATAATTTGGGGGAGGGTTTAAACATTATATTTCTATCATTGAGAGCGTGAATATGAATACAATACTATGTATATCATAGTAATGATAATAACTAACATTTATTGTGCTTATTACATGCAAGGCACTGTTCTAATGTCTTTGCTTAAATTAACTAAGTGAATCCTCACCACAGCCTAGGGTAATATATTTAAAATTTTCTATTTCATAAAGTTACTAAGATTTACATAGGTTAAATAATGCTAATGTGCTTAGAAAGTTCTCACTAAAGTTAAACATTTATTAATATCATCCAGATTTTACAAATAAGAACACTAAGATTCAGAGAGAGTAAGTGGCTAACATCACATAGCTTATAAACAACAGAGCTAATATTTAAACTTAGGCATTCTAGCTCCAGATAGCATTCTCATAAACATTACTACTTCTCTGGAAATTATTTTGATGCCTGGTTAATGTTGAAGTCAGTACAGAAAGAGTTCTAGGTAATCTGTGGTTAATTTCAGTTAAAGCTGTGAATTTTATATGTTATTTTTTCTGTAAGCAGCATTTAATATTGTTGACCACTTTTTCCTTTAAAACTTATTTTAATCATCAAAACCATATGAGTGCAAATTAAAGTGTAAATGAAAACAAGTAATACATATTAGATTTATAAAAAGCAAAAAAAATGATAATATCTAGTGTGCTTGACAGCTTTTAAATTGTCCTGCTATTACTTCTGCCTCATGATGTCCATACCCTTGTACAAAACCCTCTGCTAGAATTTGGGTTGGATATGTGACATACTGCTAACTAAGAGACTGGCAAAGGTGATGGGATGTCACTCCCATGATTAGATTATGTTATATAATAATCTCTTGCTAGCCAGCATTACCTTGCACTTCTATTGACCTTAAAAAAGTAAGATGTCATATTGTGGACTGCTTATACAGGATTACACATTGCTGGGAAGTTAAGGGAGACTTCCAGCTGAAAAATTTAAGGAAATTCTCAGTCTTTTGGCTATGAGGAAATGAATTCTGCCAAGAATCTGGATGAGCTTAGAAGTGAATTGTTCTCCAGTTGTACCTACAGAAAAGAATACAGTCTAGCTGACATCTTGATTTCAGTTTAGTGAAATCTTGATGTAGAGAATATAGCTTAACCAAGCCAAGATTACTGATAAACAGAAACTGTGAGATAATAGATATGTGTTGTTTTAAGCTGTTACGTTTGTGGTAATTTATGATGCAGCAATAAATAAATAATACATTTAGTGGCAGTAAAGGTACCAGGAAATTGACCATATCTTACTCCTTTGGCAGAAATACAAATTAGGACAGCAACTTAGCAGAGTGTCTTACGAGTCTTAAAATTGCCCATAATCTTTAACTCAATTATTTTGCTCCTAAACATTTATTGTAAAAATCAAGTGTGAGCTGTATTCTTTATAACAGAATAAAACTATTTAAACACACACACAAATAATAAAAGGAAAAGAAAGGTTTTTTTTTTCTCCCACATGAAGATTACCTAAAATACAATGCCTCTAGTCAAAGACATTTTATGAAGCTATCAAAAATTATTTGGAAGAAGTGTACATAATGGCACTGACAGGCACTGGTAATATATAATGAAGAAGCAGGTGACAAAACAGTAGGTGCAGTGAGATTCAATTTTTAAAAACTATGTGTGTCAGGAGAGCAGCTATTCTCATTTATTGCATTTGATCTTTCTCCTCATGCTAATGTCAACATTTTGCCCCTGACTAGACCCTGGAGAAACTAATGTTTAGAGCTGGCTATATGTACTTCTGAATGAAAGCAGGGCAGAAGGGATGCACCCATATTCTCAATCCACACAAGGTGTACCTGAAGGTTGTAATTTCTATAAATAATGTGTTCTCTACATAGGTAATTCATGTAGTTTTCTAGAGCAGAATTCATCCTTGTACCAGGTCCTTGCATGGAGTATTATGAGAAAGGCAGCTGTCTCCTTTTGGATCTCTGACCTTCACCATGCATATGTCTTGCACCATTTTCTGGGTGCATGCCTCATCACTCCAATAAGTGCCTAACTGAGTGGCATGACAGCTTTTTCCTTCAACTAACCCTTGTGTCCTCTGTTTCAGAATCATGGGAAAATGCCAGACCTCTTTCCTTCCAAAAGAAGCCATTAAAAACTGTGTATATAGTTCTCTCCCCGCATTTCTATCTACATTTATATTTCCCGATGCCCTACAGTTGCCAATAACTTGTTATATTATGTTTAGGCTAAAGCTGCTTCCTTACATATTTCAAATTTAGTCTAAAGGTTTCTCTGTGCGTAGTGAACTTCACCTAACTGGATATGTAAACAGACTGTAACCTACCAATCACTCTAGTTTTGGCCATTCAAAAATGGCCAACTGTTCAATCCGTGTTCACATAAGGCAAACATCAAGCTGTCACAAATCCAGCTGTTTCTTTACCTCACTTCCATTTTCTGATGTTACTTTCCTTTTTCTGTCTATAAATCCTTGCTGACCACATGGAAGCACCAAAGTGCCTCTGAACCTAGTCTGGTTTTGGGGGCTGCCTAATACACAAATTGTTTTTTGCTCAATTAAACTCTTAAATATAATCTGTCTAAAGTTTTGCTTTTAACAGACATTAGTCTCATGCCTTCAAAAAAACTTAAGCAGTAGCAGGCACTAATTACTGATTCTCTGGCTTATTTTGTCTTGCTAGTTTGTCTTTCTGTCTGTTTTGCAAATTATGTGCCCTCTGTTTACATTCTTAAATTTCATTGTTGCCCTAGATTCTGTTCTTGGTGCTGCTAAATATTAAGAATTTGGGGAGTAAGGATATCAGAGTTTTAGGGCCAGAAGTTGGTAGCATGTATAATTTGCAAAATTCAAGAATTGATAATATTTTATGTTGAATAACTTAAAATAAATGCTATTTTTGTAATATAAAATACATAAATTAAAACTTACTTATGATTGTTATTCTCAGTCCACCAACTTGAGTGTACAAGAAACATCACTCTCTGATAATGGTTTGTCTCAAATCTCATCTTGAATCGTAATCTGAATTGTAATCCCCAGGTGTTGAGGGAGGGACCTGGTGAGAGCTGATTGGATCATGGGGGCAGTTCCCGCATGCTATTCTCATGATAGTGAATTAATTCTCACGAGATATGATTGATTGGTAAGTGTGGGGCTCTTCCCCTTTGATTCTTCCCCTTTGATTCTCTCTCACCTGCCACCTTGTAAGACATGCCTGCTTGTAAGACAGCCCTCCATTCAATGTCATATAAGTTGCATGCCATTGAGGGCCCTCTGCTGTACCCTGCCATATTTTTGGAGTCCCAGGCCTAGGATCTAGCTTCCTATACCCTGCATCCATTCGTGCTGAGGCCCTACTCTATTCCTGAGGTGTCAAAAGCGTAGAGAGCACAAATTTTCCTTAACAGATGTCCTGATTTTTTGCTTTCCTCTATCACAGGAGTCAATCACTTTTTCTAGCTTTGGGGAAGCCCCTCTGTCCCAGATTTTTCTCCGAAATTACTATTTTCTTTAATTTGAAGAGCTCTAACATCTATGACTGTTCTCAGCAAATGCATGTCCATTTCTTTTTTTCTTTTTTTTTTTGAGACGGAGTCTTGCTCTGTCGCCCAGGCTGGAGTGCAGTGGCGCCATCTCGGCTCACTGCAAGCTCCGCCTCCCACATTCACGCCATTCTCCTGCCTCAGCCTCCCGAGTAGCTGGGACCACAGGCGCCCGCCACCACGCCCGGCTAATTTTTTGTATTTTTAGTAGAGACGGGGTTTCACCGAGTTAGACCAGGATGGTCTCGATCTCCTGACCTTGTGATCCGCCCGCCTTGGCCTCCCAAAGTGCTGGGATTACAGGCGTGAGCCACGGCGCCCAGCCAAATGTATGTCCATTTCTAAAGAACATAACGCACAGAGTATAACATCTGTTAGAATGAAAATTAAGGAGAGGAGAATATAGGGAGACAATCTTATAATAAATTAATATTTTTAAAAATGTATTGGGAAATAGCATTAATCTTAAAAAGAAAACACTTTAATTCCACCTTTGATAAAATAAAAAAAATATATAGGTTGCAATGATATTTAATGAGAAACCTTGAAATACAATAATATTTTACACATAATATTTTGTGAATTCAAAGTCCTGTGTGTGTGAGACTTATCACAATGGAGTTATTGATGTCAAACCCTAACAAAATGGAGTCACAAGGCCATGAAGGCAGGGTCCTCATGCCTATTTGCCTGACAACAGGAGCTATCATCAAAGGACTCTGCCAAAAACACAACCATGCAGTTAAAGATGATGAGGACTTATTTCTGTGAGGACTTATTTCTAGTAAAAGCCTGTCCTAACCACAACCTTGAAAGTAACCTTACTGAACTGCAACCTTGCAGTCAGGGTTGTTCCTGTGAAGACACTCTCCTAGCAATGGCTTGTACACACATTATCACATGTAACAATCCCCTGTAACTATTGAACTTTTAAAACAACCTGAATGCAATTTGACTTTTTTTCTTTAAAAGTTTCTCCTCAATCTCCCTGGATATGGTTATAATTAATATAACATATATAGCCTGGACAATAATCCCTCTAGTATTTATGAACATATTTTCTTTTCCTCACCTGTAAGGATACATATATACTAAAAATAAAGGGATGGAAAAAGGTATTCCGTGTGAATGCAAACCAAAAACGAAAAAAGCATGAGTAGCTATAGTTACATCAGACAAAATATATTTCAAAATATATTTCAAGACAAATATATAAGAAGAGACATAGTAGGTTATTTTACTATGAAGAAGTGATCAATTCAACAGGAGGATAAAACAATTGTAAATATATATACACCCTACCGTGGAGCACCCAAATATGCAAAGCAAACATTATTAGAGCTACAGAGAGTGATCAACACCAATACAAAAATAGCTAGAGATTCAACACCCAACTTTCAGCATTGGACACATCTCCTGGACAGGAAAACAATGAAGAAACATTGAACTTAATGGGCAGTATAGAACAAAAGTACCTAGTAGATACTTAAAGAAAACTTTTTTAAATGCTTCAGAATTGACAGTTTTTTCTCCTGAGTACGTGGATCATTCTCAAGGACAGGCCATATGTTATGACACAAAACAAGTCATATAGCATTCACAAAAATAAAATAATATCAAGCATCTTCTATGAATACAGTGCAATAAAACTAAAGTAACAAGAGAAATTTTGGAAACTATACAAATACATAGAAATTAAACAATATGATCCTGAAAGACCAGTGGGTCAATAAAAAAACTAAAAATAAAATTGAAAATTTTTTAAACAAATGATAATGAAAATGTAACAAAGTAAACTTTTTGAGATACAGCAAAAGCAGCTCTAAGAGGGAATTTTATACCTATAAGTGCCTACATCAGAAAAATAGGAAAAACATCAAATAACCTGACAATGCATCTGAAATAACTAGAAAGGCAAGAGCAAATAAACCCCCAAATTAGGAGAAAAAATAATAATAATCAGAGCAGAAACAAATAAAATTGAAATAAAGAAAACAACACAAAAGATCAACTAAATAAAAAGTTTGTCTTCTGAAAAGTTAAACAACATTGGCAAACCTTTTTCCAGACTTAGAAAGAATGAAGACCCAAATAAATAAAACCAGAGATAAGAAAGAGCTATTACAACTAATAGTGCAGACATTTAAAGGAACATTAGTGGTTACTATAAGCAAGTACATACCAATAAATGGAAAAGTCAGAAGAACAAATGTATAAATTCCTGGATACATACAACCTTCAAAGACTGAACCATGAAGAAATCCAAAACATTCACAAATAAATAACAAGTAGCAATAGTGAAGCTGTAACAAAAAGTCTGTCAGTAAAGAAAATCCTGTTGCCCAATGGATTCACTGCTGAATTCTACCAAATATTTAAAGAATAACCAACACCAAGTCTACTCAAATGTTTCAAAAAAAGAGGAAGAGATAATATTTCTAAATTAATTCTACAAGGCCCATATTACACTGATAACAGAACCAGACAAAGACATATAAAAAATAAAAATGTAGGCAAATGTGTTTGGTGAATGATGATACAAAAATTCTCAACGTAATACTACAAAATTTAATTCAGCAATACAATAGAAAGATCATTCATCATTATCAAGTTCATCATCCCCAAGATGCAAAAATGATTCAACATATGCAAATCAATCAATGGGATACATTATATTAATAGAATGAAGGATAAAAATTATATGATAATTTTAACTGTTGGGGAAAAAGAATTGATAAATTCAACATCCCTCCATGATGAAAACCCTCAAAGCAGCAATGTGAATGGAATTGGAGGTCATTATGTTAAGTCAAATAAGCCAGGCATAGAATGACAAATACTGTTTGTTCTCACTTATATGTGGGAGCTAAAAAAGTTGATCTTATGGAGATAAAGAGTACAACAATAATTAAGAAATGCTGAAAAGGATGAGTGTGTGTATGTGGGTAGGGGGCGATGAAGAGAGGATGGTTAATGAGTACAAACATACGGTTAGAAGGAAGAAATTGGTTCTAGTGTTCTATAGCAGAGTAGGGTGAATATAATTATCAACAATTTATTGTATTCAAAGTAGGTAGAAGAGAGGTCTTAAAATGTTCCCAACAGGTAGAAATGATAAATACTCAAGGTGATGGATCCCTCAAAAACAAATAAATAAAAACAAACAGAGACCTGAGATGACTTCTGTGGTGAATTGGGAGGCAATGGTGACCATGATCAATGGCTTCTCACCTTCTTCCATCAAGAGGTAGAACATCCTCACCCCTTGATTATGGGTGGTCTTGTGCCATATTTTGACTGCAAGAAAGTGGCAGAGTTCATCTTCCAGAATTTCTGGGTGCCTCCACTTGCTCTTTTGGCATCCTGTCCCTGTAACTTCAATAAGCTAGGCTTGACTCCTATAAGATGAGACGCCACATGGGTCAGAGTTGAGTTAGCCCAATTGTCGTAGTTGAAGCACCAGAGATGGGACAGCTAGCACAGATCAGCAAAGCTATATACCTGATGCACAAATGACCACAGATCCATGAGGAATTCTAGCCAAGATCAGAGAAAACATCTAGCAGAGCAAATCTTCAGCATAGCGAGTCAAATAATGTATTGTTATTTTAGGCCACTTTTTTTGTAACTTCTTATTGCCTGAATAAAGACCAAAATACAACCAAAACTAAAGACCAAACTCTCTAACATAAAATACATGAAATATTCTGCATTTTAGCCTTGATCTAAGTCATTTTATCTCCTAACACACTAAGCCTATTTTGCTGTAATATGGACCAGGGACCATCTCCATCAAGATAAAATATAATTCTCCTTTAAAATGTCACCAATCTAGAGCTACTGAATTAAAAATACTGAGTATCAAAATTAGTTGAGAAAATTTCAAAGAGATGATTAAGCCACATCCTAGTCATAATGAAATAGAATCTTTAGAAGTAGAACCTAAGAATCACTCATTTTCATTTAACTCCACAAGATATTTTGATGGGACTGATTCTCTCCCTTCCAGTAGGAGAATCAATGTCTTAAGTTCCAGTCAAGCTCTTTTTCAAGCACACAAAATCCTGCCATGTCTTCGATCATGATGTCATATTTCTAGAATGTCCTTTCCATGCTTCCCTACCCAGTGATCTCTTTTCTGAAGACTGATATGAGGTGTTTTCTCTCTGTAGCTTCCCTTGGAGCCCTTAAACCATAATCTGTACATTCACAACACTGTGTGCATAGGTAGACTATAGCGGTCATCCTATTTTCTAAAAATATTTGTTTATACATCTGGCTTCCATTTGATACAGCGTCTCAGGGCCAGAACTCTTGTTCTTATTGCTTTTCATACCTCCAGTGTCTACTTCACTGTGGGTAGGCTTCCAATAAATACTTGTTAAATAGAATTAAGTTGATATTCTTCATAAAGGTCTTCTTTAAGCTATAGATAAATATTTTACTTAAAAAGTTGTGAATTCTCAGAATACAAATGTGTATTATTTTTTAACTGTTATTTTGAAGAATTATATTTGCAGGTCTTCTGCTCTATGTAATATACAGGAGGTATGATTCAGAATGCGGTATTTTTATAGCATTGAAAGTTCTTTTATCTCTCTGTTATGTATTCCTTATTCAGTCACCTGAGATTTTTATTACATTATTGATATATTTTGTCTTCAGAACCATGTCATCTCTTTAATTAGAATTTTTAAAAAATGATTAAAAATAAGTTTATACTTCATGCTATCTACAGGTTTCTACAATGTTAAATTCCAAACAGAACCCCTTTTTAAGAGTTGAAATATTATTATGTTTTAATTACATGGTCTGTGTATAATTACTGTAAACTAAATAATTACTTTACACTTAACAAGAAATTTATTTCCAAAGTGTCAAATAATATATGACTTACCCAAACGCTTGTGGAATATGTTTCTTGCAAGCATTATTTCACCATTCTATCAGATTGCATGTCTCTGGAAATGTAATTATTTTATGTAATTATCTAAGTCTCTATCCAAGTAATTTACACCATGCTTATTAAGTGGGTTTCCTTTTATGTATTAATAAAACATTTTACCTCAATGGTGTTTAAATAAAAATAGTGAAAAAATGATACATATTCCTTATACTGTTAGCTCTTTGAAGCAGTATTCTTGAATTTCATACAGCTTACATTAGGCTTGTAAATATAGTAGTTTACAGGCTTTACCTTTAACTTCAATTTATTAGCATCAGGGGAACTGCTTTCCTGTAAAGCTTGTTAGCAGCAATAGAGGATGAGGAGTAGACAGGATAAGAATTTCCTAGATTCCTTCTTTTATGTATTAATCTGTCCTCACACTGCTATTAAGATAGTACCTGAGACTGGGTAATTTATAAAGAAAAGAGATTTAATTGACTCACAGTTCTGCATGGCTGAAGAGGCCTCCGAAAACAACTCACAATCATGGTGGAAGGGGAAGAGGCACGTCCTACATAGTGGCAGGTGAAAGACAGAAAAAAAGTGAAGGGGGAAGAATCCCTTATAAAACTCTCAGATCTTGTGAGAACTCACTCACTATCATGAGAACAGCATGGGGGAAACCACCCCCATGATCCAATTACCTCTCTCTGGGTCCCTCCCTCTATACATGAAGATTATGGGGATTACAATTCAAGATGAGATTTGTGTGGGGACACAGCCAAACCATATCACTGTACTTCTGGGGGAAGATCAACAATGTTTATTTTACCACTTCAGTTTTTTTTGTAAACAATTCATTTTACAGATAAATGTAAAATTTCAGAACCTAGAAATAAGCATCCTAAGTATGTTTATTAGTTGGATGCTAATTACTGTATCTTGAAATAATACACTCATATAGGGGTCTTACTTGGTTTATTATCAGCAGCAATATCAGTATCACTACTTAATATATTGTATACTACACAGTAATTAAGGCCAAGGCCAAATTCCTCCTGAAAGGAATCTATTTGATGTGGTACTTCAGAGCTTTGGTGAGGATTCTGCTGCCTCAGTTATTTTTCTGGTTGCAGGTATCTTGATTATTGTAAGCCCAAGACTCATTCCGGTAATCTCTGCTTA
Organism: Homo sapiens; assembly: GCF_000001405.40. Lineage (NCBI taxonomy): Eukaryota > Metazoa > Chordata > Mammalia > Primates > Hominidae > Homo > Homo sapiens. The sequence goes on along the minus strand of NC_000023.11, from coordinate 144,408,549 downwards.
AGAGCACAATATTCCCAGACAACTTTTATAAGCAGCATCAAGAAATGCTGACTAAACTCATTCATAGCGTTGGCAGCATGGAGGAAAGTTCCTGAGTTGCTTACATTGAAAAAAATCTTTGCAATTTACAGTTCTGTTAATTATTAGATAGGTCAAATATTTGCTGGTACTAAGAAAAAAATTCTTCAAAATATGAATTGGATGTGGCCTAGATCCAGAGGCTTAGGGTTATATGAATCAAATATGACAACATTGCAAAAAAACAAGTTAATAGGGTCCCTGCTCTCCAGGGCTATATAAACTAGTCCTTCAAGTTCCTAACTTGGCTTCCTTGAGACAATGATAAACTTTTTTTCTAGTTCTTTGAACACTTATTCACTAGCTCTTTCTGTTCACGCTACTTTCCAACTGGGAACATACCCAAACCTCAAACTCTGATTATCTCTCTGTCTCTGTATCATCTCTTTTGGTTGTCACCTCTCTGGTGGTGACTACTTTGTTTAGATAACATTTTAGCAAACATCTGCTTTGTGATCCATACTGTACTATAATATGTAGTTCTGTAAAGGTGATTAAAACCAGGTGTCTGCCCTTATGGTGTATGCAAGCTGGTGAATGATTAAAATTAGTAAGAAATACAGGTAATGTGGCATAGTGGAAGCAAAGGTACTTGATTAGAATTGAAACAAACATATATTCAAGTCTCAGGTTGATTACTAATTTACTGTGTATTCTTGATAAAAAAACATCTTCTCTTCTCTGTGCTTGATTTCCCCTATTGATGAAGTGAGTGGGTTAGACTAGAATTATCTCAATGTTCTTTAAACTGTAACCATCAACAGACTCAATATGATTTTTAGAGCAATAATCAAATAAACCAGGATTAATTTATTTCATTTTGCGCAAAGTTCCACTGGCAACACTGGCAACAAAATAAATTTCTTGTCTAGAGAAAGGACTTCTGGGGAGCCTCAAAGCAGACAATAACTTTCAACAGGTGCATACCCTCTGTCTCTTATCTCATAAGACACACTCCTTTCCCAGGGTACAGAGAAAGGGAGCAAGTATCTAAAGAAAAATGTTAGGATTCTTTTCCTGGCATATGGGGAATCTCATTTGAAGGACATTTTTTTTTTTTTAGTTATACCTCTGGAAGTGAGTTGTAGGTTCAAAGTGTTTGTAGATTTTAAATAATTTTAATATTAAAAATTGCCCTCTAGAAAGTTTCTACAAATTTTCATCCCCTTGCCAACATTTACTTATATTGTGTTTGGTCTATTTCTTTGATCTTTGCCACACTGGTAGTTTAAACCATCTTTTGCTTTTTATGACAGTGCTGATAATCACTGTAAGCTTTCTCTGCTCCAAGTAAGCCCAGCTCTGTTTGAGGGGTGGGTAAAAATATGTTATTAAAGCTTTATAGTTTATTTTGAAATCAGGTAATGTGACGCTTCCAGCTTTGTCCTTTTTGCTTAAGATTGCTTTGGCTATTCAAGCTCTTTCATGGTTTCACGGAAATGTTAGGATTTAAAAAATTCTGCGAAGAAAGGCACTAGTATTTTGACAGGAATTGCATTGAACCTGTAGATTATTTTTAGTAGTATTGACATGGACAATATTAATATTAATTAATTAATATTGTTCTGGTATTAATTGTTTCAATTCAGGAACATGTGATATCTTCCCATTTATTTGTGTCTTTGATCTCTTTCCTCAATGTTTTGTAGTTTTCAGTATACAGGTCTTTTACCTTCTTGGTTATGTGCCTATATCATTTTAAACCTGAAATGTATGTGGCTGCTTCTAAGGCAGCCTTTTTTTTTTCCAGAAACAAATGATTTTTGACAGCTAAATAAATTCTATGTTGTAACTTATTTGATTTTCTTCAGAGGTTTAGATAATTATATGTACCAGATGCTTCAATAATGTAGACATATTTCATATTTTTATGGACAAAACTTTTATATCTTTTGATGTTTATTTATTATCAATCTTATGATAGCTTTTACTATCTAAAGATCTATATGACTCAACAATGTGAACGTATTAACTACTTAACAGGGTGGTAATTTTTTATTGAGATTTTACTAACAAAACACTAATCCAAATGCAAGATTTTTCTTATTGTACAAAGGCTATAATTAAAAAGTAAAGTAAGTTTTGAAACAGAGGGAGGGAATTTACCAATTACATTTTGTGTCATGCTCTTTATTATTATTATTATTATTTTTTATTATTATTATTATACTTTAAGTTTTAGGGTACATGTGCACAATGTGCAGGTTAGTTACAAATGTATACATGTGCCATGCTGGTGTGCTGCACCCATTAACTCATCATTTAGCATTAGGTATATCTCCTAATGCTATCCCTCCCCCCTCCCCCCACCCCACAACAGTCCCCAGAGTGGGATGTTCCCCTTCCTGTGTCCATGTGTTCTCATTGTTCGATTCCCACCTATGAGTGAGAATATGCAGTGTTTGGTTTTTTGTCCTTGTGATAGTTTACTGAGAATGATGATTTCCAATTTCATCCATGTCCCTACAAAGGACATGAACTCATCATTTTTTATGGCTGCATAGTATTCCATGGTGTATATGTGCCACATTTTCTTAATCCAGTCTATCATTGTTGGACATTTGGGTTGGTTCCAAGTCTTTGCTATTGTGAATGGTGCCGCAATAAACATATGTGTGCATGTGTCTTTATAGCAGCATGATTTATAGTCCTTTGGGTATATACCCAGTAATGGGATGGCTGGGTCAAATGGTATTTCTAGTTCTAGATCCCCGAGGAATCGCCACACTGACTTCCACAATGGTTGAACTAGTTTACAGTCCCACCAACAGTGTAAAAGTGTTCCTATTTCTCCACATCCTCTCCAGCACCTGTTGTTTCCTGACTTTTTAATGATTGCCATTCTAACTGGTGTGAGATGGTATCTCATTGTGGTTTTGATTTGCATTTCTCTGATGGCCAGGGATGGTGAGCATTTTTTCATGTGTTTTTTGGCTGCATAAATGTCTTCTTTTGAGAAGTGTCTGTTCATGTCCTTCACTCACTTTTTGATGGGGTTGTTTGTTTTTTTCTTGTAAATTTGTTTGAGTTCACTGTAGATTCTGGATATTAGCCCTTTGTCAGATGAGTAGGTTGTGAAAATTTTCTCCCATTTTGTAGGTTGCCTGTTCACTCTGATGGTAGTTTCTTTTGCTGTGCAGAAGCTCTTTAGTTTAATTAGATCCCATTTGTCAATTTTGTCTTTTGTTGCCATTGCTTTTGGTGTTTTAGACATGAAGTCCTTGCCCATGCCTATGTCCTGAATGGTAATGTCTAGGTTTTCTTCTAGGGTTTTTATGGTTTTAGGTCTAACATTTAAGTCTTTAATCCATCTTGAATTAATTTTTGTATAAGGTGTAAGGAAGGGATCCAGTTTCAGCTTTCTACATATGGCTAGCCAGTTTTCCCAGCACCATTTATTAAATAGGGAATCCTTTCCCCATTGCTTGTTTTTCTCAGGTTTGTCAAAGATCAGATAGTTGTAGATATGCAGCGTTATTTCTGAGGGCTCTGTTCTGTTCCATTGATCTATATCTCTGTTTTGGTACCAGTACCATGCTGTTTTGGTACCAGTACCATGCTGTTTTGGTTACTGTAGCTTTGTAGTATAGTTTGAAGTCAGGTAGCATGATGCCTCCAGCTTTGTTCTTTTGGCTTAGGATTGACTTGGCGATGCGGGCTCTTTTTTGGTTCCATATGAACTTTAAAGTAGTTTTTTCCAATTCTGTGAAGAAAGTCATTGGTAGCTTGATGGGGATGGCATTGAATCTATAAATTACCTTGGGCAGTATGGCCATTTTCACGATATTGATTCTTCCTACCCATGAGCATGGAATGTTCTTCCATTTGTTTGTATCCTCTTTTATTTCATTGAGCAGTGGTTTATAGTTCTCCTTGAAGAGGCCCTTCATGTCCCTTGTAAGCTGGATTCCTAGGTATTTTTGGTTTTGCCTTTTGTGTGATGATCAGCTGATTATATTGAATTGGGTGCTAGCACATTTTCTTGGTGACATACTCAGTGTGAATTCTGAATTGAACTTCAACCCAGAGTCCAAAAGACAGGGTGAGGAAATAACTGGCCAATTTGGAATTCTCAAGAACAAGTGAAGTATGCCGAAGCTGTTCATCTGGAGGCCATGCTTACAGCAGTACTGGTGAAGGAGGGAGAAGAAGCAGATAAAGTTATTATAATAAGAGCAAAACATTAACTGGCTGAAAGGAGGAGCCAGATGAAGAAACACAATTTTAAATCCATCCTATATTTCTAAAACTTAAGTTTTAAAAGAAATGTTATGTGTTTACAGAATTATTTCTTTGGAATAACTTTCCTAACTTTATTTAAGGGGAATTCTATCCCCAAGGGAGAGAAAGTACAACTGCCATGTGATCATATGACTTTTCAATGCTTCCTTATTAGAAGAGAGTTACTATTATAAGGTCCCTGCCATGGATTTGTGAAAAATCCTCCTCATTCTAGAAAAGCAACTCTGAGCTCATATATTATTGAGAATGAATAAGCAGTAGAATTTTTATATACCAAACTGATCATTATCAATGTAGTTATTCAAATGTAGCTTTTCTTTTCAATGTTTGAGGTTAAAATGTCTTTTACATACAGTAGGGCATTGGACATACACATGCATTCATACATGCCCACGCACATAGCCCACACCCTCTATTATGAGAAGTGCATCAATCCAAGCCATCAGATGCACAACATAGCATTTGAAGGTCAGGTCTCAACTATAATGTCACCCTTGAAATCTTCCATTGAATGATACTTTTAATGATTATAGTGACATGTATGATATTTAAGCAATGACTAACCACAGCCTCCTAAGAACAATTAAAAGTCCCAAAGGCAAATTTAAAATGAATGTTATTAGAGGTCACTGCTAAGTAATGAGGGTTTGTTAATGATTTCATTCATTGACCTTGAGTTGTAGTCAAATTTTTTTAAATACACGTTTCAAAAATTTATAATCTCTAGTTAAGTTCTCATTATCTCATTAGTGTTGCTAAAATATTCAGAGGATAAAATGTTGATTGCAAGTGGGTTATTCTGATATCCAGTGAAATGAAAGGATTAGCCATTTTTGAAGGAATGCATGTTTTGGTTTGTACTTCTAAAAATAACTTTACCTTATGGATCAATTTTACCAAAAAGAAAAAGAAAAAAGACAGAAAAAAAGACTCACTGCTTATTTGAGGATGAACATTTGGTTATTTATTTTAAGTAACTAATTCTGAAAATTCAACTTCTGCATTTGTCCAATTTCACTTGTTATAAAAAAAATTGAATGGGAGAGCCAGAAGCTATATTTATGGACATGCAACAGAACAAAGAAATATGGGTATCAAACCAGCCAGTCTAAAATCTGGTTTTAAATAAGAATATTTATCAAACATTCTAAACTTTATGTTTTTGTTAATTTTATTCTTTTTAAAACCAATCAAATAACAAACATTGATGATCTATAATATATTTAGTAAGAGTAATAATGGGATCTGATATTTGTTGAATGCCTACTAAGCAAGATTCTATTGAAATTACTTCTGTTGATGATTTTTAAAAATTATAACATGAAAATAATGCAGTTATTAGCATTTTTATGTTTTACAATTGAGAAAACTGGGGTTTACAGGTTGTGAAGTAATTTGCCCAAAGGCATACAGCTAATTGCTAGCTAAGTCAGAATTCAAACTTTGGTTTGAAGTCCAAACCACAAAGTTAATACAAATAATGGCCTTTGTTCTAAAGTGTCTGATAATCTAATTAGTCTTCCTACATGTATTTCCTGTGCAAAACTGTTTAAAAATGATCTGTGTGGTGAGTTTCATTAATGATGATAATGATTAAAAGCATATATGTGCTTACTATGTGCTACACACCCTACTGATTGCTTTACTTACATTAGCTCATTAAACCTTCAAAAATAGATTTTTCAGGTAAGGAGGCTGAGGCACATGAAGATTAAGTGAGTTTGTCAATGTCGGATATCTAGTATATGATATAGTCATAATCAAAACTCGGGTCTATAATACTCCAGATTCTAAAATCTTAACACCTGTACTCTACTATGGATTACTAATGTAACCTGAGAAGGTAAAGATTACATCTTTCCTGTGTTAGAAGAGGGGAAATATGTTTTCACTAAGATTAAGTGGCCAGAGCGGCTCATGCCAGTAATCTCAGCACTTTGGGAGGCCAAGGTGGGTGGATCACCTGATGTCAGAAGTTCAAGAGCACCCTGGCCAACATGGTGAAACCCCGTCTCTACTAAAAATACAAAAATTAGCTAGGAGTGGTGGCGGCACCTGTAACCCCTGCTACTCAGGAGGCTGAGTAGGATAATAGCTTGAACCTGAGAGACAGAGGCTGCAGTGAGCTGAGATTGTGCCACTGCACTTCAACCTGGGTGACAGAGTGAAACTCTGTCAAAAAAAAAAAAAAAAAAAAAAGGACAGAAGGTGTTGATAGACACTTAGGTTGCTTTCAAATCTTGGCTATTGTGAACAGTGCTGCAACAACTATGGAAGTGCAGATATCTCTTTGATATATTGATGTCCTTTCTTTAGTGTATGCACACAGCAGTGAGATTGCTGGATTGTATGGTAGCTCTATTATTAGTTTTTTGAGGAACCTCCAAACTGTTTACCTTAGAGGTTGTACTAATTTACATTCCCACCAATAGTGTACAAGAGTTCCTTTTCACAACATCCTTGTCAGCATTTGTTATTTCCTGTCTTCTGGATATAAGACATTTTAACTGAGGTGAAATGATATCTCAGTGTAGTTTTGATTTGCATTTCTCTGATGATCAATGATGTTGAGGACCCTTTCATGTGGATCTTTGTCATTTATATGTCTTTAGAGAAATGTCTATTCAAAAATTTTGCCCATTTTTTGATTGAATTATTTGATTTTTTTCTACAGGGTTGTTTGAGCTCCTGATATATTCTGGTTATTAATCCTTTATCAAGTGGGTAGTTTGCTAATATTGTCTTCTATTCTGTGGAATGTCTCTTCACTTTTTTGATTTTTTTTTCTGTGCAGAAGCTTTGTAACTTGATCTGAACTAATTTGTTCATTTTGCTTTGGTTGCCTATGCTTGTGCAGTATTACTCAAGATATTTTTGTCCAGATCAATGTCCTGGAGAGTTTCCTCAATGTTGTCATGTAGTAGTTTCATAGGTCGAGATCTTAGATTTAACCCTTCAATCGATTTTGATTTGATTTTTGTAAATGGAAAGTGATAGAGGTCTAGTTTCATTGTTCTTTGTATGAATAGTTTTCACAGTACAATTTATTGAAGAGACTGTGCTTTCTTCATTGTGTGTTCTTGGCAACTTTGTCAAAAATGAGTTCATTTATGGCTGTGTGGGTTTCTTTCTGAGCTCACTATCTCATTCCATTGGCATATGTGTCTGTTTTTATGTCAGTACCATGCTGTTTTGGTTACTATACCTCTGTAGTATAATTTGAAACCAGGTAATGTGATTCCTCCAGTTTTGTTCTTTTTGCTCAGGATAGCTATGCCTATTTTGGATCTTTTGTGATTCCATATTAACTTTAGGATGGCATTTTTCTATTTCTGTGAAGAATGTTGTTTGTATTTTAATAGGGATTACATCAAATCTATAGATTGCTTTAGGTAGTATGGACATTTTAACAGTACTGATTCTTCCAATCCATGAACATAGAATGTACTTTTAATTTGTTGTGACCTCTTCAATTTTTTTCATCAGTATTTTAAAGTTTTCATTATGGGGATCTTCCACATCTTTGCTTAAGTCAATTCCTGCTTATTTGTAGCTATTGTAGATGGCATTACATTTTTTATTTCTTTTTCAGATTGTTCACTGATGGCTTATAAGAATGCTACAGGTTTTTATAGAATTATTTTGTATCCTGCAAATTTCCTGGATTTGTTCATTAGTTCTAGTAGTTTTCTGGTGGACTCTTTAGATTTTTCCAAATATAAGATCATATCAGCCACAAATAAGGTTAATTTGACTTCTTTGATTGCAATTTGTATGTCCTTTATTTCTTTCTCTTGTCTGATTGCCCTAGCTAGGACTTTCCAGGACTATGTTCAGCAACAGTGGTGAAAGTGGGTATACTTGCTGTGTTTCAGATCTTAGAGGAATGACTTTCTGTTTTTCCCAATTCATTATGACACTAACAGAGGCGAAAATGTACAACATTTTGTTATACATGGCCTTTGTTAGGTTGAGTTATGTTTCTTCTCTACCCAGATTTTGAAGAGTTTCATCATCAATAAATGTCAAACCATTTGAAATGAACATACATTTTTTGTCCTTCATTGTGTTGAGATGATGTATCAAATTGATTGATTTGCATATGTTGAACAATCCTTGCATCACAGGGATAAATCTCACTTTGTCATGATAAATAATATTTGTAATGCATTGTTGAATTTAGTTTGTTAGTATATTCTTGAGGATTTTTGCATCAATATTCATCAGAGATATAGGTCTTTTGTATTTTTTTGATGTGCCTTTGTCTGGTGTTTATATCAGGGTAATACTGTCCTTATACATGAGTTTGGAAATATTCTCAACTCTTTTATTTTTTGGGATAATTTAACTAGGGTTGGTATTAGTTCTTCTTTAAATGTTTGGTAGAATTCAGCAGTGAGGTCATCGGATGCCATGCTTTTCTATACTGGGAAACTTTTTGTTATGACTTTGATCTTACTACTTGTTAGTAGTCTGTTCAAGTTATTATTTTTTTTACTAGTGATATGATTTAGTTTCTAGCTTTTATTTTTTGTGTAGCCATTGTATGTTTTTTGGTTTCAGGTTACCATGACATTGCAAACACTATCTTCTAACTCATTATTTCAATATGATTACAAATTAACAGTTTGTATGAACAAACAAGCATGCAAGCCAGAAAAAAAACAAAAAACCTAATCAAACTAAAAAACTAAGCAAAAACGAAATCTTAACTTCATCTCCTGGCTTTTTAACTGTATATATTATTTTGCTATTTATGTCTTGAAAGTTGTTGTATTTGTTATTTTTTATTGATTCATCATTTAGTCTTTCTACTTAAGAATAGTTTACACACCACAGTTACCATGTTATAATATTCTGTGTTTTTCCGTGTAGTTATTATTACCAGTGAGTTTTGTACCTTCAGATGATTTCTTATTGATCATTAATGTCCTTTTCTTACTGATTGAAATACTTCCTTTAGTGTTTCTTGTAGAATAGGACTGGTGACAATGAAATCCCTCAGCCTTTGTTTTTCTGGAAAAGTTTTTATTTCAACTTCATGTTTAAGAAATCTTTTTACTAGTTATATTATTGTTGCCAAACATATTTGAGCTCCATTTTATGTTATTTTTTTTTTCTCTTGCTGCTTTTAGGATTCCTTCATTATCCTTCATCTCTGGGAATTTTGTTCATAAATGCTTTGGGATACTCTTCTTTGGATTAAATCTGCTTGGTGTTCTATAATCTTGTACAGGATACTGATATCTCCTTTAGATTGGGAAGTTCTCTGTTATTATCTTTTTGAATAAACTTTCTACCATTATCTTGTCCTCTACCTCCTCTTTAAGGCCAGTAACTCTTAGATTTGCCATTTGAAGCTATTTTCTTGGGTCCTGTAGGCATGCTTTATTGTTTTATGTTCTTTATTCTTTTGTCTTTTCTGACTATATTTTGAAATTGTCTTTAAGATGACTAATTCTTCTGTTTGATCAATGCTGCTAATAAAAGGCTCTGATGCATTTTTCAGAATGTCAATTGCATTTTCGTCTTTGAAATTTCTGCTTGATTTTGAAAAATTATTTCAATCTATTTGTTAAATTTATCTGATAGAATTCTGAGTTCTTTTTCTGTATTATATTGAATTTATTTGAGTTTCCTCAAGATATCTATTTTGAATTCTTCATTTGAAAGGTCATGTAGCTCTGTTTCTCCAGGAATGGTCCCTGGTGCCTTGTTTAGTTCATTTGGTGAGGTCATGTTTTACTGGTGTTTTGATACCTGCAGGGGTTCATCTGTGTCTGGGAAGTGAAGATTTAGGTATTCATTGCATTTTTCACAGTCTGGGCTTGTTTGTACTTGTCCTTCTTTGGAAGGCTTTCCAGATATTCAAAAGTACTTGAATATTGTGATCAAAGCTGTATCTCCTTTAGGTGGCACCTCAAGCCCAGTAATGCTGTGGTTCTTGCAGACATTTGAAGATAGCACCTTGATAATCTTGGACAAGATCTGGGAGAATTCTCTGGACTACCAAGCAAGGACTCTTTTTCTCTTCTTTTACTTTCTCCCAAACAGAGTCTCTCTCCCTTTCTGTTTTTGAGCCCCCTGAAGTGTAGGGTGATGTGACATAACCACCTATGCGACCAGCCCCACTATGGCTGTTCTGGGTCAGACCTAAAGTGAGCACAACACTGGGTCTTGCTTAATGTTTGCTTGAACTATTATTTGGCTATTGTGTACATTTGCCCACAGCCCTGAGGCTCTAATTTCAGCAGGTGACACAGCCAGACAGGCTTATGTCCTTCCCTTCAGGGTGGTGAGTTTCCCCAGGCACAGGGTAGTTCCAGAGGTGCTGTCCAGGAGCCAGGGACTCATGTCAAAAACCTTAGAAGTCTACTTGGTGTTCTATGGTACTGCAGCTGAGCTGGAACTCAAACCACAAGATGCAGTTCTTCCTACTCTTCCCTCCCTGTTCCAAAGGCTTAGGAGCCTCATCTGTGGCCACCGCCACCACAGGCTCATGGGTAGTCTTGTCAGACCACCACTGATGGTCCCGTAAGGCCTATGGGCCCTCCACTCGGCTTATGGTAAATGTTACCTGGTCTGTGACTCACCCTTCAGGGCAATGGGCTCCCCTCTGGCCCAGTGCAGGACCAGAAGTGCTATCCAAGAGCCAAATCCTGAAATCAGGCACCTGAAGAGCCCACTTGGTTCTCTACCACCCTGTGGCCAAGCTGGTACTTAAAGTGCACCACAAATTCTCCTTTACTTTCTCCTCTGCTTTTCTCAACTATGGGGCAGATGGAGTCTTGCCCCATAGTTAACAGAGATAGGAAGGTTCTGAGTTTCACCTGAAGCCAACAAGTCTCAGGATCTCTTCGTGGCCCTCCACGTAGTACCTGGGTATCACTGCTGGTTATTCAGTGTCCAAAGTATCTTCAGTTAGCAAGAGATGAATACTGCCAGAAATGGGTACTTCCTTTCAATACACCAGGTTCCCTCTGGCCTATGGTGTATCTAGAAATGTCATCCTGGAGCTAGGGCCTTGAGAGGGGTTCCCACAACTCTGACCATTTTTCTATCCTGCAGTGGCTGAGCTGGTATCTAGGATGCAAGACAAAGTCCTCCCTACTCTTTCCTCTCATCTCCTCAAATGGAAAGATTAGGTCTCTTTTGGAGCCAAGGGCTCTGCGACTTTGTGTTAGGAGAGAGGTGATGTAAGCATTTCCTTAGCCACCCCCGCTGGTGTCTCAGTAGGTTACACCCCACCCCCCACTCCAAGTCCCCTGGATCTGGACCCAGTTCAGCAGTAGGACTCACTTGGAGTCGCAACCTACACTATCTTTCATGTTTATTTAGAGACCCAGAGCACTTTAGCCCATGATGGCAAAGCTTGCAGGAACTCAAAATCCAACTGCTGGAATTGGTAATTTCCCTCTGGCTAGGGTTGGTTTAAATGCTCCTTCCATGGGTGGGAATAGGCTGAGTTTAGTCTGGTTTTCCTTTCTGCTATAACAGGACAGCATTGAGTTTAATGCCTCATGATTGCTGCACTTTCCCTCCCCCAGCACACAGAAACGCTCTCTGCTCCATGCCCCTGCTATAGGGTCCTGGGTGAGGGATGATGTTGGTGCTTCAAGGCTGTTTTTTTTTTTTAACCTCTTCAGTGACTTTTCAGTGATATAAATTTAAAACAAGGTACTGTGAGTTCTTATCTGATATTTGGTTATCATAAAGGTGCTTTTTTGTGTAGACAGTTTTTTAATTGGTGTCTTTGTGGGGACAGGTATGATCAGTGAAGCCTCCTATTATGCCATCTTGCTCAGCCTCCTCCTCTCAATGTATTTAATAATAATACATATTTTCTCTCTTAAATTTGAAGAGATCTAGTTTCTAGATGCAGATATGTCTACAGGATAAGCAAATTTGCACAATCTAATTTCTGTATCTCAGTTTTCTCATGTGTTAAATGTAGTTTTATGATACACCAAAAGATCACTAAATTATTTTTCACTTATAAGTGCTAATGTTTGATCTTGTGTTTTGATGTAATTTGAATTAGACACTAACCCACAGGTTTTGTACTTTATTCTAAATCAAAATTACTTGAGGAATATTATTAATATGTAGATTCTTGAAACCCATTCCTAGAGATTCTGATTCTCTAGGTCTGGGTGAAGCCCAGAGTTCTACATTTTAACAAGCACTTCCAATAACTATGTTGTTGATAATCCTAGATTGCCCTAGATTATAAACTCTTTGAGGGCAAGGAATATATATTATGTAACATTGTAAATACAGAGTAGCTACTTTATAATTTGCTGAGTGAATACATGGATTAATATGTTTTACTAGTATGGTAACAAGATAATCAAAACAACATTGAGTTACAGTTGGTTTTAAAATATAAATATATACATATATTCAATAAATATGTATAGACAAATTTATGGCCTTACACAACATAATGAATATCGTTGATATGTGTGAAAAAAATAAATGTCTGTAAAAGTTAATTTATTCAATAAGGAGATCTCAGTAACAAAGATTGAAGGGATGCATAAAATCATTAAAAAAAAAAACCTAAGTGTACTTTTAAGCCATTAGAGTACTGAGTGCCTGATTACAAGGAGCTGTGGAGAGGTGCTTCCAGTTTCCATCCCTGAAATGTCATGGCTCTCTCCAGGTTTGGAGGCGAGAAAAGATGTCCCGCGTGTTTATAACCAAAAGCTGTAAATGGCAACTGTGAAAATGTAGAGCTTAGAAGTATTGGCCATAAAAACAATTTTGCAAAGCATGATAACACTACCTATGTGATAGCTGGAGAAATCACCAATATTAAATTGAATTTTGTTTCAAGTAAAACTATAGAACAACAGAATATCAACAAATAGATAAAAGCTGTGGAAACCAGCAAAGAGCTTGTAGTCAGGAAGGATGGTATTCAAATTGTAGTCTTGCCAAATGTGTAACTTTAGATATTTTACTTCATTACCTTGAACTTCTGCCATCTCATCTTTCAAATTAGCATATGAATATCTCTCTCAAAGAATTGTTAGGAATCTTGGAAATTAAATGAGATATGTTTACCAATACCTGATATGAAATAATAATAATATAGTTTGAATGTGTGTCCCCACCCAAATCTCATGATGAATTATAATCCCCAGTGTGGGAGGTGGGGCCTGGTGGGAAGAGATTAAATCATGGAGCAGGTTTCTCATTAATGGTTTAGCACCATTCCCATGGTGCTGTCCTCATAATAGTGAGTGAGTTCTCAGGAGATCTGGTCATTTAAAAGTGTGTGACACCTTCCCCATCTCCCTCATGATCCTGCTCTGGCCATGTGACATGCCTGCTTTGCTTCACCTTTTCCCATGATTGTAAGCTTCCTAGAGCCTCTTCAGAAGCTGAGCAGATACCAGCATCATGCTTCCTGTACAGTCTACTAAATGGTGAGGCAATTAAAATATTTTCATTGTAAATTACACAGTCTCAGGTGTTTCTTTATAACAATATGAGAATAACCTAACACGAATAGTTAGAGGAAGAAAAAGAAGAAGAAGAACAAGGAGGAGGAGGAGGAGGAGAAGGAAGAGAGGAAGAGGCAGAGGAAAAAAAATTTATTGAGCATTTACCACATCTGAAATATGCTTTCTATGTGTATGACACCTGCTCTCTAAATTAAAACAATGGTCCTGCAAGGCAGGTATTTTATTTTTATTTTTGAGACAGACTCTCACTCTGTCACTCAAGTTGGAGTGCAGTGGTGCTAACTCAGCTCACTGCAACCTCTGCCTCCCGGGTTCAAGTGGTTCTCCTGCCTCAGTCTCCCAAGTAGCTGAAATTATAGGCGCCCACCACCACCCCCAGCTATTTTTTTTTTTTTGTAGTTTTAGTAGAGATGGGGTTTCACCACATTGGCCAGGCTGGTCTTGAACTCCTGACCTCAAGGGATCCACCCACCTCCACCTCCTAAAGTGCTGGGATTACAGGCGTGAGACACTGTGCCCGGCCAGGTGTTATTTTTATAATCATTGTTTTGCAAAATTAAAGACTGGATGTACAGAAAGGGCAATTAGCCAAAGGTCAGACATCTACTAAATGGCAGAGGCAGGATTTAACCCTGAGGAGATATACTACAGAGCCTGAGTTCTTATTCTACACAACCTCTTGGTACTTTACAACTATAATAACTGCTCATTTAGTAAACGTACCTGATTAAGCTTGGTGAAAATTCAATGTAGTAGACTCTATTTATGTTCATCAATATCCAGTGTCTCCCTCTCTGGAAAGATTATACATTCCTACCCTATTGAACTCAGAAGTGGTCATATCATCAGTTGATGTGGCCAATGGAATGTGAGTAGAAGCAATGTTTTCCACTTTAATGTAGAAGCTTTAAAAACAGTATTAGCTGTGCTATGATAAAGCAAAGTTTGTGTTTTCTTCTGTCATTGATAACCGCAATGCTCAAAATGACGATTTTGCCATTAGCCTGTCCTCTGATTAATAATGACATTGATACAACATAGAGGATCAGAATGCTATATTTAACCCTCTAGAGATACATTGCGCGAGTGATAAATAAACATTTTCTGATGTAAGCCATTTAGATTTTGGGGTGGGAATGTTTGCTACTAAAGCATAACCTAGTATATTATGACACATATATCCAGAAAGGTTGAAAAAATAGTAAAAAATAGAAAATGAGCCAGTGCCAGAAAAAATGTAAAATGCAATTACAGAGACAGGATTTTGTACAAGATGACATGATGAAATAAAGCTTCATATACACTGTGTTCTTACGTTTATGGAGAAATCAACTATTCATAGACTAACAGTCTATGCTGACTATGAAGTATATAAGGATAGTCAGGGCAACTTTTAATTTCTACTTGTTCTTTTTTTTGACAGTACCATTTTCATAATTATATTTGTGAGAACATTGTGCCAGTATCGTGACAGATTAGGCTTAAGAAAACAAATGCAGGAGCAAAAACTGGTTCCTCCTGAACTTTCAAACTTGTGGTTATCTGTTCTTAATGCTGCAGCTGCTTTGAATTGTTATGGTGTTATAATCACCAATCAAAGCTGTTTTGTTTTTGCACAAGTGAAAACATAGACTTAATTTCAATCTAGTAGCATCCTCTCAACATAACAGTTGAGGTATCTAATTATCTATCATATTACAGTTCTTTTTTAAGGTCATGAGGGTCTAACTTATTGACAAATTCAAATGTCACTTTTATACCTTACTCTTCTTACTACTAATAGTGGATTCAGTAAAACTTGACATCTAAGATTATGAGCTTCTTGAGGTTAGGGACTGTGTCCTGTACATCTTGGAGAACCTACTGTTAGTATTATTTTGGTAAATACTTATTGAATACCTGAAATTTGCCAGCCAATATACTAGCACTGGGAAATGATAATGAGGAAAAGAAGACAGGCTTGTTGCCATCATGGATTCTACAGACTAGTGGTAGCGGCAGATATTAATCATATTGTTTAATAAATACATAATTAGAAATTGGCATAAGTGATTTGCAGTAAAACAGCAAGATTTCATAAGGTCATACATGATTGAGAAGAAGTAGATCACAGTGCTTGGTACAGTATAGTTAATAGTTTTTGGATGATTTGAACTTCTTATACAATTTGATTGGTTTTGACATATGTATACAAAATTATCACTACAATCAAAATGACCAATATTTGCACACCACTAAAATTTTCCTCAAGTCTGTTTGTATTCCATGTCTCCGTCCACTCCCACCTCAAGGCTGTCACTGACCTGTTGTCACTATAAATTACTTTCTCAAATTTATATAAATTTAATTCCATAAGTACATATAAATTTAATATTGCAGTATGTACTTTTTTTTGTCTTGTTTGTCGTGTTTTTTTAGTTGTTTAAAGTGAGAGGACAAAGCTGATCCCTGTTACTACATTATGGCCAAAGCAGAAATTCCTATTTCTAAAATTTCAGTGTTGCTCTTAAGTTTTTATTTAATCAAAGTAACATAGCAAAAAATCAAAAAAGGGCAAAAAGATTTTTGACATAGACATAAAACAACTCTTCCCTATTTCTCAGTTTTATTCCCCAAAGTTGACATTTTAATTTTTAAAATATATTTTGAAATGATTTAAAATAGGTAGAAAATTAATGTTATAAAGTTGAATACTTCGTTTCTCTCTTTTTTCCCAATTTCCCTCTTTCCATGAGATAACCATACTCTTACGATGTGTCTATCTAATCCATGTCTTTATCATTGTATAACATATTGTACCTTTATAGACAATATAAAGTATTATGATTTATTTTACATATATACATATTTATTTTACTTATATACATATTTACATATGTTCCAAAACTTGCTTCTCACATTCAATATAATTGTTGAGGTATATTTATGTTGATACACACATATACACATACATATATATACACATACATATGAGAGAGACAGAGAGATTTTTGTTTCAATCACTATGTAGTATTTAACTGTAAATGCATACCACAGTTTATTCAATGTCTTACTGAAAGCCATTTGTTTTTGGTACTTTTTGTTAGCATAAACAATAGTGCAATAAACATTGATCTGCCTGTCTTGTGTACTAGTGTGAGACACTAATGGTTGATAGGATATGCATATTTCCAAATATACTAGCTATCACCAAATTCCTCTCTAAAGCGTAAACAACACCAGCATGGCATGGATAATTTTATTTTCCTACATTCTTGGCAACACACTCAAACACTTCATAAAAAAGCCATCATATTTCACCTAATGTAGTATGTGTGAATATTATATTACTGTTGCTTAATTTTTATTTCCATGATTATTAGTGAACACTAGACTTTTTCATATGTTTAGTAGCTCTATGTGTTTTCTTTTGTAGTGTTGTATGAATTTCATGCCCATGTCCTTTAGGCATTTGCCTGTTGGATTTATTGTCTTATTCTATGTGATTTGTAGAAGATTTTTATATGGTTTGAGTGCTGATATTTCCTTGGTTATATGAGTACACTCTCCAAGACTATTGTTTTTTTTTTTAACTAACTTTGCTATGGTGTCCATTATCATACATAAATATAGTTATATTAAATGTAAGACACATCAATATTTTCTTTCTAGTTGACAGATAAAATTGTACGTGATTACTGTGTACAACATGATTTTTGAAATATATATGTACACAAATGCATACATTGTAGAATGGCTAAATTTACTTAATTAACATATACACCACTTCACGAAATTATTTTAGTGGTGAGAACACCTGAAATCTACTCTCTTAGTGATTTTCAAGAATACAGTACAATGTTATTAACTATAGTCACCGTGTTGTAGAAAGATCTCTTGAACTTATTCTTCTTATCTAACTGAAGCTTTGTATCCTTTGACCAACAGCTCCCCAACACTCCCCATCCCTCACTACCCCAGTTCCTGAAGGACCATTCTACTCTCTATCGTGGATATATTTTCTTGATGTTTTTGCATTTTATTTAACTCTTCCTTTCGTATTATAAAGTTTGATATTTGCTATTTTTTAAAAGATTCATTTCTAATGTTTACATTTTAATCCACCTTGATTAGAGCTCTAATTTATGGAAAGCTTATTTTTGTAAAAGCATTAGTTTAATCATTCTGTTTCCATTGATTTTTCATAATAGAAATAATAAAAAACAACCATCATAATAAATAATAACCATTTAATAAATACCCGACACCGTTTTAAATACTTTATATATTATTGACAATAATACATTAGATAGATGCTACCATTATTTCCATTATGTAGTTGAGTAAACTAAAGCACAGAAGAGAAACTAAGTAGCCTCAAACTACATAGTTATTAAATGGCAGAGTTGATATTGAAAACAAAGCAGTTTGGTTGCAGAATCCGTTATGTTTAGCCTCTATGTCATACAATTTTTCTATCAAAATACCATTTATGTTTAGACGTATTATTTCTAACTTATGTTTTTGTTGTACTGTGTGTTCTTTTTCTTTATTTATATACCAATACCATTGTGTCTCAATCATTTATAGTTATACGATGTATGTTATATATCCCAAACCTGACAGAAACAATCTCTCCATTTTTTTTTTAGAATCGTCTCAGCTATCCTTGAACTGTTCCTCTTCCATAGAAGTTGGGAATCAGTGAGTAGCACCAGAAATTTGTTTTTGGAATGTTGGTTGGAATTAAATTGAATTTGTAGATTAATTTAGGGAAAATATATATCTTTGTGATATTATTTCATTCTATCTTTCTATTAATGTATGTCTTTTAATGTACTTAGTACTTTCATGATATAAATGTATTTATCTTATAAATAATATATATGTAACTATAGGTATTTAATATTAAATCAATTTGCATTAAATTTAAATGTAATATACAAGCAGATAGATACATAAAACATATGTGCAAATTAACATGCAGTTATAAAGTGAATATAAATGGAGCTAAATGATGACAACACATGGACACACAGAGGGGGGAAAATACACACTAGGGCTTATTGGAGGGTGGAGCATAGGAGGAGGGAGAGTATCAGGAAAAATGACTAATGTGTACTAGGCTTAATACCTTGGTGATTAAATAATCTGTACAACAAACCCCCATTACACAAGTTTACCTATATAACAAGCCTGCACATATACTCCTGAACTTAAAATAAAAGTTAAAAAAATACAGTTATAAAGTGCAAATCTATTTAAGCTCTACCCTGGTCAAGAAAGGGAACATTGGTAGTATATCACAACACTCTGCATGTCTCTCCATCATTACAATCCAATCCCCCAGTCCTAGAAAATAACTGTGATCCTAACTTTTCTGATGTTGTCCAAAAGACCACTAGGATGGCTAAGTAATAGAAAGGAGAGTTGTACTCATGATAATCAGCTTGCAAACTGGAAACTCAGCTTGCAAACTGGAAACTAAGTCTCTGGTGTGTGCCAAAGATGTTCTGTCTTGGAAGTAAATGGCAGGTCAGGTTCTATGCCTCACAGGGCCTGTATCATGCAATAGAGTCATACATATTCAACAGGTTTTATGGAAAGGCTATATATATTTATGAGGGTGGTCAAGTGCATGTGCAATGGGCAAACATATATGTAATATATATCCAATATTCAGTTTGAGGTGGGGTTTTAGCATTGAAATGAGGTGGAATTTGGCTCTTTACACCAAAAGATGAACTAGAGGACACAGACAGTTTGTGCACAGTCTCTATGAGCTGGTTGAAACTGGCTTGAGGTCTGCAAGCTGCTTATCAGAAAAGAATGTAAGGCTGGTTGCCTGTTTAAGTACAGTTATAGCAGTCTGGGTTGTAAGTTGGAGTGAGGAGGTGTCTGATAATTTGCCTGACAGTTCCAATTGTTAGAGAGTTTAGCAAGAGTGTAGGTTTTCTTGCAGCAGTAAGAGTTTAGGGAGTTGCCATGCCAGCCAAGCCTTGAACCATTTAATCTTAGGTAACGTTTTTTCCCTTAACATTAGGGTAAGTCTTAATTAATAAAGGGACATCTATTTTGGTCTCTCAAATCACAGTGTTTAATTAGTTCCCTGCTTCTTCTAACTTTTTAACTAACTATTTTTTTCAAACATCTTAAAATACAGTTTAGTTTTAGCTAGTTTTACTTTTTATATAAACGAAATTATAATTTTCTGTTGTTTTTCTTTCAGTGTTGCTCGTGAGATTGAAACATATTACTACTTATAGCTGTAGTTAATTCATTTTCATCTCTATATGATATTTTAATTACAAATATGTAACTGTTTATCCATATTATGGATATGTGGGTTGTTTTCAAATTAGGGGCATTAAAAATGTGTTGCTATAAGTGTAACTGTATGTACTTGCTAGTGCGGGAATGCATGAATTTTGTGAAAATTTATACTGAGATGCTTTGCATGGTGCTAAAGATTTAGAGTTAGATTTTTTAGTTGAAAATACACTAATATGTGTTGCAATCTTAATTAAAATTGCATCAAATATTTAGGTTAATTGAGAGATAATGTTGATAAAATTGAGTCTTCCGATTCAAGAATATAGTGGATCTCTCCTTTAAGTCTTCATTCAATAAGATATAAGATTCCTAATATTACCTAGAGTTTTGCACATCTTTTTCTAGATTTATTCCAAGGCACTTTATATGTTTGATGTCTTTTAATAGTTACATTTTAAAAACTGATTTGTTAACAGTTTGTGCCAGATATGAAAAATACAATTGATTTTGTAAATTGCTAATCTAATCTACCAAACTTGCTATATGTACTTGTTAAATGTACAAATATAGTTGTAGAGTATTTTGGGTTTTCTATGTAGACAAAAATGTCATTTACAAGTGATTAACTTTTTTAAAAAAATTGGAATTCTTATACTATTTTTCCTTACTTTACCATGTTGACTAATGATATCATTTGGTTGTGTCCCCACCCAAATCTCATCTTGAATTCCCGCATGTTGTGGGAGGGAGCTGGTGTGAGGTAATTGATTCATGGGGGCAAGATTTTCCCATGCTGTTCTGGTGATAGTGAATAAGCCTCATGAGATCTGATGATTTTATAAAGAGTAGTTCCCCTGCGCAAGCTCTGTCTCTCTTTGCCTCCTGCCATCCATCTAAGACGTGACTTGCCTCTCCTTGCCTTCTGCCATAATCATGAGGTCTCCCCAGCCCCGTGGAACTGTAAGTCCATTAAACTTTTTTTAAATGTAAATTGTCCAGTCTCAGGTATGTCTTTATCAGCAGCATGAAAACGAATTACTACAGCTAATGACTCTAAGATAATGTTGAATATAAATAATTGTGGTGGGCATGCTTGTCTTGTTCTTGATGTCAAGGGAAAGCTTTCAACATTTAACCATTGAATTTAATATTTATCTTTAGGTTTGTATAGATACCCTTTATTAAATTAAGGCAGTTCTTTTTCATTATTAGGTTATTAAGAATTTTTTTGTACTTACCACAAATGGGTTAAAATCATACATTTATCTCTATCTTTGAGGTAATCAAATTTTTACATTTGTACTGGTTAGTATGATGAATATTATTTAATGTTAAACCAAATTGTTTCCTGGAATTAATCTAACTAAGTCATGATATATTTTATTTTTCTATTGCTGTTTTGGTATGCTATTTTAAAATAATTTTTAGATCTATGAGCATGAATGTCATTGGCCTATATTTTTCTTTTCTAAAATATCATTGTTAGATTTTGGTTTCAAGATTTTCTTAGGCATATAAAATGAAATAGAGAATATATCTGTCATTATTCTCTTCTTATTAAAATTGGCGCATGAGTTGCTATAAAATTGCAAACCTTTACCATAAAGTGTCTGATCCAGAAGGCACAACTGCATAATTCTATCAAATATATGAAAAATAATACCACTTTACACAAACGCTTCCATTACATAAAGAAAAAAATCCAATTTGTTATACAGAGGCCAGTGTACCCTAATACCAAACCTGAAGGTAATAGTACAAGAAAAGAAAATTACTGACTCATATCTCTTGTGACAACAGTTGCAAAAATATTTAACAAAATATTAGTAAACCAAATATAACAATACAAAAAAGGATAATGAGTTATGACCAAGCGAGCTTATCCCAAGAATTTAAAGTTAATGTAACATGTGAAAATTAAACGGGCCAGGCACGGTGGCCCACGCCTGTAATCCCAGCACTTTGGGAGGCCGAGGCGTCTGGGTCACGAGGTCAAGAGATCGAGACTATCCTAGCCAACATGATGAAACCCCGTCTCTACTAAAAATACAAAAAATTAGCCGGGCGTGGTAGCGGGCGCCTGTAGTCCCAGCTACTCGGGAGGCTGAGGCAGGAGAATGGCGTGAACCGGGGAAGCGGAGCTTGCAGTGAGCTGAGATCGTGCCACTGCACTCCAGCCTGGGGGACAGAGCGAGACTCCGTCTCGAAAAAAAAAAAAAAAAAGAAAAAGAAAAAGAAAAAGAAAATTAAACAATGTGATTAATAGCATTAACAAAATTAATGAGAAATAGTATATGATTATAGCAATAGATGCAAAAATTTATTCATAATATCCAATACCTTTTTATGAAAAAGCACTCAGTAATATAGGAACAGCAGAGGATTCCCTCAGCCTTCCAAAGAGCATCCATTATAAAGCCTACTGCAGACACCAATGTCAATGAATATTCTCATATATCTATTAAAAATTGTACCGAAGGTCCTTACCTAAATAACAAGGAAATAATAAAAATAAAAAAGGCATGATTATTGAGCAAGATAATGTAAACCTGTCACTATCCACAGACAATATGATTGTGTGTATAGAAAATTCAAAAGATGATACCTATCACATGAACTCAGCAAGGTTTCAGGATACAGGATCAGTATATAAACATAGCGTGCATTTCTTTTTTACTAACAGTAAAACAAATATTAATGATCTTTTAAAATGTAATTTATAATAGCATCAAAAAATAATGAACTTAGGGATAAATATGACAAAAATGTGCAAGACCTCTACCCAAAAACTTCAACAACCTGAACAGAAAAATAAATCTACATAAACACATTAGAGGTTCATCTTTAACATGTTAATTTCCCCCAAATTCATCTATAAATTGAAATCAATGACAATCCAAACCCCAATATCTATTGTTTTATAGAAATTTCCAAGAATATGCTAAAATTGCTGTGCAAATGTAGAAGTTCTAGAATAGAAAACACAATCTTGGAAGATTACAACCTTGGAAAATTACAACCTTGGAGGAATTTTGCTACCTGATTTTAAGATTACACTTACTATAAGGCAATAGTAGTTAAAAAAAATAGCAATAGTAGTAGCTATACGCTGACATCAAGGACAAATAGATAGATAAGTAAAAGAGAAAGAAAAGTCCAAAAAGAGACCCTCACATATATGGATAAGTCGTTTCTGACAAAGGCACTAAAGCAATTCAATAGGGAGAGGGAAGTATTTTCAAGGAATGGCTTAGGAAGAGCTGATATTCATAAGAAAAATATATCACTCATATGTCAGGCCACACACAAAAATTAACTAGAAATTAATTCTAGACATAATTAAGGTAAAAGTTACATTATAAAGTTCCTACAAGTAAATTTTAAGATAACATTTTGCTACTTTGGTTAATAAAATATTTATTAGACAGAATACAACAATAATTACAAATGAATAAGAGATTATAAGCTGGACGTTACAAAATTTAGAAGTTCTATTATTCACCATTAAGAAAATGAAAAGGAGGTAAGCCAAAGACTGGGATGAAATATTCCAAATGACTTATTTTAACAAGTGTTGGCCAGGATGTGAGGCACCTGTAATTATCATACTTTTCTGGTGGGAATGTGGAATAGTACACCTACTTTAGGATATAGTCTGGAAGCTTATTTTAAAACTAAGCACACAGCTACTTTTTGAGCCCAGCACTTCTATTCTTAGACATTTAACTCAAATATATGAAAACATATATCTGAAGAAAGCCTTTTATCCGAATGTTTATAGCAGCATTATGTATAATAGGCCCAAACTGGAACATCCCAATGCCCATTGGAGAATGGATAAATAAACATTGGTGTATCTATACAATAGAGTACTACTAATCAATTTTAAGGAATAAGCTACTGACACAAACAACAATATTAATTACTCTTAGTTTTATCCTGAAAGAAAGAAGCCAGACACAAAAGAGTACATTCTGCAAAAAATAAATTACATGAATTTGAAGACTAGGCAAAACTAATCTAGGGATTGGAGGAATAGAAATAAGGAAAGTGGTTTCCTGTTTGCCTCTGTGGTGGTGGTTAGGAGAATGGAAAGTAGACATCACAACACACCTTATGGTGTGTGTGTGCATGTGTATCATCTTTTTAGGAATGTTATATGTGTATGAAGTCTATCTGTCTATTATCTATATCACTCAAATTGTAGCATAGATCACATGTCATTTTGCAGCATCATTTTGTAAATGACAGAATAAATGTGTGAATGAATCCTTGTACATACAACTTTGTATACTTATTGTGGTACATAATGGCAAAATAAGTTTGATAAATATACCTACTGACCTGTTTACGGGGTGATTGTAAGAACTGAATGAAATAGTCATAGGAATAATGAGATAGCGATAACCATTCACTGAAACTTTAGTATTTGAAACATATACAGCAGGGCCCAAACAAATGTTTATGTTCTTTTCTCTCTTACACTAGAGTCATGATTAAAAGCACTTATAGAAATTTCATGGTGGCTTCTGGCTGCTTAAGTAATTAATAGTTTTATCTGTTTTATGCTCCTTCAGAGGTATAGTTTATCCCTGTTCTGATTTGTAACTAAAGCTCAAAAACGTTTACTGCCATTAAAGCAGGTATATACGTTTTGCCTAAGTCTTATTCTACCCCATCTTAATTTAGAAGTAAATGGCAATGGGAATCTGTTCTAAGCCCAGTGAGAAGTACTTTGTTCTTGGTAGCTCATACTACAACATATTCAATCTACATGCTATTCAGAGGAGAAGTAATACTGACATATTAATTCAATTGGCCTGAATTTATACTGTATTTTTCAAACTGAAAGGCTGAAGCTCAGGAACCAAGATATAAAATAGGTGGTCCAGTAAAACACTGTACATTTTCATAAATAATGTACAGACCAGCTTGCAGTTTTTAAAAAGGTTCTTCTAAGGAAATTTTGCTGCTTGAAGTGGAACATTTACCTTTCCCTGACACCCACTGTAGCACCTGATTATTAGATTGAATGCACTTTGCTGGAAGTATATGAATTTATTTGTGTATGGGGATAAAAAAGGTGCTGCTGGCCACATTACTGAGGAATCTGGTAAACATCTGTACTGCTTCTCTCTAGTGTCAGTCAGGACTGAATGTGGAGCTGAAAAGCAGCAGTGGATTGTATCACTGTTTTCCCCTCCCTCATATCTTGACTAGCATAATTAGATGATACTGTCTTTTCAGACAGACACCCTTACATTTGCCTTTAGTAATGTTTACTCTGCATTTCCTTTGAACAAAATAATGAATTTCATTTCCTTTTAGTCATATTCAGTTTGATCCATTTAGTTCTTTGAAGACCGTCAGTGCAGCTACATAGAAAAGTGGTCTGCCGGGATGAGTTTAGGTTTTTTGACATGAATCTTTTAGGCATATTCATCTTTAACAAATGAGACTTTTGAATATTTCTCACCTCTTTGTATCTGTTTAACACTGATAAGTATTCAATTCTTAGCTTTCTTTCATTGCTGTGTATGTTGATGATCTGTTAGTATAATATTTCTAAACGGACAGTGTGTATGTTTGTTATAGGCAAGCTATAAATGAAAGTTTCCTTCATGTTGATATTTTAAATATATCCTTAAATTTACAAAACATTCTATTCCAGGTAAACTAAAAACTGTGAGCAACAATGACAAAATATTTTTAAATAAGGTTATAATAATTTAGTTATTACGATTGAAGGGATAATAACGGTAGCCTATAGATAAACTGAGACAAGCATTTCTGCCAGTCCTGTAGTCCCCAGTTGATTGGGCAGATATCTGTATGTAGGTACATCTAATGTTTTTGTTTGTCTGTTGTCCTCTGGAGCACTGGGTTGACAACAGAGCCAACCTGAGAGAAGTTTCTAACTGGCTAACTTATACTGCTGTAAGACTCCCTTCAGATGGAACTAAATGGAACTGCCCAACCCTCCTTGTAATCTAGCCAAGTTCTGGATAGGGTAAGTCAGGAACTTATTTAAGACAATGGCATTGATCACACAGGCAGGAGCAATGTTGAAGACAGTGACTTGCTATCAGACTGTAGTTGGAAGACAGATATTAACTCATTTATTTTCCAACTAACTCTCTGTAAAAGTCAACACTATAGGGAAAGGACAGTTTGAGATTCACTTTTCAAAATCTGTTTCAAATCTCCTTTACTTATCTAAGGTCATACCTGCCTGGCCAGTGCCAATGATCTGTCAAATATAGCCCCAGAAATTGTTGATTTAATACAATGTTAGATTAATAACAGAGTGATTTTCCATGGTGAAGCTTGAAAATATTCCCTGAATCACATGGCTGGAAAATATGTATTTATGATTAGCTAAATTTTGCAGATAAGTTAAACTTGCCCTATTAAGTGTCAATAATTTGTTTTAACTACTTCACAGAATTTTAAGAAATAAATTTTATAATATTTATTCTTGCCTTATTAAATAGATGAGTCAAAACATAAGAACTCTTGAAGTCATTGATGGGTCTGCTACTAATCTTATGGGTAACCCTTATCTCAGATTTTGTAACTGTATTAGTCTGTTCTCATTCTGCTAAAAAAAAAAACATATCTGAGACTGGGTAATTGATAACGGAAAGAGGTTTAATAGACTCGCAGTTTCACATGGCTAGGGAGTCCTCACAATCATGGCAAAGGTCAATGGGGAGCAAAGTCACATCTTACATGGCAGCAGGCAAGAGAGCTTGTGCAGGGGAACTCCCATTTATCAAATCATCAGATCTTGCGACACTTATTCACCACCATGAGAACAGTATGGGGGAAACCACCCACATGATTCAGTTATCTCCACCTAGCCCCACCATTGATACATGGAGATTATTACAATTCAAGGTGAGACTTGGGTAGAGACACAGCCAAAACATATTATTCCACTCCTGGCCCCTCCCAAATCTCATGACTTCACATTTCAAAACCAATCATGCCTTCCCAACAGTCCTCCAAAGTCTTAACCTATATTAGCATTAACTCAAAAGTCCACAGTCCAAAGTCTCATCTGAGACAAGGCATGTCCCTTCGCCTATGATCCTGTAAAATCAAAAACAAGTTAGTTACTACCTAGATACAATGAGGGTATAGGCATTGGGTGAATGCACCTGTTTCAAATGGGAGAAATTGTCCAAAACTAAGGAACTACAGGCCCAATGCAAGTCCAAAATCTAGCAGGGCAGTCAAATCCTAAAGCTCCAAAATGATCTCCTTTGACTCCAATTCTCACATCCAGGTCATGCTGATACAAGAGGTGGGTTCTCATAGTGTTGGGAAGTTATGCCCCTGTGGCTTTGCAGGGTACAGCCCTCCTCCTGGCTGCTTTCACTGGCTGGCATTGAGTGTCTGTGGCTTTTCCAGGTGCACAGATCTACCATTATAGATCTACTATAATAGTAGCAAGCTGTTGGTGGATCTACCATTCTGGTGTCTTGAGGACAGTGGCCCTCTTCTCACAGCTCCACTAGGCAGTGTTCCAGTGGGGACTGTATGTGGAGGCTTGTACCCCACATTTACCTTCTGCACTGCCCTAACAGAGATGGTAAAATGAGGGCTCTGCCTTTGCAGCAGAATTCTGCCTAGACATATAGGCATTTCCATATGTCCTCTGAAATCTAGGCGGAGCTTCCCAAACCTCAATTTTTGACTTCTGTGTACCCACAGGCCCAATACCAAGTGTAAGCTGCCAAAGCTTGGGCCTTGCACCCTCGGAAGCAACGGCCTGAGCTCTACATTGGCCCCTTTTAGCTATGGCTGGGACACAGGGCACCAAGTCCCGAGACTGCACAAAGCAGCAAGGCCATGGGCTCAGCCCTCGAAACCATTTTTTCCTTCTATACCTCCTAGCTTGTGATTAGAGGGATGGCCTGGAAGACCTCTGAGTGCCCTGGAGATATTTTCCCCATTGTCTTGGCAATTAATGCTTGGCTCCTAGTTACTTATGCAAATTTCTGTAGCTCTCTTGAATTTGTCCTCAGATAATGGGTTTTTCTTTTCTATTGCATTGTCAGGTTGCCAATTTTCTAAACTTTTATGCTCTGCTTCCCTTCTAAACATAAGTTTCAATTCCAAACCACATCTTCGTGAATACATAAAACCGAATGCTTATAACAGTACCCAAGTCACCTCTTCAATGCTATGCTGCTTAGAAAATTCTTCTGACAGATGCCATAAATTATTTCTTTCAAGTTCAAATTTCCATAAATATCTGGAGCAGGGGCAAAATGCCCCCAGTCTCTTTGCTAAAACATAGCAAGAGTCATCTTTGCTCCAGTTCCCAAAAAGTTCCTCATCTCCATCCAAGACCACCTCAGCCTGGACTTTATTGTCCATATCACTATCAGCATTTTGGCCAAAGCCATTCAACAAGTCTTTAGGAAGTTCCAAACTTTCCTACATTTTCCTGCCCTCTTCTGAGCCCTCCAAACTGTTCCAACCTCTGCCTGTTACCCAGTTCCAAAGTCACTTCCAGCAGCATCCCACTTTACCCATACCAATTTACTGTATTAGTCTGTTTTCGCACTGCTAATAAAGACGCAGCCAAAACTGGGTAATTTATAAAGGAAAGAGCTTTAATTGACCCACTGTTACGCATGACTGGGGAGGCCTCACAATCATGGTGGATGGCACATAAGGAGCAAAGTCATGTCTTACATGGAGGCAGGCAAGAGAGCTTGTGCAGGGGAACTCCCATTTATAAAACCATCAGATCTTGTGAGACTTAATTACTACCATGAGTACAGTATGGGGGAAACTGCCCCCATGATTCAATTATCTCCACCTGGCCCCACTGTTGCCATGTCAGAATTATTGCAATTTAAGGTGTGGTTGGGCAGGGGTACATCCAAACCATATTAGTAACTTATTAAAAAACTGAGTAGTCTTATTATGAATTGTTTTTTCAAAACATGGAGTTTGGCCATGTTGAATTTGTGCTGCCTCCATTGCTCCTGTGAACACCTGTGCAGAGACAGGAACTCCAGCATCTGCTAGCACCCTGCTGCAGCCAATGAGTGTGCACTCTGCCACAATGATGCTGCCACTGCTGCTGGCGTGTGTGAACAAGAACAAAGGCAGGCACAAAGGCCACCAGAACTGCCCCCGCCAATGTCTCCACCCAGTGCCAACACTGCAGCCAAAGTGAAACTAGACAAAGAAAACAATGGAACCTCCCCTATCCTGGGCTGTCACCCTTGCCTGCATAAATATTCACAGAGGATGCACACAGATCTGCATTTGCCAGTGACCTGCTCCAGTACTAACACCACCACAAGCACACAGAACGCACAGTCACCAATAGGAGTCCCCACTGCCTCCCCCCAGCTGTGTTGCCTCCATTGCTGTTTTGAACACCTGCACAGAGGCAGGAACCCCAGCATCTGCTCAACTCTGCTGCAGCCAATGAGCATGCACCCTGCCACTGTGAGGCTGTCACTGCTGCTGGCATGTGTGAACAAGGACCAATCCTGCTACCACCACCCTACAAAATTCTTTGCCCAGCACAACCCATCAGAGTGCTTGACCAGAAGTCTGACAGCTCTTCAGCATCCCCATCACAGTGGGTTTCTAAACTCAGGGAGCCAGAAAAAAAAATTGGAGCCCAATACAAGTTTCCAGAGTCAGAGCATGCAGCACACGGTTATGTCCTGAGCCATAGCTGCCTAAAATCTTCCAGAAATGAAGCCAGTCAACTGAATACACCTTATATCACAATAAAATTCTCAAGGTCATAAAATGGACATAACATATTCAAAGGACAGCAACTTCACAGATTTAAGGAACATCAACCTACAGAGATGAGAGAGAACCAGCATAAGAACTCTGAAAACTCAAAAAGCCAGCATTACTTCTTTCCTCCCAATGACAGCACCACTTCTCCAGAAAGGGTTCTGAAGCAGGCTGAGATGGCTGAAATGACAGAAATAGAAATCCGAATATGGATAAAAATGAAGAACACTATTCCTATTCAACATAGTATTGGAAGTCTTGCACAGAGTAATCAGGTAAAAGAAAAAAAAATTAATGGCATCTGAATAGGAAGCTACTAAGTCACACTATATCCCTTTCCAGACAACATTATTCTATATATAGAAAATCCCATAGTCTTGGCCCAAAATCTCCTTCCGCTGATAACTTAAGCTAAGTCTCAGGGGAGAAAATCAACCTATAAAAATGACTAGCACTCCTATACGCCAACAACAGTCAAGCTGAGATCCAAATCAGGAAAACAATTCCATTCACAACTGCCATAAAAACAAAAAATACCCAGGAATACAGCTAACCAGGAAGGTGAAAGATCTCTACAATCAGAACTACAAACCATTGCTCAAAGAAATCAGAGATGCCACAAACAAATTAAAAAACATTCCATGCTCGTGGATAGGAAGAATCAATATTGTAATAATGGCCATACTTCCCAAAGCAATTTATAGATTCAATGCCATTCTTATTAAACTACAATTGAGATTCTTCACAGTACTAGAAAAAGAAATTAAATTCATATGGAACCAAAAAAGAGTCCAAATAGTGAAGGCAATTCTAAGCAAAAAGAATAAAGCTGGAGACAGTGCACTACCTGACTTCACACTATATTCCAGGACTACAGTAACCAAAAGAGCATGATACTGCTACAAAAACAGACGCATAGAACAATGTAACCGAACAGAGAGCCCAGATATAAGGCTGCATACCTACAACCATCTGATCTTCTACAAAGCTGACAAAAACAAGCAATGGGGAAATGACACTCTATTAAATAAATGGTGCTAGGATAACTGGTTAGCCATATGCAGAAGATTGAAACTGGACCACTTCCTTACACTATATACAAAAATCAACCCACATTGGATCAAAGACTTAAACGTAAAACACAAAACTATAAGAACCCTGAAGACAACTTAAGCAATACCATTCTGGACATAGGAACAGGCAAAGATTTCATGACAAAGATAACAAAAGCAATCCAACAAAAGCAAAAATTAACAAATGGGATTTAATTAAACTAAAGAGCTTCTGCACAACAAAAGAAACTATCAAAAGAATAAACAGACAACCCATAGAATGGGAAATTTTTCTTTCAAACTATGCATCTGACAAAGGTCTAATATTCAGCATCTGTAAGGAACTTAAACAAATTTATAAGAGAAAGGACAAGCAACCCCCGATATGATTTGGCTCCGTGTCCCCACCCAAATCTCATCTCAAATTATAATCCCTATGTCAAGGGAGGGACCTGGTGGGATGTGATTGGATAATGGGGTTGGTTTCTGCCATGCTGTTTTCATGATAGTGAGTGAGTTCTCACAAGATCTGATGGTTTAAAAGTGGCACTTCCCCCTTAGTGCTCTCTCTCTCCTGACACCATGTAAGATGTGCCTGGCTTCCCCTTTGCCTTCCACCTGATTGGAAGTTTCCTGAGGCCTCCCAAGCCCTCTGGAACTGCATGTGAATTAAAACTTTTTTCTTCATAAATTACCCAGGCTCTGGTCATTGTTTATAGCAGTGTAAAAAGCAACTAATACAACCCTCTTAAAAAGTGGGCAGTGGACATAAACAAATATTTTTCAAAACAAGACATATATGTGGCCAACGAACATCTTAAGAAAAAGCTCAACATCGCTGATCATTAGAGAAACGCAAAGAAAAACCACGATGAGATACCATCTCAAACCAGTCAAAATGGCTATTACTGAAAAGTCAAACAATGACAGGTGCTAGCATGGTTGTGGAGAAAAAGGACCACTTAAACACTGTTGCTAGTAGTGTAAATTAGTAAAACCATTGTGAAAAGTAGTGTGGCAATTCCTCAAAACCTAAAAACAGAACTACTTTTTGACCCAGGAATCCCATTACTGGGTATTTAGCCAAAGGAATATAAATTGTTCAATTATAAAGACACATGCATGCGTATGTTCATTGCAGCACTATTTGCAATGGCAAAGACATAAAAGAAACCTAAATGCTCATCAGTGGGGACTGAATAAAGAAAATGTGATACATATACACCATGGAATACTATGTAGTCACAAAAGAAGAATAAGATCATGTCCTTTGCAGGAACATGGATTGAGCTGCAGGCCATTATCCCTAGCAAACTGACACAGGAACAGAAAACAAAGTGCCACATGTTCTCACTTATAAGTTGGAGCTAAATAATGAGAACACATGGACACACAGAGGTAATAACTGACACTGTGGCCTAACGCAGGATGGGGGTGAGAGGAGGGAGGTGATCAGGAAAAATAACTAATGGCTACTAGGCTTCATACCTCGGTGATGAAATAGTCTGTACAATAAAGCCCCATGACATGACTTTACCTATAAAACAAACCTGCACTCAAACCCTTAAACTTACAATGAAAATTAAAAAAGTAAAACAATAGAAATATAATAAAATGATACTGACAAATGTCATGTAGAAGAGGGCCATATAAAAATGTCTTCACATTTTAATATTATTCTGTAACTACTATAAGGCTTATTTACTAACTTTTGGCTCTTGCCTGTGTTCCAGAGCATTGAACTTGTTAGATAAGGGGTTTCTAGGGAAGTAAAGTGCTCTTATGCTTGTTATGAGCTGTATCACCCTCTGCAATTTTCTTTTTTGTTTTTTTTTTTAGACGGAGTTTTGCTCTTTTTGCCCAGGCTGGAGCGCGATGGCGCCATCTTGGCTCACCGCAACCTCCACCTCCGGGGTTCAAGCGATTCTCCTGCCTCAGCCTCCCGAGTAGCTGGGATTACAGGCATGTGCCACCATGCCTGGCTAATTTTGCTGCAATTTTCAAAATTCCATTTTTGTTTGCCTGAATAAATTAAAAAACCCTCAAATCAACTGATTTCCTATAGGAAGGGGATAGTACTATGATCTGAATGTTTGTGATTCTCCCAAATTCTCATGTTAAATTCCTTACCTTTGAGTTGGAGCCTTTCGGAGATGATTAGGTCATGAGGGAGGAGTCCTCATGAATGGGATTAGTGCCTTCATAAAGGAGACCTCAGAGAGCTCCCTCTCCCCTTTCACTATGTGAAGACACAGCAAGAAGGGGCTATCTATGAATCAGCAAGTACGCTCTCACCAGGCACCCAACCATCAGGCACTTTAATTGTGAATTTCACAGCCTCTAGATTTGTGAGAAATAAATGTACTGTTTATAAGCCACCAACTCTGTGGTATTCTGTTATAGCAGCTCAAATAGATTAAGACACATAGTAAAAAGAAATACACATTTATTGACACTCTCTATGTGCTAGATATTTTCATACATTCTTGTATTTAATATGTGTAAAATCCTTGTGAGGAGTGCAACTATGCCTATTTTATCAATGAGTTCACTGACGTTTAGAAAGGTCAAGTACTTCAGAGTAAGGACTTCAAGATAAGGCAAACCTGATCTTAAGATGTAATGCAATCATTTACTTTGGACAATTTACCTCACTTTTTGAGCCTATTTTCTCATCTTAAAATTGAGTAACACCAATTTTATAGATTTTCTGTGGGGAATAAGTAAATTGACACAAGTTAAACAGTCTTACATATGGTTGGCACAGAGGTTGTTTGCAATAAGTTGCTATTATTGTTTTCAACAGTAAAAAAAAAAAAAAAAAAAAGAAAGAAAGAAAAGGAAAAGAGAGGTAACCAGAACTGGATACCTGCTCAAGTTACAAGCAAATAAATTACAAGGTTAGACATAATCCCAAGCCAGGCTTATCTGCTAGCATGCTCTTTCCATAATACTAAAGTGTCTCTCCTCAAGTACACAACATTTTCTGCCAAAAATTTCTCTATTAATAAATAAAGTAATTGTATATAAGTATATATGCCTAGAAATTCATGTGGTAAAAGTAAAAAAAATCTACTAGATAATTTTGGGAGAAATATTGAAATATGTATGTGTGCCTATAACCTATATGATGATTCCCAGTGACAACAGCCCAAAAAACTTGGGAGTTAATATATGGAATCTCTTTATTTATAAAACTAGCTTTAAATTACTTTATCTGCCTGCAATTTCACCAACAACAGCAAATTTAGTCTTGACACTTTCAGGTGTACTTCATCTTACCCGATAGGAAGAGGAATTGAACATTCATGCTGGGACCTAGAGGTCTCTGTTACACAGTCATGATGAACTTATAGTCGTTTATCTTCACAAAAGCACCGTAGGCTGGATATTTTAAGTGGCACTGGGTAATATGTGGATAGTAAACAGAACTCTTGGAGGATGTCCTTTAATGGATGATCTTTTAAAAACACAGCTGTTTTCTATTTCTTAATGCCGAACAAGAGGCCTATTCACATCTCTATGATGTTTTGAGGGCTGACACTCCTAGCTAAAGACTACTGCCTGCTTATTATTTCAAAATGAGCTCTCTAAGGAACTGGAGAGGAAGCCGGATTTTTCCCTGTAAATTAAGTGTATAACTTCCTCAGCTTTCTGTTGACTTCCCCATACGTTAATGTAATAGAGAGTTTCTTAGGGCTACTCTTTCACACACTACAGCCATGCGATAAATTAGTAACAGTTAATTTGATTAGTAAAGAAATTAGCAATAAGGATCTATACCTCTGATCCCTCAAACTTCGCTGGAATACCATCTGTCTTTCCTTCTCACTCTACAGCCATCACTTCTTTTGAAGGGGAAGGAAAAAAAAATGCTAAAAGGCATTGCAGTTTTTCTTCTGTTTATCTTAAAAATACTGTATTTCCTACTTTTCAGCTTATATATTTTCTCTTCTCAGTTCACATCTCCCTCTCTCTCTCTGTTTCTAATTCTCATAATCAGATATGTTCTCTGAATCTAGAAATTTAAAACCTACCTTCTTTTTTCTTCCCTATCCAAGTGGAAGTGTTTGTAGGGAAGGGAAAAAAGAACACAGTTTCAAGTTAATGTTTGAAGCAAATAAACACAGCACATGCCTGTTATATTTGCTTGATCAGGTATTTCAACATGGTACATTCATCCAGTAGATTTAGACTCAAGGCACATCAATAAAAATGAGTGAATATATATATATATATATATATATATATATATGTGTATATATATATATATGTGTGTGTATATATATATATATATATATATTCCAGCTTTAAATTTTGTATGCCTTTTTTATGAGTTATATATATTTCCATCTTATTGTAGGAATCTTTACCAATATGATTACTACAGGGCTCAGAATGACAGCTATATAGTTGGGCGGAAGGCATGAAATTTGTTCTTAATTATGAGATCCACCTGTACAGAACTAATTAAGTGTTGGGCTAATTTATTCACATTGTCATGTTAATGCTTTCAAGAATACTATTGTCTTTGAAATAAGCTAATAATAGCTACAGCTCAAGAGTTAAAAACTGTGGAAATGCAGTTCTATTAATAAAAATATCTGAGTCAAATTGGGATATGTGAAGTTTTCAGATTGAAGTTTATCCATACCATGTCATTTTATTCTTCAGCTTTCTGTCACGCAACTTGGGGGAGTTTACAGAATGTTCATTTTCTTCTCTAACAATATTCCTAGTGAGCACAGAAGAATTTGAGAAGAAAGAATCAACAAACTTGAAGATAGTTAATTGAGATTACTCAGACTGAGATACAATAGAAAGAAAAAAAAGAAGATAAATAAATAGAGCCTCAGAAAGCTTTGGTATACCATCAGACATGCAAACATATTTAAAATTAGAATTCAGAAAAGACAAGATAGAGAAGAGAGAGACTATTTGAGGAAGTAATGACAAAATCTTACCAGATTGAATCCAGATTGAATGACAAACATTATTCTACACACTCAACAAGCTCAATATACTCCAAGTAGAATGAATATAAAAAGATCCACACACAGACATATCATAGTAAAAGTGCCAATAGCCAAAAACAAGGAGAAAATCTTTGAAGTAGCTGGAGAAAAATTATTCTTTACTTACAGAGAAACCTTGATAATTTTAACACTTGATTCTTCAGCAGAGAGAGAGAGCAGAAGGATGCAGTGGGATAACTAATTCAAAGTGCTTAAATAAAAGCAAACAGAAAATGTCAACCAAAAATCCCATATCTAGGAATGATATATTTTAAAAATCTATTTTAAGGTTTATACAGTTTAAAAGACCAGTTATATGACAATAACAGCCCAAAGATGGAGGGAATGAAGATATTTAAGAGCTATGGTTTTGAATTCTCTAAAAAGATAGTTTCACTGGTGAATTCTATTAAAAGTTTTTAAAAATTAACACGAATCCTTCCCAATTATTCCAAAAAATAGGAGAAGAAGCATTTCCAAGCTGATTACCTGAAATACAGATAGTGTTACATTTTTCTTTTCCATCTGGATGCTTCTTTTGCTTGCCTAATTGTCCTGGCCAAAACCACTAGTAAAATGTTGAATAGAAATGGCAGAGGTGAGCATCCTGATATTAGGGTGAAATCTAATCTAATCTTTGGTATTAGCCTGATACCAAAACCAAAGAAATCATAAGAAAAGAAACTCAGGGGTTTCTGCCAGTATCCTTAATCTGTATAGACATAAAATTTGTCAGAAAATACTAGCAAATGAAATCCAGCAAACATATAAAACAGATTATTTATCATGAGCAAATGGGACTTATCACAGAAATGCATGCCGGTTCAACACATAAAAATGAATCAATATAATAAAATATACTAATAGAAAAAAATCACATGTTCCTCTAACTGCAGAAACATTTTTTAAATTCAACAGCATTCTATAGTGGAACAATTAACATATTATGAATAGAAAAACATACTTTGTCAGCTGGAGCAAAGTGCATCTATGCAAAACTCACAGCTCACTTCATTCTTAATGTTCAAAGACTGAAAGATTTCTCCCTAAGATCAGGATGCCCACCTTTGCCATTTCTATTCAACATTTTACTAGCGGTTTTAGTCAGGACAATTAGGCAAGCAAAAGAAGCATCCAGATGGAAAAGAAAGATGTAACGCTATCTGTATTTCAGGTGAAATAATCTTATATATAGAAAATCACTGGAAACCCATGCACATTAAACCCACTCACATGCATATAGGCATGTATGCATGTTTACAGACATATTGCATGGGACTTCATCAAATTTTAAAACATTTTGCTTCCAAGAATACTATCAAGAAAGTGAAAAGATGACTCACATAATTGGTGGAAATTTTTGCAAATCATATATCTGATAAGGGATTACTATCTAAAATGTAAAGAACACTTAGAAATCAATAATAAAAGGACTACCCAAATAAAAACAGGCAGAATATTTGAATAGACATTTCTCCAGGGAGATATACAAATGGACAGTAAGCACATGAAAAGATACTTAACATCATTAGTCATTAGGGGCATGAAAAGCAAATCCACAATGAGGATAATACTTCATATCCACATGTCTGGTTATAACAAAACAAAAAACAAAAACGTAATTTCAGAAGTGTTTGCATGTAAGAAAATTAGAAGCCTCATACATTGCAGGTAGAAATGGAAACTGGTACAGCTGCTGTAGAAAACAGTGTGACCACTCTTCAAAAAGTCAAACATAAAGCTACCATATAATCTAGAAATTCCACTCCTAGGCATATACCCTAGAGAAATGAAAGCATATGCCCATATAAAACCTTGTACAAAAGTATTCACAGCAGCATTATCCATACTCTATAAAGTATAAAAAGCTCACATGTATGCCTTCAATGGAATATCATTTAAATGTCAAAAAGACTAAAGTACTAGTATATTTTACAACATGAGTGAATTTTGAAAATGTTATGCTAAGTGAAAGAAACCAAACACAAATGGTCACATATCGCACAATTCTATTTATTTCAAATGTCAACACTAGGCAAATCCACAGAGTCAGAAAACAGATTAGCGGTTGCTAGGGACTGAGCAGCGGTGGGGTACATGCAGGAATGGAAAGTGACTACTAATATGTGCAGGGTTTCCTTTGGTGGTGAAAATATTCTGGAATTAGATAATGTTGATGGTTACATAACTTTTTGAGTACATGAAAAACCACCAAATTGTACACTTTAAATAGGTGAATTTTATGATATGTTAATTATATGTCAGTTTTACAAAAGAGACATTTAAAAAAGAATCCGTAATTAGGAATCTTCCCACAAAGGAAACAGCAGACACAGACATTCTAAAACAGCTTTCTTCCAAATAATCAGAGAAAGAAAGTAATCCCATTCTTACACGATTTCAAAATATAGAAAAAGGGAATACACCCTATTTAATTTTATAAAACTTGATAAACAAATCAAACACAGATCTTAATAAAGAGGAAAATGAGTGCTATATCACTTAGAAACATAGCTGCAAATATTCAAAATAAAAAATTTGTAATAATCAAAGAATATCTTCTCCCATATTAGATTAATTTGGCCCCCAATCAACCACACCACAGCCTAGTAAGGTCTTAATTGCTCCCCTCTCACTTAGTCTTATATTTATTAGCATTTTACTCTTGGTATAAATTTGTTTTTTCTCTTTTCAGCTCTCTAGATTGAACCTATAGAAACCACCTCCTTACATGATCTTTATTTTAGTTTATAGAAAACCAGACTTAAGCTTCAGTCACAGAAATGTAACAGAGATCAATGGTCAAATAATCAGAATTGCAGGGTGCTTTGTTTTCAGAGGAAAAATTATCTTATTGAGGTAGGAAAAAAACACAGTAGAATAATTATAACCCTAATCCTCATAAGGAAATTGAAAAGATTTGGAAATATTAAAGTTCTTCATCAATGAATCTTTTTTGGATTAGGGGCATGGCTACCAGAAAAATGGTGGGCTTGTATCTGATGCAGCTACTGGATCCTATACACTAACTTAGCAGGCTAGAAAAGACTTTACATTAATGTACCCATTGAATATGAATACTGAGCCAGTAGATAGCTTGGAACATAAGGCAGAAACCAAGAAACCTGGTTCTATTACTCTTATTATCGTTCATGAGAGAATATAGAATGTAACAGAGAAAACTTTTTCCATACCACCCCAAAGTCAAAGCCTTGTAAAGAACTCAGGAAATAATCCATAAAATTTAACTTCACAGGTTTTCTTCCCATTGAACGTCAATTCAACTAATACTTGATTATCAATGAGAAAAGCTTGGCAAAGCTTAAGACATTCTGGGGTACATTTATCTATTTGCTCCAGTCTGTAAGGAAAACCATAACATGGAAATGTTTTAGTTTTCTTTTTTTTTTTTCTTTTTTTTTCTGACATGCCTGTAGAATCCTTGTCTGCTTGATAAATGCCTGGTCATCTGTGATTTGCTGAAATAAAAGTAATCATTCCATACTCTGTGTATGTCTCTCCTCTCATACTTAGCCCATTGTTGTGAGTTCTTCAAACTAGATCGTTAGCCATTTGAAGGCAGATACCACATTGTATACTTCTAGTGGGGAAAGGTAATACAGAGATGAAGACTCAGTTAGACTTGGTTTCAAAGTTTTTGTATCCCATTGCCTGGCTGCATGGCCTTGAGCAAATTATTTAACTTTTCTGTTCCTCCATTTTCTTATTTGTGAAATTGCCCTGCATAATAGTACATTCTCCACAGGATTGCGTGCTTTTAAATGACAAAGCTACAGCACACTGTTTCCATGTGTGTGTATATTTCCTTTTAGTACTCTTCAAAGTTTTTTGTTTCCCTAAATGGATATCAAATTATTTGAATGCTATTTATTGTATGCGCCTTTACCCCTAAATATTTGTATAATCAGACTTATTAAGTTGTTTATTTCTAAATATATATGGAATTTGGGGTCTTAGTTCTGCAACGTGGATAGATTATTTGTTTCTTCCTTTGCCAATACACTGACCTACCAGTTTTGATATCTGGTTGCTGAGGTCCTTCCTTATTCTTTTTTCATGAAATATTCTTATAAGTTCTGAAACATTTAATGGTTCTGATTATATTTTTAAAGAATTGCAATAATAGTATATGCAATTATTCTCATTATAGATAGCTTTAACGGTGCAAAAATATTCAAAATGAAATGTAAAATAACCATTTAAGTTTGAATCCATCTTCTAGCCCAATTCCTATGCGTTTACATGAATCTATACATATTGTTATTCATGTGAGTTTATCCGATAAAATATAACAAGATACATATGGTGATGTGACTTTTGCTGTTCCCATGACACTTAAAAGTAAAGACCAACACTGGGAACAAAGGGCAGGCTTGGAAAACCCACTTTCCAATGAGAACTCTTAAAAATTAGGACCCAATTCCCTCCATGTACACCCTGGGGTTGAAAGGGGATTTGGAGACCTTGGCCTTAAAAATGTACATGTGTGATTGAGAGGCTTTTCCCTGCTCTTGGGGTGATTTTTAAAATATAATGGGATTTAAATCTAAAAGAACATAATAAATTACAGAAACTGCATAAGTTGGTATGCTTACAAAGAATTTCACTAAACACATATTTCTGCAAAGAAATATATGCCAAGTTATATCTAAAGTGATGAACAAATCATTTCCTCATAACATTTAGGACCAACGGCTTTACTGCTACTTATTTCTCTCATTAGCTACATTTATCAGTGTCTTGCCTTGCCTCTGTGTTTCTTTGTCTTTTCTTTTTCTCCTATTTGTTCTCCCTCTTTTTTTTTTTTTTTCTGAGATGGAGTCTCCATGTGTCACCCAGGCTGGAGTGCAGTGGCACGATCTCAGCTCACTGCGTCCTCTGCCTCCCGGATTCAAGCGATTCTCCTGCCTCAGCCTCCTGAGTAGCTGGGATTACAGGCGCCTGCCACCACGCCCGAGTAATTTTTGTATTTTTAGTAGAGACAGTGTTTTACCATGTTGGCCGGGCTGGTCCTGAACTCCTGACCCCAAATGATTGGCCTGCCTCAGCCTCCCAAAGTGCTGGGATTACAGGAGTGAGTCTACACACCCAGCCTGTTCTCCCTCTTCCTAATACTTCATTACTATGCAGAACTCATGCATAATTCCTTCTGGCTGTGTGGAAATCAACACAGGATATTACATATTTATTTCCTTGTCTTCTGATATGGCTAGACCTCATTTTGATATATAGGACCTCAGCACACAGCATACAGAAAAGCAGCATGGATCACGAGTAGATGCTTGAATAGAGAGCTTGAGGCTGGGTTGAGAACACTTAATCAAAGATGTCTCCACAAACTTACAGATGAATACACATCGACTTCCATTAATAGACATTCAGTTATTTTGGCTAAGCATTGCTCTCTCCCCCGACTTCCTATTCTAAAGTGCAAATTGCCCTGGCAGAGATTTTATTAATGATATCTTAACGTGTTTTTCTCATTCACAGAAAAAAGTATTGTGAATTCTGTGAACTCTGTGTTGAAATCATGGCCACATAGAAAAGGGTGAGAAAGAAATTCCTAGAGGGAACTGATTCTATTAGGAATTTAATATATGCCTGATACTATGCTGAGATTTTGTATATATTAACTCATTTAATCCCCAAGAGAGTATTCTGTGGTAGTTTTCCAAAATTGATAGATGAATATACTGAGGCTTAGGTGTTATGTGTTAAATATCTGTTTCCCAACAAAAATTCATGTTGCCACCCTAACCCCTGAGGTGATGATATTAGGAAGTGATTTTTTAGGATATCATTAGGTCATGAGGGTGGGGCCCTCATGACTGAGATCAGTGCCTTTGTGAAAAGGAACTCCAGAAAGATCTCTCACTCTCCTGCCACGTGATGTTATAAGAAGTTGGCAATAAGCAACTTAAAAGGGGCTCCTCATCAGAACCTGTCCATGCTAGCATCCTGATCTTGAACTCTCAGTTTCCAGAACTGTGAGAAGTCAATCTTGGTTATTTGTAAGCCATGAAATGTATAGTATTTTGTTATGACAGCCTGAACTAAGACATTAGGGTTTCAATTATATATAATTGCAGGGAAGTCCTTATTGACAAAGTGACATTTGAGCAAGGCTCTGAAGAAGGTAAGAAAGTGAGCTAAAGATAGCTATAAAATAAATGCACCAATTGACCTAATAATAATATCCAATTATTTCCCTTTCTATCTTATTTGTTTGAAAATTTAACCTTGGTTTTCCATCTCAGCGATTGTTATTTTTCCTTTCCTGAACTGAATAATCTAACATATATTTTTCAATTATATGAAATTGAGGTTCTCTTCCACCCGCTAGAACCCTATGAAGATACTATCTTTAAGATCTACAAAATGCTTTCAATTCTTACTTCCAACATCTAGATTTTG
This sequence comes from Homo sapiens, assembly GCF_000001405.40. Lineage (NCBI taxonomy): Eukaryota > Metazoa > Chordata > Mammalia > Primates > Hominidae > Homo > Homo sapiens. Next base: position 144,366,219 of record NC_000023.11, on the reverse strand, counting down.
CTGATATGGTTAATAATTTTAGTCACAAATTAACAATTTTCACAGTTCCGATATGCACAATTTTTGGTTATCATGGTTTTATTTAAATAATTCTAGTTCCCCAACAACATAGTTCAAATATCAGTCACCATGATATACTAACTGAAAGTAATTGCATAAAATACTCCACTAATAACCCTTCAGTCCACAAATCATTACATAAATACAAAGTCGTGCATAATAAACAGTCGTGAATTATGTCACTTCTTTCAAGTTTGTCAGTGGTCGCTCACTGGACAGCTGTTCGTGTACAGACAGAAAAGTGTGTGGTTGTGTTGCCTCCTTATCACTCAGGGATAAATGTGACATTATAGATAATTGAAGGAGGAATTGGCCCTCAAAATAGAAATTGCAGCAAAGAAAGGAAAAGTGTTAAACACTGGAAATGAAATTAGAACCAAATGCATAAGCACGTCTATATGTATATGTGTATGCACATTGTGTGTGACTATATATGAATGTGTGTATATATATGTATGTATACACATATATATGTAAATTTTAGATTACGTATAAACTAAAAGGTTCTAGTGGGTGGAATATAAACTTATTTTCATATAATTGACAATCACAATTTCATCTTTGCTTCATCTTCTTCTACCCTGATAATTCTTGTTTTTAATTTGTCTGTCATTTGTTTGTTTAGACTAGGAGTCAGAAAATATTTTGTATAGGGCCAGACACTAAATATCTTAGATTTTGTGGGCCATGTGGTCTCTGTTGCAACTGTTTGGCTATGCAGTTGTATTGTGAAAGTAGCCATATGGAAACAAATGGATGTGGCTGTGTTCCAATGAAAGTTTATTAACAAAAGCAGATGGCTGGCCCAATTGTGCCCACAGGCCAGTTTGGATTAGAGTAATTTCTCATGTATTTTTCTCAAAAAATTTATTTATGTGATATATTCTCTGAATCACTAAAGTGATCTACAAATATTTCTGAATGATTAAAATCCTATAAATATCTATCTATAACCCCAATTGGTGAGTGGAAATCTCAGCTGAATACAAGATTCTTGGGTTGTAATGTTTTTTTCTTAGCAGTATATACATCTTATTCCAATTGTTTTCTTAGACGTACTCTGTCCTCTGTCAGTGTTGCTGATGACAAGTCTGGTGCTAGTTTGATTTCTTTTTTTTTTCTCCTTTTGAAGAGCTGTACGATTTCATCTTTATTCCTGAAATTGAGACATATTATTCTAGTATTCAAAAGTCTATTTGTGTGAGTGTTTTAATCAATTCTTCACTCAGTGACGTTCTTCAATTTGCCAGTTAAGGCTTTTATTTGCTTCCAGCAAATAAAAAAAATAAATAAAGTGATTTTTCTTGCAATATAATTTATTTTCTTGCCTTTTATTTTGTGTATCCTTTGTTTGTGTTTTGGTTTGAGATGACCTTGAGGCTTGAAAATGCTATCTTATAACGAATTTTTTTTAGCTGGTAACAACAGCTTGATTTGCTTGTTTGTTGCAAAAACAAGCAAGCAAAAAGAACACTAACACAAATTCTACACCTTAACATCATATCCCACTTTTTAACATTTCATTGTTTCTATGTATATTGCATTGCATTGTCTATGTCTTGATATGTTGTTATAGATATAATTTTTGATTGGTTTACCCTTTAGTCATGGTACTTAGTATAAGAGTAGTATACACATCACAGTTTCAGTGTTATAACATTTTGTGTTTTTCTGTGTATGTATTATAACCAGTGACTTTTGTACCTTCAGGCAATTACTCCTTGCTCATTAATGTTCTTGTCTTTCTGATTGAAGAACTCCCTTTAGCATTGCTTGTAGGACAGGTCTGGTGTTGATTAAATCTCTCAGCTTTTGTTTCTCTGGGAAAATCTTTATTTCTCCTTCACGTTTTGAGGATGTTTTCCCTAGGTATACTGTTCCAAGGTAAAAGTTTTTTTCCTTCAGTACTTTAAATATGTCATGGCACTCTCTTCTGTCCTGTTAAGACTTCCACTGAAAAGTCTGCTGCCAGCTGTATTGGAGTTCCATTGTATGCTCTTTGTTTCTTTTCCCTTGCTGCTTTTAGTATCCTATTTTTATCTCTTATATTTGGGAGTTTGACTATTAAATGACTTGATATAGTCTTCCTTGGGTTCATTCCGCTTGGTGTTCTATTACCTTCTTGTACTTGAATATTAATATATTTCCTTAGGTTTAGGAAATTATATATTATTATCCTTTTCAATAAACTTCCTACCCCTATCTCTTTCTCTATCACCTCTTTGAGGCCAATAACTCTTAGATTTGCCCCTTTGAGGCTATTTTCTAGATTCTGTATGTGTGTTTCATTGTTTTCTATTCTTGTTTTCTTTTGTCTCCTCTGACTGTGGATTTTCAAATACCTATCTTGAAGCTCACTAATCCTTTCTTCTGCTTGATCAATTCTGCTATTAAAGGACCCAGAGATGCATTCTTCAGTATGCCTGCTGCATTTTTCATCTCCAGAATTTCTGCTTGATTCTTTTAAATTATTTAATCTTTTTGTTAAATTTATTTGATATAATTCTGAATTCCTTCTGTGTGTTATCCTGAATTTCTTTGCATTTCCTCAGGACATCTACTTTGAATTATCTGTCGGAAAGAGCACTTATCTCTATTTTTCCAGGATTGGTCCCTACTGCCTTATTTAGTTCATTTGGTAAGGTCATGTTTTCCTGGATTCTCTTGATACTTGTAGATGTATGTCCATGTCTGGAAATTGAGGAGTCAGGCATTTTTTGGACTCTTCACAGTTTGGCCTTATTTGTAGTATTTGTGGTCGCTTTCTTGGGAATACTTTCCAGATATTGCTAAGGACTTGAATAATGTCACCAAATGTAAGCCTGACGCTAGTATAGTATCACATGACAACAGGCCCTGAAAGAAATCAAATTATTTTACCCTCAAATATATTTATTTGACATATTTTTTAAATGACCCTGCAAAGTTGTCTCTTGTGGGGAAAATGTACATTCAGTAGATAATCTCTTTCCTTTTCCAGGTCTCTTCCCTGATCCAGGAGAGAATTAAATTAAGAGTCTGGAATCTTGTTAAGTCTGATAAGAAACATTTACAATCTATTCTCTCTGAAGCTGGCTCGCTGGAGGCTTCATCTGCATAATAAGTACCTTGATCTCCAAACCCCTTTATCTCAACCAAGACACTCTTTTCTATGGATTCCAGGTATTTAGATAAACATTTTCAACCAGTAGCCAATTGGAAAATCTTTGAATCCACCAATGACCTGTAAGCCCTCCCACTCTGAGTTGTCCCACTTATCTGGACGGAACCAGTGAATATCTTCTGTGAATTGATTGATGTCTTATGTTTCATCAAAATACATAAAACCAAGCTGTAGCCTGACCACCTTGAATATACATCATCAGGACCTTCTGTGACTGTCATGGGCATGTCCTTAACCTTGGAAAAATAAACTTCTAAATTGACTAGGACCTGTTTCAGTTTTTTGTTTTTTTTTTTTTTTTTTTTTTTTGGTTTACAATTGTCATTTTTGCTTTAAAATGGTAACCAAATGCCTGGATTTTGTCATTATATTTTCTCTTTAAATTACGAACAACCATCCAGATCCATGCTTTTTTATAATTACTATTTCTCCTAAATGCCAGAGATATTGTCAGAGACAATGCATTTTCTTCCACCTTTATCTTTACCTTGTTTACAACAGGTGAAAGTCCTAACAATTGCACTGCTACCACATGGCAGCAACTAACAGTACTCCACTTACCACCAGTGATGACGTTCTTAGTGCCAGCCAAACAAGCAGTGATCCAGCACTAGAATCCCATCCTTAATGTCTTCCCAGGACAAATTAGAGTACCATCTGTCTTAGGATGAGAGTGCCTAGAAGGAGCACCTGGGATAGAATCGTGTGTACTGATTTACTGGGGGAGAGCTCTCAGGAAAACAAGAATGAGAAAGCAGGAGAGGGCAGAAGAAAGAGCTAAGTGAGAATGCAATCTCAATTGGAGTTTCCCTTTCAATGATTCAGTGGGAATCTCTAAGTCAAAATTGTGCCACGGAATTGGCCCTACCTTATGTCCATGGGGAAGGCTTTTGTACCCCAAGTCACCCAGGCTTTTGCTGAGGGCTCCTCCTCAAGTATCGGTGGTAGTGGTGATTACAGGTGCCTAATCTACTGGAAAAAAGCAGCTTCTATCCACCTGAAAGCATTTCTCTGGGGAAAGGAAGTAGCTGGGAGAGGTAGCAACTGAAACAGCAGTGAGATCATGGAGCCACCAGTCAGGTAAAGGGGATCTGTGAGGATCCCTTTTTTGTTTGTAGTGATTTTTTTTTTGCACTGATGTCTATTTCATCTGATATTAATACAGCTACTCTCACTTGTGTGATTAATATGTTTATATGCTATATCATTGTCATCCCTTTACGTTCAACCCAACTAGATTGTTTAATTTGCTGTGAGTTTCTTTTTAACAGCATGTAGTTGCGTGGTAGTTCTTGTTTTAAATCCACTCTATCGATTTCTGCCTTTCAATTATTGTATTTAGACCACTTACATTTAAGGTAATTATATTTTAGGGCTTAATTCTGCCATTTTATGTTTGTTTTATGTTTTTCCTCTCTTTATTATTGTTCTTTTATTTTCTTGCTCACCTATGGGTTATTTGAGCATTTTTAAGGGTTCCATCTAGATTTTTCGGCGTGTTTTTGAGTGTGGCTTTCATACTGGTTGCTGCATGTATTATAATATACATATGTGGCTTATCACAATCTAATAGTATCAACATTTTACCACCTTGAGTGAAGTGTGAAAATCTTACCTCCACTTAGGCCCTTGCACCTTTCCTACTTTTAAATATTGATGTCTTTATTATAAGATGATGTTATAATTTTTATTTCAATCATCAAATATAATTCAAAAACACTACGTATATTTCTCATCTTTCCATTGTCCTTTTTTCCTTTCTGATTCTGCAAGATGCCTTCCTTTACATTCCCCTTCTCATTGAAGAATTTCCTTTAGGCATTCCTTGGGGTAGATGTACTAGTGACAAATTATTTCAATCCCTAATAGTCACCTCTTATTAATTGAAATATTTGGCCCTCTATAATATTCAGAACTCCAGTCTTTAATATTAAAGCTTCTCCCTTCCTCAAGGATAGACTGGCTTATGGCTGGATGTTTTAAGTAATAATCAGAGGAGAATAATCTACTTGTTTCTTGTTTTGACTCTGCTGATTCTTTTTCTTCCCTGCTCTGACAAGTCCTCATTATATATTTCAATTTTTGATCACTCTAGGTTTGGAGGAAGAGGAGAGAGAAGAGGTAAGAAGAGATAAACATCATTAATGTAATCTGATAATATTTTCCTCTGGTTATAACACACGTTTAAAGCATCTCTGTGGATTTGGAGGGCGATCAAAGCTACCTTTATGTTTTAGGTATATTGGTTATTGGTATGTTTTTCCAAAATGTCAAGTTTGAATATTTGCCTGAATTTTCTGAGAACCAGGCCAAATACATGCAAAAAAAAAGCGTGTGTGAGTGTATGTGTATGAGTACGTGTGCGTATTTGGCTGGCCATTTGTGTTTTATCTGCAGCCCCCAGAACTCCTGAAAAGCACCTTGTCCCTTCAGGAAGTCTTTTTAGGGAGAAGCTGAAATGTCTTCAGGCTATTTGTCTCGCTTACATGACCCACATTGGGTCTAAGAGAAAACTTTACACATTATTGACCCAACCATAGGTTGAAATACAGCTCCTAATGTGGTTTTGCTAAATTCCTAACACCTCAAGTGGCTGATCACAGCCTCTCACCTTTAGATTTTCTTGGCCTGTGTTGAAAACTGATCTCCTGTGCTCTTCAGTATCCAGAGGATGTATATACAGTTCTCTGAAGCTCCCCTTACAAGGCTTATGGTGACAGAGAAGCAGCCCTTGACTGACTCCCCCCATGACACAGTTCAGGGGCAGGACATTCACTTCCTTTTATTGTCAACTCTACTTTCAGCCTCTCAAGTTCCAATACATTGGAGATAGGTGGCCAGCTAATGGTTGCGAAGCTGGGTTTTAGGTACCCCTTTGTATGTTCTTTATTGGTACTTGAGCATCTCACTTTGTAAAGTGAAAAATAATGACATTTTAAAATCTTGTAACAAACTTATGCATTCCTGGATTTCTTTGATACCTTCAGGATGTAACTCTTTCCCTTCATGTTTCTAACAAACTAAGGGTTTGCATATGATGGCCATTATTTTATGGGGCAGAAAAATATGAGCTGAGCTTCAGTATATACTAGTAAAAGTTATGTACTAAACAACTTAATTTATTGTTCTTATGGTCTATAGTCTACATAGTCTACATAGTAACAACTCATAGTCCAAAAAGATGTTGAATTGGAAATAAAGGAAAGCCATGCGTATATCAGAGAGAGAAAAAGGCTAGAAGGCAAGATGTTTGTGTTTACTATCATGTCTTCCATGAAACTTTAGAGTAACGTGAGAAAAACAATTTATTTGCATAAAGTTTCTTATTTCAAGAGTGGGAATGATAGATACAACCTATTATATAGGAAATATGTGCATGCATATATATGCATATATATGTGTGTGTGTGTATATATATATATATTTCTCGAAATTATGAATGCTATACACCAGAAGCTAATATAATATTTGTAAGTACTTGGAACATACAAAGAATTTTAATGAGAGCCACATTGTAACCCTAGGAAATAGGTACTATCCTTGTCTGTACTTTCAAATAAAATGTCAGTTACCATTTATAAAATGGAAACAGTGTGGCACAGAGACGTTCACTGGATTGTCCTCTGGCTGGCTAGTAAGGTTCAAAAGCAGAATTTGATCCAAACTAGTCTGGTCCTTGAGTCTACGCTTATAACCACTACACCATACTGCTTGAAAACAAAGAGAAAGAACGACTTTTTCTTTTCCCGTGAAGACTTTGCCGTAGTCTCCTCCCACAGTCAGAGTGAATGTGACACCTCAGACTTACTTTCTAAGTGGTCTTTCAGTAGGAAGGATAGTTTGCATCTCCCATATAGAACCCTATAGTCAACTACAATCAGTTAATAATCAACTTATTGAAAACTAGGAATAATCTAAATATGGAGACGCTGGCTATGGAAGAACTTTGTAAGTTTATATATTCCTATATCCTTCCCATGGAGGTGCTGATTTACTAGGTCAAGGAAGTGGTATGGGAATGTCTTTCTTTCTTTTCTTTTTTTTTTTTTTTTTTTTTTTTTGAGACGGAGTCTTGCTCTGTCGCCCAGGCTGGAGTGCAGTGGCGCGATCCCGGCTCACTGCAAGCTCCACCTCCCGGGTTCACGCCATTCTTCTGCCTCAGCCTCCTGAGTAGCTGGGACTACAGGCGCCCACCACCACGTCCGGCTAATTTTTTTTGTATTTTAAGTAGAGACAGGGTTTCACCGTGGTCTCGATCTCCTGACCTCGTGATCCACCCTCCTCGGCCTCCCAAAGTGCTGGGATTAACAGGCGTGAGCCACCGCGCCTGGCCGAGAATGTCTTTCTTAAAAGTGCCTCAGGTGATTTGGTGAGATATTTGTGTAGATGCTAAAGTTAACTAAACTTGGGACTGTATCCAGTGTATAAGTCTCCCTTTCACCTTAATCGAGCTATTGAGCTAAATGCCTTAGATGATATTACTGTTCAATAAAAGTTCAACAAAAAGTCTTACCTTGACTTTTAAAAACTAGAAAGCATTCTAACTGCACTTATTGAGCAATTACTGTGAAAATTTACTCTATGTTCTTACCATGATCACAATATTTTCCTATAGATTACAGAATGTCATGCCACTAAATGTTAACAATACATTTTGGGTATAAACATAGATTTGGATGTTCTAAATGAAGATGTCAGAATCTGGCAGGTTTTTTAAATTTAATTCTTTCAGTATCTTGAAATAGGCACAGGTTTTCTTCTCCAGCAATTTGGCTGTTATTAAAGATCACAAATGCATATTTAGAGACAGTTCTTAGGGCAAAGTGTCAAAGCTGTGGTTGTCACTGACTACAGAATGGCCCTGGGCAAGACACTAACCCATTTCTGGCTATCTCATTCATTATCTGGAACCACAGAATTTATTTTAAGGGAATGTGCTATTAATTCATTGGATACATAAAATCTGTACTTTCAAATAAAATGTTAGCTCTTATTATTATCTACTTAAATAAATAACACAATGCTTTTTCCTTGTTGCTTAAAATTTTTTTGTCAAATAAAGCGGTAGAAAGAGACATTAACTCCAACCACAACTTCCATTACAAGTTGTTTCAAACGATATATTATGTTAGTGACCAGAACAATGAGCTATAATGTAAGGGTCAGTTAGAGAGTTTCTACAAGTCTAGTTACCAAGCACTGATTGACTCTTGACTATCAAGATAACATGTTACATTCTCTGGTAAAGAAGCAAATTCTGAAATTGCCATGGTTTCCTTGGTCTTGCTGTCTGGTCCCTAGCATCTGACTTCATTCCTCAGGCAGGACCACCACCGCCACTCCAGTTCAGTAATTTATACTTGACATGATTCAAGTGCTCTTTTGAACTTGAGTCATTGGAAAGATAACAAAAGAAACCAACCAACCAATGAAACAAACAAACAAAAACCTTATAATACGAAGAGGAAAAAGGCCACTGTAGAATAAAAACTCTATTCAGTTTAAAATATACACTTACATGCCACAAACTCAACAACTGGTAGATAGACAAGTTCTCTTTGTCACCTACAACTCCTTCTGATTAAGCGATTGCTAATAATTTTAACTAGGTTGGCTGTGGAAAGACTTCTGTTAGAGACTGCATCTTTATTTAAGTGTCTTGTATTGCACTTATATCCTGTGGTTTGCTATTCCTATCATGCCTTTAAGAGAGAAAACTCAAAGTCTTTGCATAGGTATTTTTAAACATATATCCTTTATTTTCAGAGTTTTTGGCAATATTTAACTTACAAAAATAGCCTTGCTTTTTCAAATATTTTCTTTGTAGCACTGGAAATCACTACACATTGCTGCAGGCTTTTCTCTACAGCCACAACATTGTGTGTCTTCTCTCCATCAAGATCAGCATCTGGTTTAATGGTGTGCTAATGGATAGATATTTTACACCACTATTTTGGAGTATATACACTTCTCACATCCAAACTGATGCAAGGTTTCTTTTGTAAGTAAGGAAATATTTGACATTAAAAAGTAATCACTTTATTCCCCAAACTATGTATGTCACAATAATACTTTTCTAGGCACTATGTACAAAAGTAAAAAGAATCTCAAAACATCAAAGAGATCTGAGTACAGTTGAGGAAATATAATGCACATTCATCTCAGTGGGGGAAAAAGGACAGGAATAAAGGTAACAAGTTAAGGGGTACTATAGGTAGTATTTTAAACTTCGTCTCTTCTACTTACTAAGTGAGGCTTTGGACAAGTGGCTTAATCTCTTCATGCTTCAGTCTCTTCATCTGCAAAGTGGGAACACAAGTAGTACCTTTCCAATACAATCACTTTGAGGAATAAATGAATTAATGTACTGAATTAATGTACTGAAATTATGTATGTAGCCATATCTCATTTTATTGTGCTTTGCATTATGATGCTTCTCGCATGTCACATTTTTTTTACAAATTGAATGTTTTCAGTAATTCTACCCTGAGCAAGGAAGGCTATGGGCACCATTTTCCCAACAGAATATGCTCACTTCATGTCTCTGTGTCACATTTTGGTAATTCTCATAATATTTGAAAGATTTTTATTATTATTATATCTGTTATGGTGATCTGTGATCAGTGATCTTTAATGTTACTTTTATAGTTGTTTTGGAGCATCATGAACTGCGCCCATATAAGCAGCAAACTTAATAAATGTTGTGTGCTCTGGCTGCTCAGCTGACCATTCTCCGTATCTCTCCCTCTCCTTGGGCCTCCCTGTTTTCTGAAACACAACAATATTTAAATTAAGCCAACTAATAACCCTATAATGGTCTCTAAGTGTTCAAGTGAAAAGAAAAAGTCAAACATGTCTCATTTAAAATACAAAATGAGAAATTATTAGGCTTAGAAGCAGGCATCTTGAAAGTCAAGATAGGCCCAAAGCTGGGCCTGTGGCACCAAATAGCTAGGCAAGTTGTGAATGCAAAGGGAAAGTTCTTGAAGAAAATTGGAAGTCCTACTTCAGCAAACATAAATGATAAAAAAGCAAAGCAGCCTTATTGCTGATATGGAGAAAGTTTGAGTGGTCTGAATAAAAGTTCAAATGAGCCACAACATACCCATAAGCCAAAGCCCAATTCACAGTAAGGCTCTAAGGCTCTTCAATTCTATGAAAACTGAGAGACGTGAGGAAGCTGCAAAAGAAAGCTTTGAAACCAGCAGGCTTTTTTTTTCAGAAGTTTAAGGAAAGAATCTGTCTTCATAACATTAAAGCGCAAGGTGACCTAACAAGTGCTGAGGTGGAAGCTGCAACAAGTTATCCAGAAGATCTAGCTAACATCACTGACAACAGTTGCTACAACAGACAAAAGATTTTCCATGTAGATGAAACAACTTTCTGCTAGAGGAAGATGCCATCTAGGACTTTCATAGCTAGAGAGAAGTCAATGCATGGCTTTAAAGCCTCAAAAGACAAGGTGACTCTCTTATAAGAGGCTTATGAAGCTGGTGACTTTAAGTTGAAGCCAATTTTTGTTTACCATTCTAAAAATCCTAGGCCATTAAGAATTATGCTAAATCTACTCTGACCGTGCTCTATAAATGGAACAAAAAATGTTCATGGCACATCTGTATAAAGTGTGGTTTTATGGATATTTTAAGCCCACTGTTGAGACCTACTGCTCAGAACAAAAGAATCCTTTCACAATATCACTGATCATTGACGATGTATCTGGTCACCCAATACCTCTCATGGAGATGTATGAGGAGATTAAAGTTGTTTTAATGTCTGCTACACAGCATCCATTCTGATCAAGGAGTAATTCTGAATTTCAAGGCTTATTACTTAAGAAATACATTTCATAAGGCTACAGCTGCCACAGATAGTGTTATTATGATGGATCTGGTCAAAGTAAATTGAAAATCTTCTGGAAAGAGTTCATCATTCTAGATGCCATTAATAGCAATTGTGATTCATGAGAGGAGGTCAAAATATCAATGTTAACAGGAGTTTTGAAGAAATTGACTCCAATCCTCATGGATGACTGAGGAATTAAAGACATAGTAGAAGTAGTAATGCCAGTTGTGGTGAAAATAGCAAGAGAACTAGAATTAGAAGTGGAGCCTGAAAATTTGACTGAATTGCTCTAATCTCATGGTAAAACTTGAACAGATGAGAAGTTGCTTTGTGTGAAGGAGCAAAGAAAGCAGTTTATTGAGGTAAAATATATTCCTGGTGAATATGCTATGAACATTGTTAAAATGACAATGGAAGATTAAGAATATTATATAAACTTAGTTAATTAAGCAATAGCAGGGTTTGAGAGGATTGACTCCAATTTTGAAAGAAGTTTTACTGTGGGTAAAATGCTTCAAACAAGACCACATGCTATGAATAAATCTTTCATAAATAGAAGCGTCAGTCAATGTGGGAAACTTTATTTTTATCATAATTTTCATAATTGCTACAGCCATTCCAACCTTCATCAACCACCACCCTGATCAGTCAGCAGCCATCAACGTCAGGGCAAGACCCTCCACCAGCAAAATGATTATGACTTGCAAAACGCCCAGATGATCTTTAGCATTTTTAAACAAGGAAGTATTTTTTATTTAAAGTATATACATTGCATTCTAGACATGATGCTATTACATACTTAATTGACTAGAGTATGGTATAAACATAGCTTTTATATTAACTGGGAAGCCAAAAAATTTGTCTGACTAAATTTATTGTGATATTCACTTTATCATGGTGGTCTGACACTGAACCTGTAATATCTCTGAGCTATGCCTATAAGAGTGCCTGGTTGGAAATGCTTTATGAATATTACATATTTCATTAATTGTAAGGAGTTCAAAGAAGAGAAAAGCCTAATGCCCCTCTTCTGTACTGTAAATGGAACTGTGCTTGTTCCACATACTTGAAACACATGGATAATAGAACAGTATAGAAGTTGATTTAAGCAGTGTGTGTTGCACAAAAGCTGCTAGTACTAAAATTATGGTACTTAGCCAATAGTGTGAGGAAAACATCATAATCCCTGACAATAATCTAAAGGGTTTGTCAGGGTGTACTACAGCTGTTTATTTGCATCATTTTTAGCTTCCAACATCATCCATGTCCTTGGGAATTGAATCAGGAAGCAGTTCAATAGCAGACTCTATTTTGCAGGCACAGGCTCTTCCCACCTCTTGAAAGGTATATTAAGAGAATAAGTAACAAATGGAAGCATTTTCTCTTGCTGGGAGAGCACACCTGGACTTTGCTATTTAATTCAGGAACATTCCCTGCAAGATATCTTTCAATATAATCATGAAAGATGTAAAGTCAGTGCCCACAGTATTGTGGTTTGTTAACCATCAGATCCCCTTAATCATTCAATAAAGCCACCCTGAACAAGAGCAAAATGTGTATTTCCGAGTTATAAAAATTAAATTTACCTTTCTGTTGTAATTTTAACCATTTATGTTGCATTTTCCCTCTTTTAGAATAATTGTTTTTGAGTAAATGGTAAAATAAGTGCCTCTTTAGAGAGCCAGAATGCCTTCCTTCAACATTTTTCTCTTCAACCGGTAAGAATGGCAAGCTTGATTTGTTAGAAACCTTGTATGGAAGCCATCTGTTCTCTTTTAGCTGTGGGACAAATGGTACACCAACTTCCTGTCTTCCATTGTGAATAATTAACAGTGAATCTTAAGGAGATCCTTCTCTCTGTCTTCCAAACAGGTGCATTTTGGTATGTTAACACTCTTAAACCACTGCTTTTCTTCTCCCAGCTGGCAATTTTGTACCTTGAACCAACTCAGAAGATTTATATTCATGAAGCATGTGTTTTTCAAGCTACAACTTATTTCATAGACCACATCAGGTCTTGGTTAAGGCAGCTTGGGATGTGACACAGAGTATTGTCAAAATTAGACTATCAATACATCATGGTAGGGTGTCTTACTTAGATGGGCATTAAATTAAGAAAATACAGGAGTTGCTTCAGGCAAGAGGTGTCTAGAGGTCAACATTAGAAGGGCATGAGTTAAGGCAAAGAGACAGAAGGTCATGACCAAAGTCTCAGGTATGTGGTCTACCAGTTTAAGGAAAGATGTGCACAGCTCAACATACTCAACATACATCCTGGGGAAAATTTTTTTTCTAAGAGATTCTAAAGGCAACTGAAGGTTTTCATCCACAGAACCATTTTGATTGACTTCTCATTCTAATATGATACGGCATGACAGATGGTCTTCAGAGTCACTTTGAGGCTGAGCTAAACCTTTTGAGAAGTTGGTAAATTAATCTCATTTAATTGATTTCCATGTGCTCAGTGTGTAGATCCACCCTTTTTTTCAATGAATCACTTCTCTATGAGACAGTCACGAATAAATAAATGAAACAGATAGTATCATCTTCCAGCTTAAAAATTTTCTTTAAAAAACATAAAACATATTTTGTTTTTAATTGACACATAATTATGCACATTTATTGGGAACAGTGTGATATTTCAATACATGTGTACATTGTGTAATGATCAAATCATTATATTTGGTGCATCTATCACTTCAAACATTTATCATTTCCTTGTGGTTCTCAAGTCCTGATTAAAATTCTGAAATGATTTTCCCTTTGTTCTCAGGATAGCATTCAGAACTTTATCCACGTACAAAGTCCTTTATAATCTCAGACTGCCAACTTCTCCAACCTCATAGCCTGACACTTTCTCTGCTTGCTCTCTGTGCTTCAGTCAGAAGGAAGGGACCAAGCGCATGGTCTCCCAGTAGCTCCATGCACTCTTTTAACCCCAGGCCTGTGCACTGCTCTTTCCTCAGGAGCCAGGTTTTCTATCTTGCTGGCCTGTGTAACTCCCAATTCATCCTCCAGGTCCAGCTTAGATGGCACATTTCCCAGGAAGCCTTCCATGACTTCTCCAGTCTAGATTAAGTTACCTTGTTTTCATGTGCTCTAACAGTACCCTGTATTCCCCTACAGTAGCATTCCTCACATCTGATTTTAAGTATTTACTTATAAGTAAGAAGTTTTTCTCTTCCACTAATTTGATAGTTTACTCAAGAAATACTTTTCTTTGATGTATCTCACTCTCTCCAACATGTAGTTCAAAAATTGGTACATAACAAGTAGCCTACTACTTGCCATGAATAAATGCATGGCAAAATGAATTAGCAAATGAAGAAAAGAAGAAATTTATCTAGAAGCTTTTAATCTTTTGTTGAGTGATACATTAATATGGGCTAACTTGACCTAGAATTCCAAAGAGATGTTCATCTCTTTCAAGAGTCTTCATTGAACTATTGCCACTCGGGCTTCTCTGTCTCCTAGGGTAAGAGAAAGGGACCTTGGTCCTATAAAGCTGTTTTATTGTGTCCTTACTATGTTCATTCTACAACAGGGCTCAGTAAAATGTATGACCTTGAATAACTGTACAGGTTAAGCCTAGCCAATAAACACTACATGCAAGTTTAAATCATAACTCTGGGAGAAAAACAGCACCAAGTGAAAGTTGAGACTCCTGGATGACAACCCTGGACCCAGAGCCTGAGAGACCTTACTTCCCTGAAGGGAAGGACACAGGCCAGGCTGGCTTTGCCAGCGGCTGATTGTAGAACCCCCAGATACTTAAGTGAACATAGGCAGTAGCCAAGGAGTGGTTACAACAGGTCTTGGGTGAGACCCAATGCTGTGTTGGATTCAGGTCTAACCCAACACAACTATGCTGGTGGCGGCCACAACGGTGCTTGTGGCACTCCACCCCCGGGTTTAGGTGGCTCATAACAGAGAGACAGAGGTTGTTTGCTTGGGAGAAAGTAAGAAAACAGAACATGGGTCTTTGACTGGTAATCCAGAGAATTCTGAATCTTATTCAACCAAGTGGTACCTCTACAAAAATATAAAAACTACAGCATTACTGAACATCGGGTGCTGTGATGGTTAATACCGAGTGTCAACTTGACTGTATTGAAGAAAACAAAGTATTGATCATGGGTGTGTCTGTGAGGGTGTCGCCAAAAGAAATTAACATTTGAGTCAGTGTGCTGGGTTTAATCTGGGTGGGCAGAATCTAATCAGCTGCCAGCACCACTAGAATATAAGCAGGCAGAAAAATGTGAAAAGCGAGACTGGCCTAGCTTCCCCAAGGTACATCTATCTCCCTTGCTGGATGTTTCCTGCCCTCGAATATTGAACTCCAAGTTCTTCAGTTTTGGAACTCGGACTGCCTCTCCTTAATCCTCAGCCTACAGATGGCCTATTGTGAAACCTTGTGATCATGTGAGTTAATACTTAAATGTAGATAGATGATAGATAGATAGATAGATAGATAGATAGATAGATAGATAGATAATAGATAGATAGATAGATAGATAGGAGGCCTACTGCATTCCTACTTAATTTATACAAGCAGAAAACTTCTAGGTCGGATGTAAAAAACACTAATTTGAATTATAAAAACAGAGACTCACAGCCCCTCAATCAATTTCCAGACTTGAGCCAGTTTACAGACCCAGAACCCCTTGAATGAAGGGGAGGCCAGGTCGCCCTGAGGAAGGACCTCACTACATTACCGATAATTTATGCGGTGAATCTTTCTCCCATTCTTCTCCAAGGAGACTTTCAGCCCTTTACCAGAGCAACTGTGCATTGGAGAAAGGGAAATGATCAAACATTTTGGGGACTACTGAACACCCCCTCTAAGCTGACATTGATTCCAGGGGACAGAAAACTCACTGTGGGCCTCCAGTTAAAATAGGAGCCTATGGAGGCCAGGTAATTAATAGATTTTTAGCTCAGGTCTGACATACAGTGGGTCCAGTGTGTCCCCAGACTCATTGTGTGGTCATTTCCCCGGTGCCAGAATGCAAAATTGGCATAGACATACGTAGAGCAGGCAGAACCCCCACATTGGCTCCCTGACTGGTAGGTGAGGACTTTTATGGTGGGAAAGGCCAAATGGAAGCCATTAGAGCTGCCTCTACCTTAGAAAAATAGTAAACCAAAACAATATTGCACCCCTGGAGCCATTGCAGAAATTAGTGCCACCATCAAGGCCTTGAGAGATGCGGGGGTGGTGATTCCATTGTACCCCAGTTAAACTCTTCAATTTGGCCTTTACAGAAGACAGATAAATCTTGGAGAATGACAGTGGATTATTGTAAGCTTAACCAAGTGGTGACTCCAATTGCAGCTGCTCTACCAGATGTGGTTTAAGTGCTTGAGCAAATTCACTCATCTCCTGGTACCTAGTATGCAGCTATTGACTTGGAAAATATCTTTTTCTCTATTCCTGTCCATGAGGCCTACCAGAATCAATGTGCCTTCAGCTGGCCAGGCCAGCAATATACCTTTACTATCCTACTTCAGGGGTATATCAGCTCTCCGGCTTTGTGTCATAATCTTATTTGGAGAGACCTTGATCACCGCTTGCTTCTGCAAGATATGACACTTGTCCATTACATTGATGAAATTATGCTGATTGGTTCCAGTGAGCAAGACGTAGCAAACAAACTGGACTTATTGGTAGGCATTTGCATGCAAGATAATCAAACATAAATTCAACGAAAATTCGGGGACCATCTACCTCAGTAAGATTTCTAGGGGTTCAGTGGTGTGGGGCCTGTCAAGATATACCTTCTAATGTGAACAATAAGTTGCTGCATGTGGCCCCTCCTACAACCAAGAAACAAGTACAACACCTAGTGGGCCTATTTGGATTGTGGAGGCAACACATTCTTTAATTGAGTGTGTTTCTCTGGCCCATTTATTGAGTGACCTGAAGGCTGCCAGTTTTGAGTGGGGTCCAGAACAGGAGAAGGTTGTGCAGCAAGTCCAGGCTGCCATGCAAGCTGCTCGGGCACTTGGGCAATGTGACCAAGCAGATTCAATGGTGCTTAAGGTTTCAGTGGCAGATAGGGATGTTGTTTGGAGCCCTTGTCAGTCCCCAATAGGTGAATCACAGCGGAGGCCTCAAGGATTTTGGAGCAAGGCCCTGCTATCTTCTTCAGATACCTAATCTCCTTTTGAGAAACAGCTCTTGGCCTGTTACTGGGCTTTGGTGGAAACTGAACATTTGAGTATGAGTCATCAAGTCACCACGTGACCTGAACTGCCTATCATGAACTAGTTGCTTTCTGACCCATCTAGCTATAAAGTGGGTCGTGCACAGCAGCTTTCCATCGTCAAATGGAAGTGGTATACACGTGACTGTGCTCGAGCAGGTATGAAGGCACAAGTAAGTTACATGAGGAAGTGGATCAAATGCCCATGGTCTCCACTCCTGCCACCCTGCCTTCTCTCTGCCAGCCTGCAGCAATGCCCTCATGAGGAGTTCCCTACGATCAATTGAAAGAGGAAGAGAGCCTGATTCACAGATGGTTCTGCATGATTCGCTGGCATCACCCGAAAGTGGAAAGCTGCAGCATTACAGCCTCTTTCTAGGACATCCCTGAAGGACAGCAGTGAAGGGAAGTCTTCCCAGTGGGCAGAATTTCAAACAGCGCACCTGGTTTGCAGTTTGCATGGAAGGAGAAATGACCAGATGTGCAATTATATACTGATTCATTGCCTATAACCAATGGTTTGGCTGGATGGTCAGGGCCTTGGAAGAAGCATGATTGGAAAATTGGTGACAAAAATTTTAAGGAAGAGGTATGTGGCTGGACATCTCTGGTCAAAAACAGCAAAGATAGTTGTAGTTCATGTGAGTACCCACCAAAAAATGACATCAGCAGAGAAGAGGATTTTAATAGTCAATTGGATAGGATTACCCATTCTGTGGATACCACTCAGCCTATTTTTCCAGCCACCACTGTCATCACCCAATGAGCCCATGAACAAAGCGACCATGGTGGCAAGGATGCAGGTTATGTATGGGCTTAGCAACATGGACTTCCACTTACCAAGGCTGACCTGGCTACGGCCATCACTGAGTGCCCGATTTGACAGCAGCAGAGACCAACACTGAGCCCTTGATATGGCATGATTCCTCAGGGTGATCAGCCGGCTACCTGGTGGCGGGTTGATTATATTGGACTTCTTCCATCATGGAAAGGGCAGAGGTTTATCCTGACTGGAATAGACACTTACTCCAGATATAAGTTTGCCTATCCTGCATGCAATGCTTCTGTCAAGACTGCCATCCATGGACTCACAGAATGCCTTATCTACCATCATAGTATTCCACACAGAATTGCCTCTGACCAAGGCACTTAGTTTACAGCTAAAGAAGTTCACCAGTGGGCTCATGCTCATGGAATTCACTGGTCTTCCAATGTTCCCCATCATCCTTAAGCGGCTGGATTGAGACAATGGTGGAATGGCTTTTTGAAGTCACAATTACAATGCCAACAAGGTGACAATTCTTTGCAAGTCTGGGGCAATGTTCTCTAGAAGGCCATGTATGCTCTGAATTAGCATCCAATATATGGTACCATTTTTCCCATAGCCAGGAGTTATGGTTCCAGGAATCAAGGGGTGGAAGTGGAAATGGCACCACTCACCATCTCCCCTAGTGATCCACTAGTAAAATTTTTGCTTCTTGTTTCCACTAAATTAAGTTCTGCTGGCCTAGAGATCTGAGTTCCAGAGGGAGGAATGCTGCCACCAGGAGACAAAACAATTCCATTAAACTGGAAGTTAAGATAAGATTGCCACCTGGACACTTTGGGCTTCTCCTACCTTTAAGCCAACCCGTTAAGAAGGGTGTTACAGTGTTGGCTGGGATAATTGACTCGGACTTACAAGATGAAATCAGTCCACTACTAAGACAGTAACAGAGTTAAAGAAGAGTATGCATGGAATACAGAAGGTCTATTAGGGCTTCTCTTAGTATTGCCATGCCCTGTGATTAAGGTTAGTGGGAAATTACAACAGCCCAATCCAGGCAGGACTACAAATGACTCAGACCCTTCAAGAATAAAGGTTTGTGTCACTCCACCAGGAAAAATAAAAAATAAAAACAGGACCCGATGAAATGCTTGCCAAAGGCAAAGGGAATACAGAATGGGTAGTAGAAGAAAGTAGTCATCAATACTAGCTACAACCACATGAGGAGCTGCAGAAATGAGGATGGTAATTGTCATGAGTATTTCCTTCTTTTTTTGTTAAAAACATGTTCGTGCATGTATACATTTGTACTAAAAAAAAATCTTCATTTTGTTTCCTTTCTCCTTTATCATGTGACATAAGATTTATTGACTTCACATTAGCATTTAAGAATCGTTAGCTTTGTGTAATATTATTTGGGTTGGGGATTGGTGCATTTCCGCTTGTACAAAAGATAGTTGTATTATGTTAGGCATAATTATGACCTTATTATTGTCTTTATTTGAAGACTATGTATGATGTCAGGAGATATGTATGGGTTCAAGTTGACAAGGGGTGGATTTGTGATGGTTAATACTGAGTCTCAACTTGATTGGATTGAAGGATACAAAGTATAGATCCTGGGTGTGTCTGTGAGGGTGTTGCCAAAGGAGATTAACGTCAAAGTCAGTGGGCTGGGAAAGGCAGATCCACCCTTAATCTAGGTGGGCACAATCTAATAAGCTGCCAGCGTGGCCAGAATATGAGCAGGCAGAAAAATGTGAAAAGAGAGATTGGCCTAGCCTCCCAGCCTACATCTTTTTTCCATGCTGGATGCTTCCTGTCCTTGAACATCAGACTCCAAGTTCTTCAGTATTGAAACTCAGACTGGCTCTCCTTGCTCCTCAGCCTGCCGTCAGCCTATTGTGAAACCTTGTGATTGTGTGAGTTAATACTTAATAAACTCTCATATATATATATGAGGCCTTTCTCATATAGAGAAAGTTCTTTCCCTCTAGATAACCCTGACTAATACAGGTGCCCCATAAAGCACTCAAGCTAAGAGCACAACATCAAAGTCATTTCAAATACCTGGAAAGCCTTCTTAAAAAAGATGGGTATAAACGAGGCCAGACAATGCTGACTACAATGACTCTTCAATCCCCAGACAATGAAGAATATCTACTAGTATCAACATGATCCAGGAAAAGATGACCTCACCAAAAAAAAAAAAAAAAAAAAAAAAAAAGTGGCACCAGCAACCAGTCCTTGAGAAACAGATATGGGACCTTTGGGAGAGATAATTCCAAATAGCTATATAGCTATGTGGAGAATACTCAAAGAAATTTAAGATAGGACAGAGAAGAAAATCATAATTATATCAGATAAATTTAGCAAAGAGATTGCAATAATTAAAAAGAATGAAGCAGGAATTTTGGAGCTCAAAGACGCAGCTGGCTTATTGAAGAATGTACCAATGTCCTTTAATAGCAGAACTGATCAAAAGGAAGAAAGAATTACTGAGCTTGAAGACAGGATGTTTGAAAATATACAGTCAGATGAGACAAAATAAAAAATAATAAACAATAAAGCACATATACAGGATCTAGAAAATAGCCTCAAAAGGGCAAATGTATGAGTTATTAACCTCAAAGTGGAGGTAGAGAGAGAGATAATAGTAGAAAATTTATTGAAAGGAATAATAGCAGAGAAATTTTCAAAGGCAGAGAAAGATATCAATATCCAAGTACAAGAAGGTTATACTAAGCACATTTAAACCAAAGAAGACTATCTGAAGACATTTAATAATAAAACTCAAAATAGTCAAGTATAAAGAAAGAATCTTAAAGGCAGAAAAAGAAAAGAAACAAATAACTTACAATGGAACTTCAAAATATCTGGCTGCAGAGTTTTCACTGAAAACCTTTCAGGCCAGGAGAGAGTGGCATGAATATTTTAAAGTGCTGAAGAAAAAACAAACAAACAAACAAACAAACAAAAACTAAAACACTACAAAACTTTTATTCTACAATAGTATCCAGTGAAAATATTCTTCAAATATGAAGGAGAAGAAAAGGCTTTTCCAGAGAAACAAAAGCTTAGAAATTTTATTAATGCCAGACCTGTCCTATAAGAAATGCTAAAAGGGAGTACTTCAATCAGAAATAAAGGATATCAGTGAGCAATAAGTAATCATCTGGAAGTACAAAACTTACCGGTAATATTATGTACACTGAAAAAGACAGAATATTATAACATTTTAATTGTGGTGTGTAAACTATTCTTATCCCAAGTAGAAAGATTAAACAATGAACCAATCAAAAATAGTAACTACAACTTTTTTCAAGACATATTTAGTACAATGAGGTATAAATAGAAACAACAAAGAGTTAAAAAGCATGGTGACAAAGGTAAGGCGTAGTGTTTTTATTCGTTTTCTTTTTGCTTCTTTTTTTGTTTATGCAAACTGTGTTAAGTTGTTATCAGGTTTAAATAATAGGATTTAGAATATTATTTGTAAGCCTCATGGTTACTTCAAACCAAAACACATACAATTGGTCCACAAAAAATAAAAATCAAGAAACTAAGGATATAATAAAAATTATTTTCACTAAAGAAAGACAGGAAAGAAGAAAGACAAGACCATAAAACGACTATAAAACACATAACAAAATGCAAGAGTAAGTCCTTACCTATCAATAATAACATTACATGTAAATGGACTAAACTTCCCAATCAAAAGACACAGAGTACCTACATGTTTAAATAAAAAAGACTCATTGATACTTTGCCCACAAAAAGCACACTTTACCTATAAAAACACAGATAAACTGAAAATAAAGAGATAGAAAAATATCTTATATACCAATGGAAACCAAAAAGGAGCAGGAGTCCCTGTACTCATATCAGACAAAATAGATTATAAAACCAAAATTATGAGAAGAGACACTGTATCATGGTAAAGGTCACTGTATAATGGTAAAGGGGTCAATTCAGCAAGAGGATCTAACAATTTCAAATATATATTCACCCAATGCTGGAGTACCCAGATAAATAAAGCAAATATTATCAGAGCTAAAGAAGGAGATTGGCTTCAATACAATAGGAACTGGAGACCTCAACACCCCACTTTCAGCATTGTACAGATCTTCCAGACAGAAAATAAAGAAACATCAGACTTTATCTGGACTATAGACCCGATGAATCTAATAGATATCTACAGAACATTTCATTCAATGGCTGCAGAATACACATTTTCTTCTTCAGTACATGCATCATTCTAAAAGGTACTCCATATGGCAGGTAACAAAATAAGTCATAACATATTCAAAAAACTAAAATAATATCAAGCACCTTCTCTGACAGAAATATAATAAAACTAGAATTTAATAACAAGTAATTTTGGAAGCCATACAAATACAGAAAAATTAAACAATATGCTTCTTAATGACCAATTGGTCAATAAATTAAGAAGGAAACTGAAAAAGTTCTTGAAAAGAATGATAATAAAAACACAACATACTGAAACTTATGGGTCACAGCAAAGGAAGTAAAAGGTAAGATTCTAGCTATAAATGCCTACATCCAAAAAGAGAAAAAGCTTCAAATAAACAGTTTAACAATGCATCTTAAAGAACTAGAAAGGCAAGAGAAAACCAAACTAGAAGAAAACAACAATAAAGATTAGAGTAGAAATAAATGAAATAAAAATGAAAAAAATACAAAAGATTAATGAAACACTTTTTTTTTTTTTTTTTAGATGGAGTCTTGCTCCATCACCCAGGCTGGAGTGCAGTGGTGTGATCTCGGCTCACTGCAATCTCTGCCTCCCGGATTCAAGCAATTCTCCTGTCTCAGCCTCCTGAGTAGCTGGGATACAGGTGCACGCTGCCACACCCAGCTAATTTTTTGTATTTTTAGTAGAGATGGTGTTTCACCATGTTGGTCAGGCTGGTCTCAAACTCCTGACCTCAGGTGATCCGCCCACCTCGGCCTCCCAAAGTGCTGGGATTACAGGCGTGAGCCACGGCGCCCAGCCCTTTTTTTTTTTTTTTTGGAAAAGCTTTGCAAAATTGACAAACCTTTAGCCAGACTAACTAAGGAAAAATGAGAGAAGATTCAAATAAATAAAATAAAAATAAAAAGAGACATTGCAACTCATACTGCAGAAATTCAGAGTCCTTAGTGGCTACTATGAGCAACTATATGCCAATAAATTGGAAAATCTCAAAAAAATGGATAAATTCTTAGACATATGCAACCTACCAAGAATAAACCAGGATGAAATCCAAAACCTGAACAGACCAATGCAAAGCATAGTGATCATAGTTACAATAAAAAGTCTTGCAAAAAAAGAAATATCTGGGACCCAATTGAATCCCTGCTGGATTCCATCAAACATTTAAATAATAAGTAATACCAATCCTACTCAGACTATTCTAAATAAAAGAGGAGAAGGAACTATCTCCAAATTCATTCTACACAGCCAGTATCACCCTGATGCCCAAACCAAAGACACAACAACAAAGAAAACTATAGGCCAAAATCTCTGATAAATGTGAATGCAAATACAGTCCACAAAATACTAGCAAACTGAATGCAATAAAACATTAAACAAGATTACTCATCATGACTTAGTGGGATTCATACCAGAGATGCAAATATGGTTCAACATATGTAAATCAATGAGATACATGACATCAACAGTATGAAGGGCAAAAATCATATGATTATCATCTCAATTGATGCTGAGAAAGCATTTGATAAAATTCAACATTCCTTCATTATAAAAACACTAAAAACTAAATATAGAATGAACATGCCTCAGCATAATAAAGACATATATAACAGACCCAAATCTAGTATCATACTGAATGGGGAAAAACTGAAAGTCATTTCACTAAGATTTGGAACATGATAAGAATGCTTACTTTCACCACCATTATTCAACATAGTACTGTAATTCCTACTTTGTCTATATATTATTTTGTTTATTTAGGTAGCTTTTCTCTTGTTATTCTAACTAGAAGATTTTTTTATATATACTTTCAAAAACAAACTTTTTGTTCTATTGATCTTTTATATTGTGCTTTTAGTCTCTATTTTAATAAGTTATTCTTTGATCTTGTGTTTCTCTTCTATTAATCTGATGTTTAAAAAATTATTGAGACTTTTTTGTGTCATAACATATGTTTTATCCTGGAGAATGTTTCATGTGCTGATGAAAATAATGTGTGGATAAAATGTTCTGTGAAGGTTTGTTAGATTGATTTAGTCTAATTTGCAATTTAAATCCAATATTTCTACATTAATTTTCTGTCTAGATGATGTGATTAATGCTGAGAGTAGGGTGTTAAACTTCCCAACTACTACTGTCTTAGCGTCTACCTCCACCTTTAGATCTAATAATATTTGCTGTTTTTTTTTAATTTTAATTTTTTTTGAGATAGTGTCTCACTCTTTTGCCCAGGCTGGAGTGCAGTGGCATGATCTCGGCTCACTGTATCCTCCACCTCCCAGGTTCAAGCTATTTTCCCATCTCAGCCTCCTTAGTAGCTAGGACTAAGGCATGTGCTGCCATGCTCAGCTAATAATTTTTTTTAATTTTTTTTTTTTTTTTTTTTTTTTTTTTTTTTTTTTTTTGGTAGAGATGGGGTTTTACCATGTTTCCCAGGCTCATCTCAAACTTCTGGGATCAAGTAATTTGCCTGCCTCGGCCACCCAAAGTGCTGGGATTACAGGTATGAGCTACCATGCCCGGCCTAATATTTGCTTTTCATATCTTCTGCTACAGTGTTGGGAACATATGTGTTTATAATCATATTTTCTTGCAAAATTGATCCCTTTATCATTATATAATGAGATTTCTTATGTCTGTTTGTACTGTTTTTTTACTTGAAAGCAGTCTTATGTGCTATCAGTATACCTATTCTTACTCACTTTGCTTTCCATTTGCACATAATGTCTTTTCTATTTCTTTCAGTCTGTGTGTGTGTGTGTGTGTGTGTGTGTGTGTGTGTTTCAAAGGAGGTGAGTTTCATATTTTTGGTATGTTGTGCTTCCATTTTAGTTTTCCTCAAGGTATTTTTTATTATTTATTTCATTTTTTTTGTCCCAATAATTGTTCAGAAACATACTGCTTAATTTCCACATATGTGTATTTTTTATTTTTTTTCTGTTAGTGATTTCTATTTTCATACCATTGTTGTCAGAAAAGATACTTGAGATGGTTTTGATTTTAAATTTGTTAAGACTTTTTGGCCTAACATATGATCTGTCATGGAGAATGATCCCTATGCACATAGAAGAATATGTATTCTGTTGCTGTTGGATAAAGTGTTCTGTATATGTCTGTTAGTTTCATTTGGTCTAAAGTGAAGTTCACATTCACTGTATTTTTATTAATTTTCTGTCTGGATGATGTGTCTATGATTGCAAGTAGGGTATTGGAGTACCCTATCCAAGTTATTGCGTTGCAGTCTATGTCTCTCTTCAGATATCTTAATGTTTGTTTTATATATTTAGGTTCTATGATGTTGGGTGCATATATGTTTACAATTGTATTTTCTTAATGAATTTACCACTTTATTGCAGTAGAAAATACCTTATTTATCTCTTGCTACAATTTTTGACTTAAGGTTTATTTTGCCTAAAATCATTATAACTATCTCTAATCTCATTTGGTTTTCATCTGCACGGAATATCATTTTCTATCTCTTTGGTTGCAGTGTATGGGTCTTTTAAGGTGAACTGAGTCTCTTGTAGGTAGAATATAGTTGGGTCGTGTTTTTTTTTTTTTTTTTCATTCAGGCACTCTGGGTTTGAGTGAATAATGTAATCCATTTACATTTGAAGTAATTGTTCATAGGTGAGGATACTCTTCTGCCATTTTAAAAATTGTTTTCTGGGTTTTGTTTTTGAACGCTGTTTCTTTCTTCTTCTGTTGCTTTCTTCCTTTGTGGTTTGATGACTTTCTGTAGTTATAATACTTTGAATATTTTAATAATTATTTGTGTATATTATAGGCTTTTGCTTATAATAGATGATAATGATATCATAGTTATCTAATTATAATTATAATAGTGGTTACCCTGAGGTTTACATAAAAGACATTGAGAGAAATTAGCTAGCTTGCCTTAGGTAGACAGCAAGCAAAGGGTCTCTGGAGAGCCCCTGACCCATGAGTCAGTGCCTCTTTCCCATATAACATAAAAAGCAGCCCAGGAAAAAAATCAAGCTGTGGCATTGATAAGGGAAGTAACACAGGGTGTTGTGCCTGGAGACATGCCTGTGGCTGCACAGATAGGAGAACCTCCAGCCCACTCAGATAAAAACTTGCACAAACCTCCAGCTCATTCAGGTAAGGGAACAAGGCCTGACACACAAATGCTTTTGTCCTTTGTGTAATCAGGAAGCCGCCAGGAACAAATTTATTTTTCTTTTCTGGGCATGAACACTGTGGGCTCTGGTGGGTTCTGGTAGGCACTTGTCCTTTTTGTTTGTTTGTTTTTTGGACTGTGAGCCCAGCCTTTATGAATTATCCCTTCAGCTCCTAATTGGTCCTGGGCCAAGCTTTCACTTCAGCTCCTGATAGGTACTGGGCCAAGCTGAGTAGCCCCTATGAATCATTACTTCAGCTCCTAATTGGTCCTGGGCCAAGGTCCTGGACCAAGCTAAATCATGCTTTCTCCAAAACAGCCCATGGACTACGCGTCTTTCTTCCACTTCCCAAGCCATAAAATCCCCAGAACCCAACCTCATGAAGGGCAACCCATTCAGGCCCCCCTCTCTACTGGCAGAGAGCCTTCTTCTTTCACTTATTAAACTTTTGCCCCAACCTCACCATTGTGTCCATGCTCCTTAATCATCTTGAATGTAAGAAAAAGAATTCTGAGTATTATCTCAGACAATGAGAGACTGCTATAGTGTGGTGCATTGGCGAGACAACAGTATTGTACTTATAATGGGCTATTTTGATTTAATAACTTTAATTTCGGTTGCTTATATAAACTCTACAATTTTATTCCAGCATCACCCTCATTTTATATTTTTTATTTCATACATTACATCTTTTTGTACATTTTATCCCTTAACAAATTATTATAGCTTCAGTTGTATTTAATAGTTTTGCCTTTTAACCATGATATTAGAGATAGAATTAATTTACCCACTAATGTTACAGTATCAAAGTACTCAAATTTAACAACGTACTTTTGTTTTTCAGTTAGCTTTATACTTTCATGTGCTTTTATGTTACCAAATAGCGTCCTCTTTATTCAGCTTTAAGAACTTCCTTTATCATCTTTCGCAGTTCTTGTAATGTAGGTCCAGTGGCTATAAACTGTTTCAGATTTTATTTGTTTCAGAAAATTTTTATTACTTCATTTTGTAAATACAGTATCAATGGGCACAGTATTTTTCGTTGGCAGGCTATTTTTCTTTCAGGATTTTGAATATAACATTCATCTCCTGGCTGGCAAGGTTTCTGCTGAGAAACCCATTATAGTTGTATAGATTTCCACTTATATGTGATGATTTACCATTCCTTTCTCACTATAAACACTCTCTGTCTTTAACTTGGACAAATAGATTATAATGTGCCTTAGTGTGGGGCTATTTGCATTCATCTTACTTGGTTTCCTTTTAGCTTCCTGGATTTGGCTTTTTACCTTCTTCTTCAAGTTTGACGTTTTTTGCCACTATTTCTTTGAATATATTTTCTGTTCTTTTTTATCTCTTTTCTCCTTCAGGCAAGCTGATAATGTGTAAATTGTTCTTCTTGATGGTGTACCAAATGCTATCTTCTCTCTTATTTTTTTTTTCTTTTCACTCCCCATGTTGGATGACTTCAGTGATTTGCCCTTGAGGTCACTAGTTCTTTCTTCTGCTTGTTCTAGTCTGCTGTTGTATATCTTTATTGCATTTTTTAGTTCAATTATAATATTCTTCAAATCTATGGTTTCTGTTTGGTGCTTTTTTATACTCTCTGTTTTTTTGTTCAGGGTGTTAATTTGTTTTTGCACTGCTTCCCTAACCTCACTGAGCATCCTTATGTTCATTAGTTTAAATTTTCCATCAGATAAGTCACATATCTCAAACTTACTCAGGTTGGTTTCTGTGGATTTATCTTTTTGTTTTATTTGGAATATATTTCTCTGTCTCTTAATGTTTGTTGACTCTGTGTGTTGGTTTCTTCTAAAAAATATAGTAGCCACCTCTCCCAGTCTTTTCAGATTATCCTGGTACAGGAGAATAATCTTGCCAATACACTTGGCCAGAGATTTTAAGATGCTTCTCAAATCATTCTGGTTGTTCAGACTGCTGTCTATATTTCTGTGGCCCCTTGAAGATTAAGATATGTTATGTACTCTCAGAACACTGTAACTAGTAAGGCAGAAAACAGATGCTCTAGATGTAGCTGGAAATCTTGAGGTGTTAGATTTTAGTTCCTTCTATCCTCATGTTGAAACTGAGTGTGGGTATTATTTTCCTACTTTCTCTGCACTTAGCCAGGGAGAGCATCTGTGACAAGTATCTGTGGTCACTTCTGTGCTGGACCCTTTCATTTTGGAAAATTGCTGCTGGAAGTGGACCCATTGTATGTTGACCTCATTGTTTTATGTGGTTTAAGGAGTCAGGAATAATTGGCTCTTAAAGTTAGGTCTTCAAAGATACAATTCATTGGATGGGAGATATAGAAGTTGTGGCATTTGGTGCATGGGCAAACTCCTTTGTAAAAAATGCGTAAACCTGTATTGATCACCAAATGAGCTGGAGGAAAAGGGTAAGGACATGCCAAGTTCCTGCTCAGATTGCCTCCGGGCTGCTGTTTGTCTTCAACATTAGCTCTCTGATGGAAGTCTGTTAAAGGCCTGGCTACCAAGTAGCCACTGGAAGTGTATGCAGTAAAACTTTTCTGGAATGAAAATGGGAACAGTTCATCCCAGTCTCTTTTCGACACTGTTCTTAAAATGTGTGGCTCCTGGAAGTGTTTGTGCATCTGTTTAAAACCACATCTTTTTCTATGATTTAAGGAGGCTCACACATGCCTAGTCCCTTTTGCTCTCCAGATATGAGGTTTGGAATGCTGTCCCTCAGGTGGATGCTATAAAAGTTGAGATATTCCGTGAATGGACGAACACCTTCCAGAAGTGATTGGTGAGCCAGAAGTTATTTCTCCGCTGATCTGAGAGAAAGAGCTTAAGAGTGCTGAGTTACTGCTCAGGCTGCAGAAGACTATATTTTGATTACCTTTTAAAGTCTCTGATGCTGATTAGTTAGAAGGCGGGCCATCAAGCAGCCACTGAAAGAGTGTGCCATAAACCCCTTCTGAGGAGATATGGGGAGCTTCCTTTTTAAGGCCATTCTCTGCGTTGCTCCAGTTGGGGGTGGGGATGTAACCCCTATGAGTACTTGCTTACTTTTTAAAAATTACACTATGTTCTGTAATCTAAGGAGATACACACATGCCCAGTGTCTTCTTCTCTTATAGCTAAGAGGTTTAGCATGCAGTTCCTCAAGTGTAAGCGATAAAAGTTAGGGTGCTCAATGCCTGGAAAAACTTCTTCCAGGAGAGCTTAATAAACCTGGGAACTATCACTAGGGTAAGTTAGGGTAGAAATCTTTGGAAGTGCTAGTCGGCTTATCAGGCTGGCAGCAGGGTAATGTTCCAATGCCTCTTTAACTCTCTGATGCATGTTAGTTAAAACTGCAGCCTTCAAGTAGTCATTGGGAGTCTGTCATAAACATCTTCTGGGGTAAAACAGGGAGCTGCATTTTTAAAGCCCGTTCTCTGCAGTGCTCCTGGGGGAAGAAGCCTCTGGAAGTACTTCTGATATGGAAAGGGGGCAAGGAAGTGCTGGGAAGGGAAGGGCATGGTCCCCGGCTAGGGCTCCACCCTCGGGCCTGTATCCAAGAACCTAGGTGAGGACAGGCATTTCTGTTTTCCTACCCAAACATTGCATTTCCCAAGACCACCCTGGCCTGCCCTGTCCCCATCTTGTGCCTATAAAATCCCCTGAGGCCCTAGTGTGCAGAGACAAAAGTGGCTGGACGTCGAGAGAAACACATCAGAGGAAGAACACACAAGTGGCTGGATGTCAAGAGGACGTCGAGGGGAGCATGCTGACGGAAGAGCACAGTGACAGATGCCGGCAGGATGGCAGGCCATTGGCTGGCAGAATGATGTGGAGTTTGGCCGGGGAGGTCAGAGAAGAGCCTGGGCCACTGAAGGACCCAACTCCAAGGGAAAACCGCCTTCTCACTCCATCTCCCTTCTGGCTCCCTCATCTGCTGAGAGCTACTTTCACTCAGTAAAACCTTGCACTCATTCTCCAAGCCCACGTGTGATGCGATTCTTCTGGTACACCAAGACAAGAACCCCAGGATACAGAAAGCCCTCCGTCCTTGCAATAAGGCAGAAGGTCTAACTGAGCTGACTAACACAAGCCAACCTAAGAGAGCCATCTGTAACACATGCCCACTGGGGCTTCAGCTGTAAACATTCACCCCTAGCCACTGCAGTGGAGTCAGGGCCCCACAACCTGCCTGTCTGCATGCTCCCCCTAGAGGTTTGAGGAGCAGGGCACGCAAGAGGCGAGCCACACTCCATGCACATGCCCTGCCAGAGGGATAAGGGAAGTTTTCCTGTTTTAACTGGGCCCTCGCCAGGATCTCCAAAGGTGAGTGTGAGTGAATGTGAAACTGTTAGGTCTGCCTCTCTTCCTAAAACCTGCCACCTCTCTCTCTTTCCCGTCAGTAAGGGTTCTGTTTCCTTTTGCAGTGTTTCGAAAACTCCGCCCTAACCCAGCGGGTCAAAACCCCCAGACTTCAGCTCTTTTCTCTCTCACATACTTTGAAATGGCTCTTATCGCTTTCTTTATAATGTTAAGAGTTTTGCTACAGGCTGTGGCAATGTTACTAAATAAAATGAGCATTTGGCTCAACTGCCAAAGATGCAAATCAGAAGAACTGTTCTTAGAGGTATGGTCCATGCCTCCATCTTGACAGCCACAGGCACGCATGACTCAGGGCACCTCCTGTTATCCTTTTTCCTCCCAGCTGAGGTTCCTGGGATTGCCCGCAGCAGGCAAAGGCCACACCCAACAGCTGAAGAAGGGGGGAGGGGTGGAGGGGGGAGGGGTGGAGGGGGGGGTGGGTGGAGGCGGGAGAAAGCTGCAGCAGTAGCCAAGACCCCACAGGGATAATGGATGGGTGCTTCTCACAGCACCAATGGAACGTTTCTCCCCTAGCCAAAGAATCCAATCAGATCTGAATCGGAAGAAAGATATAAAGATTAGAAAGGCGCACTTGCACTAACCAAGCTATTATTCCCCCAGGATCTCCCCTTTTTGCCCCTTAAACTATGTTTCTCTTTTTTCCCTTTTCTAAGTGAGAGCCACCCCCCGCCCCACCCCCAGCTCTGTTTCTGATAGGAAAGTTAGTGATGGAGCGACCCCTGCCGGCTGATAACTGCAAATTCAGCAGGGCTTATTTGAGACACTCTAAACAGATATAAACAGCCTTTAAAATAGCTTTTGAGGCCGGGCGCGGTGGCTCACGCTTGTAATCCCAGCACTTTGGGAAGCCGAGGCGGGCGGATCACAAGGTCAGGAGATGGAGACCATCCTGGCTAACATGGTGAAACCCCGTCTCTACTAAAAATACAAAAATTAGCAGGGCGTGGCGGTGGGAGCCTGTAGTCCCAGCTACTCGGGAGGCTGAGGCAGCAGAATGGCGTGAACCCGGGAGGCGGAGCTTGCAGTGAGCCGAGATCGTGCCACTGCACTCCAGCCTGGGCCACAGAGCGAGACTCCCTCTCAAAAAAATAAAAATAAAATAAAATAACATAAGCTTTTGAGTCCCAAATTCGATTTGAAGCTTCAGGCTGGGGCCCTAGAAAGAAAGACGAGGTCAAAGGAATCCAAAGCCAGGCAACAGGTACAATGTAAATGGGCAAAACTAATTCCTGCCAACTAAACCCCCCCACCCCATGGAAGGAGGCCATGCTTGATGGCATAAACAGGCCCAGAGAACTCAGTCTGCTGACAGCTGGGAGAAAGGAAGGCAGAGGCGAGGGCGGTTAATTCCTATTCTCCAGGTTTTCCTTGCTTCATGTGTACATACCGCATTAGTACCTATGGCCAGCACCTGTCAAGGTTGCCGGGGCTAAGGGATAAGAGGTGGAAAGTGAAGAAAGGACTCTCGCTTTCTCTCTCCATCTCACTGTGAGTTTTCACTGAAAGAAAGAAGGGAATGAGAGACGCCTCTATTCCTTGTCTTTCAGAATGGGCAACCAGTTCTCTTCACCACCCCCAGCTTATACTCCTCTGGAGTGTATCTTGAAACATTGGAACTGCTTAGACCCTCAGAATCTAGAGGAAACGTGCCTCATTGCTCTCTGTGCAAAGGTTTCGCCAAATTATGATTTACAGGAAGGACTGGCTTGGCCTCAGGAAGGAGCCACTTATTTCCATGCTATATGGCAGTTGGAACTTTTCTGTAGACATGAGGACAGATGGTCTGAGACCCCATACGTGCAGGCTTTCTATAACTTGCAAAGCAATTTACATTTTTGCTGACAATGTAGAATTGATCCAGCCCTTCTGTTTGCAATCTCAAAGAAGGCTTTGCAAGGGACAAGCCCAGGGAATTAAAGATGTGAGTCCCAGACCAATCCTCTGATTCCGCAGCAGAGGAGCCAGATCTCTCCAGCCCAGCTCCTCTGAGTCCACCCCAACCTCCCTGTCCAGCTTCAGCCTCTCACTTGCCCTCTCCTAGAAGTCCTCGCCCTAAACAAGCCCCAGTTTATTGTTGCTCCTCCAACAGATGCCCAGTGAATTTGGACCCAGTAAGGTCCGGGTTCCTTTTCTCCCTATAGAACTTAAAGAAAATTAAGGGGGACCTTGGCAAGTGTTCAGATGACCCTCATAGATATATAGAGGCCTTCCAGAATTTCACCAAGATATTTGAATTCTCCTGGAGATACGTTATTTTGCTTTTGAATCAGAACCTGATGGACACTGAGAAACAGGCCACTCTGCAAGCAGCAGAGAGATTTGGGAATGAGTTTTGTATCACGTATAGCATCAGGGAAGGGGGTGACTATTATCCATCTGGAAGAGAAGGAGTACCAGTGAGTAACTCTAAACGGGATCCCAATGACGAGATGGAAGACTGGAAAAGGAGACACTTTCAGGTGTGCATAATGGAGGGTTTATGTAGGACCAAGACCAAGCCTCTCAATTATGCTAAGTTGTCCATTATTGACCAGGGATTTGATGACAATTCTACTGCTTATCTGGAAAGCTTAAGAGAGGACTTGGTAAAGCGCACCTCTCTGTCTCCTGATTCAGTCAAGGGACACCTAATTCTAAAGGAAAAATTTATTACTCGGGCAGCTCCTGACATCAGGAAGAAGTTGCAGAAATTGGCCCTAGGACCAGATAGCACATTAGAGGACGCTCCTGAAAGTGGTCACCTTGGTCTTTTTTTTTTTTTTTCTTTTTTTTTTAATGAGACAGCGCTTCACTCTTGTTGCCCAGGCTGGAGTGCAATGGCGCAATCTCAGATCACTGCAACCTCTACTTCCTGGGTTCAAGTGATTCTCCTGCCTCAGCCCCCTGAGTAGCTGGGATTACAGGCCACGTGCCACCATGCCCGGCTAATTTTGTATTTTTAGTGAGATGGGGTTTCTCCATGTTGATCAGGCTGGTCTCGAACTCCTGACCTCAGGTGATCCGCCTGCCTTGGCCTCCCAAAGTGCTGGGATTACAGGCTTGAGCCACCATGCCTGGCCCTCAGTCTTTTATAATAGAGACAGGGAGGCCCAGGAACGAGAGAGGAAATACAGGAAAGAGACAGAAGCTTTAGTGGCCATCATGAAAGCCCACAAACCCCAGAATTCCCAGGGTGCACCTGTTAACTGCTAAAGACATGTCAAGAACAGTTATCTCATTCTAAAAGTTTATCTGCTCCCATGCAAGGTTTACTTTCTTTCACCGGGTTGAAACAGCTCGGGGTACAATGTTATTGTTAGTATATTTTACTTCTTAGCTCTGTAACCTTCGGCACTAGATTATTTCCTTTTATAATACATATGTTTAACCCATGCATACTTAGCCTTGTAAAACGTGGTTTTTCTCTGACACCTAGAAGCCATCAAACTCCAAACTCTCAGACCACGGGAGCCTCAGACAATGGCTCCCCTTTGCTAGGAACCCTTAGATAGACCTCTGGGAGGGCCAATTTCAATAAAACAGTGCCTCCTGTCAGCAGGAAGTAGCTAAGACCAGTCATCCATATTCTAATGGCAGCTAAATATACCTCTTCAGAGGGAGAAAATAATATGTAAGGGGGGCAGGGCAGGGAAGTGCTGGGAAGGGAAGGGCCTGGTCCCTGGCTAGGGCTCCACCACCACATCTGTGCCCACAGACCTAGGTGAGGACAAGCATTTCTATTTTCCTGCCCAAATGTTGCATTTCCCAAGACCACCCTGGCCTGCCACACCCCCATCCTGTGCCTATAAGAACACCAAGACCCTAGCAGGCAGAGACACAAGCAGCTGGAAGTTGAGAGGAACACATCAGTGGAAGAAGACACAGTGGCTGGACATCAAGAGGACACCTGCGGAAGAGCTCACCGACAGGCCATTGATAGGAGGAATGACATGGAGTTTGGCTGGGGCAGACGGAGGAGAGACTGGACCACTGAGCAGCCCGATTCCAAAAGAATAGCACCTTCCCGCTCCATCTCCCTTCTGGCTCCCCCGTCTGCTGAGAGCTACCTCCACTCAATAAAACCTTGCACTCATTCTC
Organism: Homo sapiens; assembly: GCF_000001405.40. Taxonomy (NCBI): domain Eukaryota; kingdom Metazoa; phylum Chordata; class Mammalia; order Primates; family Hominidae; genus Homo; species Homo sapiens. The sequence goes on along the minus strand of NC_000023.11, from coordinate 144,331,389 downwards.
CAAGCCCACTTGTCCTCTGATTCTCCTGATACACCAAGGCAAGAAACCCTGGGATACAGAAAGCCCTCTGTCCTTGCGATAAGGCAGGGTGTCTCATTGAGCTGACTAACACAAGCCCCCTATAGATGGCTAAACTGAAAAAGCACCCTTGTAACGCATACACACTGGGGCCTCAGGACCTATAGGCATTTACCCAGATGCAAATGTGGGGCCAGAGCCCCACAACCTGCTGGTCTGCATGCTCCTCCTAGAGGTTTCATTAGCAGGGCACCAAAGAAGCAAGCCACATCCCCAACACTCCTTCTGTGAAGGGGACAAGGGAACTTTTCCTGTTTCACTTTCATGCCCACACAAAAACATCATGTTTCCCCTTTGTCCTAAAGAGACTTGTATATACCTAAAGCTCTTTTTTCCCAGATTTCGGAAGTTAGAAATGTAGTCCCTCAGTTGGAAGCTGTACAAGTTGGGGCAATCAATGTGTGAACAACTCCTTTAGGGAGGAATTAATAGAGCTTGGGTTATTGCTGGAGTGAGCTGGATGAGGTGTCTCAGGAAGTGCAAGTCCATGCCTACGTGTGCCTCAGCTTTTCCCAACCATTAGATGTAAATATTTGATCAGTTTCCTGGTAGGTAAGAGTTTTGCAAATGATTTCTGACTTTCTCTTAGACATCATGCCTTAAAATTTCATCATTACGGGCTAACTTTTGTGAAAAGTATAAGGTCTGTATCTAGATTCATTTTTCCTATGGCATGGGTTTGTGAATTTCCACTTGTACCAGCACCATTCATTGAAAAGGCCATCCTTTCTCCATTGAATTGTAATTTTCACTTTTGGTAAAGATCAGTTGACTGTTTTTAGATCTAATTTTATATTATAAGGAAATTTATTATTCATCACAAAACTGAAACCATTGAAAAAATTCCAAGAACCACAGAGGCAGTCTTGTATACCAGAACTTGGCCATCATCTCAATGTTTCTTTTTATATATAAAAAAAAATTTAAATAACTCTGTTTACCCTATGATTCAAGGTACTTTACAATATGTTATTCAAGTCTATCTTTCCAGATTTATACTGACTCTTCCTCCTTGTAATTCTTTTCTCATCACATGGGCAACTCTTTTCACTCTAAATATACCCTATACTTTTCCACGTGCATAATTTGTCTTATGTTATTACATTTGATAGAATTCTCTGCTATCCCAAAATTCTACTTGAAGGATTCTATCCGCTCTTGAGACCTATTTATTTTTATTTTTTTATGTTTTAGATGGAGTTTCGCTCTTGTTGCCCAGGCTGGAGTGCAATGGCGTGATCTCGGCTCACTGCAACTCCTGCCTCCCGGGTTCAAGCGATTATCCTGCCTCAGTCTCCTGAGGAGCTGGGATTACAGGCATGCGCAACAATGCTCAGCTAATTTTTATATTTTTTAGTAGAGACGGTGTTTCGCCATGTTGGTCAGGCTGGCCTCGAACTCCTGACCTCAGGTGATCCACCTGCCTCAGCCTCCCAAAGTGTTGGGATTACAGGTTTGAGCCACCGCGCCCAGCGGAATCCTAATTCTTCTATAAAACAATTCCTGACTACCATGATATGTCTTATTTTGCCTTTGAACCCTCAGAAAGTGATGTTTTTACCTTTTCCAAATGTATATTTATCTCATACGTACATAAATTGTTTAAATTTAATTTTAAAATCTTTTGCTTTCAATGTGTCTCATATATCCCCTTCTTTTTTTCTGTGAAGTAAAATGTATGAGTCATTTATTTATTCATAGCTAAGGATCTCCAAATCTTCTGTTTCAGTAGTTTCTCTTGATTTGTACAGTGATTGAATTACTATGCCCAATTTTTTATCTATAATGTCCCTTGCTCTGATTTAATTACAACATAAGCTTATCACTTCTCCCATTTGGTGGCTATGTACATACTCTTAAATGAGGGGGAACTAAACATTACGATAACCATCCAGTCAGGAGCAAGGTACAGGGAAGTAAATGGGTTAAACTAAGAATTCTAATGTAGACACCACTTAAAAACACACACACACACACACACACACACACACACACACATTACATAGTAAACCCAATGAGCTTCCATTCTCCCAAAGGATCTAGGTGATTTTATTTTGTATTCTCTAATATTTTCTTATATATTATAAGAATAATATCTTCTCTACCATCTAGGCAATTTCAAGCTCATTTTAGGTGTTCAGCTATTTAGCAAAATATTTAATTGTTATAGTAAAACAATGTTTTATAATCCTGAACATGAGTTCATGGATTTATTATCTTTAATATTGTCTGTATTAACCAAATAACCTTTGTATATTTTGTTTGTTATTTTGATTCTAAAGTATGCTTAACCCTTTAGTAGCCATTAAATAAACATTTGTTGAATGAATGAATGAGTCAGACCTGAAACATTAATATTTTCTTGAGTGTTAGTAAAGACTTAAAAACTAAATTGCATCTGTATCTCTGAAGTTAAACATTTGGAATTGACTTTTTTTTTTTACATTTGATCTATTTGAGTATGCATTCTCATTTTTATGTTAATAAAAATATAGATATGATCTATAGAGAAGAAAAGTAACAGAAAGACTATGTCAGGACATGACCAGAAAGCTATATATCAATTTACAGTCTCTCTCAGAGCTATTCCTTCAAATAAATGCGCTCAGAGAACAAATTGGTTTTATTTAGGGTTCAGGTGATGCACATAATTCTGATAATCACACTGGTCCCAAGTGCAGGTCTGATGGAGACTACCTCCTAAAGGTTGGAGTTTGATTTCTGAATCAAAACAAGTAGAAAAAGATAGATTTTAAGGAACTTGATATACGTGTATGTGAATTGGGTATGTGTGTCACTGAATTGTCGTATCTTCCAGAGACACTGTTGCCTCTTCATTGTTACTGAATGTTTTTTAGAAGCTTGGGATCAGAATGGCTGCAAGCACCTGGGTGTCTCTAAAGGAGCAGTTTCTATGTTGTGGGTGGGAGCTAATGCCAAACTGATTTCAGTTACCCCTCTAAATCTTACCTAAGCTCCTTATGACATGAGCGCCTTTGCTAGAAATAACAGAAAAGAGAGAAAGATTAGCATAGCAATGCTCATGTTTTGCAGAATGAATCATGACAAACCTTATTTTGAACCTGTTAACTAAGATTTATGGAAATAATGTGAATTTGATCGTCAACTCTGAATTATTAACATTAATTATTAGTTATTTAATATGTTTCACATTACTGCAAACAAAAACTAAAGCAACTGGACCTAAACATGTAGATTGCTATAGCTTTATTATTCTTGACTGTGAGATATTTGGAACAGCAGTATTCCGTAGATTTTCTTAGTTTATCCATATTCATCTAATAACAAAAGCAAGACATGTAAACCAAATTTTAAGATAAATGATAATCAATATATTATCCTGTTTAAGTGGGGCTTAATCAATTCAAGATTTTACTACCTGCTGGCCAATAAAACAGAGAAAAGCAATTTTAATGGACTTTTCTCACAACGCTTCTTTTTTTTTTAAATAATCTCTCCAGCTATTGTTTACACAACCTTCTCGATTTTCTCTGTATGTAAAACTTATACGGGCTGTGACCAAAGACAAAACCATCTTCTTTTATGATCCCCAAACCACAGTCACTCAGAGACCCAAAATAGAAAGTAATTTTAGTGAGCTCATCCAAGCTTTAGCCTACGCAGTTTCTTTTTTGCACAAAATGACTTGGCTAACATTCCAACCAAGGACCATAAACCAGCAGTGTGCATAGACACTGAGAATAAAGATATATTTAGATAGGTTGCATGGATTAAAGAGGCCTAAACCATCTGTCTTTAACACAGGAGAATGTCATTTTCTTTAGTCAAGGGCCTGGGTTTTCCAGCAATATTCCAACATTTAAGGATGCAAAGAGGTGTTTTAACAATTAGATGTGTATATCGTCTACAGCGAAGTTGTATACATCTGTTTCTCTTATTATTACAGACTGTTATAAACTCAGAACATCTTAGTTATGGTTTCAGAAACAATTTGTTATGGGCTTTTTTTTTTTTTCTTTCATGCTTCCTCAGAAACTGTTACTCTCTGCTATTCTAAGCATACTGTTTTGTAAGAATTTGTTTACAGGTTTACCTCCTTCCCTGGATAGTGAGCTTCTCCAGGGTGGGGAGTGGGCCTTATTTACCGTGTGACCCCAGTGCCCAGTACTTAGTAAGTGATCTATCAGTTTATGTAGATGTGTATTGAATAAACTGCTTATTGTAGAGCCCATGGTGAATAAGGATTGTGTGCCTCAGGGGAGTGATGTAAGGAATAATTCAGGTGGCTTGGCAGCCTCTCATGAGCTAAGATACAATTCTTTAACAGATGCCCCATCTTATAGCAATAGAATTGCCAGATAAAATATAGGACACCAAGTTAAAGTTGAATTTCAAGTAAATAAATATTTTAAAATAAAAGTGTATACCACATATTAAGTCCCAAAAATGGCATCCAAATAGTGCGTATCTTCTTTTTTTTTTTTCTTTAATTTCCTCATTCATTTATTCAAAAATATTTATCAAGTGAAACACTATTATAAAAATATAAAAACTTTGTTTTAATAAATGATTTTTTTTTTATTATACTCTAAGTTTTAGGGTACATGTGCACATTGTGCAGGTTAGTTACATATGTATACATGTGCCATGCTGGTGTGCTGCACCCACTAATGTGTCATCTAGCATTAGGTATATCTCCCAATGCTATCCCTCCCCCCTCCCCTGACCCCACCACAGTCCCCAGAGTGTGATATTCCCCTTCCTGTGTCCATGTGATCTCATTGTTCAATTCCCACCTATGAGTGAGAATATGCGGTGTTTGGTTTTTTGTTCTTGCGATAGTTTACTGAGAATGATGGTTTCCAATTTCATCCATGTCCCTACAAAGGATATGAACTCATCATTTTTTATGGCTGCATAGTATTCCATGGTGTATATGTGCCACATTTTCTCAATCCAGTCTATCATTGTTGGACATTTGGGTTGGTTCCAAGTCTTTGCTATTGTGAATAGTGCCGCAATAAACATACGTGTGCATGTGTCTTTATAGCAGCATGATTTATAGTCCTTTGGGTATATACCCAGTAATGGGATGGCTGGGTCAAATGGTATTTCTAGTTCTAGATCCCTGAGGAATCGCCACACTGACTTCCACAATGGTTGAACTAGTTTACAGTCCCACCAACAGTGTAAAAGTGTTCCTATTTCTCCACATCCTCTCCAGCACCTGTTGTTTCCTGACTTTTTAATGATTGCCATTCTAACTGGTGTGAGATGATATCTCATAGTGGTTTTGATTTGCATTTCTCTGATGGCCAGTGATGATGAGCATTTCTTCATGTGTTTTTTGGCTGCATAAATGTCTTCTTTTGAGAAGTGTCTGTTCATGTCCTTCGCCCACTTTTTGATGGGGTTGTTTGTTTTTTTCTTGTAAATTTGTTTGAGTTCATTGTAGATTCTGGATATTAGCCCTTTGTCAGATGAGTAGGTTGCGAAAATTTTCTCCCATGTTGTAGGTTGCCTGTTCACTCTGATGGTAGTTTCTTTTGCTGTGCAGAAGCTCTTTAGTTTAACTAGATCCCATTTGTCAATTTTGGCTTTGGTTGCCATTGCTTTTGGTGTTTTGGACGTGAAGTCCTTGCCCACGCCTATCTCCTGAATGGTAATGCCTAGGTTTTCTTCTAGGGTTTTTATGGTTTTAGGTCTAACGTTTAAATCTTTAATCCATCTTGAATTGATTTTTGTATAAGGTGTAAGGAAGGGATCCAGTTTCAGCTTTCTACATATGGCTAGCCAGTTTTCCCAGCACCATTTATTAAATAGGGAATCCTTTCCCCATTGCTTGTTTTTCTCAGGTTTGTCAAAGATCAGATAGTTGTAGATATGCGGCATTATTTCTGAGGGCTCTGTTCTGTTCCATTGATCTATATCTCTGTTTTGGTACCAGTACCATGCTGTTTTGGTTACTGTAGCCTTGTGGTATAGTTTGAAGTCAGGTAGTGTGATGCCTCCAGCTTTGTTCTTTTGGCTTAGGATTGACTTGGCAATGCGGGCTCTTTTTTGGTTCCATATGAACTTTAAAGTAGTTTTTTCCAATTCTGTGAAGAAAGTCATTGGTAGCTTGATGGGGATGGCATTGAATCTGTAAATTACCTTGGGCAGTATGGCCATTTTCACGATATTGATTCTTCCTACCCATGAGCATGGAATGTTCTTCCATTTGTTTGTGTCCTCTTTTATTTCCTTGAGCAGTGGTTTGTAGTTCTCCTTGAAGAGGTCCTTCACATCCCTTGTAAGTTGGATTCCTAGGTATTTTATTCTCTTTGAAGCAATTGTGAATGGGAGTTCACCCATGATTTGGCTCTCTGTTTGTCTGTTGTTGGTGTATAAGAATGCTTGTGATTTTTGTACATTGATTTTGTATCCTGAGACTTTGCTGAAGTTGCTTATCAGCTTAAGGAGATTTTGGGCTGAGACGATGGGGTTTTCTAGATAAACAATCATGTCATCTGCAAACAGGGACAATTTGACTTCCTCTTTTCCTAATTGAATACCCTTTATTTCCTTCTCCTGCCTGATTGCCCTGGCCAGAACTTCCAACACTATGTTGAATAGGAGCGGTGAGAGAGGGCATCCCTGTCTTGTGCCAGTTTTCAAAGGGAATGCTTCCAGTTTTTGCCCATTCAGTATGATATTGGCTGTGGGTTTGTCATAGATAGCTCTTATTATTTTGAAATACGTCCCATCAATACCTAATTTATTGAGAGTTTTTAGCATGAAGGGTTGTTGAATTTTGTCAAAGGCTTTTTCTGCATCTATTGAGAATATCATGTGGTTTTTGTCTTTGGCTCTGTTTATATGCTGGATTACATTTATTGATTTGCGTATATTGAACCAGCCTTGCATCCCAGGGATGAAGCCCACTTGATCATGTTGGATAAGCTTTTTGATGTGCTGCTGGATTCGGTTTGCCAGTATTTTATTGAGGATTTTTGCATCAATGTTCATCAAGGATATTGGTCTAAAACTCTCTTTTTTGGTTGTGTCTCTGCCAGGCTTTGGTATCAGAATGATGCTGGCCTCATAAAATGAGTTAGGGAGGATTCCCTCTTTTTCTATTGATTGGAATAGTTTCAGAAGGAATGGTACCAGTTCCTCCTTGTACCTCTGGTAGAATTCGGCTGTGAATCCATCTGGTCCTGGACTCTTTTTGGTTGGTAAACTATTGATTATTGCCACAATTTCAGAGCCTGTTATTGGTCTATTCAGAGATTCAACTTCTTCCTGGTTTAGTCTTGGGAGGGTGTATGTGTCGAGGAATGTATCCATTTCTTCTAGATTTTCTAGTTTATTTGCGTAGAGGTGTTTGTAGTATTCTCTGATGGTAGTTTGTATTTCTGTGGGATCGGTGGTGATATCCCCTTTATCATTTTTTATTGTGTCTATTTGATTCTTCTCTCTTTTTTTCTTCTTATTTGTTGTTTATCTGAAATTTAAATGTTTCTGGGCATCCTGTATGTTTACTTGCCAAATCTGGCAACTCTGTCAATAAGGGTGGATTGCCCAATAGAGCATGGGGTCTGAGACAGTACCCTCACTCAAATGAACTGATATATTTTCCTGTGCAAGTAGAACATATTAATTCAAAGCCTTCATGCCTATGATCTTGGTGATATTCAGTCTGATTAGAATTTCTTTAAAGAAATTAAAAGGTGATAAATATTTTGAAATCTCCCTAATCTGATCTAATAATTTTCTAAGAAGAACTGTACTCTCTGCTAAAAAAAAAAAAAAAAAAAAAAAGAAAAAGGAAAAAGGAAAAAGGAAAAAAAAAAAAGCTATTGACTAGAGAACTCTTAAAATACCTATAGACCTTTAAAGGGTAGAGATATGCAAGACATTGTCAGAAAGAAGAAATATTTAGAGTCACATGATGTGAGTGACACTGAACAAAACAGATTTAGCTAACGTAATAACAGTCAGTTCACGATTTTGCCTTAAGAACCCTTAAGGCCGGGTGCGGTGGCTCACGCCTGTAATCCCAGCACTTTGGGAGGCCGAGGCGGGTGGATCACGAGGTCAGGAGGTCGAGACCATCCTGGCTAACACGGTGAAACCCCGTCTCTGCTAAAAATACAAAAATCAGCCGGGCGTGGTGGTGGGCACCTGTAGTCCCAGCTACTCGGGAGGCTGAGGCAGGAGAATGGCATGAACCCGGGAGGCGGTGCTTGCAGTGAGCTGAGATCCTGCCACTGCACTCCAGCCTGGGCGACAGAGCGAGACTCTGTCTCAAAAAAGAAAAAAAAGCCAAAAAAAAAAAAAAAAACCCTTAAAAAGTGTGCAGCACATTTCAGGTAAGCTTTTTTGGGAGAGGCAGTGGGGAGTATGAGGCAGAAACATAAAGAATTTTCACAAATAACACAATAAATAAGTACATAAGAAATGGCATTTTTGCCATTTGATTTCAAGGGAAGGATATACTCATTTAGTCAATCCAACAGTTTCTAGTCAGCATATGTCATGTGGAATACATTTGAGTTGTGTATCATATTTGGATGAACCTAAAAACTTTTACTTGGTGTAGGCATACCACATGAGTGGGATGAAAATATAGCATATTTTGTTATTCTTTAGTCTATTGTGCACATTAACTATTTCCATGGAATTGAAAGTGCCCCCATGTTCAACCTCCATTTCAACCTAAAATGTTATTCTATATTGTAACTTTATTTTTAATACAATTATAGTGCAAGAATACTATAAATTCCCAAATGTTTGAAAACTTGGTGAATAAATAGCACAGGAAAAAAATAAAATGAATGAGAAAAGCTTTAGGCATTAAGTAAAATATGGTTGTGATGAAGAGGCTTGAAAAGATGTGGAAAGAAAATATTTACCTCTCTTTGGGATTAGCTCACCCTACTGGGTATAAGAAGATATTAAATGCCTACCTGAAGGTCAGTCATCTGAGTTCTCACCACTTTCTAAAGACATATTGTGCCTCTCCTTCTCAACCAATCACCACCCACTATCACGTCTTTTCTTCTTCCCTTGGTGAGTATAGTAAATCCTCACTGCATCACACTTAACGTATAAAATCTTCATTTAAATTGAAATTTGTATGCATTACTTACATGAACTTGAATTTCATTGCTCAGCTTTTATTTATTCTGTGATAAATGTTGAGATATTTTTGGCTGGCGTAGAATGCATAATTATTTTACTATTTAAATTAATACTATTTTAGAAATTCAATGGTTTTTCATGTAGATGCATGGTTTCCAGGAGTATATTATATTTATCAAAAAAGCTTATATGAAACCCATTAGATAAAGGACTTAGCAATGCAGATGATGAAAGGTTATTAAATCATGAATGTGTTTTAATGGTAGAGTTACCAGGTGTATTAGTTTACTAGGACTAGTGTAACAGAGTACCATAAAGTGGGAGGCTTAAAACAAACAAAATTATTGTCTCACAGTTCTGGAGGCTACCAGTCCAAAACCAAGGTGTCAGAAGCCATGGTACTTTTTTTTTTAATACTTTAAATTTTAGGGTACGTGTGCACAACGTGCACGTTTGTTACATATGTACACATGTGCCATGTTGGTGTGCTGCACCCAGTAACTCGTCATTTAACATTAGGTATGTCTCCTAATGCTATCTCTCCCCTCTCCCCCCACCCCACAACAGGCCCTGGTGTGTGATGTTCCCCTTCCTGTGTCCATGTGTTCTCATTGTTCAATTCCCACCTATGAGTGAGAACACGCCGTGTTTGGATTTTGTCCTTGCAATAGTTTGCTGAGAATGATGGTTTCCAGCTTCACCCATGTCCCTACAAAGGACATGAACTCATCATTTTTTATGGCCGCATAGTATTCCATGGTGTATATATGCCACATTTTCTTAATCCAGTCTATCATTGTTGGACATTTGGGTTGGTTGGTTCCAAGTCTTTGCTATTGTGAATAGTGCCGCAATAAACATACGTGTGCTTGTGTCTTTATAGCAGCATGATCTGTAATCCTTTGGGTATATACCCAGTAACGGGATGGCTGGGTCAAATGGTATTTCTAGTTCTATATCCCTGAGGAATCGCCACACACTTTTTAAACAATGGGGATTTTTCCTTCCGTCTCTGGTTTTAGTCTCTGGTAGTTTGCTGGCAAATTTTGATGTTTCTTTGCTTGCAGTTATATAACTCCCATATCTGTTTTTATCAACACATAGCATTCTCTTTGTGTATGTCTGTGTCTTCACACGGCAGTCTTTTTATGAGGAAGTCAGTCATTTTAGATTATGGGCCATCTCTACTCCAGTAAGACCTCATCTTAACTAATAATACTTAAACAGATCCTCTTTTTAAATAAGCTCACATTCTGAAGTACTAGGAGTGAGTTATGACTTCACCATATCATTTTTGGGCAGATACAATGCAACCCATAGAACCAAGTTTCCCTAACAATCTGACAAAAAATTGGAGAAAAGTAGGCAACCTCCATATTTTGTTTATCTAGTCTATCGTTGATGGACATTTATGTTGATTCCACGTCTTTGCTATTGTGAATAGTGTTGCAGTGAATATGTGCATGCATGTGTCCTTGTAATAGAATGATTTCTATTTCTTTGGGTATATACTCAGTAATGGGGTTTCTGTGTTTTTTTTTTAAATTATACTTTACGTTCTGGGATACATATGCAGAACGTGCAGGTTTGTTACATAGGTATACACGTGCCATGGTGGTTTGCTGCACTAATCAACCTGTCATCTACCTTAGGTATTTCTCCTAATGCTATCCCTCCCCCAGACCCCCACCCCCCAACAGGCCCCGGTGGGTGATGTTCCCCTCCCTGTGTCCATGTGTTCTCATTGTTCAACTTCCACTTATGAGTGAGAACATGTGGTGTTTGGTTTTCTGTTCCTGTGTTAGTTTGCTGAGTATGATGGTTTCCAACTTCATCTATGTCCCTGAAAAGGACATGAACTCTTCCTGATTTACTGTAGCCTTGACATCCCAGGCTCAGGTGATCCTCCCACCTCAGCCTCCTGAGTAGCTGGGAGGACTACAGGAAAGTGCCACCACACCTGGGTTATTTTTTGGTTGGTTGGTTGTTTTTCTGTGTTTGTAGTGATGGGGTTTTGCCATGTTGGCAAGGCTAGTCTGGAACTCCTGGGCTCAAGTGGTCTGCCCACCTTGGCCTCCCAAAATGCTGAGATTATAAGCATGAGCCAATGTGCCTGGCCTTTTTTTTCAATCTTTGACTTCTCTAATTTGCACCCTCATGCTGATCCTCATTACCACACACCTTGACTATAACAATTGTCTATTTTCTTTCCTTGCCTTAACTATTTCTGCCCCATAATTCCCTGCATCTGGCACATATTAGGCACCTGACAAGTATTTGGTTAATTAAATCCAATTAAAACTATTAGCCACCACATATTGTGATATTCCCACTTCAGAAGTCACATCTCTATTGTTCAGTATCTGACCCTATATTTTCTAAATCCGGTTTTATTTACCTGTACTCTTCTTAGTGGACTTTAATAGAGTTGCCTAGTCTTCTATTCCATGTATATTTTATGCAACTCTCAGTTCCTTTATACCCAAACAAGACACACTATTAAAGCCTAATAAAGTGCTACTTTTTTTGAAATATTCTTTTAGCTTCTCAGATGACAGAATTTTTGTCCACATCTGACCTCCACAGTGTTGTATTCATGCCACAATGGTGCGCTGTGATGTAAGTATTGGTGTACACAGTTGGGTCACATGTTAAACCAAATAAGCTTCCTGAGGTCAGGGCCCACATTTTACACTATTTTATTTTCCCTGAAGTACCTATCACTGAAATTTGAAGAACTGTTTTATAATTGAGTAAATGGCCTATTAGGATATGAGATATGAATCCTTGCATAAGCTTATTTATCATAAAATTGTTTTTTCTTCTGAGTGGTTGTGGCCAATTCAGAGCTAAGTAGGCCAACTTATTAAATTCTAATCACTTGGCTGAACAAAAGCTGATTTCATAAATCATAGTTTAATAGCCTGTCTGTAATTTCTTTAGGGTTTTTCAGCTGTACAGTAATGCTTGTTTAGCCAGTCAGTTCAATAATTGAAATTATACAGCCAGTAGTAAAGGTAGTAAATAGCCTGTTCGGTTTGGGTCATCAAGCCTTATACTAGAGATTTCTGTGCTGAGATTTCTTGGATAACCACCGTATCTAATGCTATTCTCCATGTACACTAATATCAAACACATTATTTGTTGTTTCTATAAAGGAAGGGAATCCAGGCATGTGATCTTCCTAATGTGCCTTCATATTTTTGGACTTGCAGTCAGATTAGAGATCTTTCTATTCTGCTTCCCATAAATTCACTTAGTTTGAAGAATGTCTGACTCCTCTAAATAATATATCCCTATTTCTTTATCAGAGGCTGCATATGGAGAAAATAAAACCATAGTATTTAAAATTAACTGTAGGGTTTATATTATGACCCTAAATTTTTACTAATAAATCTAAGGACAGATATTATTACACTCTCTCTCCCCCACTCCACATGTGTCCATTTGTGGTAAACTCTTGGTAAGTAATTTCTGAGAAAAATTCCCAATCTTAGGTCACGAACCCTACAGGACAACACACACACACACACACACACACACACACACACACACACACACACATACACACACACACACTGGAGTCAAAACTTTCATTCTTTGGTCATTGTGTCACTAGGCTATTTTCTAGAGTAATTACATCATCTACTTCTAAGATATAACATTGGTGAATGCAACTTAGTCGAATCAAACAATTTGAATTTAGAATGTAATATTGTGGTTAAAATGTAAATGTCTGGTTAGAATCTAGCTCTGTGTATTTAGAGAACTGGTGAGCTATTTTTGCCTATTGTGGCTCAATCCTTGGATGTCTGGCCATGAGGATATGCTTGGAAATTACAAGCGGGTCATAATCAGAATAATTTGTCTGCTCTTTTTCTTTCTCCCCTTTCTATTTTCAACAAGAGGACTACATTCAACTGACTTTATAAGAAGTTGAGACCTCAGTGGCATACTCTCTTGTTTTTCTTTAGGCAGTAAGACAGACACAAGGCTTGTGCTGATGTTAGTACAAATGTTCATATCTCGTATCAGAAATGCTGGCTCTCATTTGGCCAAAGAAGAAAACATCCAAGACTTTTTATAAGAAAACAGATCCCCATGTCTGTAATCCTAGCACTTTGGGAGGCCGAGGCGGGCTGATCACCTGAGGTCAGGAGTTCAAGACCAGCCTAGCCAACATGGCGAAACCCCGTCTCTACTAAAAATGCAAAAATTAACTGGGCGTGGTGGTGCGTGCCTGTAGTCCCAGCTATATGGGAGGCTGAGGCAGGAGAAAAGCTTGAACACAGGTGGCAGAGGTCGCAGTGAGATCACGCCACTGCACTCCAGCCTGGGCGACAGAGCAAGACTCCACCTCAAAAAGAAAGAAAACACATCCCAATATCTACAATATATATCATGTACTCTGTGGAGAGGTAGTGTGCTTTGGGTTGCGGCTCTTACCCACTGGGTTTTGAAAAGATATTAGCAATAGTTCTAAAGCTTATTTTGTCTTTATACTGTGAACCTGTGCCTCTGTATAAAGATCAACTAGTCTAGGGAAGCAAAACATTAAATGATTTTACTTTCACCTTAAACTGGAAAAACTAACCATTTTTCAACCAATAGAGTTATTTAATAAAATATTTTTGGATGTATACCTGGGAGTATTATTATTGGGTTACATGGTAACTCTATGTGTAACTTTTTGAGGAACTGCCAAACTGTTTTTCATGGTGGCTGTGTGATTTTACATCCACACCAGCAGTGTATGAGGGTTCCAGTTTCTTCACATCCTCATCAATATTTTAATTTTAATGTCTACTTTTAATTACAGCCATCCTAGTAGTGTGACGGTCTTGACTTTCATTTCTTTAACAGCTGATAACGTGAAGCATTTTTAATATGCTTATTGACAATTTCTTGACAGAAATGTCTACTCAGATACATTCCTTATTTTTTAATTGGTTATTTTTTGTCTATTTAACATTGAGCTATAAGAGTTCTTAGCAGATATATCTTTGCAAGCATACTCTCTCATTCTGTGGGTTGTCTTCTCATTTTCTTGATGATGTTTTCTGAAAGAAATATGTTTTTACTATTTATAATGTCCAATTCAATTCATCTATGATTTTGCTTGTGCTTTTGGGATCATATCTAATAAGTCTTTGCCTAATTTATGGTCATGAAGATTTACACTTATGTTAATTTCTAAGGATTTCATAGTTTTAGTTCTTACATTCGGTTTCTTATCCATTTTGAGTTTTTTTTTTTTTTTTTTGGCAGAGTCACTCTGTTACCCAGGCTAGAGTGCAGTGGCTCAATCTCAGCTCCCTGCAACCTCCACCTCCCAGGTTCAAGCAATTCTCCTGCCTCAGCCTCCCGAGTAGCTGGGATCACAGGCACCCGCCACCATGGCCCACTAATTTTTTGTATTTTTAGTAGAGATGGGGTTTCACCATGTTGGCCAGGCTGGTCTCGAACTCCCGACCTCAAGTGATCCATCCACATCAGCCTCCCAAAGTGCTGGGATTACAGGCATGAGCCACTGCACCTGGCCTTGAGTTATTTTTTATATGGTTTGAGGTAAAGGTCTAAATTCATTCTTTTGCATTTGGATATTCACTTGCTATAATACTATTTATTGAAGATAATATTTTTCCCATTAAATTATCTTGGCATTTTTATTAAAATTCAGTTTACTATAAATGTGAGATTTTATTTCTGGACACTAAATTCTATTCAGTTGATTATACATGTATATGTATATGTATATCTGTATTGAAACTTCTTATGCTAGTACTGCAATATCTTGATTACTGTAGTTTTATAATAACTTTTGAAATGAGGAAGTATGAGTCCTCTATGTTTGTTACTCTTTTTGAAGATTCTTTTGGCTTTTATGGATTGCTTACATGTTTATATGATTTTTAAGATCAGCTTATCATTTTCTGAAAAAAAAAAAAAAGCCAGCTCGGGTTTTGATATGGATTGTGTTAAATGTGTAGATCCACTGGAAGAGTATTGCCATGTGAATAATATTAAATCTTCTGGACCATGCACATGGAATATTTTTCTATTCAAAGTTACCCTCTTCAATTTATTTTAATGATGTTTTATAGTTTTCAGTGTATAGGCTTTACACTTCTCTTGTTAAGTTTATTTTAGGTATTTGATTGTAAATAAAATTATTTCTTAATTTCATTTTTTACATTTTTACTGGTATAGAGAAATATCATTGGTTTTTCTACATCAATCTTGTTTTCTGCAACCTGGTTGAACTGCTTCTTTTTGGATTGCTAAGGATTTTTTATATACAGCTCATGTCATATGTAAATTAAAAGATATTTGCAATTACTACTTTCCAATACGGGTACCTTTTATATTTTTAAATATTCCTGGCTATTATTTCCAGTACAATTTTGAATAGAAGTGGTGAACACAAACATCTTCATTTTTTCCTTGTTTTTAGGGGAAAAAACTTGCATTCTTTCATCATTAGGTATGATGTTATATTTGAGTTTTTTGTAGATTCCCTTTGTTAGGTTGAGGAAGTTTCTTTCTATTCCTAGTTTGTTTAGTATTTTTTAAACAAAAAATGGATATCATTAAATATATTTTTTACATCTATTGAGATGATGATATAATTCCTGTTCTTTGTTCTTTTAATATGCTGTATTACACTATTTGAATTATGGATATTAAACCAACCTTGAATTTCTGGGCTAAATCTTACTTGGTCACTATACATAATTATTTTTATTTATTGCTGAATGTAGTTTGCTACTGTGTAATTTAGGATTTGTTACACATATTCAAAATGGATATTCATCTCAAGTTTTCTTTTCTTTTGATGTCTTCATCTGGCTTTGGTATCAAAATAACATTGGCCTCATGGAGTGAGAAGTGTTCCATGTTCTATTTTTTGGAAAAGTTTTTGAAGAATTGGTATTAGATGTTCTTTAAGTGTTTGGAATAATTCACTCATTTCTGGTCTTTTCTTTGTTGAAATTTACCTGATTTTAATTTACATATAATTTTTAAGCTATCTAATAACAGTACGCCTTCTGGTATCTATTGCTATCCCCTTTACTGCCTTGAAACTTGAATGGGCATAAATCCTTGTCTCAATTTACCAGTGTTATAGCTAAGACCAGATTATAATATTTAACAATATCTACTGCAGAACTGAGTATAACACAAATAAATTACTCTTCATAAACTGTCCTAAAACTGCATGTTACCTATATTTGCTCATAGAGTCCAGCCAAGTAATCTTACGTTCCTCTTCTCATCTTATCCCCTGGCCTGCCAACATTTTCCTGTAGGTCTTATTATGGTTCGCCTACTTTACTAACCTCGTCCCAAATCCTCGAGATTAGATATAATCAATTTAGTTTTATGAGCTGCATAGATGTTACCTTGCTATTTCTGTATTATCCAGACACTTTGGCATTCCATTTTATAATGAGATCTAGTTTTAATTTTGCAAAACTAAAAGGATCATTCATTTTTTTATCTTACCCTAGAACAAAGATATTTCCTTCTCTCAAAGGAGAATCCATGTCACCATCTCTAGAGAAAAAGGAAATAACAAAGAAATAAAAACATAGTGCTAGTCTAGTCATTTAGATTTTTTAAAACTGTGATCCTGTCATTCTAAGACACATTGGGCCCTATTCATTTAAATCATATCATCATGGAATGTTTAGAAGAAGAAATCTTAGCAATATTTGGATAACTGGCCAGGAGTTCAAGACCAGCCTGGTCAACATAGAGAAACCCTGTCTCTACTAGAAATACAAACAATTAGCTAAGCATGGTGGTGCATGTCTGTAATCCCAACTACTCGCAAGGCTAAGGCAGGTGAACTGCTTGAACCTAGGAGGTGGAGGCTGCAGTGAGCCGAGATCGTGCCATTGCACTTCAGCCTGGGCAAGGGAGTGAGACTCTGTCAAAAACAAACAAACAAAAACAAAAAACCCGAAATACTTAGATAACTGATAATAATTAGGTCAATTAATTACATTGTTGAATAAATTGATACTCATAGAGGTTAAGAATTAAAGTGACTTGCCTAAAATATTGTGGATAACATCAGGTACTTACTAGAACTCAAGATATACACAAATATCCTCACAGACAGTCACACAGACTCCCCATTCAACATATTAAAACTATTTATCGTACCTGAATTAAAAATAATATTTGATTAATGCTGAAAGAAAGGGTGCAAATAACAGAAGCCTTTTTCTTTTTCCTTGGGGTTAACTTTAACTTTTTTATTCTTCTTAACCTACACACTCTTGCCTTTTGCAGTTAATATCTGCTTGTTGGAGCTGTACTACAGTACCTATTCCAAAGTTAAATAACTAAACTCAGCAATATTTGCAAGTTTTATGCTGAATAGAAATATAAAATGATAGTTATCATTTTCAACACATAAGCCTTACAACAACACTTTGAGGTAAGAAATATTATTTCTTGATTATTAACTTTTATATTTATGCATTCATATTAGTTGTACATATTTATGAGGTACATGGGATATTTTGATGTAGTCATACAATATGTAATATCAAATCAGGGTTACTGAGATATGAATCACTTTAAACATTTATCACTTATTTTTGTTAGATACATTCCAATCCCATTTGTCTATTTATTTTTAAATGTATGATAAATGATTGTTAACTATAGTCACCCTATTGTGCTACCAAACATTATATCTTATTCCTTCTATCTAACTGTATCTTTGTATCCATTAACCAACCACTCTTTATCCTCCATTACCTACCACTCTTCCCAGCTCCAGTAACCATTATTTCATCCTCTATCTCCATGAGTTCGTTTTTTTAAATCTCCCATGTATGAATGAGAACATGCAATATTTGTCTTTCTGTGCCAGACTTATTTCACTTAACATAATGACTGCCAGTACTGTTCATGTATTTGCAAATGACAGGATTATATTATTTTTATTATCATCTTGTTATGTATCATTTTATGGCTGAATGATGTTCATATATATATATATATATATATATATATATATATGTATGTATGTATGTATAGATATAACATTTTCTTCATCCATTCATCCATCGGTGAATGCTTAGTTTGCTTTCATTATCTTAGCTATTGTGAATAATGCCACAACAGACATGAGAGTACAGATACCTTTTCAATATATTGATTTCATCTAGGCATATACCTAGCAGTAGGACTGCTGAATCATATGTTTTTGTTGTTGTTGTTGTTGTTGTTTGTTTTTTTTGCTTTTTTTTTTTTTTTTTTTTTGAGACGCAGTCTTACTGTGTCGCCCAGGTTGGAGTGCAGTGGCACACTCTCGGCTCACTGCAAGCTCCGCCTCCCGGGTTCACGCCATTCTCCTGTCTCAGCCTCCCGAGTAGCTGGGACTACAGGTGCCCGCCACCACGCCCGGCTAACTTTTTTGTATTTTTAGTAGGGATGGGGTTTCATCGTGTTAGCCAGGATGGTCTCGATCTCCTGACCTTGTGATCAGCCCGCCTCGGCCTCCCAAAGTGCTGGGATTACAGGCGTGAGCCATCGTGCCTGGCCCATATGGTTTTCTTTTTAGTTTTTTGCGAAACCTGCATATTGTTTTCCATAGTGGCTGTACTAATTTACATTCCTGCTAACAGTATATGAGGATTCCCTTTTCTCTACATCCTCTCCAGCTTTTGTTATTGCCTGATTTTCTAAAGGTTAGCCCATTTATTTTACCACGAAGATCTTTTTCACACAATAAGCAGTAGCAACAGTCAATAGCTTTTGATGATTTTGAGAATGTGTTTTTTAATTTTCTATTTTTTGTAAATTTGTTATTTATAATTTGTGTGGGTACCTAGTAGATGTATATATTTATGGGGTATATAAGATGTATTGATATAGCCATGCAGCGCATTATAATCACATCATGGAAGATTGGGCATTCACACCCTCAAGCATTTATCCTTTGTGTTACAAGCAATCTAATTGCAAACTTTAAGTTAATTTAAAATGTACAATTAAGCTATTAATGACTGTAGTCACTCTGTTTTGCTATCAGATAGTAGGTGTTTTTCATCCTATCTAACTATTTTTTTGTACTCATTAACAGCCCCCACTACCCTTCCCAGCCTCTGGTAGCCATCCTTCTACTCTCTATCTCCATGAGTTCAATAGTTTTTTTTTTTTTTTAGACCCCACAAGTAACTGAGAACATCCAACATTTGTCTTTCTGTACCTGGCTTATTTAACTTAACATAATGATATCCAATGCCATCCATGTTGTTGTAAATAACTGGATCTCATTCTTTTCTGTGGCTGAATAGTACTCCATTGTGTATATGTACCACATTTTCTTTATCCATTCATCATCTGTTGATGGAGACTTTGGTTGCTTTCAAATCTTGGCTATTTTGAACAGTGCTGCAACCAACACAGGAGTGCGGATATCTTTTCAATATACTGATTTCCTTTCTTTTGGGTATATACCCAGCAGTGGGATTTCAGGATCATACGATAGCTCTAGTTTTATTATTTTGAGGAACCTCCAAAGTGTCCTTCATAGTGGTTGTACTAATTTACATTCCCACCAATAGTGTACGAGGTTTCCCTTTTCTCCCCATCCTCACCAGCATCTGTTATTGCCTTTGTGATAAAAGCCATTTTAACTAGAGTGACAGGATATCTCGTTGTAGCACTTCTCTGATGATTAGTGATCTTGAACATTTTTATATACCTTTTCACCATTTCTATGTTCTTTATTGATAAATGCTTCTTCAGATCTTTTACCTATTTTTAATCAGATTTGTTTTCTTTTTTTGTAATGAGTTGTTTGAGTTCCTTATATGTTCTGGTAATTAATTCTTTGTCAGATGTGTTGTTTGCAAATATTTTCTCCCATTCTGTGTGTTGTCTCTTCATTTTGCTTATTGTTTCCTTGCCTTTGCAGACACTTTTTAACTTGATGTGATCCCATTTGTCCAGTTTTGCTTCAATTTCCTGTACTTGTGAGGTCTTAAAAAATATTTGCCCAGCCCAGACCAATGGTCTCTAGAAATTTTCATGCTACAAATCCTCACCATGATGTTCTACCACCTGAAACAAATAGATGAGGCTTCTGAAGAGGATGATATACTCTGGATGAATAGTAATCCATCAAATCTTGGCTACTGTGAACAGTGCCACAACTAACATGAGAGTACAGATATCTCTTCAGTATACTGATTTCCTGTGTTTTTCTGTTTCTTTTTTTTAATTCTCGGAATTTTACCTCCATTTTAGCTGTCTTACAGTGTAACAGCTGAAATTATTTCTATGGCACATCAAAAGTATCCTTGAAGGTCAAACCACATCTGTGGGATGGTAATTTTGTATCATTCTTTCACATGCTGTTGTTGTTACTGCTTCACTGCTCATACACTCATATGCAACATTTCTACTGTGAGCTCTTGGTTTTCTCTTTTAACTGTCTCTTGATTTGATATGTTGTCAATGACAAACTCTACTGGGCTTGGTTATGGTCTCAACTTTTTGTTTAATCTTTCTGCTATTTTCGTCATACCCAGATGTATCATCTGACTCTGGCTCATGATGTGGATCAGTTAACACTCATGAATTACAGCAAAGCCTAGGGCACATACTCTTGTTTATTGTCTGATTCGTTAATACATTCATGAATTCCTGCACATTCAGTTTCATTTTACAAGCGTTTTACAAATCATTTAATGATTATCTTCCTTTGCACTGTAAAGGTAATGATGAGAGAACCCAAGTATTATCTTGAATCAAACCCCAGAAATTTCCTGCCCAATAAGATCCTTCCCCCAACTTGGCTATTACAAGTAATTGCAATACTATTCTTCTAATAATTCAGTCCAAACTCCTGGGAGGCATTCATATTTGATTTCATTCTTTCTTTAGTATCTCACATCTAATCCATCAGCTGATTTTATTGTCTCTGGCTTCAAATCATATACATAATATGGCCACTTATCATCATCTCCACTGTTACCAGCCTAGACCAAGACACTATCCTCTCTTTCTTGGATTATTGCAATAGCATCTCTAATGTCACCCTGCTTCTGTACTTAAAACTCTCTCCAATGTCTATTCTCAGCACATTAGCCAGGTGATCCTTTACAAATGAACATACGTTCATGTAATTCTTCTGCTCAGATTTCTCTTCTGGCTACCCATCTCAACAAAATAACCAAAGTTTTCTACAATAGCTTTTAAGGCCCTTAGAATTTTGCCATAAATTTTTCACTGTCCATATCCCTTACAGCTTCCCACTTCATCCCCACTCAGCATAAGACACAATGGCCTTCTTGCTATTTATTGAAATGACCAGTCAAACCTTTGTCTGGAGACACCACTTGCTGTTCCCTCTGTTAAAAACACTCTTCCTCCCTTAGATATTATTCAAATTGTTGACTCTCTCACATTCTTTAAGTCATTGCCCAAATATTTTCTACTCAAGAAGGCATTACTGACTAACTTTAAAACACACCCACTCAGGCAAGCAAAGTAACAGTGTAAACCCTCATCACTGCTAATAAGTTCATTGGAAAATGTGAGGCCAGGCATCAGTCCTTGTTTCTTGAGCCAGAATATCAATGCAAAAGAACCAGAAAAGAAGGTGCTTTCCACCAGGGCAAAGGCTGCATGCAACACGTTCTCCATGGGTAACGTCTTTGTTCCCAATCCAACACAAGACCCAACCTGCCTTCTTCTTGACACAGGCATCGTTTCAATGGCACTGAAGAGAAATTCCCTTTCTTTGTTATCTTTAATATGTGTCAATAAGGAGATTATTTATTTCAGAATGTATGTTTTCTATAGCAATTTGGAAGCCATAGAAGCAGAAGGTTTCTGTAATCTGAACTTCTTGAACAAATTGTTCCACCAAGTTTTCATCTATTATCCCATCACATGCTGCAAAGAAAGCCAGAATATGGGATATAAAATATCTTTACTCAGGCTTCAGGGCTTCCCAGTGCCAAATGTCCTTGGACAGGTCCACCTCCTGGGCCATCCAGAAAGAAACCTCTACTTTCTTTTACATTTTCCAAATATCATGACAGACCATCAAAGCAGATAGTAAAGTAAGTAATTATCAAAGCTGCTAGGATAGAACATGAGTTCCTCACTGAGGACTTGCCAGTGAAGCTCATTAGGATGAACTGCACTTTAATGAAGTAATACATTGAGTTTGTGGCCGACAGACTTATGTTGGAACTGGGTTTTAAGACTTAATGGAGAGTATTTCACTGCAAGGAAAGATTAAGTTCTTTGAGAAGAGAGTAGGTGAGTATCAAAAGATGACAGTGATATCAAGTGCGATAGATAATTCTTTTACTTTGGATGCCGACTTCTAAATAAGCTTAATATATGCTGTTATTTTGCTGATTTTTTTTCCTCTAATCGAAAAGAAAACAGCTGAAGTGTATCAACTCGCTACACCATCAATTGTCCATAGTGTTCATTAACAGCATCTTAAAACTGTATAGTTACCTCACAATCAATACCGTTGATTTATAATGCTAGTGGTATCACCTAGAAAGAGAGAAATTTTAAGACAAAAGCTACTCAAATTCTTTTAAAAGAGCTTGTCCAGTTTTCGCTTTTGTGGGATTGCAGTGACAGTGGTAGTCTTGGCTTTAAAGTGAGTGGCAACCCTCTAGTGAGCTTGGGCCAGTAGGATTAAACATTCACATCCTAGCGCAGGCAGTTGAAAGATGCAGCCCACTGCTCCAAACAGATTTTAAAGTTTACTTAACTAATTTGTATATAAAATTTTTGCTTTACAACCACAAACATTGTTTGTCCTGTCAAGGTACTAGCCTAGTTTATTTGGTTTCTACACCAAATACAAAGTATTCTATTGACCACCAACGGGAATTAATTTGAAATTTACTAAATAACTAAAGTAATTAAACTCGTGTAGACTAAGCATGTAATTTCTAAGTTTTACTTTCTTTAATGAATTGAAATACTGTTTTTTCAACTTTAAAATCAATCCTGTGCATACTTAGGTATTAGTCGGGTGGTACCACATAAAAGACAGGTTGTTATTTATTTATCCTGTAGTCTAGGTAGAGTGTCATGAGATTCCATGCCCCACATGAGGTAGAGTACTATGGGTAAGAGTTGGATAAAAGATAAAGGGGTATCTTTCAGGGCAAGAAGATTCTAACTTACATCATTGGAAATTTAGGCTTGTTCGGCCAGGCGCAGTGGCTCACGCCTGTAATCCCAGCACTTTGGGAGACTGAGGCGGGCGTATCACGAGGTCAGGAGATCAAGACCATCCTGGCTAACACGGTGAAACCCCATCTCTACTAAAAATATAAAAAATTAGCCGGGTGTGGTGGTGGGCGCCTGTAGGAGCTTGCAGTGAGCCAAGATTAAGCCACTATACTCCAGCCTGGGCAACAGAGTGAGACTCCGTCTAAAAAAAATAAATTAAATAAAAAATATAAAAAAATGGAAATTTAGGCATGTTCTGGGTCTTAGTATGTGTGAGGGGCCCTATCATCATTTTATTTCTCATATTTTGTTTTCCCCGACTTCTAGTTCATATGAAAAAACCCTTGAAGTGTGTTTTATACGTGGGAGCTAAGGTGGTATTGTAAATTTTCAAGTCATCCTTGAACAAAATGAACCAGCTAAGATCTTGCTTCTGTTAAATGGTAAAATCAGGACTGAAGTTGTATCTTCTGAAGGTTGTTTTTTCTTGTTTTGTTTAATTTATGTGTAAGTAGGTACTATTGAGTTAATTCATTTATATTTACTACATCATTTTTAGAAAACATTTTTTATTATTTATTTCTTTTTAGATTTTACCTGTAGTTTATCCTTTGAAATACTCACCAGGTAGTGTGTTATAATTCTAGCATTTGTCTAAATGTGAGCATCACATGGTGGAGTCGTGAACTTCAGTAGTATAGTCTACAAGTTATTAATATATTTTCCATCCAAATATTAATTTCAGAAGGAAGTATGAACTAATATATATTCTTAAGAGGGCTAATTTGAATTAATCTGGCTTTATGTTTGGAAAAAAATGCTGAGACATTGCATGAAAGAATTAAATTTTGATCACCTTTGTTAATTGATTGTATTGTATACTGGTTGTTTAACATTTGACCTGTTCTATTGTCAGTTTTCTTCGTTATTTATTTTGTAGTCAATTTTAAAATTCCCATGAGACCTTTTTTTTATTTTTATTTTTCTTGGAGATGGAGTCTTGCTCTGTCGCCCAGGTTGGAGTGCAGTGGAGCGATCTTGGCTCACTGCAACTTCCGCCTCCCAGGTTCAAGCAATTCTCCTGCCTCAGCCTCCTGAGTAGCTGGGACTACAGGCGCACACAACCACGCCCGGCTAACTTTTTGTATTTGAGTAGAGAGGAGGTTTCACTGTGTGGCCCAGGCTGGTCTCCAGCTCCTGAGCTCAGGCAATCTTCCCGTCTCGGCCTCCCGAAGTGCTAGGATTACAGGCGTGATCCACCACGCCTGGCCTTCTATTTTTTAATTGTTACTTAAAGTTAATAAAACCAAATTATATGGTCAAAAGATTCCTCAGGGATGTAGAACTAGAAATACCATTTGACCCAGCCATCCCATTACTGGGCATATACCCAAAGGATTATAAATCATGCTGCTATAAAGACACATGCACACGTATGTTTATTGCGGCATCATTCACAATAGCAAAGACTTGGAACCAACCCAAATGTCCAACAATGATAGACCGGATTAAGAAAATGTGGCACATATACACCATGGAATACTATGCAGCCATAAAAAATGATGAGTTCATGTCCTTTGTAGGGACATGGATGAAATTGGAAACCATCATTCTCAGTAAACTATGGCAAGAACAAAAAACCAAACACCGCATATTCTCACTCATAGGTGGGAATTGAACAATGAGATCACATGGACACAGGAAGGGGAACATCACACTCTGGGGACTGTTGTGGGGTGGGGGGAGGGATAGCATTGGGAGATATACCTAATGCTAGATGACGAGTTAGTGGGTGCAGCACACCAGCATGGCACATGTATACTTATGTAACTAACCTGCACAATGTGCACATGTACCCTAAAACTTAAAGTATAATAATAAAAAAAAATAAAAAAATGAAAAAAAATAAAAAAAATAAAATAAAATAAAAAATAAAACACTCCCACTCTCACCAACATCCTTCCCGCCTCCCCGAACACAAACGCACACCTGCCACTTCTATCCCTCTTCCCTTTTTCTTGCTCCTTGAAGCATATCATTGTACATGCACTGTACACACACCCTGTTTTACCTATTCATTGAATATATTTTTCTGAACCTTACTAGAATATAAGCTCCACGAAGGTAAGCTGCACATATTTTCTTTTTATTTTGTTCACTGCTGTATCTATACCACCCACAAAAGTATCTGGTACAACATAGAAGTCACTGACTATTAAATGAATGAATGTGTGATTATATGAGTATAATTAATTTTCAAAAAGCAATTACATTTAGAGTACCTTTATAAAGAGAAAATATATACAAATCCATTGGAACATCTGGGAATAAATTTAGGATTTACATGAAGAAACTCAAAATGCTTCCTTGGCATATAAAAGGTGACTTGATTAAAAGGATGTTCCAGTGGGGTTGTTCTCATGTTCCAATGTGGAAAGCCTAAATAATAAAAAAGGCAATATAATTTAAAAATTAATTTACATATTTAAAATAATGAAATTATATTTCCTGATACATCCCAGCACCTAAAACAATTTTTGTCACCTCAATAAATATGTGTTAATAAATGACCCCTGCTTTCAAGGAGCTCACATTCTAGTGAGGTGCATAGAAGTGAACAGGTCAAGGCATGTAAACAAAAAAAAGCAACACGTAAACAAGATAGACAATCTCTCTCTCTTCTGTGTCTCCATAATGATGAATACCTTACTTTGTTGTAATGATATGCACACATATATGTCCTCTATTATGCTTAAATCCGTTTTTATTGAAACTATCCCTTTATCATTTATATCGCTTTTCTTATCATGGAACTTTAAACATAACAGAAACTAAAAAAAAAAAAATGCATATTGCTTTGTCTCCTATCACTTCTTAATGTAACTTTTATTGTGGCCATAATAGATGTCTCTCTCCCCACCCACCATGCACTGATATACATCTAAGTATAATTGTTTCTTAATTCCCCACCCTGTGAAATTCTAACCTTCAGAGGCCCAATCTAAATCATCTCTTGCTTTTTGAAATATCCTCTAGTCTCTCAGGAAGATTTAATCACCTCTTCACCTCTTTGTTTCTGTAAAATTTGTTCATAATGTTGTCAATTACAAAGATGAAGGCAACTTCCTAAGTATGTGAAAGCCACAGGATTTAATGATCCTGGTTCCTTGACACTAAAGAATACCACACACGCGTACCAGTCCTGACAATTTAATGGAGCAGAGCTAGGACACCAGCCCACACATTCAATTCAGAAAGAAATAAACAACTATCTTATTTGGGATCTTTGCTACCCTCATCCAAATATACAGCTTGAGATTTTTAAAATATTTATCAGATCATATCTCATCAACACTTTGTTCACAGTAAAATACAATCTCCTAAGCAGCTTACAAAGCCCTGCATGATCTGGCCCCTGGCAATCTTCCTTACCTTTTTCTATCAACATGCCCTCACTGACTCCTCTGCTTTCGCCATAGTGTCCTTATTGTTGTTGCTCAACACACGAAGCTTATTCCCATTTTAGGGTTTATGCACATGAAGGTCTTTCTCTGGCTAAAGCACCTCTCCCAGATACTCCATTGGCTCACTTTGTCACTTCATTTATAACTCTGTTCAAATGTCATCTCCTTAGAAGCCTATGCTGACCATACAATCCAAAATGTTCTTATAGCACCGAGACCTTTACCCTTATTTAGTTTCTTCATGGCACTTATCACTGCCTGGAATTATATTTTATATATGGTTGTTTATTGTCTGTTTCCATTGCTAGAATGTTAGCTCTATCAAGGCAGCATCTTGGTCTGCTTTATTTACTGTTGCATCACTAGGGCCTAGTATTGTACTAGTCACATTGGAGATTATAAAATTGTTTTTGAATGAATGAATAGATGTATGGACTTGGATAAGCTCAGATTGCTCAAGTATTCTTACTTTGTTGACTAAATCTGCCTCATATTTGTTTTTGTCTTAAATGTAATAGCTTTCCCTATTTTTGTTTTGTTTCGTTTCATTTTATTATTTATTTTAATTATCCAACAACCCTGTGAGGGAGAAAGGCATGCTCACTTTTTTAATTTAATTTATAGATTAAGAAACTAATCTAACTTAAAGTAAGTTTAGTAATTTATCTCAATTATGACAGCTAATAATAGTAGAAGCAGGAATTCATGTCTGACTGGTTCTGGAGGCCATGCCCTTTTGCATACACAACTCTACATTTTTGGAAAAACCCTCAACACATCTATTATTTTTCCACATAATGCCTCTTGAATATTGATAATAATAATCACCCTTACTTATACTTGTTCACAGTATATTTGTTCATTTTCTTTAACCGTTTCCCTTATAATTTCCCAATTACACAGTATCCTGGCTTTTCTCATCTAGATGCACTCCAATATGTACATGCCCTTTAAAAGGCAGAGCTCAGGTATAAACAGTCTTTGAACTGTGGCCTGACTAGTCACAATAACAGAAGAATTATTAATTTAATACTCTGAGATCTGACTTTTTATTATTGTAGCAGCTACTTGCATTGGATGCTAAGAAGACAACTGGAGAACACCACTGGATATTGTGATTAACTTTGTCAGACAAAGAGTTTCCTCCATTTCACCTTATAGTCATTGATTGAAAATCTATTTCGTGTAAGCAATCTAAATATAAAAAAATTAATTTATTATTCTTAGAATTTATCTTGTTTATTTTATTCAGCCTATCAGTCCAGGTTGTTAGGATCATTATGGATCTTGGTTTTTGTCTTCACTCTATTCTGTAAACCATCACGGAATCATCTCTAAAATAACTCCCTTTTAAATATCATTTGCTCAGTCAAAATATGTAAAATCATTATATTTGACTTACTTAACTTGACATTTAAGTATAGTTGATCCCATTGCCCAAGTCAGATTTGTAGTCCCAGAATGTCCCCTCTGCCTAGTCAGAATATTAACTTCCAGTCCCATTTTCACCAACAAATAAGACTATGTCTATTTTTCTTTGGTCACTTTGAATGTAGGCACCATTTCACATTATTTAGCTCTTAACTTTTATTTTAGTTTTGTATTCAAAGGTGGTTTCTAAGCAGCAGATGGACAAGGACTAAGTCTTATGATTATGTATGTACCCATGATACAACCATAGATCTAGATGTATTGCAGATGCCCTGCAAATATTTTGTTTATGAGCAATCCTTTAGAGTGTCAATGATCAATCCATATTAACCTGCAAGTTCTAGGATATATGGGAATATAAATCTGCTTTTGCTTGCAATTGTATCCTCAGTGCTAAATGTAGAACGTGGTAA
Organism: Homo sapiens; assembly: GCF_000001405.40. NCBI lineage: Eukaryota > Metazoa > Chordata > Mammalia > Primates > Hominidae > Homo > Homo sapiens. The sequence goes on along the minus strand of NC_000023.11, from coordinate 144,302,654 downwards.
ATAGCATATGATCAGTCAGTGTTTGGCGAATTAGTAAATGGAGGTAGAAAGAACAGCATGGGTGAACACTCTAATCAAGGTCACGTTTTAAAAGCCAGAATTCATCTCAGCATCCATCCAATCATTTACCAAGCATTTACCGAGTGTCTATGTGCCAGGTACTCTTTTTGGCCTTCAAACAACTTACTTTCTAGTTGAGAGAGATACAATAATGGACTAAGAATCAAATAAAATTATTCAGATAAAGACATGTGCCCAGGAAGAGTATAGGACAGGGTGATTATCTTGATGTGACAAAAATTGACATGGGGATTACTCAACAATTAATTTTCTTTGCAAAGAAGAGTATTTATGAAATGATAGCCAGGTTCTTAGAGCCCACTCCTGGAACTTCCAAGAAACAAATGCTATAGGAATCCTTCACTTGAGGCCTTCTCTCCTTTAATTATCTGAGCTGTCTATAGTGGTTTGATTAGTGTTTCCCCAGAATTTGTTCATCGGGATTAGGGTGGGCCCTAATCAACTGACTAGTGTCTATTAGAAGAGGGAAATTGGGATACAGACACACACAGAGGAAAATGCCATATGAAGACACCGAGACACACAGGTGGAAGAAGATGTGATAACTAAGGCAAAGACTAGAGTGATACAACTGCAGGTCAAGGAATGCTAAGGATTACCAGCAATCGCGAGAGCTAACAAGAGGTAAAAAATAATCCTTCCCTAGGACCTTTCAGAGGAAAGAGGACCCAATCCATCCATTGGCTTCAGACTTCTATCCTTCAAAACAATAAGAGAGTAGATTTCTGTTGTTTTAACCCACCCAGTTTGTAATACTTTGTTATGGCAGCCCTAGTAAGCGATTATGTTGCCACAGCTCTGGAAGTGTTTTCCTTTGAAGTATATACTTCATACTAATTGCTAGGCAGGATTTTGGCTTAGAAAACTAGGAAGCATGGCTGTTATTTGCATGTTTAAGTATTTCTGCCGTAGATAGTACTCTTTGGTAAAATTTGTGTGCCTGACCTTTCATTAATGCAATTGAAGGACTTCCCACAGATAAAAGTTAAGGAGTTAAAACAAACCTAGGTCAAATCTTAGAGCATAAAGCATCAAAGGAAATAAGAACATTATTTGCCATTCATGATTTATACCTTTACAGTCAAGAAAGGCTAGAAATTTTAGCATAAATTAATAAAATTGTATAAAGCCCCGTTCAAAGTCATCCCAAATGCACAAATGTAAGGAGGAAGCAACACGATACCTTGGCTTTGGAAATGAACAGTCCAGGCTTGAATCTTGAATCTTATTTCCTCTATGTTCTCACATCTGATCTTGGTCAAGGCACTTAATAGCTCTGAGCCTCAATTTTCCAAGCTATAAAATAGGAATAATGACAGCTTTCCTTCAGTAATTTTATGAAAAATAGAGAGAATGTAAAAAAGTGCGTGTTAAAGTCCCTGACAAATGTTATGTCCTCCATAAACAGTAGCTATTATTAAACTAGGTTAAACGAAAATTGAGAAGTATAGGAATACCTGTTTCAGAGATATAAACTAGATTTGGGAAATTATTTGGGTTATAAAATGCAAAGGAAAAATTAATTATGTTCAGTTTTGATTTAATTCCATCCACAAAATTAAACTTTCAGAGTCTTTTCTTCCGTCTGGTCTTCAAGTTTCTTATACTATTAATTGATTGATTTTTTCCCATTAGCTCTGCTGAATGTTTAACGCTTATTTGATCCAGTTTTGTTTTAAATCTAATATATTCATGAAGTCTCTTATAGTATTTTATTGCACATTGTCAATTCCCTAGCTTTGATATTAGCCATAGCTAAAGAGAAAATTCCTCAATTTAGTGGTGAGCATTTGTAGTAAAGTTTGAGACTGAATCTACTGCAAAGCTAAAAGTGGTGATTGATTCAGACTTATTTCAAATGTCAGAGTTTTCTCTTTAACTTTATCCAATGGTAGGGTACAAGAGCAGATTAGGAAAAAAGCAGCAGAAAAGACTTCAGATGGGTTAAGGTGTTCTGACATCATTGCCAACTGTAGTGTTCTGGTTTCTTTTTACCCATCCCAATGACACCATGTCCCAGTGCATAAGTATCGTGGCATTTTGCAAAAACGTTTCAAGTCGAAGTTTCTTTAGTTGCCATATTCGTCTTGCTATCTTCTTCCCACAGATGCTCTCCTCACACTGTGTTCCCTTTGAAGTAAGGTAGCCAGAAATCTTCAGCAGGGAGGGAGCAAGCAAATTGCAAGAGTTCGAACAGTTTGTTTTGCTTACTGTCTGCTCATTTGGGAGCTTTTAGATCTGTCAGGCTGCAAAACAAGTTCTGCATTCAAACACTTCACCAGAGATTTGGGGAGTAACTTAGCAATAATTGTCTTGAAGCTGAAGAAGAAATATTAGCACAATTAATATTACACCAGCATCAAACATTAATATCAAGAGACAGTATAGTGTAGGATATCTGTTTTCAAAGTGTGGTCTAGAGGTGACTGGTGGTCCCTGAGATCTTTCTAAAGGATCTACGAAATCAAAGCTTTTCCATAACACTAAAATCTCCCATGCCTTTTGCATTCTTTTTCTTTAACAAGTGTAAAGTGTTTCAAATGCTCCATGGCATGTGACATCGCAATAGGCTGAATGTAGAAGCAGATATGAGGGTCCGACCATCTATCAAACAGGGCCTTAAAGAGATTTGTGATAATGTGAAGCCATAGCACTTTTCTCAATAATTTATTTTTGGAGAATGTAATTTTTCCATTAAAATGTTCTGCATGTGTGGATGTAATGGTTTTGTTATAGCTATTTTAATTAAGACTTTTACTTTTAGATGATTTATTGTATATTCACATGAAAGGAGTTGTAAGAAATAATGAAGGAAGATGATGTGTATGCTTTACCTCATTTACCTTGATGATCTGGCAAAACTGTAGTATCATATCACAGCCAGGATATTGACATGGATTCAATCAAGATGTAGGATATGCAGAACCACAAAAATGGAGATCTTTTTATAGCCACACCCATTTCCCTTCCTCTGCTGTAGCTCCTGGCAACCTGAATCGGTTCTCAATTTCTGAGAACCAATTCAGAAATTAACACAAATAACAGTATTTCTGCTAATTCAATGAATTAATAAATAAGCATAGCTCCTGGCAACCTGAATCTGTTCTCAATTTCAGTGAGTTAATAAATAAGCATTTTTATTTCAGTTTAATTTTTCATGTGGAAATGATTGGTGGGCATAACTCACAATAATAAAAGGTCCTTGGGACATTCACATATTTTTGTCAGTGAACTGAGATGCTGAGACCAAAAAGTCTGAGAAATGCCAGAGGTACAGTTAGGAGGAGCACAGACTCTCAAGACAGACTATATGGGCTTGACTCCCAGCTCTACCACTTTCTAGTTGTTAATTGGGCATGTTATTAGCCTCTATATCTATCAGTTTAATGATCAGATTAGATCATTAGGATTCAATGAGTTTGCCATTTAGGTGACCTAGAACAATGTTTGGTAGGTAATGACTATGAAAGTGTTAGAAGTTATTTCTTTATTAGGTGCCCAAGGTCTAGCCTTGGTCATGGGTGGGTTTGCCAACTAAAAGGCAGCAATGCACCCCTACCCAACCCCAAGTACTTGGAATAATTTCCTTTCTTTTCTGTTCATGTTCAAATCCTACCAATTTTAAATGATAGGGCAAATTATACTTCTTTCACTCGCTGTTTCTTGAAATCCTTTGCACTCTATGAAAACCCAGGTCACTCATTGTGGTTCTTACCCAAGATTGTATTTAATTACGTACTATGCTAGGTGAGTCTTGAACTATTTCACATGTGGGTCTGTCTTGACAGCACAACTAGATTGTAAGAGTCTGAGACTCTTAGAGGTTTTCCTTTATTCTCCTTATTGCCCTACATGCAATCAATGCCTAGGATATCCCTTTTGAATGAATGAAACATGTCAAAAAATAACTATATTAATTTTGAACCTAAACTTTCTATTTGATAAAGAATTCCAAGATTGAGGAATCTACCAAACTCAGTCCTTTATAAAATAATCTTTGAAAATATTTACTAAGCAAGGTCCAAGTTAATTATTGAATTGTGTTGGGAACAATTATTTAATTTTATATCACAAAGAAATTATAGTTTTACAACAGGTAAAAAGAATGAAAAAATGTGAAGAAAAATTATAAGGTTAAACTGATGTAAACTCATTTCTCAATATCTATTAGAAATAAGAATATTCTCTCTCTGTATGTATGTGTATATATATTTCACTACAAAAACAGAGTTGTGTTACTAAGCTACCACATTCAAAAATATGTGGGCTGTTTCTGTTCATTAAATGTATAAACGTACCCATATAAGGCTACACATACACAAATAACAAAAGAAAAATGTCAATCTAAGTCATATCCTGATTCGTGGGTAAACCTCACAGAGAGTAACAACATCCTTACACAATGCACATGCTTTATTCCTGTATGTGAGAATGTTTTACACATGAAAAATGGAAAAGTAAAACAACAATGTAGAATACAAGCTCAACATAAACCGAGAATAACCCAAAATGTCTGATAGAGTAACAACCTTAACTTGTAGGAGAAATACATATGCTAAGACCCTGGGGAGTAGAAGGCTTTTGGGCCTGGTGCCAGGGTTAAAACTGATATTATGGGTGATCATACAGCTTGGTGGCTCATTTTAGTCAGTCTTTAACACCACAGACCTCCCAACTCCAATGCTTCCAATGTTAAACTGTAATAACACCACAATAGCCTAGGAATGTCAATTACATATCAATAAAATCACATGACTATGTTTATGCTGTCCTTCTATCTAAGCCACAAGAATAATACCCTTGGAAACTTACTAAAATTTTACACTTGTGTTCAATGTTGATAGAATAATGCTCTCTCTATTTTCCCCTTTTTCTACTCATTCAGTAATACTTGAATATTGTCTTGTTAATGCTCCCTCATATAGCACCAGCCATAAATCTTTATTATGGCATGTGTCACATTAGTCTACTTATTAGTTTCTATGTGTCCTTTCCCCCAAGACTGAGTTCTTAGCCCTATCTGATGTCACAGAAACCTTTAAAAGTCCCATTAAAGTTCTGGATTCAAGCCACAGGCAGTGCAGGAGTAGCATACAGCAGTAGTTTAAGTGTGTAGACTCTAGAGACGCACTGCCTGAATTTGAAACCCAGCTCTGCCAGGACACTATGACCTTGAGGAAGTTACTTCATCTCTCTGCAATTCAGTTACCTCATTTGCAATAGAAGCATAATAAAAATGGTGCAAACGTAACAGAGTTTTTGTGAAGATGAACTGAGTTAATGTATGTTAAGCATTTAGAATAGGGTGGAGCCTATATTGAAAATAAATGAATGAATCATACCTATGTCATTCTGCATAGCATTTTACAGTGTTTGTAGACTCTGTGGTCATATATGGACCCATAAGACTTGGAGGGTCACAGAGATAAACATGAGAGAAAAATATACTTGTATTTTATTTTAACCACTGTTTTTGTTTTGCTCTTTGAAATAGGCAATAAGATGCCACATTTTACAGACTGGCAAGCTAAAATTTATTGAGATCCAATGACTTGTCCAAGATCACACCCAACTAGTAGGTAACCAACCTGATGTTCAAAGACAGGTATGTCATACTCCAAACCCTATTACCTTTATATTATACCACACTATCTATCTCACATTACTACTTGATTTGAGGCTTTATCCCTGACCTACTGAGTGAGACTATGGGTTGGATATGACCACCTACTCATATGCTGAAAAACCTCACCAATTATTTTGATGAGCAATCAGAATAACTTTTGTAAAAAAAAAAAAAATAGTGCTTAGTACCATTAAAAATAATTTAGTAAAAAATACCTAGGTGATTTTCCTTTGCTTTATATACTTGCTAGTAATTGATCCATTTTTAGTTATTACAATTACTGATATTTCAAACCTATATTTCCTTCTGCATTTCCTTCTTCTGCGTAGCTCACTACAGCATTTGTTGTTGTGTGCTGGCGGTGGTCATGGTGATACAGCTATTCTCTTGTCTTTTTGGCTTTTGCTCTTCTCTCTGATGAACTGACTGACAGATTATGGTTAAGGGAAAGGTGGAAACTACCAGGGGTAATAACTTGAGTTTAGAGGCCAGAAGAATCAGTACCTAGTCCAATTCAAGAAAGTTATCTGAGGCAAAATGGAGTGAAAGCAAACTGATTGTGAAAGCGGGATTCAAGACAGAATCAAACAGAACCGATAGCTTTGAACTAAGATCTTTAACAATATCTTGGCAATTCTCCTGAGAGCCTACACCTTAAAAAAAAAAGTCTGATATTGCTTGTTGCTCAGGAATTCTCTAGTGAAATCTATGCAAAGGCCATGACAGTGCTAGACTGATCTCTAGCACAGAAAGCTGACACATATCATATCCAAAACCCTCGGGGACTGTGATCATAGGCTCATGCCTTCCATCTGGGTCCCAGATGGGATTTTTTGGAACACTGGTGAATTTGGCAGGATTTGAAGCTCTTCCTCACTAGAGCTAACACAGGGGTCTTGGCATCAGAGAATTTGATAACTGTTCTTTCCATTGAGACTGGTGTAAGAGAGATCCTCACAAAGGTATCAGGTTTTAAGACATTCTTTAATATAAAAACATATTTATGGCATTAATTTCTACATAATGCTGTCTCTGCCAAAATAAAGGCATTTGTTGCAGATGTTTGAGTAAAAGCAAATTTAACTGCAAACTGGATTCAAGGTCAAGGGCTTAGGGCTTTCATGTTAAGAGTGAACGTCTAGAGAGAGGATGTTTCAGAAATCAGGTGGACAGGCAAGATAACAAAGTCAAGTGAGGAGTCAAAAACTTAGGCAGTCAAAAATGTTAACATTTGTAGAAACAGAAGAGGCACAGAAATGTAGATATTTAATAATCTAGTCAAATATTTGGGAATGGGATGGGCAGAAAATGTCTGTATACTAAATATTAGCAGCAGGAAACATCTAAGTTCACAGATCAAGACGTTTATGAGTCTCACTTAAGAATAAATCCATTCCTTTGGGGTTTTCCCAGAGCCTGTTGAGAGAAAATAGGTAATTGGGATCATCTGATTGAGGTCAAAAGTTATGTTATTGGATGAAATAAATGGCTTTATACAGATAAAATATAATTTTGCATACATTTAAATCAACATTTATTAAGGTCTTCTGGGCTGGACCTCATTCTCGTTCATGACGGAATATATATAAATAAGTTGTAGTCCTTCTTCTTTATAATTCACTGTCTTTTATGGAGAAAAAATGTCTGTCATCAACAGTTAGACTACAATATTTTATGAAAAATGACATAATGATGTACAGGTTGTTATGGAAGTCCAGAGAAAGGTAGATAGATCAGAGAAGACTTCATGGAAGAAGTGTAACCTGGGCTGAGGTTTAGTCAGGTGAAGAACTGGATAGAGGCAAAATATAATATAAGCTGAGGGAAAAATAAAAAGGCATGAAAATTTGAAAGATATGGCTGTTTTGAGGATTTATTTATTAAGTATTTACTGAGCACTGAAATTGTGCCAAGAACAGATCTAGGTATTAAGAATATAGTTAAAGTTGAGACAGACAAGATATTTAACTCATGAATCTTGCAGTCTATTGAGAGAGACAGACAGCTAAATGGAAATTTAATACAGTGTGATAAGCACTTTGGAATGGAAATAGCAGAGTACCAAAAGAGCACAGAAGGAGGATATTTTCTGAAGAATGGGGGAGAAGGAAGGAGGCAAAATGTCTAGGAAAGCAACCCTTAGAATGCAACTGAGTCTTGAAGGATGAGTATGAATTAACCAGGAAAAAATTTGGAGAAGTACCAACAGTGGAAATAACAAAGACAAAGAAAATAAGGCAAAGGAAAACCTAGAGTCTTCAGGCAACTGTGAATATTTTTGGCATCTGAAAATTTTTGTAGGAGAGTTGTTTGAGTGATTGACCATGAAGTCTAGGTTGGAAAGAGAAAGTCTTTAAACTCAGAGTAAATGAAAATAAAAGGCAGAAAGGTTTTCTAAACTTTCTAAACAAAGGAGTAAAGGGCCGGGTGCGGTGGCTCACGCCTGTAATCCCAGCACTTTGGGAGGCTGAGATGGGCAAATCACAAGGTCAGGAGATCGAGACCACCCTGGCTAACATGGTGAAACCCTGTCTCTACTAAAAAAAATACAAAAAATTAGCCGAGCGTGGTGGCGGATGCCTGTAGTCCCAGGTACTCAGGAGGCTGAGGCAGTAGAATGGCGTGAACCTGGGAGACCGAGCTTGCAGTGAGCTGAGATGGCACCACTGCACTTCAGCCTGGGCGACAGAGTGAGATTCTGTCAAAAAAAAAAAGAGAGAAAAGAAACAAAGTAGTAAAGAAACTAGAAATATGGTTGGTTGGAATTAGTGTGTGGAGAATATGATTCTATTATAAAAGGATAAAAGGTAGAGATATTCTGGTTGAAGACAATAATCTGACTGTGACAAGAGAGTGTAGAGGACGTGAAAGTCACTAGAGATGAGTAAGAATCCTAGAGGTCTATGCATTGGATATATTTTACACATAGATGTGGAGTCACATAGATAAGTGACAGGATTTGGAATAAGGAGAAGGCCAGGTACCCAAGTCTTTAGCCCACAGAATCCATAGATAATAGCAACACAGAAGAATACAACGTGGTGTATATAGAACACATGAGATTTTACAAGAGGATGGAAATGACATTGGAAATGGAAATAAATACAGATTTCACTTGCTATCCTGGCGGCACATCATGCTGTAGGACGTGCAGATGGACTCAATGGACAGCTGGTTTTCAGTTAAGACAGAAGATAAAGAAATGCATAATTAAGGGGTTAAACTTGCAAAGCAATTCAACTGTCAAGAGCACAAAGAAAGAATTTCTGGGAGAAGGAAGCAGAGGTTAGTCAAGGGGGATGAAGGGTCATAGCAGGACGGGGAGAATGTGATGGAACAGGTTGAAAGAATACCTGCACAGGGAGCAGTATACAGCTTGGCAAAGACGAGAAGTCTGGTGGGTTTAACTAGATTTACTATTCAAAAGGGGAGGCTGAATGCATCTGGATCAGACCCAGTGTAGGCTGTGGGAGTCATTGCCCCAGCAGCAATATGCATCTGCTGAACACTGGCCAACTGCAACACTGCGTCATCCCAATTTCCTCTTCTGTTTGTTAGTCTCTCTTTCCTGCCTGACAAGTTCAGGCCAACTTAACACAAGGTTGAGTTTTCTAATGAACCTCATTTCTTCTGTAAGGGATCTTTACTGACATTCAGTAGGCTGCTTCTCACAACACCTGCTACAAACCCTTTTAAGTGTAGATTCTAAGCAAAACCCACAAGAAAAAAACCCAAAGCTCTAACTGCTTCACAACTGCTCAATCCTTCTCTAGAGAATGAGGCCAGAGTGACTTAAAACACATTTATGCCTTCTCCAAATTTCTGCGTCTCAGTGGGATCTATGTCTCATATACAGCATACAGCTGCTTTGCAGGGAAACTCCTCACAAGCCCAAGAGTCCAAAATTGTGAGTGAATCCTGTGTTCCCAAGTTGCTCTTTCTCCCTACTTAGTTGTGTACATTCATATTTCTTATTTATCTTTCATCTTAAAACTTAGATGCCTTTACATTATATACAATTGATTTCTAATTTTCAGCTTGGATTTGCTAAACAATGCCCAAGATAGATGTTAATATGCATTCATTTTTCATGTTTCAATTTGTAGAGATCCCAATAGCGCTTTACATTTACAGATTTTTTTTTTCTCCTAAATGCTTAAGGCACTTAACAAGAAACTATTTACCAACCTCATAACGTCCTTGGAGATAGACATATGATACCTAACTGCTGCACCCTCAAAAACGCATTTTCACTTAGAATAACCTTTATTGAAAACAATATCTGAGCAACTATCAGCTGAATTTTCTGGATTTATGTACAGTAATTTAGCCTATCTCTAAATCTTCAGTATACCTTCCATGTCCACAATGAAGTTATTTATGAGTTTGAGGCTTGGTTTGCACCATGTTTTTAAATTAAATAATCTTATCCTTTTCATATCCAATGTTGATAACAGAGCTAGAGAAGATTTTCAAAACACAGAGTTGACATAACATGGAGACTTTAGATTTTGTTATTTTAGGAGACAGTATGCAAAAAGAGCACACTAGTATGGTAGAAAGAACATGGCCCCATGCACCAAAAACTTTGACCAATTTAATTTAATACATATTCATTTGTTGTCTGTATCCATAAGGATTGGCTTGACTGCAATTAACAGGAAAATCCCAAAGGAACAGTAATATAAATACTGCAGACCTTTTTTCCATATAAAAGTCCGAGGGGAAGGCAGTCCTGGCTTGACCTGTCACCTGTGCTCCATTAGGTCCACAGGAACTCAATTTTATTCCAGTTCAATACTCTGCCTTTCTGTACCTTCATAGATCAAGATGATAGTTGTATTCCAAGCAACAGGAAAAAGGAAGACATAAAGAACAAGGACAGACTGGGTGTTTCAGCCATTTCTTACAGGAAGTTCTTAAGAACAGCCACAAAATATGACATTTTTATATACTCGCTGTTGTCCAGAACATCATCACATTATCACATCTAACTATTAGGGAGTTTGGAAAATTTAATCAATCAATTGGAGCAGCCATGTGCTCAGACAAAAGTTCTATTACTATAGAAAAAGGGAGAACAGATGTTAGAAGCAAACTAACAGCCCATTGCAATAATGGTTACCTGAAATCTCTACAGTGAGAGTGTTTGCTTTTTCACTAAGCTGCTCTTTGACCATGGGCAAGCCAATTTTTATTTTTGGACCATAATTTTCACTGCCATGTAAGAGAATTGTACTGAATGGTCTTCAAACTCTCTTCTGTTTCTAATAGTCTGTGGATAAATAAGTGAATGGCCAGATGAATAAATAAATGATATCAAAGTGGCTTAAGAATCTTCAGAAAGAGTCCAATAGGCTCAACAAGTACATTAGATCCATGCTCTGGGACTCTGACTTAATTACTGTGGACTTAAGCAGGTCTCAAGGCAATGAATGACTCTTTTTAATCAATAGGTATTTAATTCCTTAGTTATACAATATATGTATTTAGAAATGTACAAAACACAAATTTATACTTTAATAAATAGCTATTTTTAAAATCACGTGTAGTCTTATCTCAAGCCAAAAAATATATAATGCATTGCCAGCACCTCAATAGTCTCTCATGTGTCCCTAGTAGATTACAAACCTCTCCTTTCCTGAAAGGTTCTAAAGCTTAGAGATAATGTTATCATAATTATTGTGATTAGCTTCCTTATTTTCTTCACAGTTCTACTACCTAAGTATGTATCTTTAATTATTATAATTTAGTTATTTTTACTTTTGAAACAGAAGACCAAAATAATTTTGTGTATCTAGTGATACAGATCTGAATTTCAAATTATGTTTGTGAGATCCATACACATTGCTGTGTATAGCTTTATTCCGCTCACTTTGATTGCTAATTGGTTGTATTAGTCCATTCTCAGACAGCTATAAAGAACTATCTGAGACTGGATAATTTATGAAGAAAAAGGTTTAACTGACTCACAGTTCTGCAGATTTAAAAGAAAGCATGACTAGGAGGCCTCAGGAAACTTACAATCATGGTGGAAGGTGAAAGGGAAGCAAGCATGTCTTACCATGGCAGATCAAGAGACAGAAAGGGCAAAGTGGAAAGTTCCACACACTGTCAAACAACCAGAACTCATGAGAACTCACTCACCATATGAGAAAAGCAAAGAGGAAGTCCATCCCCACGATTAAGTCACCTCCCACCGGGCCCCTCCCCAACCCATGGGGATTACAGTTCAAGATGAGATTTGAGTATGGACATAGAGCCAACCATATTATTCTTACCCAGCTCCTCCAAAATGTCATTTTTTTTCACATTGCAAAGCCAATCATGCCTTCCCAACAGTCCTCCAAAGCCTTAACTCATTCCAGCATTACCTCAAAAGTCCAACAGGCCCCATGCAATTCCAAAATCCATCAATGCAGTCATTAAATCTTAAAGCTCCAAAATAATCTCCTTTGACTCTGTATCTCATATCCAGGGCACGCTGCTGCAAGTGGTGGGCTCAACAGCCTTGGGAAACTCTGTACCTGTGGCTCTGAATGGAATGGCCCACGCAGCTGCTTTCATGGGCTGGCATTGCATTCTTGTGTCTTTTCCAGGTACACGGTGCAAGCTGTCGGTATATCTATCATTCTGGTATCTGGAAGATGGTGGCCCTCTTTTCACAACTCCACTAGGCAGTGCCCCAGTGGGGAATCTTTGTGGGAGTTCCAACCCCACATTTCCCCTATGCACTGCCCTAGTAGAGGTTCTTCATGAGGGCTCCACCCCTGCATCAGACTTCTTCCTGGACATCCAGGAATCTTCTGAAATATAGGCAGAGTTTCCTAAACTCTTGCCTTCTGTGCACCTGCAGGCCCAACACCATGTGGAAGCCACCAAGGCTTGGGGTTTGCACCCTCTGAAGCAACAACCTGAGCTCTACCTTGACCCCTCTTAGCCACAGTTGAAGCTGGAGCAGCTGGGATGCAGGGCACCATGTCCTGAGGCTGCACAGAGCAGTGGGGCCCTGGGCCTGGCCCAGGAAACCATTATTTCCTCCTAGGCCTCTGGGTCTGTGATGGGAGGGGTTTCCACAAAGGCCTCTGACATGCCCTGGAGACATTTTCCCCATTTTCTTGGCTAATAACAATAGACTCATTTTTACTTACGTAAATGTACGCAGCCAGCTTGAATTTCTCCCCAGAAAATGTTTTTGTTGTTGTTGTTGTTGTTGTTGTTGTTGTTGTTGTTGTTTTTTCCCACTGCTCGGTCAGGCTACACATTTTCCAAACTTTTATGCTCTGCTTTCCTCTTAAAATATAAGTTTTAATTTTAGGGCAGGGGCAAAATGCCACCAGTCTCTTTGCATAGCAAGAATGACCTTTACTGCAGTTCTTAACAAGTTCCTCATCTCCATTTGAGACCACCTCAGCCTGGACTTCATTGTCCATATCACTACAAGCATTTTGGTCAGAATCATTCAACAAGTCTCCAGGAAGTTCCAATCTTTCCCTCATCTTCCTATCTTCTTCTGAGCCATCCAAATTTTTCCAGCCTCTGCCTGTTACCCAGTTCCAAAGTGGCTTCTGCATGTTCAGGTATCTTTATAGCAATGCCCTACTTTCCTGGTACTAATTTTCTTTATTAGTCCACTGTCACAGTGCTATAAAGAACTACCTGAGACTGAGTAATTTATGAAGAAAAAAGGTTTAATTTACTCACAGTTCTGAAGGCTTAATGAGAAGCATGACTGGGAGGCTTCAGGAAACTTACAATCCTGGTGGAACCTGAAGGGGCAGCAAGCAAATCTTACCATGGCAGAGTAGGAGAGAGAGAGAGGGAGAGAGTGAAGGGGGAGGTGCCACACACTTTCAAACAACTAGATCTCATGAGAACTCATTCACTATCACAAGAACAGCGAGAGGGGAGTCTGCCCCCATTATTCAGTCTCCTCCCACCAGGCCCCTCACCCAACACGTGGGGATTACAATTGGAGATTGGATTCAGGTGGGGACCCAGAGGAAAACCATATCATTGGTATTCTATTGTATGGTACATGCTACAATTTATCTATTCTTTCAATGTTGATGACATTTGAATTGTTTGAAAATTTTCACTCATATGAACAGTGCTGCTTTTAATATATTTATGCATGTTTTGTAGTGTGCTTATGTAACATTTCTCTACAGTAGAAATTCCTAACCAGGATTCATTGGACACCAAATAAGTTGCTTGGTCACAGGATTAGAAACTTACGATTTTCATAGTAGTTTTAGCAATTTACATTCCATTCAGCAATAATTTGTGATTTCCTGTTGCTCATCCATTCTGTCTAGCCGTTGATATTGACAGACTTACTAATATAGTCCATCTATAAATGTGAGCCTTATCAACTAGGACCGGTCTGATTTTAGGAAAGACATTAGCAGTATATGTAGCCTTAATTAATATGGAAGCAAACGAGTAGAAAGAAGAGTAGCATTTCTACAATAAGGATTCTTAAACTTTAGTGTGCAAAATATGATGTCACTGGTATATTCATTCATTTATTCATTCATGCAATCAAAAATATTAAGTACCTACTAAGTGGCAGGTATTATGCCTGATGTCATAAAGCTTAGAGCCTTGATGGGAAGAGAGACAACCAAATAATCACATGGATTGACACTAAGTGCTTGAAGTAATGTGCTTCTACAAGAGCACATAAGAAAAGTATAAACTAGGGGAAAGAGTAATATGGCAGAAGAATAGTCCCCACCAATCATCTCCTTCACAAGAACACCAGGTTTTAACAACTATCTACACACAGAAAACAGTGTTAAAAGAACCAAAAATCAGGTAAGCAATAACAGTACCTGGTTTTAACTTTATATCCCTAAAAGAGGTATTAAAGAGAGTTTGAAAGACAGTCTTAAATAGCTGATGCCAATCCTCCCCCATCCCCCAGAAGAGGATGAGAAGCACAAACAGTCTGCCAACCTGGGAGAGGGAGAGCACAGCAAGTGAGGGACTTTAAATTGGACTAAGTGCTGCCCTGTTACAGTTGAGAGAAGTCATGCTGTTATCAGCCAATGCCTGCACATGAAGGGAGCATTTGGAGCTGACTTAGCCAGAGGGGAATCACTCAACCCAACAGTCAGAACTTCAGTCTCTTGGCAATCCTCATCATTGTAGCCAAAGTGCTCTGGGATCCTGGGTAAACTTGAAAAGCTGCCTAACACACAAAAATTGCAATTCCCAGGCAACTCCTCGCACTGGGCTAGGCTCAGAGTCAGTGGACTAGGATGACACGTGACCTAGGCAGACATCAGCTAGAGTGGCTAAGGGAGTGCTTGCAACACTCCTCCCCTAACCACAGGTAGCGCAGCTCACAGCAATGAATGTAGCTCCTAACTTCTGCTTAAAGAGAGGAGAGTGAAGAGTAAAGAGTTCTTTGCCTTGCACCTTGGATACTAGCTCAGCCATCATAGGATAGGGTACCAGGCAGAGTCATGAGGACCCCCATTCCAGGACCAAGCTGCCAAATGGTATTTCTAGACACACCCTGGGCCAAAAGAGAGCCTACCGCGTTGAAGGGAAGGACCCAGTCCTGGAAGGATTTATCACCTGCTGAGCCCTTGGGCCCTGAATAACCAATAACAATACCCAGGGAATACACCATAAGCCTTGGGCTCTGAGATGTGCTGACTGCAGGTATGACCTAGCATACTCCCAGCTGTAGTGGCTACAGTGAAAGACTCCTTTTTTTTTTTTTTTTGAGAAAAACAGAGAGACAAGTAAAGGGGACTTTGTCTTGCACCTTAAGTAGAGGCTCAGCCACAGTGAGGTAGAGAAACAAGCAGGCTCTTGGGGTCCCTGAGTCCAGGCCTAGGCTCTTGGACAGCATTTCTGGACCTACCCTGGGACAGAGGGGAGCCCACCGTCCTGAAGGATGAGTCCTAGGCATGGAAGCATTCACCACAGGCTAACAGAAGAGCCCTTGGGCTTTAAGTGAACATCACTGGTGGCCAGTGGTGTCGGTGGTGGTCGCAGGGAGAGGCTCCTCTGCATGTGAAAACAAAAGAAAGAGTGTGAAGGACTTCGTGTGGTGCTTGTGCACCAGCTTAGTCACAGTAAAATATAAAATAAGATAAATTTCAAAAGTGTTTTACTTAAATTCCTGGAACTCAGACTGCATCTCTGAACCTGCCCAGGACCAGGGGGAGCTCACTGCACTGAAGGGAAGAAAACGAACCTGGCTGGCTTTGCCACCTGCTAATCATAGAGCCCTAGCGTCTTGAGGAAGCATTGGCAGTAGCCAGGTAGTGGTTACAGGTTACAGCGGTCTTGGCAAGACTCAGTGATGTGCTGGCTTCCGGTCTGACCGAGTGCAGTCCCAGTGATGGTGGTTACAGGGAATCTTGCATCACCACGCTCCCAGTTCTAAGCAGTTCAGAAAAGAGAGAGATTGAAAGAGAGAGAGAGAAAGAGAGAGAGAGATACCATTTGTTTGCCAGAAAGTAAGGGAAAAGAATGAGAGTCTCTGACTGGTAATCTAGAGAATTCTTTTGGATCTTATCCATGGCCATCAAGGTGGTACTTCTATGAGTCTGCAAAAACCAAAGCATTACTGGGCTGTGGCCCAAGTCCCTTCTAATACCTGAAAATTTTTTTGAATATCTGGAATGCCTTCTCAAAAAAAAAAAAAAAAAAAAAAACAGGTACAAACAAGCCCAGAGTGTGAAGACTATAATAAATACCCAACTTTTCAATGCCTGGACACTGAAGAACCTCTACAAGCATCAAGACCACCCAGGAAAACACAACCTCACCAAATGAACCAAATAAGGCACAAAGGATAAATTCTGGAAAAACAGAGACTGGTGACCTTTCAGATAATTCAAAATAGCTGTTTTGAGGAAACTCAAAGAAATTCAAGATAACACAGAGAAGAAATTCATAATTCTATCAGATAAATTTAACAAAGAATTGAAGTAATTTAAAAGAATCAAGCAGAAATTTTGGAATTAATAAATGGAATGTATATACTGAAGAATACATTAGAGCCTCTTAATAGCAGAACTGACCAAGCTGAAGAAAGAATTAGTGAACTTGAAGACTGGATATTTTAAAATACACAGTCAGAGGAGACAAAAAAGAATAAAAATAATGAAGTACACCTACAAGATCTAGGAAATAGCCTTAAAAGGGTAAATCTAAGAATTATTTGCCTTAAAGCGGAGGTAGAGAAAGAGATAGCAGTAGAAAGGTTACTCATGGGATAAGACAAGAAGAGATAAGACAAAAGAAGACACAAAGAATGTCATTACATAATGATAAAGTTGTCCCTTCAACAAGACAATATAACAATTGTAAATGTGTATGTACCTAATACTGGAGCGCACAGATATATAAAGCAAATATTATTAGCGCCAGAAAAAGAGACAGGCATCAATACTATAATAGCTGGCATCTTCATCACCACACATTCCGCATTGCACAGATCTCCAAAACAGAAAATCAACAAAGAAACATCAGGCATCATCTGCACTGTCGAACAAATGGACCTAATAGAGATTAACAGAACATTTCATCCACTGGGTATAAAAGACACATTATTCTCCTCAGCATGTGGATTATTCTCAGGGATAGACCTTATTTTAGGTCACAAAACAAGTATCAAAACATTTAATAAATGGAAATAATATCAAGCATCTTCTCCAACCACAGTGGAATAAAACCAGAAATCAATAGCAAACGGAATTTTGGAAACTTTCCAAACACATGGAAATAAAACAATATGCTTCTTAATTACCAAGTTAAGAAATTAAGAAGGAAATTGAAAAAATTCTTGAAACAAATGATAATGGAAGCACAACATACCAAAACCTATGAGATACAGCAAAGCAGCATAAAAAGGGAAATTTATAGCTATAAATGCCTACATAGAAAAGAAGAAAAACATCAAATAAAGAACTTAAGCATGACTCTTAAAGAACTAGAAGATCTAGAGCAAACCAAACCTGAAATTAGTAGAAGAAAATAAATATTAAAGATTGGAGCAGAGACGAATGAATTTGAAATGAACAAAACCATGCAAAAGATCAAATAAAACAAAAAAAGTGATTTATTTCTATTTCTACTTTTTTAATAGAGACAGGATTTTGCCAGGTTGGCCGAGCTGGACTCAAACTTCTCACCTCAAGTGACCTCCCAAAAAGTGCTGGGATTACAGGCGTGAGCCACCATCCCTAGCCCCCAAAAGTTGATTTTTGAGAAGATAAACAAAATAGATAAACCTTTACCCAAACTAACTTAAAAAAAGGGGAGAAACAAAAGATAAATAAAATCATGGATAAAAAAAAGAGACATTACAACTGACACTGCAGAAATTCAAAGGATTATTAGTGGCTAACTTGAGCAATGATATGCCAATAAATTAGAAAATCCATAAAAAAGAATACATTTCTAGAAACATACAACCAACCAAGATTGAACCATGGAGAAATCCAAAACCTCAATAAACCAATAACAAGTAAGATTGAAGCCATAAGAAAAAGTCTTCCAGTAAAGAAAAGCCAGGGGCACAATGGCTTCACTGTTGCTACCAAACATTAAAAATAGAATGTATACCAATCCTACCCAAACTATCCTCAAAGATAGAGGAGCAGGTAAAAATTTCAAACTAATTCTACAAAGCCAGTCTTACCTTGACACCAAAACCAAAGACACATTAAAAAAAACTATAGGCCAATATCTCTGATGAATATTGACATCAAAATTCTCAACAGAATACTAGTAAATTAAATTCAACAATACAATAAAAATATCCTTCATTATGATCAAGTGGGATTTATTTCTGGGATGCATGTGCGGTTCAACATACATAAGTCAATCAATGTGACACATCATATTAACAGAATGAAGGACAAAAACTATATGATGATCTCAATTGATGCTGAAAAAGTATTTGATATATTCCATCATCTCTTAATGATAAAAACACTACAAATGGGTATAGAAGGAACATATTCAACATAATAAAAGCTATATATGACAGACTCACAGTTAGTATCATACTAAATAGGGGAAAATGACAGCACTTCCTCTAAGATCTGAAATATGGCAAGGATGCCCACTTTACCACTGTTAGGAAACATGGTAATGTAAGTCTTAGCTAGAGCAATAGGACAACCAAAAGAAATAAAAGGCAGGCATTCATATTAGAAAATAAGAAGTAAAATTGTATTTGTTTGCAGTTGATATGATCTTATTTTTGGAAATACCTAAAAACACCACACAAAGTTATTATTAATAGAACTGATAAACAAATTGAGTAAGGTTGATGGATACAGAATCTATATACAAAAATCAGTAGCATTACTATATACCAACAGTGTACAACCTGAAAAGAATTCAAAAAGTAATCTCATTACAGTAGCCATAAATAAAATTAAATAACTAGAAATTAACTTATAAAAAGTTAAAGATCTCTACAATGAAAACTATAAAACACTGATGCAGGAAATTGAAGAGGACAACAAAATGGAAAGATATGTCATATCCAGGAATTGAAATAATCAACATTCTTGATATGTCCATACCACCCAAAGCAATGTATCATTTCAATGCTGTTTTTGTTAAAATACCAATGACATTCTTCAAAGAATTAGAAAAAAATTTTTAAAGCTTATACGAACAAAAAGATGAACACTGGCAAGAATCACATTACCTGACTTCAAATTATACTACAGAGCCGTAATAGAGTATGGTGCTGGAATAAAAATAAACATATAGACCAATGGAACAGAATACAGATATCCCAGAATCAAATCCACAAATCTGCAGTGAACTCATTTTCAACAAACTTGCCAAGAACATACACTAGGGAAATCATAGTCTATTCAATAAATGGTCCAGAGAAAACTGGATATCCATATGCAGAAGAATGAAACTAGACCCCTATCTCTCACTGTATACAAAAATAAAATCAAAATGGATTAAAGTCTTAAATCTAAGACTTCAAAATATGAAACTACTACAAGAAAACTTTGAGAAAATCTCCAGAACATTGAGCTGGGCAAAAATTTCTTGCACAGACAACCAAAGCAAAAATAAGCAAATGAAATCATCATATCAAGTTAAAAATCTTCTGCACAGCAAAGGAAACAATCAAAAAAGTGAAAACACAACCCACAGAATGGAAGAATATTTGCAAACCACCCATCTGACAAGGGATTAATAACCAGAATATATAAGGAGCTCAAACAACTCTTTAGGAAAAAAATCTAATAATTCAATGTTAAAATGGGCAAAAAATCAGAATAAACATTTCTCAAAAGAAGACATACAAATGGCAAACAGGCATATGAAAAGGTGTTCAATGTCACTGATAATGACAGTAATGCAAATCAAAGCCAAAGTGAGATATCACCTCACCCCAATTTAAATGGCTTTTATTCAATAGACAGGCAATAACAAATATTGGTGAGAATGTGGAGGAAAAGGAATCCTCATACACTGTTGGTCGGAATATAAATTAGTACAACAGCTACAGAGAATAGTCTGGAGGCCTCAGAAAACCAAAAATTGAGCTACCATATGATCCAGCAATCCCACTGCTGGATATACGCCAAAAAAAAAAGGAAATCCGTATGTTGAAGAGATATCTGCACATCCGTGTTTTTTGTTGTTGTTGTTGTTGTTGTTTTTTGTTTTGTTTTGTTTTGTTTTGCAGCACTATTTACAGTAACCAAGATTTGGAAGCAACCTAAGTGTCCACCAACAGATGAATACATCAGAAAAAATGTGGTTCTTATACACAATGGAGTGTCGTTCAGCCAGAGGAAAAAAATGAGATTCTGTCATTTGGAGCAACATGGATAGAACTGGAGATCATTCTGTTAAGCAGAATAAGCCAGGCTAAGAAAGACAAACATCAGATATTCTCACTCATTTGTGGGATCTTAGAAACAAAACATGGAACTCACGAAGATAGAGAATAAAAGTACGGTTAACAGAGGATGAGAAGGGTAGCGGAGATATGGCGGGGAGGTGGAGATGGTTAATGTGTACAAAAAAAATAGAAAGTATGAATAAGCCCTACTATTTGACCACACAACAGGGTGACTATTATCAATAATAACTTAATTGTACATCTAAAAATAACTAAAAGCATGTATGATTGTATTGTCTGTAACACAAAGGACAAATGCTTAATAGGATAGATACCACATTCTCCATGATGCGATTATTAGAAATTTCATGCCTGTATCAAAATATGTCATGTAACCCATAAATATATGCACCTACTATGTACCCACAAAAATTAAAAAGAAAAAAATAAAAAAGAAACCCAAAAGTGTAAACTCATACTGGGAGATGAGAGAAGTGACTACAGCTGAGAAATGATAAATGAGGCAGGGTTAACAGATAAACGTTGGAGTGAAAAGAGCCTTGTATATGAGCCTAAGGGCGTGGACTAGGAAAAAATAAATAAAACTTTTTCAAGAGTCCACTGTGTATGAGAGGCACTCAGACACCGCCAGTGTGGCTAACTGCAGAGTGAAGGTGAGAGATAAATGAAAGTGAAGGAAGGAATCAGGATATACAGAGACCTAAAGATCATATTAAGAAATGTATTGGCCGGGCGCGGTGGCTCACGCCTGTAATCCCAGCACTTTGGGAGGCCGAGGCGGGCGGATCACGAGGTCAGGAGATCGAGACCATCCTGGCTAACACGGTGAAACCCCGTCTCTACTAAAAATAAAAAAAACATTAGCCGGGCGTGGTGGTGGGCGCCTGTAGTCCCAGCTACTCGGGAGGCTGAGGCAGGAGAATGGCGTGAACCCGGGAGGCAGAGCTTGCAGTGAGCCGAGATCACGTCACTGCACTCCAACCTGGGCGACAGAGCAAGACTCTGTATCAAAAAAAAAAAAAAAAAAAAAAAAAGAAAAAGAAAAGAAATGTATTCTAATTTATAATCTAATTTAGAATCTCTGTAGTGATTCAATTTTTGGGGTGTCACATGATCAGATTTTTATTTTGCAAAGAACAATCTGCAAAAGTGAAGAAAAGAGGCCATGGTAACTTGGTCTTGAATTGTGGTGGAAGATGAATAAAGATAGATAGATACATGATAGTTAGATGATAGATTGATAGAGTGATAGGTAGATAGATAGATACATAGATAGAACAATTTTGTAATTACCTAGTAGGTATAATCAAAAGGATTTGGTGTTACATAGGTGATAGGAAGTGAGAGTGAAAATATCAGAGTTGACATTTCCATTTCTGGCTTTCACACCTGGTTAAATGGAGTCAACATGAACAGAGAAAAAGGAACACTGGAAAAGAACAGGTGCTGGGAAGGGGAGATCATATTTCATCTTGGACATATTGAGTTTAAAGTACCTTTGATACTTGAGTAGGGTTCTGCAACAGACTGCCTGAATTTGAATTTAAGGGTAGCCACTTGTGTAACCCAGGGAAGGTATTTAACACTGTTGTGCCTTAGGTTCTTGATATGTAAAACATAAATAATAATTAATAGTAACCTCATATAACTATTGTAAGGAATAAATACAAAGTGCACAGAGGAGAGCTGGTACTTGCTATGTATTCAAAACATATTAGCTGTTTTTATTTCTGTTGACTATTATTATCTAAGAGGAGATGTAAATTAAGTAGTTGCATATAGCAAGGTTCAGCTGAGAAAAAGCAATGTAGCTATTTACTCTTATTTTATATTACGAAAATTTCCAAATATTTACAAAAGTAGACAGAAAACTAGAATAAGCAACTTGTATGCATGCTGCATCTTCAACAAAGATCAGTTCATAATCAGTTTTATTTTATCTATATGCCCACATACTGTATCTCTATCCAGAATCATTTTGAAGCAAATTCCAGATATCATATCATCTAGTCTATCAAGGTACTAGTATATATGACGATATGCTTTTGAGTGTCAGTTGCATATAGAAAGGCAACTGAAATCCAGGGAGTGGACATGATTGCCAGAAGGGCAAGTGTAGGGTGAGAAGACAAGAAAGCCTTGAGACATTCCAACGTTGGATGGCTGAACAGAAGAGAGTGGGACTACAAGGAAGCAGAGGAACTGCTTATAAATATTTTATTGGTTTCCTTTTTCCGCAGACTGCTATCCTGATTACCCACTTTTGTATCCACATACTGCTGCGCTGCATACACTCCCATGCAGAGGCATCCTATAGGTTATGCAGGATTCTAGCTGATTAGCTCTAAATTCACACTTTTTGGCTTATTACAGAAAAATCATACTATACTTCCCTGGCCAATTCAGCCTTCCCTTCTTCTATATTTCATTCATTTCTCTCTCTCCTCACACCTCCAAAATTTCCTCCTCCTCCTCCAATTTCATGCTCAGATGATGACTGTCTTCATACCTCACTGGAAAACTAAGTCAGTCAGAAGAAAACTTTCCTAGATGTGCTGCACCGTATTCACTCAGCTGCTTATCGTCTTTGAAGAATGTGGTCCTGGGTATTAGGTTTTTGCCATTACTTTTAATGGCAAAAACAGCAGTTACTTTTGCACCAACCTAATATCTCACCATTTGACTATTAGATGCCACATGTTTCATTTCAGTGCACCATCAATATCCGCCTCTCTACAGAATTATTCACATCAGCACAAGAACATTATTTTTTAAGTTTCTTCCATCTCAATCCACAAACAGGCAAAAAAATAAAATGCTTTTCCTGATCCTCCTGCAGTTACTGTCGCATGTCCTTTTTATTGTTTGCAGGAAAACCTCTTGTAAGAAATATCTATATTCACTGTCTCCAATTCTTCACCTCCTATTGCTTCTCAAACCCACTTCACTCAGGCCTTTGTTCCCAGCATTCCACTAAAACTGCTCTCACCAAAATCACCAATGACCTCAACATTTCTAGAATCACTAATAATTTCTCTACTTCACCTTACTTGACTCATCAGCAACATCTGACTCATTTGATCACTCTCTCCTTTTTAAATATGCTGTCTTCACTTATTCTCCAGGATGCTACACACTCTTCATTTTCATTTTATATCACTGAATGCTCTTTCTTGGTCTCTTTTTGGGAAGTTTTGCTTGTCTTCAGCCTTTTAATGTAACACTGCCTCAGGGCCCAGTCCTTGGTCTTTGATACTCAGTTGCTTGGTGATCTCATCCAGTCTCATGTATAAATCAGATGCTTCATAGGCAGCTTGAACCTGACAAGTTTTAGGAAAAAATCTTGGTTTCCACTCCCTAAATCTATTACTCTCATTGTCTTTTATGTCTCAAAAAAAATGGCAGATCCATTTTTCTAGCAGCTCGGGCCACCCACATGGAGGTTATTTTGACTCCTGTCTTCTTCCCATGCCACACATCCAATCCATTAGTAAATTCTGCTGGCTCTACCTTCAATTATATCCAGAATCCTACCACTTCTCTCCATCTGAACTGTTACTGCCCTGCTCTGAGAAACCATTACCTCTCAGTTAAATCACTGGATTAGTTTTCAACGGCTTGCAGCAATATTATATTAGATTTGGGGAGGGGCATACCTCTTCTGACCTTATGCCTGGGTTCCATGTTAGGATTAGTCAGTCTCTGTATGTGGGCTTGCATTTGAGTAAGAATCATATATGGGGAACACTGAAATCAAGGTAGAAATTGTGCACTCAGGGTAGGGATTGCTACTAAGCCAATAACGAAGAGGCAAACCTCAAATCCTTGATTAATTCAGGCAGAGAATTCCAACTGACGGCGTAAAGAGGATGAGTGAGAGCTTATAATAAGTGACAAGAACAAGGCCTGAGTGAAGGGTGCCCTATTTGGGGGTAAGGAACATGTATGCTTGGGGAGAGCCCCGCCCAAAGGAATTCCTGTGCAGAAAAGAGTAAAAATCTGGGTTGGCATTTGTGGTGACTTATGAATAAGACAAGGCAGAAGTAAATAATATCCTGTTATGATTGGAGGAATGATAGAAATTCTTTAATGAGGCAAGAGCAGAGTCATTTAGGACCAGCTGGGGGTAGGGGATTCCTTTGAGATTGCATGCATCTTCTTTGCAACTGGCCATTTGGGTCACGCTTAGAGACCTGCCATTGAAATCCTGATAGTATCTTTATTTATTTATTTATTTATTTATTTATTTTTTTTGAGATACTTTTTTTTTATTATTATACTTTAAGTGTTAGGGTACATGTGCACATTGTGCAGGTTAGTTACATATGTATACATGTGCCATGCTGGTGCACTGCACCCACTAACTCGTCATCTAGCATTAGGTATATCTCCCAATGCTATCCCTCCCCCCTTCCCCCACCCCACAACAGTCCCCAGAGTGTGATATTCCCCTTCCTGTGTCCATGTGATCTCATTGTTCAATTCCCACCTATGAGTGAGAATATGCGGTGTTTGGTTTTTTGTTCTTGCGATAGTTTACTGAGAATGATGTATCTTTAAACATATCCCTAGGAAGCACAAAGACTGAAGGAAAAAAGCTCAGTGTATTTAAGAGTAATTTATTTTCTTTATTTAGACTATTGTCTCTTTATAGAACTACTAATGTAGCACTCTTTCCAGCAAAATTTGAGGGTATGAGAATTCTGATACCAAATTTTGCCCTTTAGGTCTGCATGACTCCACAGGGCAAAGAGAATGGATCTAGATTCCAAGACATGTTTTTGCAGAGGTTAGGAGCTACCGTTGGATCCTGCACTGATTGTTTTTTCCAAACAGAGTTAATCATGACAGCTTTCTCCATTAAACTATGGCTGGAGGCACTGAACAATGCCTGCTGTGCTGGAATGCTCCAAGAAAGCCCACTGAGAGCACTAGCAATGAACAAGTAATAGTATTTGGGCCAATTCTGTTGCACTCTGTAGAAAATTACAAGGACAAAGTTGTCTTGTTGGCATTTTGAATGAGTGTAGGCAGTGATACAAAGTCTTTTCCTAGAATTAATATTCACAAAAACTTGTTAACAATTTAACTATCTTCCTTAATAGCCAAACTAATTAAAAGTGAGCCTTTTCCTTCATATGATGAATTAGTCATCCAAGGTAAGATAATAATGTTGATTACATTTACAGATAATTCTATCACCAGTGGGGAGAAGAAAAGCTAAATATCAATTCTTCAAAATGTGACAGAAGTAAACAACTTTTAGTCACAAACGTTAGTGTTCATATTTTTCATATTTCTAAATATATTTCTCAAATTATATGAAATTTTCAGAGAATGTAATTTATTCTTCAACAAGTATATTTTATGTACTCTTCAACAAGTATATTTTATTTACACATTATACATATTTTTCTTTTAGATTGTACTAAAATGTTTGTTACTATACTAGTTTAATAAAACCAATAAATTATTATGAATAAGGAAAGAGAGAAAGAAATATGAAACATGCACCAGTTAATGAAGCCTTATAGGCAATATGTTTCTTCTTGTGAAATTGGCTTTGTTGTAATATGATTTCTCATAATTAAAGTGTTAATTGTATTTGTAATAACTTTTTGAGATAGTCATCATTAAACCCATTTTATAACTGGAAGAATTGAGGTATGAAAAATTTGATTTTTTCACAATGTCACAACAAAGTTAAAGTTGTAGCCTCAGGAATAGAACCTCAAGATATTGATGTCTTGCTTCCATATAGCAACACACTATGGTATGTGTTTGTATGAATTTGTGTTTGTGTCTTGGGGGTTATTTCCCAATATTGTAACTTTAACTAATTTTACCCTTTAGGAAGGAGAAAAATAACGTCCTACCTCTTTTTATATTCTGGGACCCAGTATGTGACTATATGTATGATAAGAGTAGATATTCCCATAATAAGTTGGCAGAAGATCCTGGGAAATAATTGTTTCAAGAGTTTTTCCAAGGACAGGATCCAGCGCCTTCTCAAAGGAACAGTGTGTCCAAATAAATCTCATTGTACTGATTATCTTAAGTTTTAGTCCCAGGGCGAATGTCCTAGCTGTGTCAATAACTTGCTCTGTAACTTTGGGTAACTCACTGAATCTCTATGCTTCCTTTTAGCACAAAAATCAGAGAATATTTAGATTCTATGCAATGGAAAGTTACATTACACAATGCTGGCTTGAAGGTATACTGATGGTTAATCTGAATAATTAGTTTTATTTTAATTGTTCTGGGATCTTAAACCAATACACTTTCTTCCTCTGCCTTGCTGCTTCTCCTTGCGTAAATTTATTTAGATTACCTCAGGGTTCATGACCCACACAATCCTGATCAGTCTAGAAATATTTACTCCTATGTTTGCTTAGCTGCGGCATTTACCTTTCTAGACACTTTGCAATTAGTGGTGGTTCCTCCTGTGGTTGATAATGTTATTGCCACATATAGAAGCACTGAGAGAATATTGGAAGGCAGCCCAGTGATTTAGTCCACTTGAATCCATTATCAAGTGCTTTTAGGGGTTATATAACCCAGTTCCTCCTAGTTATAGTCCCCTGTTACAAATTAACCATCTGGCTTGGTAGAAGCTGCCTTTTAACTGTTTTTCATTTGGCCTTCGTGCCAAATGTTGGTTCCCATGGAAATGATTTAAAACATGCATTAAAATCTGGGAATGGCTGTGTTTTCTTCATCTGAGGGCTTCCATTGTCTTTATAACATCCAAGTTTTTTCTTTTATTGATAGTTACATAATTGTCACCTGTTCAAGTCACTCCCAGAATAGGCAGGGATGTAGGGGCATGAATCCACTATCATAATTTCTACCTTCCAGGATTATAAGTGTATAATTATGGAGCAAATATATAGAACAAAATAGTTTGCCTGTTACAATTAATGAGTAAAATATTTACAAACTGTTCATAAAAACACGATATTTTATAAGCAAATATTTTAGGGGAAATTCTGAAAGACTAAAATCCCCCATACTCTTAGAAAAATTACTTGAGCAGAGCTGTCTAAGGTGAAATATATTATTTTTCATTGACCAAACATCTGTTTTTCAAACGGTCATGCCCCTTAGCTTTCATACTAGTAGGTGTTAGTGCTCTAGTACCCTTACCCTTTTCAGCAAGTAGCTTTTCTGGAAAAAAAAAAAGTGTATGTGAAACCCTAATTAAGGTATCAGAATATCTTCTACACTTGACATACGAATATATTTTCAAACTCAACTGGTGGAAGCCCTCTAGTAAGCTAGAGCAGCAGATCAATTCCACTATCATACCAGTACCCATGTTCAGGAAAGTTACTGGAATTAAAAAGCAAACATTTAATAACTAATAAAGGTTTAACTATAATTCATTCTGTATGCAGTCAGATGATCTGCAAATTAAGAGCAAAAGAGAAAAAAATGAAAGTGTACGGGGGATAAAAATGGTTTCATGTGGGACATAGACCTGTTTTAGTTAATATACGCATGTGAGAGAGAGTACTCATTTATCAAGAGTTTGAGGGATATGAACTAGTCTATAAATATATTTTTCATAAAAAATGAAATCCATGATTTAATAATGGTATTGACAGTAGCATTTTAGGCTTTTACCGTGTTTGAGTTATTGTGGCAAGCACCGGCCATACATTAATTTATTTAATTCTAATAACGTACCTATGAGGTAGGTAATATCACTATCTCAATTTTACAGATGAAGAAACAAGCAGGGAGAGTTTTGGTGTCTTGTTAAATATCCCTTGTCTAGGTGTATGGTGGCAGTGATAAACCTGGAGTCTAGCATTTCTCTCATTATGCTGACTCTCATAGAGCTAGCATCTCCATGTGTAGCCATTTTGAACAGAACCAGAACATTCTTCCTAACCTTCCTTAAGAGCATCACCAAACATTACTTAACTTTTCTCTGATGGCTGAGAAATGACTTTTTCTGAGAGACCATCCAGACTAATCCAAACGTTCCCTCTAATCCATGTTTACCCTACTCATTACCGCGTGCCTAAATTCCCCAGACATTTATCTCCATGTAGCTTTGTACATAATTTAATCTTACCCAATGCCCATCCTCTGATCTTCCAAAATGTTCCACTGTGCAACTGAAACTCACAGTCCTCATTCAAATTTTCACTACAATTTATCTCTTTATATATTTTCTTCATCTTCTTGGTCTAAATGAAAGCTGGCTTTCTACTGACAATGCAGACTCCCTGCATCCCCTCTCAACTGGTGAGTGATTTTTGCTTTCTTCTTGTCATTTCCTTTCATACTTTGTAGATTTTAACAGTTGATGTTATGAACTGTCACCCAAAAAACTCACTCATTTGTTGAAGCCTTACTCCCTAATGTAATATTTGGAGGTGAGTCATTTGAAAATAAATGTTCATTTTTTCATAAGGGTGGAGCCCACATGATGGGCTTGGTGTCCATTAGTGTCCAAGAGGAAGAGGCTGGCATGCTGGTATCTGTAGTCCCAGCTTCTGGAGAGTCTGAGAAGGGAGGATTGCTTGAACCCAGGAGTCTGAGACTATACTACACTATAATCACACTTGTGAATGTGAATAGCCACTGCACTGGAATCTGGGCAGCATAGTGAGGCTGGTTCTATAAAGAAAATAAAATTAGAGGAATACACGCCAGATTTATTTCTGTTTCTTTCTTCATCATGTAGAAATACAGCAAAAAGGCAGTGGCTGTCTGAAAGTCAGGAAGAAGGGTCTCAAAGGGAATTTGAATCAGGCAACACCTTGATTTTGAACTTCTCAGTCTCTAAAACTCTGAGAAATAAATGTCTGTTGTTTAAGCCATCCAGGCTATGGTATTTGGTTATGACAGTCTGTCTTAGTCTGTTTGGGCTGCAATAACAATCCACCCCATACTAGGTAATTTATCAATAGTATACGTTTATTTTTCAAGTTCTGGAGGCTGGAAGTTCAAAGTCGAGGCACTAGCAGTTTCACTGTCTAGTAAGGGCTTGATCTCTGCTTCCAAGGTGGCACCTTGACTGTTGTGGCCTCACATGGCTGATGCAATGGAGGACAAAAAGGGGCCGAGCTAAGTCTCTCCAGCCCTTTCATAAGATTGCTAATCCCATTCACAAAGTCTCCTTCCTCATGACTTAATCACCTCCTAAAGGCCCCACCTTTTATTATCACCTTGTCTTTTAAGTTCCAATATATGAATTTTGGAAGAAAACATATATTTGAACCATAAATCAAACTTGAGTTAAGACATCTGGATTTCTGATTTATTTTTATGTCTACCGTACCTTCTGTCAACAATCTCAGTATAGATCATACATCCTTGATATCTAGAGTATTTCCATTGGTATTTTATTCCACCTCACTCCAACTACACAATACCATAGAAACTCTCCAGGTCTTGTCATTAGAGATAACAGCCTCAAAGCCCAGACCTCTATTTCAGGCCCCCTCTTTCTGAACAATGCTACCATCTTTTTAGCTCACTTGTAGTACCTCCAGCACCACTTATTTTAAACCAACATGACTTTTAATTGATTGATTATACCACATTTTGTTTCATTGCTCATTCTCAATCTCATGCCACAATTTCCCTTCTTACCCAGTTTATATAGTATGCTAATTCATTAAAATCACTCTCTTACATGTGCCCTTCACTCCCTTATACCTCTGTACTCTGTCTTTCTTGCCAGTTTCCCACAAACCATGAACCTGCCCCTGAGCAGCTCAGTGTTGCCAGAGGAAAGCACATAATTGGGCACTCGACACTGCCTGGTAATCATGATGCCTTTCCCAATGTATTTATTCTCTCGCCCTTCAAGAAGAGCATTTTAAACTTTTCCCCTCCTATTAAAACTCTCTTAGCTTCTTCCACTTTTAACTTTCAACTAAAGGTCTCAGTTTTTATTTCACCAAGAAAGTAGAAATAATCAAAAAGGAAACAGCTCTCACATTCTCACCACCAAGCCTATCAACCTAACAACACCTGTATCCATATATACTGCCCTTCAAATTGTTATACCAGACAAATATGGACTGACATATTCCTACTTGGGCCATGGATCCCCATCTTCTCTGCTATACTCAAAGACTTTGTTCCTACATTTCTTCCAACTTTCTCTACTTTATGATCAATTTCCTCATTCTTATTAGATAATTCCCATCAATAATACCACTTCCTATTATAATCAGCTCCTATCTTTAAAAAAAAATAAAAAGGCAAAGCCCTCTGTTAGAACCCACATCCTTTTTATCCCTAGATGCAAGATACTCTTCCTCCTGATTTACCTACTTTCCTTCATAATCAAAACTCCTATGTCTTACCACCCGTAGCCTCCAGGTGCTCTCCACCACTCCCCTGAAACCACATCTTTCAAGATCACTAGTGACCTCCATCATTCCCAATTGTTTCCACTTACATTGCTCATCTTTTCAGAAGCAGTTTACAAAATTCATCACTCACTTATTCTTAAATTTTTTTTCTGTATTTCGGACGCCCCACAATTGCCTTGCTTGCCTTTCAACTCACATGTTATTTCACTTTACTCTCTCTTTTTGTCTTTCCTCCTCTTTCTAATTTCTAAATAATGGAACATATTTCATGAACCATCCTGTTTTTCTTATTTTATATATATATATTATATATATAATAATATAATATATATTTAAAATATATATTATATATAAAATATATATATAATATATATTTGAAATATATATTATATATATATTATATATATAAAATAAGAAAAAATATATATGAGTAAAAAATATACTCATCCAATACCATGGTCACACATACACTGTAAGAATGAATTTATTTTATGAGTAGATCTCAAGTCCAGTGACTATTGACATCAAGATTCACAAATCTAACTGTATATGCAGTATCTCCACTTGGAAGTCTAAGAGACATTTGGCTTTTGACATGGTTTGGCTCTGTGTCTCCACCCAATTCTCATCTTGAATTATAATCCCCACGTGTTGGGGAAGGGACCTGGTAGGAGACAATAGGATCATGGGGACGGTTTCCCCCATGTTGTTCTCATGACAGTGAGTGAGTTCTCATGAGATCTGATGGTTTTATAAGTGGCAGTCTCCCCTGCACTCTCTCTCTCCCACCTGCCACCATATAAGATATACCTTGCTTCCCCTCCACCTTCTGCCATGACTGTAAGTTTCCTGAGGCCTCTCGGCCGTGTGAAACTATGACTTAATTAAACATTCTGTCTTTATAAATTACCCAGTCTTGGGTAGTATCTTTATAGAAGTGTGAAAACAGACTAATACAGCCTTTGACATGTCCAAAAGAGACCTATATCTACACTCCAGTTCCAATCTCCCATTCCAATATTTTCCATCTTTGTCCTTTTACTGTTATACATGGACTTGATTTTTCAAAAAACCTTTTTTAGGTTCAGGGGTACATGTGCAGTTTTTTATATAGGTAAGCTCATGTAATAGAGGTTTGTTGTACAGATTATTTCACCACCCAGATACTAAGCCTGGTACCCAATAGTTACTTTTCTGCTCCTATCCCTCTTCCCACTCTCCCCGTAAGAGCATAGCTAATCATGGAGGTGAAAAATCTCTACGGTGAGAATTACAAAAGATATGGAACCAAAAAAGAGTGCAAATAGCCAAGATAATTCTAATCAAAAAAGTACAAGGCAGGAGTCATAACACTATCTGTCTTCAAGCTATACCACAGGGCTATCGTTTTTTCTAGTTCTATGAAGAATGTCATTGGTAGTTTGATAAGAATAGCATTGAATCTGTAAATTGCTTTGGGCAGTAGAGCGATTTTAATGATACTGACTCTTCCTTTCCATGAACATGGAATATTATTCTATTTGTGTAATCCCTGCTTTCTTTGAGCAGTGTTTTGTAATTCTCATCGTAGAGATTTTTCGCCTCCCTGGTTAGCTGTGTTCTTAGGTATTTTATTCTTTTTTGTGAAAATTGTGTCTGGAATTGCATTCTTGATTTGGCTCTCAGCTTGGCTGTTTTTGATGTATAGGAATGCTAGTGATTTTTGTATGTTGAATTTGTATCCTGAAACATTGCTTAAGGTTGTTTATCAACTAAAGGGGCTTTTGGGCTGAGATATGAAGATATCTAGATATAGAATCATGTCATCTGCAAGCAGGGATAATTTGACTTGCTCTCTTCTTTTTTGGATGCCCTTTATTTCTTTATCTTGCCTGATTGCTCTAGCCAGGAGTGCCAACACTACGTTGAATAGGAGTGGTGAGAGAGGGCATTCTTGTATTGTATCGGTTTTAAAGGGGAATGCTTCCAGTTTTTTCCCACTTAGTATGATGTTGGCTGTGAGTTTGTCATGGATGGTTCTTAATTTGAGGTATCTTCCTTCAATACTTAGCTTGTTGAGTTTTCAATAAAATATGTAAAATTCTATTGAAAGCCTTTTCTGAATCTATTGAGATGATCTTGTAGTTTTAGTCTTTAGTTCTGTTTATGTGATGAATCATGCTTATTGATTTGTGTATGTTGAACCAACCTTGAATCTCAGGGATGAAGCATTCTTGCTTGTGGTAGATGAGCTGTTTGATGTGCTGCTGGATTTGATTTGCTAGCATTTGTCGAGGATTTTTGCATTGATGTGCATCAAGGATATTCA
This sequence comes from Homo sapiens, assembly GCF_000001405.40. Taxonomy (NCBI): domain Eukaryota; kingdom Metazoa; phylum Chordata; class Mammalia; order Primates; family Hominidae; genus Homo; species Homo sapiens. The sequence goes on along the minus strand of NC_000023.11, from coordinate 144,269,421 downwards.
CCTGACATTTTATTTTTCGTTGTGTCTGTGCCAGGTTTTGGAATCAGGATGATGCTTATCTTATAGAATGAAATGGGGAGGAGTCCATACTCATCAATATTTTGGGATAGTTTTGGTAAAAATTGTAAGAGCTCTTCTTTGTGTATCTGGTAGAATTCAGCTGTGAATCCACCTAGTCCTGTGCTTTTTATTTTATATTTTTTGGTTGGTAGGCTATTTATTACTGATTCAATTTCAGAGTTTGTTATTGGTCTGTTCAGGGATTCAAATTCTTCCTGGTTCAGTCTTAGAAAGATGTATGTGTCAAGGGATTTGTTCACCTCTTCCGTATTTTCTAGTCGGTGTGCATACAGGTATTTATAATAGTCTCTGATGGTTATTTCTATTTATTTAAGGTCAGTGGCTATATCTCCAGTGTCATTTCAAATTATGATTATTTGAGTCTTCTCTGTTTTTTATTAGTCTAGCTAGTCATCTATCTATATTTTTTTAAAGAAAAAACATCTACTGGCTTTGTTGATCTTTTGAATGGTTTTTCATGTCTTAATCTTCTTCAGTTCAGCTCTGATGTTGGTTATTTCTTGTCTTCTGCTGACTTTGGTGTTGTTTTTCTCTTGGTTCTCTGGTTGTTATAGTTGTGATGTTAGGTTGTTAATTTGAGATCTTTAACTTTTTAGTGTGGGCATTTAGTGCCATAAATTTCTCTCTTAACACTGCCTTAGTTGTGTCCCAGAGATTCTGGTCCATTGTATCTTTGTTCTCATTTGTTTCAAAGAAGTTCTTGATTTCTGCCTTAATTTTATTATTTACCCAAAAGTCATTCAGGAGCAGGTTGTTTAATTTCCATGTAAGGGTATGGTTTTGAGTGGTTTCCTTAATCTTGAATTCCATTTATATTATGCTGTGGTCTGAGAGAGTGGTTGGTATGATTTCAGTTCTTGTGCATTTGCTCAGGATTGGTTATGTTTGATTATGAGGTCGATTTTAGAGTTTGTGCCATGTGCAGAAGAGAACAATGTATATTCTGTTTAGGGGTAGAGGGTTCTGCAGATTTCTATCAGGTCCATTTGATCCAGTTTTTAGTTTAGGTCCTGAATATCTTTGTTAATTTTCTGTCTCGATGATCTGGCTAGTAGTTTCAGTGGGGTGTTGAAGTCTCTCATTATTATTTTGTGGGGGTGTAAGTCTGTTTGAAGATCTCTGTGAACTTGCTTTATGAATCTGGGTGCTCCTGTGTTGGGTGCATATATATTTAGGATGGTTAGGTCTTCTTGAATTAAACCCCTTACCATGATGTAATACTGTTCTTTGTCCTTTTTGGCCTTTTTTTGTTGTTTTAATGTCTGTTTTGTCTAAAATTAGGATTGCAACCCCTGGTTTTTTTCTGGTTTTTTTTTTGTTTGTTTTTTGTTTTTATTTGCTTGGTAGATTTTTCTTCAACCCTTTATCCTGCAGTCACCCTGTGACTTTTAATTGGTGCATTTAGCCCATTTACATTCAGGTTAATATTAATATGTGTGGGTTTTATCCTGTCACAGTATCTTAAGGTAGTTATTATTCAGACTTATTTATGTGGTTTCTTTATAAGTGTCTTAGGTCTGTGTACTTAAGTGTGTTTTTTTGGGGGGGATATTTTGTTTTGTTTTTTTTTTTGTTGTTGTTGTTGTTTTGAGACAGAGTCTTGCTCTGTCATCCAGGTTGGAGTGCAGTGGAGCAATCTCGGCTCACTGCAACCTCTGCCTCCCAGGTTTAAGTGATCCTCCTGCCTCAGCCTACCGAGTAGCTGGGACTACAGGCGCACAACACCATGCTCAGCTAATTTTTGTAATTTTAGTAGAGACGGGGTTTCACCATGTTGGCCAGGATGGTCTCGATCTCTTGACCTCGGGATCCACCTGCCTTGGCCTTCCAAAGTGCTGGGATTACAGGCATAAGCCACCGCGTCCGGCCTTAAGTGTGTTTTTATAGTGGCTGATAATGGTCTTCCATTTCCATATTTAGTGCTCTTTTCAGAAACTCTTGTAAGAAAGGTTTGGTGGTAACACACTCAATCAGCATTTGCTTTTCTGAAAAGGATCTTATTTCTCCTTTGCTTGTGAAGCTCAGTTTGGCTGGAAATAAAATTCTGTGTTGGAATTTCTTTTCTTTAAGAATGTTGAAAAGCCGGGTGCAGTGGCTCACACCTGTAATCCCGGCACTTTGGGAGGCTGAGGCGGGCGGATCACGAGGTCAGGAGATCGAGACCATCCTGGCTAACACGGTGAAACCCCGTCTCTACTAAACATACCAAAAATTAGCCGGGGTGGTGGCGGGTGCCTGTAGTCCCAGCTACTCAGGAGGCTAAGGCAGGAGAATGGCGTGAACCTGCGAGGTGTAGCTTGCAGTGAGCCATGATTGTGCTGCCACTGCACTCCCAACAGAGTGAGACTCCATCTCAAAAAAAAAAAAAAAAAAAAAAGAATGTTGAAAATAGGCTCCCAATCGCTTCTGGCTTGTACGGTTTCTGCTGAGAGGTCCACTGTTAGTCTGATGGGCTTCCCTTTGTAGGTGACCTGTCCTTTCTCTTAGCTGCCTTAACATTTTTTCTTTTATTTCGACCTTGGAGAATCTGATGATTATGTGTCTTGGAGATGTTCTTGTGAAGTATTTTGTAGGGGTTCTTTGCATTTCCTGGATTTGAATGTTGGCCTGTCTTGCTAGGTTGGGGAAGTTCTCCTGGATGGTATCCTGAAATATGTTTTCCAAGTTGGTTCCGTTTTCCCCATCTCTTTCAGGCATACCAATGAGCCATAGATTAGGTCTCTTTACATAATCCCGTAATTTTTTAAGGTTTTGTTTGTTACTTTTTCCTCTGGCTCCTCAAGGTGAGGAACCCTCTGCACTTGGAGGCTGAGGTGCTCCCAGACTGCTTGTCACAGCACTCCAACGATTGGTGTCAGCCAAGTCACTTCACAGGGTGGTATCAGTGGGATCTGTCCTCATTTGCTTGTGCCAGCAGCAGTGATGGCAGCAGCATGGCAGGGTGCATGCTCTTCAGCTGCGACAGGGCCCTAGTGGGTACTGGGTTGCCAGCCTCTGTGTGGGTGTTCAGAGCAGGAGCAGTGGCAGCATGGCTTCAGGGAACGGGGACCCCCACCTGCAACTGTTCATGTGTTCATATTGGTGGTGGTGTTAGCATAGGGCCAGGGCACTGGTGGGCACACGACTGTATGCACCCTCTGTGCGCATTTACTCTTGCAGCATTGGCTGTTCACGGCAGGGGTGAGTTTGCTGTTCTGCCTGCAGCAGTGTCAACACAGGGGTGGGGTGCTCATGGGGTCAGGGCTGGCAGTCTCTGTACTCACCAAAGTGCCAATGACAATTGCAGTGTAAAAAGGGGAGGGTGGGTGGGGTTCAGTCACACCACCAGCAGTGGCATAGAAGGATGTATGTGCACAGCTGCAATGGCAGGGAAATGAAGGCAAGATCCACCTACACATTCACATGCCAGTGATGTGATATGGGGGATGGCTATGGGTGAGTGTGTGCTGGCAAAGTGCCACGGGGTAGGCTGCAGTGGGGAGAGGGCCCAGGAAGGCTTGTGCATGTCCATGGGGGCTGATTTTCTGGAGCACTCTGCCAGTCAGGTGTGGTCTGCCAGCATAGGAGCCATGATGGAGGCCTCCAGCAGGTACCTGGGGGCTGCATTGCAAGTAGGGCATGGCTAGGCTGCAGCCCCAGGATGGGCCAGCAGACTGAGGGATGCTCTGGTTGAATTGGCCCCATCTCATGAGCAAGACTACCCTGCAGAATTCAGATCCAACAGTTCCTCTAGGGCTAACGTCTCCTATGAGAGCAAGTTGAGCCTAGGGATATGGGAATCCCTCGTCGTGCGGTACTATAAATCCTTTCACACCAAACCCTTTGGTCTCCTCAGTGACTTGAGCTCCGCCCCTACCACTTCTCTAAGCAGCTCTTCCTGCCAATTCAAGGGTTTGTGGTGGTTAAGGGGTCTCTGCCTGAAGGGATTCCAGAGGCCTGTGGCAAGAGCAGATTGCTCCTTGCCTGTTCAACTCACCTCTTCTGCGGGAGTCATTGGAGACCAGGAATGAGTCCTTGTTCCTCTCCCTCTGTATCTTCCCTCCATCTGCTCTCAATGCCTTCTTTCTGAAGATCTGATAGGAGGATGCTGGTCTTCCTGATGTCCCAGTCCCTTGGTGGGAGATGTTCCTCCTGGCCGTGTCTAGCTGGCCATACTGGGGAGACCAGATCTTTATTTGGGTCTGTCTCACAGGGTTCATATTGTGAAAATTCTGTTGAGTCTACCTTCAATATTTCTTCCAAGTTTGGCACCCTCATAAAGTCTCTACAGCCTAACGGCCAAAAGGATCTTGTTAAAAGTTGAGGCAGATCTTAATAAAAGCAAAATTCCAAGTAAGACCCTATGATTCTGTACATTTTGACCTCGTGTTTTATCTACTGAACAGCTTCCCTGCCACTCTCTTAGCTTGTTATATTGGACATCCTGGTGTTTCTCAGAAAACTGGACAAATTTCCACCTCAGAGTCTTTGCACTTACTATTTCCTCTGCTGGGAAGGCTCTTCTTTCAGATATCTTTATGAATCACTCCCTTATCTCTTTCAAGTCTCTGGTCAAATATTACATTCTCAGAGAAGACTCCTCCCACTATACCTTCTAGAAAAACACTTATTCTCTCTAGTTAAAAATTCCTTATCCACCCTCTTTTTTTTTTCCTAACACTTATCTATATATGAAATTGTATTTTATAAATGTATGTTTATTCTATTTTCGTTGTTTTTTACACTACAATGTAAGCCTAAAGAAGACAGATAATTCATCTGTTTTGTCGATTCTTGTATGTCCAAGAACTCAAACAGTGTTTTGCACACAGAAGTTGTTCAATAAATATTTGTTGAATAAGTTATCTTGTTCTTGTGTTCTGCTCAGATGCACCTTGCCTGAGGAGAATTGAATAGCAATGTGACAATGCAATCATCCTTGAAAGTTTATCGTACAGCTAGCCATTGATCAGGCACTCCTAAAACATTAAATGACCCTTTATACCTATGGACAGATTTTAGAAGAAAGAAAATGTCCCAGATACCTCAAATATGCCCACTATTTCTTCACGGCTTGAACATTTTTATAATGAAAAACAAAGATTTTTATTCAAATTCAACTAATTCAGTGAAAATTTTAGGCACTTTTATGTACCTAACCTGATTTGAAAATCAAATTAATGCTATCCATAAGATAGTATTCTTACTTTGCTGATGAGAAAACTGGAACTCTGTGATGTCACAACTTGCTTAAATTTCATATCTTAAGTGACATAGCCAGAACTTAAATTCACATCCTACATACTTTCGACTAGGTCAGGGTGGTGTTATTTATTTGTTAAGTTTTGTTTCTTTTGTTTACTGTTTATGTACTGGAGATAAGCAAAATCTAGAAGAGTTAATACATTGGTCTAAGTGAGTATCAAAATATTTGATACCAGAATTGATTACTGCTAAGGTGCAGTAATAACAGGATGGCACAAAAAACAGCCAGCCATAGAAGAGTGAAAAAGCTACAGCAAAATTTACTCACCTCTTAAATATAATAAAATGTGTGTGTGTGTGTGTGTCTGTGTGTTTAGTATGGACTAGCATACTATAACGTTATGCAAAGATATAACTGAACATAAAATTATTTTATGAAATTATGATGATTAACATGACTATCAGTGAATATCAGCAATATAATAAAACCCTCAGGATGTTTGAATTTCATTGGGCTATTTGTTCATATGTTAAGTAGCCTCAAATAAGCTGTTTTTCAGTTCTTGCATTTTATTTTAAAAATTGTTTTTGGTGAGAATCTTCTCTCTATCTCATCTATTTAAATAATTTATTACAGGTTTCATCATACTTAGAAAGAAAGACATAAATGCATGCATATGTACATTCGTGGTGTACATATGGGACATGTACACCATGGAACAAATGGGACATGCTGTATATATTAGTTTGTAACTTACCTGTTGCCTTTAATATATCACAGTTATAGTTCTATGCTAAGTACATATAGTTATAACTTGTGTTTCTTTGTCTTAAACATTACATGGTTATAATGTGGCTGTATAATATTTTATCTTCCATTCTGTTTATTAACATTATTTTTCTTTGTATTTTTACTTTCTTTTTTTCTATTGCAAACAGTGCTGTAGTGAATATCATAATAGTATTTTTAAGCACTCACACTTTTATACATGTAGGATAAATTCCTAGCATTTGAAATATGGGCTCATAATACATTTATACCTTCTTTTTATTGACACATAATATTTGCACATATTGATGGGTTACATGTGATATTTTGTTACACGAATAGACAGTGTAATGATCAAGCAAGTGTGTTTGGGATGTCCACCTCCTCAAGTATTTATCATTTCAATGTGTTGAAAACATTTCCAATCTTCTCTTTACCTATTTTGAAATATACAATACATTCTTGTTAACTAGTAGTCACTTTTCTCTGCTATCAAATATTAGAACACACTCCTTCTATCTAACTGTATATTTCTACCCTTTAACCAACCTTTCTTTACCTACTTCACTCCACCCCTTTCTGCCTTGGGTATCAATCATTCTATTCTTTACCTCCCTGAGACTAAAATCTTTAGCTCTGTCATATGAGTGAGACGATGCAATATTTGTTGTTCTGTGCCTGGCGTATTTCACCTAACATCATGACCTCCAGTTTCATCCATGTTGCTTTAAGTGACAGATTTTTTTTTTAATTTTTTAAATTTTTATTTTTTATTTTATTATTATTATACTTTAAGTTTTAGGGTACATGTGCACAATGTGCAGGTTTGTTACGTATGTATACATGTGCCATGTTGGTGTCCAGCACCCATTAACTCGTCATTTGGCATTAGGTATATCTCCTAATGCTATCCCTCCCCCCTTCCCCCTCCCCCCACCCCACAACAGTCCCCGGAGTGTGATGTTCCCCTTCCTGTGTCCATGTGTTCTCATTGTTCAATTCCCACCTATGAGTGAGAACATGTGGTGTTTGGTTTTTTGTCCTTGCGATAGTTTGCTGAGAATGATGATTTCCAGTTTCATCCATGTCCCTACAAAGGACATGAACTCTTCATTTTTTATGGCTGCATAGTATTCCATGGTGTATATGTGCCACATTTTCTTAATCCAGTCTATCGTTGTTGGACATTTGGGTTGGTTCCAAGTCTTTGCTATTGTGAATAGTGCCGCAATAAACATACGTGTGCTTGTGTCTTTATAGCAGCATGATTTATAACCCTTTGGGTATATACCCAGTAATGGGATGGCTGGGTCAAATGGTATTTCTAGTTCTAGATCCCTGAGGAATCGCCACACTGACTTCCACAATGGTTGAACTAGTTTACAGTCCCACCAACAGTGTACAAGTTTTTTTTTCTATAGCTAAATATTATTTCATTGTGTATATATACCATGTTTTTGTATTCATTCATCTGTTGATGGACACTTAAATTGATTTCATATCTTTGTGATTTTGAATAGTGCTGCGATAAATATGGTAGTGGAGATACCACTTTGATATACTGATTTATTTTCCTTTGAATAAATACCCAGTAGTGGGATTGTTAGACCATATGGTAATTCTACTTTTAAACTTTTTTTGAGAAATCTCCAGGCTGCCTTCCATAGTGTCTATGCTAATTTACGTTCCCACCAACAGTGTATAAAAGCTCCCTTTTCTTCCCATCCTCACCAGAATCTGTTAATGTTTTGTCCATTTAATAATAGCTGTTCTAATTGGTGTAAAATAATGTCTCACTGCAGTCTTGATATGCATTGTCCCCATGATTAGTGGTGTTGAGTATTTTGTTAAATGCTTTTTGACTATTTTTATATCTTCTTCTGAGAAATGCCCATTCATTCATTTTGCCCACTTTTTCCTTTTTTTTTTTTTTTGAGACAGAGTCTCGCTCTGCTGCCCAGGCTGGAGTGCTGTGGCACAATCTCAGCTCACTGCAACCTCGGTTCCTGGGCTTAAGTGATTCTCATGCCTCAGACCCCCGAGTAGCTGGGATTACAAGCAAGTTTCACCACACCCAGCTTTTATTATTATTATTATTATTATTATTATTATTATTATTGTTATTATTATTCATGACAGGGTTTCGACATGTTGGCCAGGCTGGTTTCAAACTCCTGGCCTCAAGATTCTGCCCGTCTCTGCCTCCTAATGTGCTGGGATTACAGAAGTGAGCCACCGTGCCTGGCCTATGCCCGCTTTTTTAGTGAGATTATTTCTCAACTGCTTTGGTTCCCTTGGATCATGGCCCTCCTCCTGCCGGCGGCGACGGCGACGGCGGCGGCCAGACTTGGGCTGGGGGCGACCGGGCTGCGGTTTTACCTCCATTTTGAGACCGGACTTGCCTCTTCCAACTCGAGATCAATATGGAAGACTATTTTGTGTGTGTGGTTGGTTGGTTTACTGTTGAGATGTTTGAGTTCCTTATATATTCTAGGTACTTGTGCCTTGTCTGATGAATAGTTTGCTAACATTTTATTTTATTTAACATCTTGTTTCTTAACTCTGATTTTTTTCTTTTGCTGTGTAGCTTCTTAGTTTAATATAGTCCCATTTGACTATTTTTGCTTCTGTTGCCAGTTGTTTTGAAGTTTTAGCCATAAAATCGTCATCTATATGAATGTCCTGAAGTATTTCTGCTGTGTTTACTTCTAGTAGTTTTAGAGTTTCAGGTATGTTTAAGTCTTTAGTCCATCTAGAGTTGATTATTTTATATGGTGAGAAACAGGGACCCAGTTTCATTCCTCTCTCCATGTCAATATCAAATTACCCCAGCATCATTCACTAAAGAGTGTATCCTTTCCACAGTGTCCATTCCTGGTGCCTTTGTCAAAAATCAGTTGGCTGTAAACACGTGGATTTATTTCTGGATTTTCTGTTCTATTCTCTTTGGCTACGTGTATTTTTTTATACCTGCACAATGGTGTTTTGGTTGCAATAGCCTTGTGTGATATTTTGAAGTCAGATTGTGTTATGCCCCTAGCTTTGTACTTTTTGTTCAAGATTGCTATGGCTATTAGGGCATTTTTTTGGTACCATACAAATTGTAGCATTTTTTTCCTATTAATGTGAAAAATGGTATTGGTGTTTTGATAAGGATCACAGTTAATCTGTAGAGTACTTTGGGCAGTATAATTTTTTTCAACAATATTAAATCTTCCAACCCATGTACATGTGATATTGTTTTCATTTCTTTGTGTCCTCTTCCATTTCTTTCATCAGTGTGTGTAGTTTTCTTTGTAGATGTATTTCACCTTCTTAGTAAGATTATTCCTACTGTTTGTTTTTATTTGTAGCTATTGTAAATCAGATTTCCTCCTTGATTTCTTTCTCAGCTCAAAGCCAGAGGCATCACACTACCCAACCTCAAACTATACTATAAGGCTACAGTAACTAAAACAACATGAAACTGGGTACAAAAACAGACACACAGACCAATGGAACAAAATAGAGAACACAGAAATAAAGCCACACACTTACAATCATCTGATCTTTGACAAAGTCAACAATAATAAGCAATGGGAAGAGTACTTCATTTTCAATAAATTGTGCTTGGATAATTGGCTAGCCAGAGAAAAAAACTGGACCCCTACCTTTCACCCAACAGAAAAATTCACTCGAGATGAATTAAAGACATAAATGTAGGACCTCAAACTAAAAAATCTTATAAGAAAACCTAGGAAATGCCCTTCTCAGAGAATAATAATTTTGGCTAAGTCCCCCAAATCAGTTGCAAGAAAAACAAAAGTTGAAATATGGGATGTAATTCAACTAAAGAGCGCCCACACAGCAAAATAAATTATGAACAGAGTAAACAGACAACTTACAGAAAGAGAGAACATATTCACAAACTATTCATCTGACCAACTTCTAATATCCAGAATCTACGAAGAATTTAGACTAATCAGAAAGAAAAACAAAGAACCCCATTTAAAATGGGCAACAGACATGAATGGAAATTTATCAAAAGAAGACATACACACAGCCAACAAACAGGTGAAAAACGTGCCCATCATCACTAATCCTCAGAGAAATGCAAATCAAAACCACAATGAGATACCATCTCACACCAGGCAGAAGAGCTATTATTAAAAAGTCAAAAATAACAGATGCTGGCCAGGCTGCAGAGGAAAGGGAACACATAAACTTTTGGCAGGAATGCAAATTAGTTGAGCCACTGTCGAAAGCCATTTGGAGATTTCTCAAAGAACTTAAGGGAGAACTACCATTCAACCCAGCAATCCCTTTACTGGGTATATATCTGAAGGAAAATAAATCATTCTACCACACTCACACACACACTTGTATGTTCATCACTGGGCTATTCACAATAGCAAAGACATGGAATCAACCTAGGTGTCTATCAGTGGTGGATTGGATGAAGAAAATATGCTCCATATACACCATGGAATACTACAGAGATATAAAAATAAATAAAATTATGTCTCATAAAGCAACATAGATACAACTGGAGGCCATTATCCTAAGCAAATTAATGCAGGAACAGAAAACCAAATACTGCATGTTCTCACTTGTAAGTGGGAACTAAACATTGAGCACATATGGACATAAACATGGGAACAATAGACAACGTGGAGTACTAGATGGAGTAGGGAGGGAGAGGGGTAAGAGGTAAGAAAAAAACTACCTATTTGGTACTATACTCACTATCTGGATAATGGGATCCTAATCCCAAACCTCAGCATCCTGCCGTATACCCATGTAATGAGCCTGTATATGTACTCTCTTTATGTAAAATAGCAGTTGAAATTTTAAAAAACCTTTCCATTTTGTTGAATTTTCATATTGGTATTTTAGTCTCTATTTTATCTATTTCTGTTTTGATTTACATTATTTCTTTCCTTTGATTAATTTTGTGTTTCTTTACTTCTTTCTTTTCTAGATCCTTGAGGTGCATCATTAAATTATTTGGAATCTCTACTTTTCTGGTTTAGTCATTTTTTCCTATAAGCTTTTCTCTTATCACTGCTTTTGCTGTATCTCATAGGTTTTGGTATATTGGGTTTTCATTTTCATTTGTTTCAAGACATTTATTGATTTTCTCCTTAATTTCTTTGTTTACCTGGTGGCCATTCAGGAACATGTTGTTTAATTTTCATGTATTTGTAGTATTTCCCAGGTTTCTGTTTTTGACTTCTAGATTTATTCTGTTATTGTCTGAGAAGATACATGATATGATTTAAATATTTAAAAATTTGCTGAGTTTTGTTTTGTGTCCTAACAGGTGGTATATCATGGAGAATATTCCATGTGTCTATAAAAACATTGTATTTTGTAGTTGTTAGATGAAGTGTTCTGTGAATGTCTCTTAAGGTCCATTTGGTCTAATGTGCAGCTTAAATCCAAAGTTTCTTTTATAATTATTAGTCTAGATGATGGGACTAATGCTGGAAGTGGGGTGTTGAATTCTCAAACTAAACTATTATTTTATTAGAGTTTATCTCTCCCTTTAGATCTAATGATATTTGTTTTGTATATTTTGTATATCTATTGCTCCGGTGTTGGGTGCATATATGCTTAAATTTTTTATATTCTCTTGCTGATTTGTCTTATTATTATGTAGGAACCTTGTTTATCTCTTTTAATGGCTTTTAATTAAAGTCTGTTTTACCTGCAATAAGTATAGCTACTCTATTCACTTTTGGTTTACATTTGCATGGAATATCTTTTTCCATTGTTTACTTTTAGTCTAGATGTGTCTTTATAGGTGAGATCAGTTTCTTGTAGGAAATATATATTTGGGCCATTTGTATCATTCATTCAGCCAGTCTATATTTTGAAGTGGAATGTTTCATCCATTTACATCCAAATTTTATTAGTAATAAGAGAACTTATTTTATTAACCGATTTCTGGTCATTTTGTGTATCCTTTGTTCTATCCTTTGTTCCAGTCTCTCTTTTGCTTGACATTGTTGTTTGGTGGTTTTCTGTAGTGGTAAAATTTGAGTCATTTCTCTTTCTTATTTGTGTGTTTGCTCTACTGGTGGGCTTCATACTTTCTTGTGTTTTTAATGATGATACTGTCCTTTCACTTCCAGTGTAAGAGTCTCTTATACATTATTTCTAGAGTCTGTCTAGTGGTGGTGAATTCCCTAAGCTTTGTCTTATCTGGAAAGACTTCATTTCTCCTTCACGTATAAAGGAAAACATTACTGTGATAGTATATTTTTCCGGCAGTTTTTTTTTTTTTTTTCTTCTAGCACTTTGAATATATCATTCATTCTCTCTTTGCCTGTAATGTTTCTGTGGAGAAAGCTGCTGTTAGTCTGATGGGGACTTTCTTCTAATTGATTAGTTACTTTTCTTTTGATGTTTCTACAGTTCTCTGTTTCCAACTTGTGGCAGTTTGACTCCAATGTGCTATTGGAAAGACATTCTTGAATTGTGTCTATTTGTGGTTCTCTGAACTTTCTGTATCTGGATATCTAAATCGCTTGCTAGACTTCAGAAGTTTTCAGCTATTATTTTGTGAAATACATTTACTAGCCTTTCTGTTTTCTCCTGATCTCCTGGGCAACCAAAATTTGAATATTTTGTCACTTAATGGTGTCCCATATGTTATGAAGACTTCGTTAATTCTTTTTTATTCATTTTTGTTTATTTTTGTCTTACTGGATTCCAAAACACCTATAGTCATGTTCTGGAATTATTTATTATGCTTGTTCTTGTCTACTCTTGAAGACTTTGCATGTATTTTATATTTTACTTAATAAATTCTTTTATTCCAGAATTTCTGCTTGTGCTTTATTTGTAATATTTATCTCTTTGGTAAATTTCTCATTCATGTTCTAAATTATTTCTCTAATTTTTTTCTTTTTGTTCTGCACTCTCTTGCATCTCACATACTTTCTCTAATATCATTATTTTAAATTATTTTTCTAAGATTTTATAATGTTTTTATTGGAATCTGTTGCTAGAGAATTATTACGTTTCTTTGGAGGTATCATTTTTCTTTGCTTTTTCAGAATTCTTGTGTCCTTACATTGATATCTGCGTATCTGATATAACATATCTGATATACCAGTTTCTTGAATTTGCTTCCGTAGGACAGGATATTTTCCTGAAGATGCATGTATTTTGTTGGTTAGTGTATCCTTTTATTCTGGGCGCATGCAGTAGCGTAGTTTCTGTATTTTTTTTTTTTTTACTGTAATAGCATCAGAGGTGTCTATGATTTCTTTAGTAGCTTGGATGCAATTGTTATTGGTGGCTATGCTGAGGTTTTGCCAGGAAAAAAGATGCCACATGGGCTTGTCCTTGGGCCCCAGGACAGCCAGTAACTGCATTTATGTTAGTGAGTCCAGTTTGGCCAATTATTGGGTTTCCAATCCACTTGTTTGTATCTCATTATTGGCAGCAGTAAACTGTGTGGGTAGGTAGATTATTGGGCCCCTGGGAAGCAGGCATGTTGTAAATGATGGCAGTAGCAATAATGGATGGCTTCCATGTGTTCTGTACTGCTGTTGGCAGTGTCTGAGACAGACTGGGTGGGTGTCCCAGTCCCCAGGCCTGCAGGTGGCTTATGTGGATAGGAGTCAGCTGTCGAGTTAGTGACAAGAGGGCAGGCCTGATTACAGGTCCTTAGGAGGAGTACTCATGTGCTAATGGTAGATTTGGCTGGTTGGTACTCAGGACTTCTGGAAAATTTGCTTGTGCATTGGGACAATGAAGTTGGGGGGGAATGGCTAGTCAACAGGACCCCTAGTGGTGTTTGCAGGTTCTAGCTGTGGTAGGCAGAGGCAGGGTGATCCCCAGGCCTTGGGTCAAATGCTCAGATGTGGGCAGCAGTGGCTGTACTGCAGCCCTGCTATTGAGGATGGTGGGGTTGCTTTTATTTGCAGTAACTTTAAGCAGGTGTCTGGGGAGTAGGTGCCTTGCTCACACTCTGGTTCTGGCAGTAACAGGCTGCATTGATGATGCTGCAGGCAAGGGAGTTTGTCCTCAGGGTTCTTGAAAGTACATGGTAACTGCTGCTCGGGCAGTGTGGTTGTTGCTAATGACTGATGTTTCAGCCCTGGCAGCAGCATCCAGCTTCAGCAATGTCTACACTTGAGGGATGTCACTGTGGCCCCAAGGATGTGGAGATGCAGGTACTGTTGAGCCCTCAGGAAAGATGCAGCCTGGTGAGGGCTGAGCTCTCAATATAGCATCACGCAGTCACTGTTTGGGATGCAGAGGTTGTGTGGGAACCAGCATGAGCTTCCTCTCTGGACCAATGCTTTCTCAAGGTCTCCATGAAGCTCTCTATGTTAGTCTCAGCGCCTTTAAGGGTTAAGGGACTCCCATGCTAGGATTACAGAAGTCTGCAGTGAAAATATAGAGCACTGGGTGTCTCTTACTTACACTGGGGGAACCTCTCCAGGATCCCACTCAATCCTAGCTGAGCAGACTGCCTTGAATCTCTCTCCTTCTTTGCTTTAGGCATTTGCAGCCACTTCTTTGTTGAATTCCAGTGTTCTCTCTTAAGTGATCTACTCAAAGTATAATTATCTACTCATTATTTTGGTTTTCTTTGTGGAGGTGGGGAGTACAAGGCGCTTCTAGTCAGCCATCTTGAAGTCTCTCTATATTTTCACATTTAAGAGTTGCTAAAAGATTACCCTTCATTTTTTTAACCAATTCACAATCACAAAATGATGAATACATTTTATTTATTATACTTTCATACAAATTGGGTGTTCTAAAACTTTCAAAAAACTTTGTCAGGTGAAAAACCATCTCATTTTATTAATTTTTTCTTTATTAGTGAGGTTTATTAGCAATTTATATCTCTTCTGTAAATTTCCAGTGTATCACTCAGGGTCATGGCCAGAAACATATGACATACCTGTATCTATATGCCACATATGTGGCAAATTTAAAAGAGTTAAATAAAAGTGGCATTTTATAAAGGCAAGTGCATTGTTTTAGGCAATGACTATAAAACATTTG
Source organism: Homo sapiens (assembly GCF_000001405.40). Lineage (NCBI taxonomy): Eukaryota > Metazoa > Chordata > Mammalia > Primates > Hominidae > Homo > Homo sapiens. Next base: position 144,254,378 of record NC_000023.11, on the reverse strand, counting down.
GACTCCAGAAATCTTTATACTCTTAAAATATTTTAAGGGCCTCAATGAACTTTTAGTTATGTGGATTATCTATCAGTATTTAACATATTAGATAACACTGAGTATTTTAATATATATTTTATCTAAAACATGAATAAACCCATTATATGCTAACATAAAAGCATAATTTATGACAAATAACTCTTTTTTTCTAAAATAAAATTAGTGGGAACAGTTGCATTCTTTTACACTTTTGCAAATTTCTTTAATGTCTGGCTTAATATAATATAGCTCTATATTTACTTGTATATTTAATCTGTTGTGGAAAGAGTAAATAACACTTTAACATAATCTTAACATCATCTTGAATGTAACTTTGATTTCCTATTGAGAAGTTAGCTAGCTCGCCTTAGGTAGACAGCAAGGGAAAGGTTTCCAGAGAGCCCCCGACTCAGGGATCAGCTCCTTATTCCTACATAACATAAAAAGCAGCCTGGGGGAAAAAAATCAAGCTGTGGGTACTGACAAGGGACCTAACACACAGGGTTGTGCCTGGAGACATGCCTATGGCTGCACAGATAAGAGAACCTACAACCCACTGAAATAAAAACTTGCACAAACCTCTGGCTCACTCAGATAAGGGAAAAGACCCAACATAGAAATGCTTTTGTCCTTTGTATAATCAGTGGGCTCCCAAGAAAAAGTTTCTTCTCCTTTTGTGGGCATGAACATGGTGGGCTCCAGTGGGTTCTGGTGGACACTTTCCTTCTTTTTTTGGACTGTGAGCCTGGCCTCTATGAGTCATTACTTCAGCTCTTGATTGATTGGTCCTGGGCGAAGGTCCATGGCTGAGTTCCAACTTCAGCTCCTGATTGGTCCTAGACCAAAATCTCCAACCAAGCTGAATCACACTATCTATCTCCAAGACAGCCCACAGAATAAGCACATTCTTTTCCCTTTCCAGTCCATAAAAACCTTGGACCCCAGCCTCATAGTGGGCAACACATTTGGGCCACCCTCTCCACTGCAGAGAGCTTTCTTCTTTCAGTTATTAAACTTTTGATCCAACCTCACCCTTGTCTGCACTCCTCAATTCTCTTGGATGCGAGACAAAGAACTCCTGGTACTATCTATCTCAGACAATGAGAGACTACTCTAGTGTGGTTCATTGGTGAGACTACAACAATGTAGCCAACGAAAGGGTGATAGGATCCTAAGTTGTCACATTTCAGGGACCACTGGTTTAAGGAAACCAATGATGGATAATACAGTACTCCAAGGACAATAACAATGGGGAGATCTTTAACACCACTAGACGTGAAAAGGCAAGAAGTGGCCTAGCTGATAAGGAGAGTTGCCTGACTGGAGCTGTGTTCTTTGGTACAGAGAGACAGCCAACCCATAGTAATACTGTAGGAAGACAACTGGAGTGAAAACTACCCTTCTTCATTCTCTTCTTACCCTCATCTGCTACAGTTTTCCAAATATCATCAGAAGCTAGGGACAATGGAGCTGATTGATGAAATCCATATGAGCCAACCTCTTTAAAGACAGAACTGTAAAGAGAAGGGCAGGGAGTAGATCTAGAAGGGTGAATGGAAGAAAATTAGTGCATCCATTACATTTTCTTTGTCGTTTGTATTGTATTCTTGTTGAACTCTGAGAGCTCTTTTTATATTGGGGTGAATTAATCTTTACTAACTTTGTAGCACTTTTTTACTCATTAAGAACTTACATTGAATGTTGTTTATGAAATCTTTAATAATATTGATTTGCTTTTGTAGTTATGTTCTGAAACCTTCCATTTTTTGTTTAAGTGTCTTCCATTCAAACTTTATTTATGTAAATTTCCTGACATATTCTTTCAATAATTTAATATTTATGCTTAATATGTCTCTAGAATACATTTATTTGTATATGGAAAAAATAGGAGTCTATTCATATTTTATTTCAAACTTGTCCCAAGGTCATCTAATTCATTTATCTCTCTGTGATTTGAAATGTCACCTTTATGATATATTGTATCATGTATCATATGATATATGATATGTCTAATGATATATATCATATATGTTATCTTATATTGAATATGATATATTCAATTTATAGATAGATTTATATATACATATATATATATTTCCAAATGTTTTACTTAATTTCTAATCTGGTTTTCATTACTTGTTTCAGAACTAGCCCCAAAATTTGTAGTTATAATGTTTTTATACTATATTTATTTCAATTTTCTTGAGACATCATCATCTTCTACGTATATAGATACATTTACAGTCTTGTTAACTTTTTTTGTAATGGGAAAATTTAAGCTCTACAAAAAACAGGCATTTCCTTCTATGAGTGCGTGGGTAGAGGAAAGTGTATGTCTTTTAAGGTATAAACTTTCCGATCTACAACTTCAAGGGTTTGTTTTCCTGACTGCTATATCTCATCAAATGGATTTTTAAAAGTTCAGGTTGACAAAGATAAATACCTCCCCAAGAAGTCCGTTTGCTTCAGAAAGAAATATACATATTCCTGTAAAATTATTTTCCAATGCTTACCCAATTTTTAGGAAGGAGGAACCTTTCTGCTTCTGAATTTCTTGTTGTTTTGCTGAGTAGCATAATTTTTTGAGACATAAAATTGAAAAATCTAAGGAACAGGGATTAAAATATTCAAAATAATGTATACATAGAGAAACTGGTGAAGAAAAATAAAATATCCAGAAAGTAAAATGATGAAGTGAGAATCACCAAAGGAGGAATAATCTCATGAAAGCAACTAGACAAGAGAGTTGTGGGAGAAGAGAAAGAGATCAAAGTAGCCATAGTTAGGTATGGATTTAGAACAAAGTGATGAGGAAAAAGTTTTAGAGAGTTTGGCTATGTGATTAGGCTATTTTTCTTCTTTGTATCTTCAAGATTCCATCGAAAAAGATGTACATTGTTCTGAATGCATTTTTAGAGGCCAATTGAAGTTTTATTTCCATGTGTCTCCAAACTGAAACATGCTTTAAATTGAGAATGAGAATGCCCAGTTTTATCTGGGTTATGCCTATGACCATTGGCTATGGCTATTGACTTTTTTTTTCAACTTCTTACTAAGAGTTGTTTCTATCAATTGGAATTTCAATTGACATTCAAGGATAAAAATATTTGATGGAAGATGTGACTCTGTTGGATTTGTCAGTTGTTTACTTGTCCAGCGAAATATTCAGGGTAGAAATACATCAACATTGTTGAGTTTTTAATGGAGTTCTTTAATGGTGTCTTCTTCATGTCTCATTATTAGCTATAACCATGAGTTAGAGTTTATAAAGCATTTTTACACAAATTATCTCATTTTCTCTAAACAAACATTCTGTAAGATAAGAAAAACAGAACTTTGTGTGTGTGTGTGTTTCCTTGTGTTTAATCATCATTTTATTAATAAAGAAACTGAAGGTAAGATAAGTTTAGTGGCTTGACTCTAGAATCAACCGCTTGTGTGTTTGTGCGTGGATGTGTGTTTGTATGAGAGAGAGAAATAGACACTTGTTATGTACACTTCATAATTTTTCCCTACCAATTCAGTTAATTACTGGTTTAACACATATACATTTTCTGGTATAATAAACACTTTACCTTTATGCAGTATGCAACCATAAAATTGGTTTCTATACACTGATATAAGGAGTAATAATATTAGATCATTTTCCTGGCAAATTCTGTTTTAATTTTGATACCTGTGTGTTTTACAAAGCTCCAAGCAATATGATTTGACTATTATATTTGTTATCCTAGCAATAGTAATTTTTGCAATTTAGTTTGCATGGCAAGATTACTAATTTTCAATAGTAAATGGCCAAAGTAATAAAAATGAATCATCAATTGCTTATTGAGTCTAGCTTATCAAATGATATGCCATAAAACCATTTCAAAAGCCAAATTTATAATTAAGTACAAACTATCAATCATTGAATGTACAAAATTCAATAAACATTGGAATGGCACCATCACCTATATATGTGAAATGTCAGGCATGCACCTTTATGTTATTTAGTGTGTCTTAAATTTAGCGCATTTCTGTATGGATTCCAGTTTTCATTTTTGTACAATGTTTCCTAATGGTATTTTGTAGTACCTCATACTTTAAATAGGAGAAGAACTTGCTCTTGAGAATTATACAAAATAGTATAGTTAAAACTTGACATAGCCTTTTGAATTTAGATACAATATTTTAACTGTTAAATGAGAGTGCAATAAATGTTGAAACTTTTATTATGTTTCAGATAGATGAAATATTAGGTCATAGGCTGTTCTACTGAAAAAGGCAGGATTTAACAGGTATTTGTTACTCTTCTATCTGCTTATTTCTCTTCTGTCTGGAATTTACCTCTCACATTTCTTCACACCAAGATATTTACTTCAATTTTTTTTTTCTAGGAACCCTTACCTAACTGTCCTGGCCAACAGTAGATTCTGTTTTCATGCTGGAGGTATTGTTTTGTCTACCTCTCTTTTGGTATGTGCTATTGAATTTTTACATTATTAAATATTGTATGTACATAGTAGGGGTATATATTTATTAGTTACATAAGCTATTTTGATACAGAAATATAATGTGTAAAATCACATCAGGGTTAATACATTAATACAGTATCTATAACCTCAAACATTTATTCTTTGTGTTTTGAACAATCCAATTATACTCATAATTATTTCAAACTGTACAATTAAATTATTTTACTATAGTCACCCAGTTCTACCAAATATTAGGTCTTAATCGTACTTTCTAACTACTTTTTTTACCTCTTAATAATTCCTACTCCTCCTCACCCAGTCACTACTCTTCTACTCTCTATCTCTATGAGTTCAATTGTTTCAATTTTTAGATCCTACAAATAAGTGAGAATATGCAATGTTTATCTTTCTGTGCCTGGTTTACCTCCAATTCCATCTATATTTTTGCAAATGAAAAGATCTCATTCTTTTTACAGCTGAATAGTAGTCCACTGTGTAATGTATTACATTTTCCTTATCCATTCTGCTGTTGATGCACACTTAGGTTGCTTTCAAATCTTAGCTATTATGAACAGTGCTGCAATTAACATGGGAGTGAAGATATATCTTCAATATACTGATTTCACTTTTGGAGGGTATATACCCTGTAGTAAGTTGCTCGATTGTATAGTAGCTCTATCTTTGGTTTTTGGAGGAACCTCCAACTGTTTTCCTTAGTGGTTGTACTAAAATACATTCCTACCAGCAGTGTAAGGGGGTTCCCTTTTCTCCACATTCTCACCAGCATTTGTTATTGCCTGTCTTTTAAATAAAACCAATTTTAACAGGGATGAGATGATGTCTCTTTGTAGCTTTGTTTGCAATACTCTCATGAACAATGATGTTCAGCACAATTTCATAAAACTGACATTTGTATGTCTTCTTCTGAGAAATATCTATTCAGCTTTTTTGCCCATTTTTAATAAGATTATTAAAATTTTCCTAAAAAGTTGTTTGAACTCTTCGTATATTCTGTTTATTAATCCCCTGTCAGATAAAGAGTTTGCAAACATTTACTCTTATTTTGTGGGTTGTCTCTTTAAATTGTTGATTGTTATCTTTGCTGTGTGGAAGCTTTTTAACTTGATGTGATCATATTTGTTCATTTTTACTTTGCTTGTCTGTGCCTGTGGGCTCAAGAAGTCTTTGCCCACTCCAGTGTCCTGAAGAGTTTCCCCAAGGTTTTCTTTTGGTCATTTTATACTTTGAGGTCTTAAATTTTAGTCTTTAATCTATTTTGATTTGATTTTTTATATAGTGAGAGATATGGGTATATATTTACTATTTTGCATGTGAATATCCAGGTTTCCCAGCATCATTTATTGAAGAGACTGTTCTTTCCCCAAAGTATGTTCTTGAAACTTGTAGAAAATGAGTTCACTGTAGATGTTTGGATTTATTTCTGGGTTCTCTATTTTGTTCCAGTGGTTTATGTATCCATTTTTTTTGCCAATTACCATACCGTTTTGGTTACTATATCTCTGTAATATAATTTGAAGTCAGATAATGTGAATCCTCCAGTTTTGTTATTTTTGCTTAAGAGAGCTTTGACTATTCTGAGTCTTTTGTGTCTCCATATACATTTTAGCATAGTTTATTTTTTCTATTTCTGTGAAGAATGCCATGGTATTTTGATAGGAATTGCATTGAATCTGTAGATTGCTTTAGATTGTATAGACATTTTGACAATAATGATACTTCCAATCAATGAATATGGAATATCTTTTGATTTTTTGTGTCCCTTTCAATTTTTTCAAATATAAGATTATATTATCTGTAAACAAGGATAATTTGACTTATTTATTTTTAATTTGGATGCCCTGTATTTCTATCTTTTGTCTGATTGCTTTAACTGGGACCTTTAATACATGTCAAATAATACTGGTGACAGTGGGCATTCTTGTCACATTTCAGGTTTTAGAGAAAAGGCTTTCAGTGTTTCCCCACTCAATATGATACTACTTGTGGTTCTGTCATATGTGGCTTTCATTATGTTGAGTTATGCTTCCTCTATACCCAGTTCTTTGAGGTTATTTTAATCATGAAAAATGTTGAATTTCATCAAATGCCTACTCAGAATTAATTGAAATGATAATATGGATTTTGTCCTTTATTCTCTTGATATTATGTATAACATTTATTGGTTTGCATATGTTCAACTGTCCTTGCATCCTTGGGATGAACCCCGCTTGATCATAATGAATAGTATTTTTAATGTATTGTTGAATTTTGTGTGCTAGTATTTTGTTGAATATTTTTACATCGATAGTCATTTGAAATATTGGTCTGTAATTTTTTTAATTATTATTTCATGTGTCTTTGTCCGACTTTGGTATCAGGGTAATGCTGTCCTCATAGAATGAGTTTACAAGTATTCTTTCCTACTCTGTTTTTCCAGATAATGTGAATAGAATTTGAATTAATTCTTCTTTAAATGCTTGATAGAATCCAACAGTGAAACCACTGGTTTCTGGGCCTGTCTATACTCGTAGACTTTTATTACAGCTTTGATCTTGTTACTTGTTATTGGTCTGTTCAAGTTTTGGATTTCTTCACGGCTCAAACTTGGTAGATTGTATTTGTCTAAGAATTCATCAGTTTCCTCTAGATTTTCTAATTTACTGGCATAGAGTTGCTCAGATTAGCCATTAATTATCCTTTTTAATTTATGTGGTATCGGTTTTCATGTTTCCTTTTTTATCTCTGATTTAATTTATTTGGGTCTTCGCTACTTTTTACTTAGTTACTCTGGCTAAAGGTTTGTCTATTTTGTTTAAAACTTTTCAAAAAAACACATTTTAGTTTCTTTGCATTATTAGGTTATTTATTTGAAGATTTTTTTTATGTAGGCACTTATAGCTATACTTTTTTTAGTCCTGGTTTTGCTGTATTCTGTATGTATTCATATGTTGTGTTTTCATTATTGTTTCTTTGAAGATATTTTTAAATTTCTTTCTTAATTTCTTCATTGACCCACTTGTCATTCTGGAGGATGTTGTTTAATCTCCATGTAATTGTATAGTTTCCAGAATTCCTCTTGTTACTTATTTTTAGCATTATTCTATTGTGTTCAAAGGAGATACATGATATTATTTCAATTTTTCTGAATGTTTTAAGTCTTGTTTTGTGGCCTAAGATAGGCTAGCCTTAAAAATGATCATGTACTGCAGAAAAGAATGTGTATTCTGCAGCTGTTGGATGAAATGTTCTGTTTATACCTATTAAATCCATTTGGTATAGTGAAAATTAAGTCTAGTGTTTTCTTGTTTATTTTCTGTCTGGAAGATCTGTTTAATGTTGAGACTGGGATGTTGAAGTCTCAAGATATTTTGTTGGGGTCTAGCTCTCTCTTTAGTGCTAATAATATTTGCTTTATATATCTGGGTGTTCAATTGCTGGGTGTACATATATTTACAATCATTATATTCTTTTGCTGAATTTACACTTTTATCATTATATCATAACTTTCTTTGTCTCTTTTTACAGTTTTTTTTCTTAAAATCTATTTTGTCTGATGTAAGTGCAGCTCCTCCTTCTCTGTTTTGGTTTCCATTGGCATACAATATTTTTTGTCCTCAGTTTATTTTAAGTGTATAGGTATATTTTTAGGTGAAGTATGTTTCTTGTAGGCAAAATAACATTGCGTCTTGTTTTTTGCTCCATTCAGCCACTCTAAGTCTTCTGATTGGGAATTATATAGTCCATTTACATTCAATGTTTTTATTGAAAATCATTGCATTTGTATATTGAATTTATTTATACATGTATAGTCCATTTACATTCAATGATTTTATTGAAAAGTGATGACTTACTTACTCCTATCATTTTATTTTATTTCTGGTTGTTTGTGGTCTTCTCTTACTTTTTTTTCTTACTGTCTTTCTTTTAGTGAAGACAATTTTCTTTTGTAACGTGATTTAAATTTTGCTTTTTTTGTTTACGTTTTATGGTTTTTTTTTTTTGTTTGAGGTTACCACAAGGCTTGCAAATGCTATCTATCTTATAATTCATTATTTTAAGCTTATAACAAAATAACACTGTTTGCATAAAACAATCAAACCAGCAAAAATAGAACTAATAAGAATGTTACAACTTGAGTGCATTCCACTATTTAATATTCTCTTGTTTCTATCCATGTCTTATTGAATTGACTATGTCTTAAATATTTCTCATATTTGTTATATTTGATTGGTTTGTTTTTATTCTTTCTACTTGAGTTGTTTAAAGACATCAGTTACAGTGTTACAATCTGTGTTTTTCTATGTACTTACTATTAGCAGTGAGTTTTATACCTCCATGTGATTTGTTATTACTCATTAATGTCATTTCCTTTATGATCAAAATACTCTCTTTAGCATTTCTTGTAGGATAGGTCTGGTATTCGTGAAATCCGTCAGCTTTCATTCATCTGGGAAAGTCTTAAGTTCTCATTTATGTTTGAAGCATATTTTCACCAGATATCCTATTTTGGAGTAAAAGTTTTCTTCCTTTATCATTTTAAATACGTCATGCCATGCTCTCATGACCTGTAAGATTTTCACTGAAAAGTCTGCTCCCGGATGTATTTGAGCTCCATTGTATGTTATTTGTTTCTTTTCTCTTGCTGTTTTTATAATCCTTTATTTGTCTTTGACTTTGAAATGTTTGATAATGAAATGCCTTGAGGTAGTCTTCTTTGGGTTAAATCAGCTTGGTGTTCTCTAACTAACTTTATTTCTTCTGATAGAATCGTGATTTATTTCTTCACGTTGTGTTGAATTTCTTTGAGTGAGTTTCTTCAGAATAGTTATTTTAAATTCTATTTCTGAATGATCACATGTCTCTGTTTCTCCAGAATTGTACTCCTGCCTTATTTAGTTTATTTGGTGAGGTCATGTTGTTCTGGATGGCTTGTAGATGTTCTTCAGCGTCTGGGAATTGAAGAGTTAGGTATTTATTGTAATCTTCACTCTCTGGGCTTGTTGGTACCCACTTTTTTGAAAACTTTCCAGATATTTAAAATGTATTGGTTGCTGTTTTCTAAGCTGTATCTACTTTAGGGTGCACTCCAAGCTCAGTAACACTGTGGTTTTTGCAGACTTGTAGAGGTACCACCTTGATGTTCTTGGACAAGACCTAAAAGAATTCTCTGGATTACAAAGAAGAGACTCTTGTGTTTGTTGTTGTTGTTTTCTTACTTTCTTCCAAATGAAGTCACTCTCTCTGTTCTGAGCCACCTGGATATGGGGATGGAGTGACACAAGCACTGCTGTGGCCACTACCAGTATAACTGTGCTGGGTCAGACCTGAAGCCAGCACAGCACTGAGTCTCATCCAAGGCCTGCTGTAACCACTCCCTGTTTATGGCCTATGTTGTCTCAAGGCCCTGGGTCTCTACAATAAGCCCGTGGCAGAGACAACGTGCCCTGCCATTTAGGTTCATGTGTTTTCTGAGGTTCTGGATGTATCCAGAGCTGCCATCTCAGAGAGAGGGACTAGAGTCATAATTTTTAGAAATCTACCTGATACTCTTTTGTAATACGGCTAAGCTGGCACTCAATCTACAAGACATAGTTCTTCCCACTATTCTTCCCCCTTCCCAAAGGCAGATAGACCTCATCCTTTGGCTACCACCACCACCACCACCCAATGATTGGGACTCACCTTTCAGCAGTTTGGGCTTCCCTCTGACCCAGGGCAGGTCTAGAAATGCTGTCCAAGAGCCATGTCCTGGACCTCAAAAGCCCATTTGGTTCTCTACCACCCTGTGGCTCAGGTGGTATCTAAGGTGCAAGAAAAAAATCCCCTTTACTTTCCCCATTACTTTTCCCAAGCAGAAGACATCTTTTCTCATAGCCACCACAGCTGACAAAGTTCTGAGTCTCACTTGATTGTAGCTATTGTCAGAGTGTCACCTAAGGTGCATGATGTACAATCTGGATGTTGTTGCTGGTTATTTAGAACTTAAGGGGTCTTTGTCATCCAGTGATGTATCCTCCTTGGACTGGGTTCTTTCCTTCAGGGCAGTGGATTCTCTTCTGGCTCAGAATGTGTCTAGAATTGTTGTTATCCAGGAGAAAGGAGAGTGGAGAGCAGCTTTTTTTGTTTGTGAGAGAGAGATCTCTGATAAAAGGGGGGAGGTGGCAGACCGCAGCAGATTTTATAGGCAGGCTGGATGGATTTGATCAGGTATGACATCTACATAGTTTGTGGGGGAAGGCTGGTCACCCCACCCTAATCTTATTATGCAAATGAGCTTTAGGATCAGTGCAGTCTTGTCTGCTTCTTACTGTACACATGGCCTACAAAGAGAGGGAAGATGGAGCCACTATCTTGAACATGATTGGCACAACTGCCAGTATCTATGTCTGCAGCTCGATTTCACAGGCTGCTCTTCGTTAGAAAGGAAAATAATATGGGGCTGCTTTTCATTAAAAAGGAAAGCCTTACCAAGAACTCCCATGCCCTTGCTATCTGCTTAAGTAATTCCTTCTTAACTCCTATATCATTACTAAGAAGTCAAAAATCGATATATGCTGGCAAGATCGCAGAGAAAAAGAAACACTTCTACGCTGTGAGTGGGATTGTAAATTAGTGCAACCATTGTAAATGACAGTGTGGTGATTCCTCAATGACCTAGGGGCAGAAATACTATTTGACCCAGCAATCCCATTACTGGGTATATACCCCCCAAAATATAAATTATTCTGTTATAAAGATACCTGCACACGTATGTTCATTGCAGCACTATTCACAAGGGCAAAGACGTGGAATCAACTTAAGTGCCCATCAATAATAGACTGGGTAAAGAACATGTGGTACATGTACAGTAATAGACTGGATAAAGAACATGTGGTACATGTACACTATGGGAAACGATGCAGCCAGAAGAAAGATTGAGATCATGTCCTTTGCAGGGACATGGATGTAGGTGGAAGCCATTATCCTCGGCAAACTATGCTGGAACAGAAAACCAAACACCACATGTTCTTACTTATAAGTGAGAGCTGAATAATGACAACACATGGACACAGGGTGGCAAGGGGAACAACACAAACTGGAGTCTCAGAGGGTTGGCGTTTGGGGGAGGGAGAGCATCATGAAGAATAGCTAATGGATGCTGGGCTTAACACCTATTTCATGAGATGATCTGTGCAGCAAACCACGATGGCACATGTTTACCCATGTAACAAATCTGCACATCCTGCTCATTTACCCAAAACTTTTAAAAATTGAAGAAAAAAATAGAAATAGCACTGAATCTATAAATTGCTTCGGGCAGTATTACCAGGTTAACAATATTGATTTTTCCTATCCATGAGCATGGAATGTTTTGCGAAACATTTAAAATGTCAGCTAAAATATTTAAATGTTTATGTTAATTATTATAGTACAGTCTTTGAAAATCAGTAGATCAGCTACTGAAATGTCTGATTTATTTTTTCCCAGGTTTATTGCGATATAGTTGGTATACAGAAAAACTCCACATAGTTAATGGATTCAATTTGGTAAGTAAGTTTTGACATATTTATACACTTGAGCTGCCATCACCACAAGGAAGCTAACAAACATATGCATAACCTCTTTCCTTGTGTTCCTTTTTTTATTTTTGTTTTTGTGGCAAGAGCACTTGAGATCCACCCTTCTCACAAATTTTTAAGTACACAATACCTTATGTTAATTATAAGCACTATGTAGTACAGCAGATTTCTGGAATTTATTCATCTTGTATTACTGTAACTTTATACCCATTGAAGAACTCTCCCTATCCCCCTACCCCCAGCTTCCGGTAACCATTATTCTATTGTTTACCTTTGTAACTTTAGCTATTTTAGATGCCTCATATAAAAGGAATCGTTCAGTATTTGTCCTTTTGTGGCTGAGTTATTTTACTCAGTATAATGTCTTTCAGGTCCATCTATATTGTTGCAAATGGTAGAATAAAATGCAGTGCCCAGTACTAAATTATTGTCAGGTTTTAGAAAAGTACCCTATTTAGTTTCCAATAGTGAATTACCATAGTGAATGTGTACAGTTTACACAGAGTTACCAAGATGTATACAATGAACAGAATTTCACTTGAACTTGAAGATACCTCTTTAGAATTTTTGAGTTTTCTACAACTAATTAATTTAATGCTAACACTAGTATTAGTTGTCAGTCAATGAAGATATCAGCTAAGACTCCATAGTCAGAAAGTACTAAATGATATGCCGGTGGCCTGAGAGAAACGATGTGTTTATGACTGTGCGTAGTGTGAAAATACAGCACAGACCTCAGGCTAAGTTCAGTTGTGAGTTAAGGATTAAATCTGCAAAGGCAAAAGCCACCAACATTGGAGGTTGCTTGAGTCTCAGTTTATCAGGGAGTAGTTTCCGGAACCTAGCAATCAAATTGAAGACACTGTGTTAGGCATCAAGTAATTCAAGAAATGAGTTATAACATCCTCTGCTCTCAACAGAAAATATCCATTATCCATATTACTCTTGAAAACTCCTGAAAGCTCAAAACAATCACGGAAGAAACAACTCAAGTAATCACTTAAAATATGTGTGTAAATTTTTTAAAAAATTGTATTTATTGCACTTTCACATAAATGACTATCATTAACCCAGAGATTTTTAACTGAGCTATTTTTATAAAGGTGTCCTTCTCCCTAAGTCGTGTTTATTGACTACAAATCAATACTGCAGTAATAATTGTAAGAAGATTCACATTAATATGATACATAACTATAAATACTGGAGAATTAATTTATTTATAAAGTTCTACTCCAGGTCATTGTTTTACTGCCCCTCCTTTCCAAAATGCATTCAAGTTTTATTCAGGCACGCTTTTTCTCATGCTATCTGGCTCTGTATACTTTATGAAAATTTAGTAGTGGTTTCAAAGGGTGTCACATGAAATTCGTAGTGTGGTACATAACGTGTATTTCAGATCATGAGTATGGAATTGTGAAAAGAGTGACTATGAAATAGTTCAAAGTAATAGACTGACAGATTTATATTTTCATGATAAATATACCTTAATAAAAAGAGCAAAACAATTTCAGCTCAAACTTCATAAGTTATTATACGAAATATGGCAAAGGAGAAAATATATGTTCTCTATCCAGAAACTATCCTGTAAATCATACACCAAAAGAAAGACATTAGACTTACTTATAAGATAACATAGATTGATTATTATTTCAGCTAATATTTCTATAATTTTCATGAGAGAATTCTACAAAATAAATATAAAGTTATATACATTCAAACTATATATTTTCTTAAGTATAAAGTTAAAACTATCTTTTCTAATGAAGGAACACATAACCAGAGATATTAAGGTCACAGCCAAATATATTTAGATTCAAAATCAATATTAAATTTGGTAAAATACTTACTTCATGTTTTGTGAGGGTTGTTAGTTATCAAACAAACAAAAATCATCTACCTTAATTATTTTTAAACAACAGATCATAGGATTATTAATTTACCTCAAGCAATTCTTTATATCTTCACCAATATCACTAAGTGGTTTTTGTGCATATAGAATATTTCAAATCACAAAGTATTTACTTTATACCCCTCATATTTTTATCTAATGCCTTCTGAATGAATCTGAAGTGTGAACTAAGCCTAAATACCAAAGATATTTTAAAATTTAAGAAACAAACAGACATGGCCAAATTCCAAGCATAGAAGTGTTTACCTGTGTATGCAGTTTGATATGGTTTGGCTGTGTTCTCATGCAAATCTCATATTGTAGTTTTCATAATCCCCACGTGTCATGGGAGGAACCAAGTGGGAGTTAATAAAATCATGGGAGCAGTTACCCCAATGCTGCTCCCATGATAGTGAATGAGTTCTCACAAGATCTGATTATTTTAGAAAGGGGTTTTCCCCATTTGCTCGGCACTTCTCGCTCCTGCTGCCTTGTGAAGAATAACGTGTTTGCTTCCCCTTCCTCCATGACTGTAAGTTTCCTGAGGCCTGCCCAGCCATGTGGCACTTTCACTCAAATAAACCTCTTTTCTTTTTAAATTATCCAGTCTTGGTAAGTTCTTCATAGCAGTGTGAGAACAACCTAATACACAGTTTAAGGTAATTAAGGGAGTTGTTGATAATTTCTGCTTTTTGAAGAGAAGCTACATTGAGAGGCAGAAATTTTAAAGTTATCAAATTTAATTTGCATATTATGAGAAACAAGAGATTTAATATTTTTACAGTTTGTGGTTAAGAACTGTAAAGTTATTTGTCAAAATTATGAGTACTAGTGATGTCACTCCCAATACTGTAATCATTACTACTAATTATTGAACACTATTCTATGTCAGGCACTGTCTTAGACATATTAATGCATTTGGAATTGTCACAGAACTCTAAGAGATACATGTGATTATTCCTATATATCAGATGAGGCAACAGGGATTTGACAGCATAAAGTAAATTGACCAAAATCACATAGCAATAAAATGGCAGAACCAGTCTTCAAACCGAAGTCTCCCTGATCCCAGCATCATCTCTATAGAACATTCTTTAAAATATATTACAAATGCTCATAGTTCTAGAAACTAATGTTGAAGATGGATATTTACAAAAATTATTAGGGTACTGGATAAAGAGGACTGCTCAGAAAAAGGCCCTATGAAGTGTTTTAGATGATTCATGGTGTGTCTTTCTTTAAAATGAAACCAGATAGTAACTAACTAGGTTATACAGGAAGCAATGACAATCAATCACTAGGAAAGGTAAATATGTAAGCAAACAGGAAAGGCATTCCTTAATTTTTCCCCTTTGAAAGACAACCAATTATTCAAAGCAAAAATAATAACCTTATATTATGGAGTTCACTGCATGCGCAAATGTAAAATATATTAAAATAATAGCCCCCAAAATCGGGGAAATTGATTTTTTCTGTTCTAACGTTCTTCCACTTATATGAATTTTAACAATATGAGCTCTAAGTAGACTGTGATATAAGTATACCTACCGTAATCTGTAGAAAAACAAAACACTTGAAATAAATGAGTTCTAGTTAAACATGCAATAGAGTAATTAAAATCGAATATTTAATATATTTGATTAACCCAAAATATGGCAGAAAAGGAGAAAATTTTAAAAAGATAACCATAAATAATTGCAAATTGTTTGTTAGATTTAAACCCATGCTGATCGATAATTACATTAAGCTCAGAACAATTAAGCAAGCTAATTAAAGGAAAATATTGTAATAAAGGAAACACCTGTTATATAATTGAACTAAACATGGACACCATATTTTGGCCCCTAGGTTGTTTATTTCTCTACAGCAGGCTGAGACCTGTTTTAGCTCAAAAGACAACTCCTGACAAACTCAAATTTTTACACATTCTATTATTTTAAAAATAACCCAAACACACAGATTTTTTAGCCATTTAGGGCCTTCCTACTTTGCATATCCTGCAAAAAAAGTCTCACCTAACAGCTGTTGCCTGTTAAGATAGCACCTTATAATTATGAGACTCCAAGCTGCCATAACCCTTCAGAGCTCTCTAATTCATAGAATCTCCACTGTGCTGCTGACAGACATTACCTAGATACTTAAGTACGCTCTTTGATCCCTCTTTCCCCACTTAAAAGTTATCTTGCCCTCCTCCCCTTTTGTATAATGCCCCCTGTGCCTTAGCCTCTGTATGGCCATTCTCTAAGAGACTTCCCTTCTCATGAAACTCTAAGTGCCATCTAATAAAAGCTTATTGTGTGTTACTACCTACCTCTGGTGATCATATGTTTTCCTTTTTGATCAATCCCCAAATTGCTGAAACTCACTACAAAAATCACACCATGCTGTCTACAAGATAGGCACTTTATCTCTTAATATTTAATTTTAAAATTAAAGAAATGTTGCAAGACCAGTACAAAAAGTCCTATATACCCTTCACCCAAATTTGTTCAGTTCCTCTAATTTTTTAACACTTTATCATATTTTTACTCTTTCTTTTTCCCTACACTTCTCTGTTTCTCTTCCTCCCTGTCTCTTCCTCCCTCCCTCTCTCTCTTCTTATCATCCCTCTTCTCTCAGGATGCATATATGTTGTATTTACATACACACATAAGTGTTCTCTGAATAATTTGAGAATAAGTAGCATCCACTAAAAATTTTAGTGCATTTGCCCAAAATAAAGGGACTCTCTAACATACCCCACTACAATCATCTGAATTAAAACATTAAAAATGATGCTACACTCTCAAAAATATGCAGACCTCATTCAGATTTTACCAACTGCCTAACAATGTCTTTTTTACTTTTTGATCCAGAATATAAGCTAATATTTTACAATATCTTTAATTGTTACATCCTGTTGGATTTATTTTATCTGAAATAGTCAGTCTGACATAGTTTCTCAATAGCTTGAGAGTATTTAAGGTTTCAAGTGTTAAATCTTAAACATTGCAAGATGTCTTTTGATCTAAGTAAGTAAGTAAGTTTATCCAATGCTTAATCATGACAAGACTCAGGTTACTTATTCTTGGCAGACATGATAATGCAGGGACTTCAAAATGGCTGACTGGAAGCATTGTGTGCCTGCTTCCTCCACTTAGAAGAACCAAGATAGACTATAGACAAGCACTCTTGGAATACATTCTCCAAGAGAGAACATGTTAATTCAACATAAAAGTGGCAGGAAACACCAAAAGCAAGGAAGAAGATGGAAGAGAGGCAGGCAGCTTGGCCAGGATCAGCTGGAAGGTGGGAGTGACTTCCCAGTGTGAGGAAAGGGTGAGAGAGGTTCAGCAGCCCACATGTCCAGCATGGACCCATGCAAACCTGGCCACCAGAGAAACCATCAACACTCTTATGGGACAGAACTGCTTTACAGGCTATGGGAGCACTAAGCTCCACACCCTTTTTGAGAATTAAGTGGTGACAGCAAGGTGCTTTTTTTTTTTTTTTTTTTTTTTTGATGGAATCTCGCTCTGTCACCCAGGCTGCAGTGGCGCCATCTCGACTCACTGTAACCTTTGCCTTTCGGGTTCAAGTGATTCTCCTGTCTCAGCCTCCCCAGTAGCTGGGATTACAGGCATGTGCCACCACACCCAGCTAATTTTTTTATTTTTAGTAGAGACAGGGTTTCACCATGTTGGCCAGGCTGGTCTCCAACTCCTGACCTCAGGTGATCCACGTGTTTCAGCCTCCCAAAGTGCTGGGATTACAGGCGTGAGCCACAGTGCCCAGCCAGGAAGGTGCCATTTTAAAACCTAGCCTTTGGCAGACTTAAGGCTATACTGGAACCCAGCAATGCTGGAACTGAGGAACTAGAAAAATTCAAGCTGTTGCTGCTAAGACTGGGGCAGAAGCTGGGAGTGCTGCCACAGCTGTGGCTGTGATGCAATTGAAGCATAGGCTGTGGTTGTTAATGCTAGCAAGTGAATGCCACCAGGACTAGAAGGGCCATAAGCATGGGGTGAGTAGCCACTTAGCCATCAGCTGGGAGGGAAATACTGCAGCCAGGGATGAGGCGTGAGTTACGTGCAAGCTACTTACACAAGGGCTAGGGGTAAGCCCCACCTAGAATGGGACATGAGAGCGACATATGTGCGCCATCCTCCAGCCCAGGCTGTGGCAACCAAGATGTGCCCCAACCTCTCCAGTGGAAGGGCCTCAGTGTGGCTGGCACAATCCCTCAAATAAGTGCTCCACCTGGCCTTGAAGACCACCCCAACCTCACCCACCATTGCCAACTGCTCTCACCATTAGGGGGCCTGAGCACAAGCCTACCCAGTCGGGTTTTGCTACCCATCCAAGACAAAGAACACAGTCAAGGGTCTTGGGGATTGCACAACCTAGTCCACCACTTGGGCCCCTGAGCACTCTTCCCAGGAGCATGAGGTTGGCCCTAAACTTCTGGATGCTACCCTGTCAGCCGGCACATCCCTGAAAGAACCACATGCAGTCTGGACACACTAAGCCCATTGCAAGCCACTGCCAACACTAATGCACACATCTTGGGACCCAGAGAACCATTCCATGAAAGCTACCGCCATCATCCATGCCATGATGGTTGTCTAGAGGCTCAAGAAACTGCTCACCTGCACATCCCACTGCTGCCACCCTCAGCATCTGAGCAAGCTACCTGTAGGTACAAGAATCTTTTTGCTGATAACTGCCATACTGGAGTGTATTAGGCTGTTATTGTTTGCTATATAAATACATGAGACTGGGTAATTTTTTATTAAAATAAAGGCTTAATTGGCCCATGATTCTGCAGGCTTTATGAAATGCATGGTGATGACATATGCTCAACCTTTAGGGAAGCCTCAGGATGCTTACAATCTTGGCTGAAAGCAAAGGGGACGCAGGCACGTCACATGGTGAAAACAGGAGCAAGCAAGTGAGAGAGCGTAGGGCTGAGGTGCCACACACTTTTAAATGACCAGATCTCACAAGAACTCATTATCACAAAAACAGCACCAAGTCACGAGGGACCCACCTCCGTGATCAAAACACCTCTCACCAGGCCCCTCCTCTAGCATTGAGGATTACAATTCAACATGAGATTTGGAAGGGGACAAATATTCAAAGCATATCGTTCCACCCCTGGCCCCTCCCAAATCTCATGTCTTTCTTACATTGCAAAAAACAATCATGCCATCCAAATAGGTTCCTAAAGCCTTAACTCATTCAAGCATTAACTCAAAAGTCCATAGTCTTTGGGTAAAAATATCTGTTCCAAAAAGATAAATCAGCCAAACATACAGGGCTACTGTCCACATGCAAGTTTGAAATTGAGCAGGGTAGTCATTCAATCTTAAAGCTCCAAAATAATCTCCAGTGAATCCATGTCCCACATCCAAGGCATACTGGTGTAAGGGGTGGGCTCACAAGGCCTTGGGCAGCCCCACCCCTCTGGCTTTACAGAATTCAGCCGCCAAGGCTGCTCTCACAGGTTGTTGAATGACTGTGGCTTTTCCAAGGGCAAGGGGCAAGCTGCTGATTGATCTACGCTTCTAGGGTCTGGAGGTGAGTGTCACCTTTTTCACAGTTCCACTAGGCAGTGCCACAGTGGGGACTCTCTGTGAGGGCGTCCAGCCTACATTTCCTTTTTTTTGAGATAGAGTCTTGCTCTTGTTGCCCAGGCTGGAGTGCAATGGTGTGATCTTGGCTCACTGCAACCTCCACCTCCTTGGTTCAAGCGATTCTCCTTGCTCAGCCTCCCAAGTAGCTGGGATTATAGGCATGGGCCACCACACTCAGCTAATTTTTTTGTATTTTTAGTAGAGATGGGGTTTCTCCATGTTGGTCAGGCTGGTCTCGAACTCCCGACATCAGGTGATGCACCCACCTTGGCCCCCCCAGAGTGCTGGAATTACAGGCATGAGCCACCATGCCCGGCCTACATTTCCTCTTGGCACTAACATAGTAGAGATTCTCTATGCAGGCTCTGCCCTTGCAGCAGGCTTCTGCCTGGGCACCCAGGCTTTTCTCTACATCCTCTGAAATCTACACAGAGAATGCCAAACATCATTCACTCTTGCACTCTGTGTGCCTACAGGCTTAACACCACCACTTGGAAGCTGTCAAGGCTTACAGCAGCTTGTACTCTCCAGAGCAGCAGCAGAAGTAGTATCTGAGTGCCTTTAAGCCAAGGCTGGAGCCTGAGCATCCTAGATATGAGAAGCAGTGTCCTGAGGCTGCCCAGGGAAGTGGGGTGCTGGTCCTGGCTCATGAAACCATTATTTCTTCCTAGGTCTCCAGGCTTGTGATGGGAGGGACTGCCTTGAAGGTTTTTGAAATTCCTTTGAGACCTTTATTTTTTCCTCGTTTTCTTGGCTATCAGCACTTGGATCCCTTTTAGTTACGTGAATTTCTGTAACAAGTGGTTGCTCCACAGCTTGCCTGAATTCCTCTCCTGAAAAAATATTTTCTTTCTCTGCCACATAGACAGGGTGCAGATTTTCCATACTTTTACACTCTGCTTCCATTTTAAATATAAGCTCCAAATTTAAGTCATTTCTTTGCTCCCACATCTAAATGTAGACTGTTAGAAGCAGCGAAGCTACATCTTGAACACTTTGCTGCTTAGAAACTTATTTTTTTGCCAGATACCCTAAATCATCACTATAAAGTTCAAACTTTTTCACAGATCACTAGGGCATGAACAGAATGTAGCCAAGCTCTTTGCTAAGGCATACCATGTGTGACCTTTGCTCCAGTTTCCAATAAGCTTCTCATTTCCATCTGAGACCTCCTCACCCTGGCCTTCGCTGTCCGTATCACTACCACCATTTGATCATAACCATTCCAAAAGTCTCTAAGAAGTTTCAAACCTTCCCTCATCTTTCTGAGCCCTCAAAACTCTTCCAGCTTCTGCCTGTTACCCATTTCAAAAGTCAGTTCCACATTTTTACATATTTTTATAGCAATACTCCACTCTCAGTACCAATTTTCTGTATTTTTCCATTCTTGAACTACTGTGAAATAATACCTGAGACTGGGTAATTTATACAATAGAGTTTTAATTGGCTCATGGTTCTGCAGCCTTCACAGAAAGCATTATTCTGGCATCTACTTTGCTTCTAGGGAGGCCTCAGAAAGCTTACAATTATGGCAGAAGATGAAGGAGAAACAAGCATGGTGAAGCTGCATGGTGAAAGCAGGAGCAAGCGACAATGAGAGACAGAGTTGAGCGGGTAGGTGCCACACACTTTTAAATAAGCAGATTTTGTGAGAACTCACTATCACGAAGACAACACCAAGCCACGAGGGACCTGCCCCCATCGTCCAAACACCTCCCACCAGGCCTCGCATCCAGCATTGGAAATTACAATTCAACATGAGATTTTGGTGGGGACAAATATTCAAACAATGTTATGAGGTCAACGTGAACTACCCTGGGCCATAAGAATAGGCACACTCAACCCACCACTGACACTCCTGAGGCCTGAAGACAGGCAAGCCTAGCATCCTAGTCCCCAGCACAAATTTACCAGAGCTTCCAATAATAATCATACTCTAACCAACTAAGAAAATTACACATACCATTAATACCATTTAAAAGCAAAGAAATCGTACAGCATCTAAACTACCGTGCAAACCCCAAATCAAAGCCAATGTACTCTACAAAACCAACACCATAGATACGTCTTCAGGAAAAAAAGTCCTCTTCATGAAAGGAAATTCAAAAATAGGAAAAAGTCACTGTTGTAGCAGATATACCAATATAAATGTAAAAATACCATTAATGCCATTTAAAAGCAAAGAAATCGTATAGCATCTGAACTACTGTGCAAACCCCCAATCACAGCCAGTGTACTCTACAAAACCAACACCATAGATACATCTTCAGGAAAAAGGTCCTCTTTATGAAAGTAAATTGAAAAATAGGAAAAAGTCACGGTTGTAGCAGATGTACCAATATAAATGTAAGGGCACAAGAAATTTTAAAAAGCAAGAAAATATGACACCTACAAATAAACATCATAATTCTCTAGCAATTGAATTTAATCAAAAAGAAAATTTCAAAATTTAGTGAGCTAAAAGAGAATTCTGAAAATCAATACCAAGAAATCAGATACATAATATATGATTGAAAAATATGCTGATGGAATAGATACTGTAAAAAAATAGAAATTCTGGAACTAAATAATTTATTAAAGTAGATACAAAATTTATTTGAAAGCTTAAACAATAGACTAGATCAAAAAGAAGCAAAGTAATGTCTTAACTTGAAGACAGGTCTTTTGAAATAATCCAGTAAGAAATTTTTTTTTACAAAAATTAAAAATGAGTAGCAAAAACTTTGTGACGCTTGGGTCTACATAAAGCAAAAAAAAAAAATATTATATTTATTGGTATTCCAGAGGACAAAGAGAAAATAAAAAGATTATAAACCTACTTAATTACATTATCGATAAATACTTTCCAGTTCGAGTAAGAGACTTACTTAGACTTTCCAATACAGAAAATTTAATAATGCCCAGGTGGATACAACACAAAAGGTCTTCTCCATGGAACATTGAAATCAAACCATTCTAAGATAAATGATAAAAAGTGAAAATCCTAAAAGCACCAAGATAAAAACATCTAGTTACCTATAAAGAAAACCCCATTGAACTAACAGTAGATTTTACAGCAGAAACAGTATGAGAGGTGACAGCGTGCTGGCAGTCCTCACAGCCCTCGCTTGCTCTCGGCGCCTCCTCTGCCTGGGCTCCCACTTTGGCGGCACTTGAGGAGCCCTTCAGCCCGCCACTGCACTGTGGGAGCCCCTTTCTGGGTTGATCAAGGCCGGAGCCGGCTCCCTCAGCTTGCCGGGAGGTGTGGAGAGAGAAGTGCGGGCGGGAACCGGGGCCGCGTGCATTGCTTGCGGGCCAGCGCGAGTTCCGGGTGGGCGTGGGCTCGGCGGACCCTGAACTCGGAGCAGCCAGCCAGCCCCACCGGCCCCAGGCAGTGAGGGGCTTAGCACCTGGGCCAGCAGCTGCTGTGCTCAATTTCTCGCTGGGCCTTAGCTGCCTTCCCGCGGGGCAGGGCTCAGGACCTGCAGCCCGCCATGCCTCAGCCTCCCCCCCTTCTCCATGGGCTCCTGTGCTACCCCAGCCTCCCCGACGAGTACCGCCCCCTGTTCCACGGTGCCCAGTCCCGTCGACCACCCAAGGGCTGAGGAGTGCGGGCGCACGGCGTGGGACTGGCAGGCAGCTCCACCTGCAGCCTCGGTGCGGGATCCACTGGGTGAAGCCAGCTGGGCTCCTGAGTCTGGTGGGGACGTGGAGAACCTTTATGTCTAGCTCAGGGATTGTAAATACACCAGTCGGCACTCTGTATCTAGCTCAAGGTTTGTAAGCATACCAATCAGCACCCTGTGTCTAGCTCAGGGCTTGTGAATGCACCAATGACACTCTGTATCTAGCTACTTTGGTGGGGACGTGGAGAACCTTTGTGTCGACACTCTGTATCTAGCTAATCTGGTGGGGACGTGGAGAAACTTTGTGTCTAGCTCAGGGATTGTAAACGCACCAATCAGCACCCTGTCAAAACAGACCACTCGGCTCTACCAATCAGCAGGATGTGGGTGGGGCCAGATAAGACAATAAAAGCAGGCTGCCCGAGCCAGCAGTGGCAACCCGCTCGGGTCCCCTTCCACACTGTGGTAGCTTTGTTCTTTCGCTCTTTGCAATAAATCCTGATGCTGCTCACTCTTTGGGTCCACACTGCCTTTATGAGCTGTAACACTCCCTGCGAAGGTCTGCAGCTTCACTCCTGAAGCCAGCGAGACCACGAACCCACCGGGAGGAACGAACAACTCCGGACGTGCCGCCTTAAGAGCTGTAACACTCACCGCGAAGGTCCGCGGCTTCACTCCTGAGCCAGCGAGGCCACGAACCCACCAGAAGGAAGAAACTGCGAACACATCCGAACATCAGAAGGAACGAACTCCAGACGCACCACCTTAAGAGCTGTAACACTCACCGCGAGGGTCCGCGGCTTCATCATTCTTGAAGTCAGTGAGACCAAGAACCCACCAGTTCCGGACACAAGTATAGGCTAGAAGAAAATATGATGACATATTCAAAATTAGTTCAATCCCTGTGGAAGTTTGGAGATTTCTCAAAAATTTAAAAATAGAATTATTATTTCACCCAGCAATCTAATTACTAGGTGTATACCCAAAGGTAAATGTATCATTCTGCTAAAAAGAGGCTGGGTGTGATGGCTCATGCCTGTAATACCAGCACTTTGGGAGGCCAAGGTGGGCAGATCACAAGGTCAGGAGATCGAGACCATCCTGGCTAACACAATGAAACCCTGTCTCTACTAAAAATACAAAAATTTAGCCAGTCATGGTGGCATGAGCCTGTAGTCCCAGCCACTTGGGAGGCTGAGGCAGGAGAATCGCTTGTACGCGGGAGGCGGAGGGTGCAGTGAACTGAGATTGTGCCACTGCACTCCAGCCTGGGCAATAGAGCAAGACTCGATTTCAAAAACAACAACAAAAAGATATCTGTATCTGCACATTTATTATAGCGTTATACACAATAGCAAAGACATGGAATTAACCTAGACGCCCATAAATGGTAGATTGGATAAAGCAAATGTGGTATATATATACACCATGGAATACTACACAGTCATAAAAATCATACAGTCATGTATTTTGCAACAGCATGGATGCAGCTGGAGGCTATTATCCTCAGTAAATTAACACAGAAACAAGAAACCAAAGACTGCATGCTCTCACTTATAAGTGGAAGCTAAACATTGTGCACACGTGAACATAAAGACGGGAATAAATACTGAGGACTCAAAAAGGGGGAAGAAGGAGAGGAGACAAGGGCTGAAAAACTACCTACCTATTGGGTACTGTATTGACTATCTGTGTGAAGGGTTCAATTAAAGCCAAAACCTCAGCATCATGCAATGTATCCAAGTAACAAAACTGCACATGTACCCTGTGAATCTAAAATTTAAAAATAAATAAAATCAAAATTTAAAATAATAAAAATGAAAAAAAATACTGGAAGAAAAAAATACTGTCAGCAGAGAATACTATTCAGTGAAATGGTTCTCCATAAATGAACAAAAAATAGTCTTTCTGAGACAAGCTAATCTTGAGGGAATTTGTTATCGCTACACTAGCCTTACAAAAAAATCATCAAAGAATTCCTAAACCTGGAAGCAAAAGGATCACCTTTACCATAATGGAAACACACAAATTACAAAATTCACAGGTAAAAAACAATCACAAAAAGGTGAAAGATAAAAGACTCTAATGGTACTAATACAGAAATCATCGAAACAAAATGACAATCAATAAGAGAAAAAGAAGGGAATAAAGAATATATAAAACAATCAATCAGAAAACAATTAACAATATGACAGAAACAATGCCTCACATAACAATGGCCTCGAAATTAATTAGATTAAATTACCCTCTTAAAGTATATAGATTGACTGAATGGATAAAAAGAACAAAGCCCAGCTATATACTACTTACAAGAAACTGACCTTACCATCGACACACATATAAACTGAAATAAAAGGGCTGGGAAAAATATTCCAGGGAAAAGAAAACTAAAAGCATGCAGGAATAGCTACACTTAGATAAA
Source organism: Homo sapiens (assembly GCF_000001405.40). Taxonomy (NCBI): domain Eukaryota; kingdom Metazoa; phylum Chordata; class Mammalia; order Primates; family Hominidae; genus Homo; species Homo sapiens. Next base: position 144,228,814 of record NC_000023.11, on the reverse strand, counting down.
ACAGCCTTTAAGTCAAAAACAGGGAAAAGAGACAAAGAAGGTCATTATGTAATTAAGAAGGGAGAATATATTAGCAAAAATACTAACAATTCTAAATGTAAATGTACCCAACACTGGAGCATCCAGATTCATTAAGCAAGTATTACTAGAACTGAAGAAAGAGACTTCAATACAATAACAGTGGTGGACTTCAACACCCTTCTATCAGCATTAAACAGATAATGCTGGCAGAAAATCAGCAAGAAAGCACTGGATTTAAATTGGACTTTGACCAAAAGTACCTAACAGACATTTACAGAAGGTGACACAAACAAATGGAAAAGCATTTCATGCTCATGGATCAGAATAATTAATACCATTTAAATCACCATACTGCTCAAATGATCTACAGATTCAGTGCAATCCATATCACAGTATCAACAACATTCTTCACAGAGTTAGAAAAAACAATCCTAAAATTCATATGAAACTAAAAAGGAGACCAAGTAGTCACAATCCTGAGCAAAAACAGAAACAAAGCTGGAGGCATCAAATTATTCAATATATATTGCATATATATATATATATATATATATATATATTCAATGTATATTATTCAAAATACATTACAAGGCTATAATAACCAAAACAGCATAGGTATTAGTATTAAAATAGACACATAGACTAATGAAACAGAATACAGAACCCAGAATGAAGCCACATATTTACACTCAACTATGCTTTCACAGAGCCAACAAGAACATACATTGAGGAAAAGACACCCTCTTCAATAAATGGTGGTGATAGATTGCCACATGCAAAAAGCATGAAACTGAACCCCTCTCTCTCACCATATACTAACATCAAGTGTAACAATACATTATAGACTTAAATATAAAACTTGAAACTATGAAACTACTAGAAGAAAACCTTGGTAAAATACCCCTGGACATTGAGTTTGGCAAAATTATTTCATGTAAGATCTTAAAAGCACAGGTGACAAAAGGAAAAATAGATAAATGAGATTGCATCAAGCTAAAACACTTCTTCACAGGATATATACATACAGAGAGGTCAAACAATTAAATAGAAACAAAATAGCAACAAAACAAATTATATGACGTATAAACAAGCAAATATCTAAATAGACTTTTTTTGGGGGGTCAGGAAACAGAGTCTCGCTCTTTCGCCCAGGTTAAAGTGCAGTGGCGTGATCTTGGCTTACCGCAACCTCCGCCTCCCGGTTTCAAGGAATTCTTCTGCCTCAGCCTCCCAAGTTGCTGGGACTACAGGTGCATGCCACCACGCCCAGCTAATTTTTGTATTTTTAGTAGAGATGGGGTTTCACCACATTGGCCAGGCTGGTCTCGAACTCCTGACCTCATGATCTGCCCACCTTGGCCTCCCAAAGTGCTGGGATTACAGGTGTGAGCCACGGCTCCTGGCCTGAAGTTTATAACATACTAAGAGTTCTTAGAAAGTCATCGTGGTGTGTGGTGTTTTAAGCAAGGGGGTAACAGTCAGATTTGCATTTTAAAAGATCACCGTGTGTTGGTACGTGTGTGATCGATTGAGGGCAATGTGAAGCATCTGTTGTACTTAAGCACAATTATAAAATGAATCAGAAAACTGATGCAAGCAAGACATTTTGATGGCTTGGACTAGGTGGTGGTGGTAGAAGTAAAGAGATGTGAATGTGAATGGATTTGAGATATATTTAAGAGATAACATCTGTAAGACATAATGTAAGACTGAATGTAGGGAGGTTGCAAAGATAGTTCCTAGATTTCAGGCATGCATATATGGATAGATAATGGCTCCTTTAACTGAAATAGAGAACTTTGAGAAAAGAATGAGTGAATGAACCTATTCATAATAAAATTATTGGCAATTGAGAAATCAAGAGGGGATGTTTAAATATAATGGATATCTATAAAAATTTATAGGAGATATAATTTTCAATAGTTAAATATTCAAATGCTTCCCTTGAGGTCAAGGAGACTGGACTGCCTGTTATCACCATTCATATTCAATTCTTTACTGGAGATAAAGGAAATAAAAGGCAGAATAATTGGAAATAAAAATTAAGATGTCATTACTTGAAATCATCTTCTAAAATTATAATGTAGCTTATATGCTATATGTTATATTATTAGTTTATATTTTACATATTACACATTTATAAACTGTGTATTATCATTTATGGCTCACGTATATGTGGCAATGTCATTTATAGTAACATAGTAGACTTAAGGTTACTGGATACATAGTTAAACACAAAAGCAATTGTATTCTTTATGTAAGAAAAATATATTAAAATAATATTTTTAAAATATGCAATTTAGTATCAACAGACACTAAATATTTAAGAATTAATACTATAAAGATTTGTAAGATTTATAACCCAAAAACTGAAAAGAACAGACTATTTTAAGTAAAGAACGCAAATATAAATAGAAGAATATACCATGCTTTTAGATTCAGAAAAAATTTGGTAAAGACATCAATTATTTAAAAATTAACCTAAGGGTTTATTACAGTTGCAATAAAACTCAGAGCAGATTATTTTGGGGGAAATTGGTAAACTGATGCTGAGATTCTGATGTAAACTAAACTAATGTGAAGATATTGATCTGCCAAGTGAGGTGCGCCTAAATAAATAGAGATTAGAAATGCTAATTTGGAAGAGACAATACTGTAAAAATGTCATTTATCTCTAAATTAATTTTTAAGTCAGTGTGATTACAATAAAACTCCCAATATTTTTTAACCTTGAAATTCTGATTATAACATATTGCAATTCAAATGTCTGCTACCACCTAAGACAATCTTAAAGAAGAAAAATAAGTAGAACTTCTTCTAGTATAGGCTTGAAGATTTAATAAAAGCTTATACTAATTAAGAAAATGTAACATGTTTACAGAAATAAATCAATGGAAAGAACAGATAGCCCAGAAAAAGACCCATGCATATATGCATATTTGAATTTTAATTGAAGAACCATTAGCAAAGATGTTCACTTTACTCAAGCTGAGATAGTTAGATATTCATTTTGAAAAATATGAATGTATATGCCCACTTCACTCCACATACAAATATGAATCCGGTTGAGTTATAGACCTAAATGTCAAAGGCAAAACTATAAGGCTTTTAAAAGAAAATGAAAGTTGATATATTCATGACCATTAGGTAGTTTCTTAAATAAAACATAGGAACACATACAATAAAAAAGGGGGAAAAAAGTCCACATTAAACCAACTTACATTTACCAAAAATGCCACACAGAGAATAGTTTAAAAAGCACAGAATGAGCGAAATACTTCCAGAACCTATAAGCAACAAAGACTTTGTATCCGAAATATTTTTGCAAAAGATACAAATCAGTAAAAAGAAAGAAAGAAAGAAAACCCAACAGAAAAAGGATATGAATTTTAGTGGCCACTTCACAAGCAAGTAAATCCAAAATAGTAATGAACACAGGAATAGGCCTTATGCATCATTAATATTCAGATAATTAAAATTAAAGTTACATCACTAAATACCTACAGACTTAGCAAAAGTTGAAATACGTTGAAATTGTCTAGAATGCAGATCAAAATGAAATCTCACACTATTGATTGGAGGATAAATTGCTACAACCACTTTGGAAGATGATTTAGCATTATCACACGCCAGGGCCTGTTGTGGGGTGGGGGGAGTGGGGAGGGATAGCATTAGGAGATATACCTAATGTAAATGATGAGTTGATGGGGGCAGCACAGCAACATGGCACATGTATACATATGTAACAAACCTGCACGTTGTGCACATGTACCCTAAAACTTAAAGTATAATAAAAAAAAGAAGTAAAACAAGTATAGTTTTGTGATTCTCAATTAGTCATGATTGTTATAATAATCAAACCTATCAATTACTTCCTACAGCTCGATAAGTGCATAATGTTTTAAATCCAAGGTAACTGAAAATAAGGCGGTGGCTGAAATTACTAGTAGTAATACTGCAGAGGGTACAGGTAATGACACTGTCCTAAAAACTTTATTTCTGTAACAGTATGTTTGTGTGTGTACCTCAAGGAAATGTTGCTTTTAACCTAGAGGCTTAAAAAAAAAAAAACATAGCAGGAAGTATACTGGGATTTTAAATATGATTTAAGGTAAAGCGTCATATATTTACCAGAAAGGAAAAATGTGTGTGTGTGTGTGTGTGTGTATATGTGTGTGTGTGTGTGTGTGTGTGTATATGTGTGTGTGTGTGTGTATATGTATGTACACATACACACACTCACACACAGATACACCTGAAAATAGCCATCGATTTTTCTTGGCCCATAGAAAAGCAACATTAATGCTCTTATTGGCACACTACCAGGGATTTAAGCCATTTTACTATTTCAAGACTTGTGCAACTGTGGTGATAACACTGACAAAGGAACAGAAATTGTACTTCGCTAGGGAAAAGTGGCATTCAATTTTAAAATTTTACACAAAGGTGTTTCAATGAGAATGAATGCCCTGTCCAATATACAGGCTTACAAACCAGTTATTTAGAAATGGGCTGATATCAGCATCTGCCAAAATTCTTCTGAGGTCCAGATTAAATTAATCATAAATGAGAATGAAAACTCATTAAATTTATTGCTGGACCCTGTATTTCTAATTCACAAATACGACACCATATTCTCTGAAAACTTCCAATGACATTGCAAAGGCAAAATATACTTCCAGGATGGATGGATGGATAGATACATAGATGATAGATGATTGATAGATAGATAGATAGATAGATAGAATGATGTTCTTTTGAAAATTCTCTCATGGCCATGGTAATGAGACCAGAGCGAAGGTGACTGCATCCTATAGCTAAAAGATAGAAAACTGGTATCAGCCACAGCAGAAGTAGGCATTGCTACTTTGGCCACTTAAAATAGATAGCATGCTGGTATATAAGCTGGGTAAAAATGAATTTCAGTTCTGAATGTGTGTGATCTTGTATCATGGTCCCTCAAAAGAAAATTGACCATTTATAATTTTTGGTAGTGGGAGGGTGTCTCTGGGATTGTGTGTTCTAGAAAGATTGATAACATTTTAAAGGAACTGAATTATTTTAAAGCATGGACATTTTATATAATAAAAGCAAGCTTCAATTTCAAAACAATCATCTGCTTGCTAAAAATAGAAAGCATCTTATTGAATATAATTTCTATTGGTGTATTTTTAGTATACTGTGTGATTAGTACATGGTATGGTTAGTCAACTGTAAGTAGAAATAGAAATAAATAGTAGAAATGGAAGTTTCTTCTTCTCACCTACCTCCTCCCCACATATTTTTCTCACTTTTGGCTGTCCCAACTGCTGTTAAGCTCACTGAACTTCCTCGTCAGATTACATGTATCTTTCTTCCTTCTGATACACCGGACAGTGACTATGGCACACTGGCACCTACCAGTGCACCATCATGTGTAACAACTGTAAATTGACTAATAGGGAGTTTTAAAGGCATATTTTAATGATGGAAACATTTCAAAAGAGTCCTTAATTCTGATAAGAATTCCCAAAGAACTATGCTATTAGGTGGGCAAAATGAAAGTATAGCTCACATCCCAAAAATAAGCTGTGGAAATATTTCATTCATTCAATATGTCATACCTTTTGTAGAACCAAGTGTTATTGCTTTCATTATTTCTGTTTTTGGACTTCGGAAGACACACTAATGAAAAAGCAGAAGAGAAAGTTAGGCTGTCAATTTTCTATATTTGTCTCTAGTTACACAGTACAACTTCAATAGCATCTTTGCAAAAATATATTTTAGGACTATTTCTGAAAATGCTTAAGGTAATTAATTCAAGCTCAGATTAGAAAATGAACCCATCAGGGATATTACTTCTTAGGAAAAAAATCCCTTCAGATCACAGCCTGCGTGAGAGCAGATATTTTGGGATTTCACTTGATTGGATACTCTTAGAAATATAAAGTAACAAATGTCTATGTATATATTTATATAAAAGTATCTATTTTTCCTTTGTCAAAGAAGTTTCTTCTTTCCATCTACCTCCTCCCCACAATTTTTTCTCACTTTTGGCTGTCCCAACTGCTGTTAAGGCCATTGAACTTCCTCATCAGATTTCATGTATCCTTCTTCCTTCCGATACAGTGGACAGTGACTATGGCACCCTGGCACCTACCAGTGCATCATCATTTGTAACAAAGCACATAACCCCCAACAACTGAATTATATGCTTTCTGAGAGTTAACTGTATTTATTTCAGAGCCTGCTTGCTATTATGTGAATGTTTGTGTCCCCCACAAATTTTATATGCTGAAATCCTAACCCCCAAAGTGATGATAGTATTATGAGGTGGTGATTTTCAGAGGTGATTAGATCATGAGGGCAGAGCCCTCAGAAATGAGATTAGTGTCCTCATAAAAGAGATCCCTGGGAGCTTTCCACCATGTGAGGACACAGTGAGAAATCACTCTCTATGAACTAGGAAGAGAGCCCGCTCCTGACGATAAATCTGCCATCAACTTATCTTGACTACCCCTCCTGTAGAACGGTGAGAAATGAATTTCTGTTGTTTGCAAGCTACTCAGTTTATGGTGTTTTTGTTATAGCAGCTCAGACAGACTAAAACACTGTGTATACTACTTATGTTTATTATTGTAATTACCTAGTTTAATTAAATATTACGTAAATTGAAAAATATGATTTTTTAAAACTAGTGTTATGGCTATTAAAAACAAGAGCAGTACTTTGAGAAGACTCTATGAAAGTCAAAACAAGTTGCTGTCAAATTAAATGTGGGGAAAGAAAAGTATAAAATATTGGGTAAAAATATAAAACTCTTTAAGTGTTCCATACCCAGCTTTCTATACAAGTCTCTAAGTTCCATTTAAAGGAGCAGAAACTGAAAATAGTATTCTTTGCATTTGGCTGAGATTTATACAATCAGGAATAAAACTTGGTTGCATATTCAAGAGAAAAAGGCCTCAGCCTATTTCAAAAGATTGGCAAATTGATGTACATCTATATGTTTTTTACTTTTTAAAGAACGTTTAACTTATATACTTCCAAAATAATGATCTGCTCCAACCATCATTTAATTAACCAAGCAAATACTGGTCACAGTTGGAATAAAGTTCATGTAATATGATAACACTTTGCATTTCTTTCTCTTTTACCTTCACTACCTAGTTATTCTCAGTTCATTTGTATAACAAAGTTTAATTTGTTATAGTAAAATTAGCTGGACAATGATTTCAAAAAACGTGTAACAGAGTACATGTATAGTGAAGTCAACATAGAGTAGAGATAATATCTTTAGAAGATGAAAAAAACAGTACACTGATTGTTGCCTGATAATCAAACGTAGAACTTCTTAAGGGCACAAATATGCATAGAATTATGCTAAGATATATATTGAAATTTCTATTCTTAAGGACTAGAAGAAAAGTAGTAGACGATTCTATCTCAGTTTTGCCACATGAGTTCCAGTACAACTCTTTCCCTACAGATAATTTTTGAAATCGTCTATAATATTCAATAGATGTAGAAATAACACACACAAATATAGAAATACATCATAGAAATATTGAATTATATGTGAATGGACAATCTAATATTATATCATTATTTTCCAAGACCAGATAGTTTTGCAAGCTGAAGCTAGAGAAAAGAATGTAATTGGCAGTAAGTCTGTCTGTGAAGAGCAGAGTGAGAAAGTAAATTTTTTTTATTAATCCAGAATGTCTACATATTGAAGATGAGAATTATTGTAAAATTTTAAAAGACTACCTAATATTATGTCATTATTTGCCAAGACCAAATAGTTTTGGGAGCTGAACCTAGAGAGGAAAATGTAATTGGCGGTTAAGTCTGTCTGTAAAGGGCAGAGTGAGAAAGGAAGATTTTTTTTTTTTATTAATCCAGAAAGTCTACATAATGAAGATGTGAATAATTGTAAAATTTTAAAAGTCTGGGTAATAAAAAAAGTCTGGTTATGTATTTCATATGCAATTAGGTAATAACCATTATTTCTTTTGCTTTAATTGAGATTATAAGCCCCTCTACTTATTTTACTCTCTCAACAAAGACAGACAGGCAAAAAACATTAACATTCATGGAAAAATTGGATCATTTAGCAACCAAATAATAGGTGTCATGGAATTTTCCTTTGAATAAATTTTTTCACATTGGAAATCCAGACACAAAAGAAAATTTATGAATTATGAAAGGATTATAAAAAGAGAGAGAAAATATAATTCTACTTGTATTTCCAGACACATATAAAATTTGACTAGAAACATTGTGGCATAGTAGCAAGCTGGCTAAACTCCCTCCAGTAATAAAACCAACAAAAAATGCAGTCCCTAGGATACAGCCAGAAATACATCAAAACTCAAATATGAAGGTGAGACAGTTCTTGGGGCACAGAGAAGTGAAAACAAACATTCCTTGTAGATGGTAAGAGAATCATACTTCCACATCTGTCATGCCCTTCCCTCATTCTGCCTGGCACCAAGCAGGCAGAAAATTTTCATCAACTCACTCTTTCTTTCTACCCTGGAACAAGTGGGATTGAGGTGGACTGCTAGCTTTTCCACCATCTTGTACTTGCTTTAACCCACAGGAAGCATCAGAGTGTCTGAAGGAAGAATTATCCCTGAAGATAGATAGAGACAAAGGAAGAGGCAGGACTACCAGGCTCAGCCAAATAAACTCTACTTTGTAACCTGGCCAAAGGACACACCAAATCAGAGTGACTGCCCAGCAATGCCACACTGTGGGAGGTTTGTCCCGCAGGTTCCCTGGGCAAGAACCTCTAGCCAGCCTCCTCACACTGCCAAAACATTCTTTTGGGTACCTCCTTCATTCTGGAAGGAAAGAACTCACTCAGATAGCTTACTAGAGCTGAGGTGATTCTGGGCTTAAGGTGCCACCTAAGAGCCAAAAAGGGGCTGTTATCTAACAGCAAAAAACCTCTAAGCAAACATATCTAATAGAAATTAAAATAAGCCAGACAGATAAGACTAGAATAATTGACTAATCCTTCAATGCAAAGATATATACGTACAACCATGAGAAATAACAGCAAACAGGAAAGCATGATGGTTCCATACAGAGAAAGCAAAGAGCCAGTAACTGACAATAATGAGACAACGATATGTGAGTTCTCTGAATAAAAATTCAAAATAGTAGTTTCAAGGAAACTCAGTGATCTTCAAGATAACACAGCAATGCAATTCAGAAATTTATCAGAAGGGGTGGAACAAGAAGGCAGAATAGAAGGTTTCCTTGATCATCCCCCCGCAGGAACACCAAATTTTAACAACTGTCTACACAGAAACGCACCTTCATAAGCACCATCCCCTGGAAACCGCTGCATGACACAGAGTATTTGTGCTTGGGGAGTGAGAATACAGTGATTGTGAGACTTTGCATTGAACTCAGTGCTGCTCGGTCATAATGAAAAAAATCACCTGCCTGTACTTAGTTGATGACCATCAACAGAGGGCGCATTAGAACTGGCCCTAGCCAGAGGGTAGTCTCCTATCCCAGCGGGTGGAACTTGATTTCCTGCACACCTCACCACCTTGGGCTGCAGGGCTACATAAACTTGAAAGGTAGTTTAGGTCACAAGGACTGCAATTCCTGGGCAAGTCCTAGTGCTGAGCTGGGCTCAGAGCCAATGGACTGGGAGGGCACATGACCTACTGTGACACCAGCCAGGGCAGCTAAGGGAGTGCTTGCACCATCCTTCCCCCAACCACAGTCTGCACAGCTTGCGGCTCCAAAAGAGATGCCTTCCTTCCACCTGAGGAGAAGAGAGCTAAGAGAAAAGGGGACTTCTTTATCTTGTACCCTGGATACCAGATCAGCCACAATACAATAGGGCAACATGAGTCTTGGAATTTGTGGATAAAAAACCCCTGTACTAATGAAGAGGATGGAATTCTCAGGCTATCAATAGACCACGCAGACTTTGACTATATGCACCTCAGCAGTTTACATAATATGTTCAAAATTAGATATTTTTTTCAGGGGTTTTGTACATCAAGTACTTCATATTCTCAGGAAATTTCAGAAAGGTAGGCTCTCAAAAAACAAAACTGAATTTATTACCATTCTGGTAAATAAATGTCATGTAAGATTTTTTTGTTCTTCTATTGAATATGCTTAGATATATGCATACCTACTACATTGTATGCCATTGAATATATAAACATCATTAATCAAGCAGGGTGAGGATTTCTGCCAGGTGAACTCTCCTTTCAGCATGGAGCCAACCACAGAATAAAAAGTACTTATAAAAAAAACACAGCACAGGCTGATTAAACACAAACATTGGTAGTTGCAGACTAGGCAACAAAAGTTATATTATACAAGAAGATATGATGTAAGACATGTTCTAAATTTAGAAAACTGAGTAGAATTAAAATTATTATATGGGATATATCACATAATTATTTTCTAATGTTGGGAATGTAGAAATATAATGAGCCCTAGTGAACTAATTCTTTTCTCAATGGCAAACTTTCAATTTCATATGACACAACAATGAAAATGAGTGCAAAACACTCCAACCTGATTTTGTAACAATAAAAAAGAATAACATGTTTCAATGTTCTTAATCTATATAAATCAATATCTATGTGACACACATTTCAAAATATACCTAGCTTACAATAGCTAGATGTTAATCTTTCTAAATAAAACAATAAATTGGCTGCCACCAGGAGCATAAACTTTGATTGTATAAAACATCTTTATTTTATCTTGTAAAATTGGCAACTTTGGTGATTCATTGTTCATGTAGCAGCTTGAAATCATTGCTAAAATGTTGATTATTTTGTTTTACAGTCTCAACCTCATAAACCACTACAGGTGTTGTATTCTAAGAATAATGGGAGGGCAAAATAAAAACTTTAATAAATTTTTGGAAGAGCTATGATACCACTTGCATTATCTTACATAGCACTGTAATGCTTAAAGGGATCTTAAGAAAAGCACAGTGTTATTAAATGGGTATTGAGTGAAGGAAAAATATATTTGAAGCAGTTTCCGAGGAGATTATACATTTCAGATTAATTCAGAATGAATTATAGTGCAACTGTGTGGAGGTAACCACAGTACACTTTAACTTGAAAGAAGCAGTCTATAATATGGACTAAAGATTGAGTTTTGAAGAAATTGTCCCAATATTGTTCCTTACTCTCTCTGTTTTTTTGCAGGTATAGCACTTTTCATTTTCAGTTTCCTGAATGCTCTGCATTTTTCATTTGACAGGCACTTATGTAGATTTAGATATTTTATTCATTTAATCTTCATAATAATGCTATGACAGAAGTTGTTTTTCATTGTTGTGTAACACGTCACCATCAACTTAGTGGCTTACAAACACTCGAACTTACTATCATCACACAATTCCCATGGATAATGAGTTCACCCATTGCTTATCTGTGTTTTGTGCTCAGGGTTTCATGGTCAGCCGTGTCCTCACTGGGAGGCTTGACTAGAACAGAACTGCTTTCTAACCCATTCTGGTTGTTCGCAGAATTCCTTTTCTTGAAGTTATGGAACAGAAGTTCCAAAGGTTTTTTTTTTGTTGTTGTTCCTTTGTTGTTGTTTGTATGTTTGATTGTTTGGTTTGTAGTTGTCAGCCAGGGACCACTCTCAACTCTCAGGTTCTTGCCACAGGACTCCCTCTGTAAACAGTTCACGACATAGTTGTTTGCTTCTCCAAAGACAGCAGGATAACCTCTCTCATTTCAAATATCTCTCTTCGATCTGCTAAAACAGAGTTCCGTATATCATAATGTAATGACTAGAGTGATTACCCCATAATGACACCCATCTCATACATAATGATACCCACAGGTTCAAAGTAAAGGAACGAAGAAAGATCTACCATGCAGCAAATGGAAAGCAAAAAAGAGCAAGAATCACTATTCTTATATCATACAAAACAGACTTTAAACACATAAAAATTAACAAAAACAGAAAACGTCATTACATAATGATAAAGAATGGTACAATCCAACAAGAAGACTTAGCTGTCCTAAATAAATATGCACCCAACATTGGAGTACCCAGATTCATGAAACAAGTTTCACAAAAAGACTGAAAACTAAGCAATAATAATGGGAGACGTTAACACCTGACTGGCAGCGTTAGATAGATCATTGAGGCAGAAAACTAACAAATAAATTCTGGACGTAATTTCAACACTTGAACAATTGGGCCTAATAGACATCTACAGAACACTCCACCCAGCAACCACAGAATATACATTATTCTTGTCCATACACAAAACACATTCTAATATCCACCACACTCTCAATTATAAAGTGAGGCTGAAGAAAGTTTTTTAAAAAAGGAAAAAACTATCACTACACACACTCTTGAACAACAGTACAATAAAATAGAAATCAATATCAAGAAGATCCCATACAACTATCCAAATACATGGAAATTTTAAAAACTTGCTCCTGAATAAATCCTGGGTGAACATCTGAATTAAGGAAGAAGTCAAAATTTATTTGAAACTAATGAAAATAGGGATACAACTTACTAAAATCCCTGGAATGCAGCTAAAGCAGTATTAAGAGGAAAGTTTCTAGTGAAAAATGCCTTCAAGAAGTTAGAAATATATCAAATTAACAATTTAAATGTGTACCTGCTGGAAGTGGAAAAATAAGAGTAAACCAATGCCAAAGCTAGCAGAAGAAAACAAAAACTAAAATTGGAGAAGAAATGAATAAAACTGAGGTACAAAAACAATAGAAAGGATCAATGTAGCCAAGAAATAGCTCTCGGAAAAGAATAAACAAGATTAAATAACTGTTATCTAGAGAGATGAAGAGATAGAGAAATTGCATTATGTTTCTGACAGTCTATTGTGGGACCTTGGGTTTATTAAGTTAATACTTAATGTAATATATATTAATATATTAATATAATTATATTTATATTTTTTATGAATATTTTATATTTTTGAAATATATTAAAAATATATTTTATAAATAGAAATATATTATATATTTATGTTAAAATAATATATTAATTAATATATTATATATTATATATTTGTGTTATATGTAATATATTAATATTATATATTATATAATATTAATATAATTTTATATATCATATATGATTACATAATATAATATATTGTATATATTATATAATATTAATATAATTTTATATATCATATATGATTATATAATATAATATATTAATAAATTAATTTATTAATATATTATATTATATTAATTTATTAATATAATATATAAATATATAATATATTTCCATTTATAAAATATATTTTTAAAATATATTTTTAAATATATTTTAAAAATATAAAAATATTCATTAAATATATTTATACTAATATAATATATTAATATATATTATATTAATATAATATTATATTAAGTATTAATAAACTCAAGGTCCCACAATAGGCTGTCTGCAAGCTTGAGGAGCAGGAGAGCCAGCCCGAGTCTCAAAACTGAAGAACTTGGAGTCCATTGTTTGAGGGCAGGAAGCATCTAGCATGGGAGAAAGATGAAGGCTGGGAGGCTAGGCCAGTCTCACCTTTTCATGTTTTTCTGTCTGCTTTATATTCGCTGGCAGCTGATTAGATTGTGCCCAGCAGATTAGGGGTGGGTCTGCCTTCCCAGCCCACTGACTCAAATGTTGTTAATCTCCTTTGTCAACACCCTGAAAACACACACTTGATTGGATTCAATCCAATCAAGTTGATGCTCAGTATTAACCATCACAGTCTGATAGTATAGTCACTCAAGCTTTTTTTTATTATTTCATGGAAGTTTAATGTTTTTTCATGTTCAACTTATTTCTTTGAATCTAAAGTGAGTATGTTGTAGATAATATATAATTGGATCATGTTTTTCCTATACCTTCTTCCAATCTCTGACTTTTGATTGGGGATGTCTAGAAAATTTACATGTAATGTATTTGCTGACAAGGAAGATTTTTACTACTGTCTTTTCCCTATTTGTGTTATATAAGGTATATTTTTCTCTCAGCTCTTCAACTGCTGTCTTTTTTGTGTTAAATATTGTTACTGTATTATTTTGATTCATTTTTGTTGGTTTTACTCTATATTTTTAATTGTTTCAGTGGCTGCCTTGTGGGTCACAATTAAAATCTTAATTTACACACAACCTAAAGTTAATGTTAATCTTATTTCAATAGCACTATGAGTTTAATTGTGTCTCCCCAAAAATATGTGTTGAAGTCCTTACCCTTAGTATCTCAGAATATGGCTTTATTTGAAATAAGTTGCTGCAGATGTCATTAGATAGGATGAAGTTATACTACAGTAGATTGGGTTCCTGATTCAATATGACTGGTGTCTTCTGAAAAAGATTGATATATGAAGACACAGCAATACAGGGAGAATTCCACGTGGAGATGGAGGCAGAGTTGAAGTGATACATTTGTGAGACAAGGGACACTAAACATTGCTTGCTAGTCATTACCAGGAGCTAGTATAGTAGCATAGAAAAATTTGCACTTATAGCCTGTCAAAAAAAAAAAGAGAACCCTGCTGACACTTTGGTTTCAGACATCGAGATTACAGTACTGAGAGACAATAAATTTCTGTTTTTTGAAGCCACTGAATTAGTAATACTTCCTTACAACTTTCATATATATAAAATAAATTTGCTCACATGATGATTATGGAGACTGCAAAATCCCAAGATCTGTAGTCTGCAAGCTTATGATCCAAGAGAGACAAAGTGTAGTTCTATTATGTGTCTGAAGACCTAAGAACCAGGAGAACCTGTGGTGAAAGTTCAAATCTGAAAGCTGGCAGGCCTGAGACCCAAGAATAATGATATTTCAGTTTCTGTCCAAAAGTCAGAAAATACCAATGTTTCAGCTTAATCAATCTGGCAGAATGAGTTCCCTCTTCATCAGCCATTTTGTTTTATTCAGGCCTTCACTTGATTGGATGAGGCCTACTCACATTAGAGGGGACAATCTTCTTTACTTAGTCTACAGATCCAAATGTTATGTTTGTTTATTTAAATGGATGTATTTTATTTTAAATTGACATATAATAATTGTATATCTTTATGGGGATCACTATGGTGTTTAGATATATGTTTAAATTGTGGAATCATTAAATCAAGCTAATTAGAAAATCTATCACCTCATGTACTTTTATTGTTTAAATATTTAAAATATACTCAGCAATTTTAAAATATATGATGAGTTATTATTTATTATAATCACCATTCTGTGCAATAGATTGCTAAAGCTTATTTCTCCTGTCTAACTGAAACTTTGTACCCCTGAACAAAATCTCCCATCTCCATCTACCCAGCTCTTCCAATCTCTGGTAACCACCAAAGTGATTCAAATATTTATCTCATTCCAGAAACACTTTCACTGACACATCCGGAGTAATGTTTAGTTAAATGGTCTAATCAAGTTAACATATAAAATTAATCATCACAAGTATGTTAGAGGTGATTATGATGAAGGCTTAGAAAGAAAGACAAGAGAAGAGCTGTAGGGAAAGTTTCTACCATCTTAGATAATACATATATAACATCATAAACAGAATGTTGTTAGAGATATCAATGTTAAAAATGCTTCTGGTGATATCTGAGATGTGAAAGAGAAACATGCTAGTGGAAACTGGAAGAAAGATTATAGATTTTATAAAATGACTGAGAACCTGTCTTAATTATGTTCTATTTTTGTGGAAAGCAGAATTTGTAAATGATAAACTTGACTATTTAGCTAAGTAGACTGCTAAGCAAAGTGTGAAAGGAGCAGAGAAGAGGTAATTTTATTTTCATCGCCATCTACATCGCTGTCTTAGAGGCAACGGATGTCTGCAAATTCGGAGTCTTTCTCTCTGGGGCGCTACAGCACAGATTGATTTTCTCTTTGGCCTTTCCCCCTGCAGATACTTAACTTTCCTTGGACTGCTAAGTCAATTTCCACTTGTCTATCTGCTCTCTCCAGCTTCTAAAATCGTGTTTCATTTCTTGTCAGCTGTCATTTCCTCTCTTTTCTTTGACCTTACAGATTTCTGCCTTTAAATATTTTAATGTCATTTTAGTAGGATTTCAATAGGGAACAGCAGTTAATGTGTGGATTAAATTTACCTTGTTGAGTGCACTCAAAATCCTTGACTGGCTGTCAGGGTTCTTGCATGCTCCTCGTTTTGACATTATGAAGTTCTTCCTTTGCTGAATAACCTTTTTGTTGCATATTTGACCTAAACCTTGGGATGGAGTAAACCATTCATTTGCTTATTTCAATATTTTCATTTGTATGCTTTCAGATAAGCTGAACTTGTTCCAATCTGCTATACATAGGTTTGTTTATATCTTTACAGTAAATATCTCAGTTAAGAATTATTTTCTCTTTGTAAAGACATTGTGACTCAGATACTACTCGTAAAGTCTATAGGAACACACAGCTAGTAAATGGCATAATTGAAATTCAAATGGAAATCTGATTCTAAAATATACTTGTAGCAACATAGCTGATTCCTGTTACTGTATCTGCTCCTGTAAATTTTGTAAATTCATTACAATTTTTAAAATATAAAATATTTTCATATATTTATTTAGTCTTTGCTACCATGAATAGCTTCAATGGGAATGATGATTAATTCTAGAATGTGCTTGTCTTTTACATTTCTATGATTTTTAGGGTTAAAATAAACCTTGTTGGTTTACAAATGATTCCTGAATGATTTCTTTCCTCTAAATGCTACAGCACTTCACTACAAGGTCTGCAAAGAAGCTATGTGGGGGAGTGAAGTAGGAGGTGACTGAGATTATGTAATTAAGTTCATATATGTCATAATTTTTCATTGTTCCCACTGTTTTAGAGAAAAGTAACAAAGGAGAAGACATGTGGGCGTGTAGAGAAATGCAAGGTGGAGATATTAATGCTACAGTATAATCTTCTGTGGGTGTTTAGCCTGGGGATGAGAAAACTAAGGAGAACCATGCCAGTTGTGTTGAAATATTTGAAGAGCTGTCATGCAGAAGAGAGAATAGACTTTTTTCTGTAGGCCCAGAGGGTATAACTAACATTAAGGGAAGAAAGTCATAGGGTAGAAAAATTTTATTCAATTTAAGGAATAACTTTCTAATAGTGCATAGTATTGGAACAGGTGGCTGCATAAAGTCCCACGAAGTGTTCATTCTAATGCTGAATACCCATGCACCAAGAATCCTGTGGAAATGATGCTTGCAGGGATTAAAGAATGAAGTAGAATCTAATCTAATATAGCCTCTTCCTACTAGAATGCCAAACTCAGAAAGACTTTCTCTCTGTTCTCTCTTTCTCTCTCTCTCGTGCTCTCTTTGTCTAATTTATCTGTATACCTATTTAATTTCCAAAAAGATGAGATTGACAGAAAGGAAGTGTAAGAGTTAAAAAGAATAATGTGTGTATGCGTGTGCATGTGTGTGTGAAAAAATGGATTTTAAAGGTATTGGATGCCCGTTGAGAATGTTTATATTCCTCTACCCCTTGAGGTTTATGGTTAGCAAAAAAATAGTAACAAAGATAATTTTTGTTATATCTTATTGTATGGCAGAAGGAGATTTCCATAGTAGAATAAAAAAAACTTTTAAATCAGAGATAACCTGGGTTCAAATTCCAACTTTCTCACTTTCAGCTTTTTGACCTTGAAAAAGTAACTGAACCTTTATAAACCTTCATTTTTTTACTATAAAATTTGGATAATAAAGTACCTTAACTGTAGGGTTACTGAGAAATTAAATGAGACAAGTCACATGAAGCACACTTTATATTGCCTAGTATGTAGACAGCAATAATAAATCCTGGCTTCATATATTTCCTTACTTTAGTTTACATTGTTTTTACAAACGTATCACATCAGCTGATAGAATTTTGATGTCGTCATTTAAGTTTCTGGTTATCTGGTGTAGAATGCAACTGTTTTTCTGATTTAAGATAATTCAATCAACAAATTTTTCTTGAGCTCCAATTTTGCTCATTCTACCTTTCTCTCCATGCAAAAAGAAAGTGAGAAATGTCATTTCATTTGGCAATGGTTAAACATAGGCAAACCTTTAGAAATATTTCTTTATTTTAAAATTTGTGCTTGTAAAATACTTAGTTATAATATATGTTTACTAATTTACTGTTTTTTAAAGTTGTTTTATTACGGAAAAACAATTTTGGTGCTATACACCCCAGAGAATACTTTAATGCTCAATTATCTGAAAAAATAATCTATGGTATGCTTTTTCACAGCCCTGCTGAATTCTAGGTACTCTTCCTCGAATTTGTGTGAGAAAATGTGTAGACTCACAGTTTACTTCAGAATTAAAAATATTACTACAGAATACATTCAAATTTTATACCTCTGATTGCAGCATATTGAAATGCTTAAGAAGTTCCATTAGTGCAGATGATGACAACTATGTATGCAAAAGTACCAGAGAAATTTTATGTGTGTTTTTATGCATGTATCTTTGTGTATGGTTACAGTATGATCGTGGCAAATGTATAAGATACACACATGTTACACTTTTCATGCCTGATTAATTCATAAAAGGCATGTGTGTGAGTGTATGTATGTGTGTATTTGCTTATGCTCACTTTCTGTGCTTGTCTAAATAATGAAGATTTTTTTCCTGTATCTATGCTTTCAGAAACCATACCTGACTAACTGGTGGGGAATGTGTATTTACATTTTGCCACTACACTAATTATTTCTGATTAAATTTTCTAGTTGCTTACGTAAATCATGAATTGGATTCTCGTGTTAATTTGACTAAAACTACCAACTAGTAAATATTTTCAATTAAGTGATTTTCTTCATAATTCCCATCAATGATTCTTTGTTCTTGTTTTTTAAAGAATATTTTGATTAAAATACAATAGTGTCGTTGTAAAATGATTGACAAGTATAATGAATGAAATAAAAATAGTTGAAGATTTTTAAACCAAAACAAATTCAGTGATAAATGTTAATATATTTTATTCTAGTTGTTTGTATGTCTGTATGTAGCAGATAAAAGAAAATCTCCATGGGAATTGAGATGCAAATGAGATTGAGACATCATTAGGATAAAAATGTTAGAATCATGAATGTCAGAAAAAAAATTAGTACCTGGTAAACTTGAGGAAATCTTTGTACTTTCCAAAGATAAAAAGAAAGTTGTTGCAAATCAATTTATTTTTATTCCGAAAAGACAAAGTGATCCAGCTGATATACAGTTATAGATAAATGCATGTACAGTCATACAGTGTATATCCTGATGCTTTATATAATATGTGACAGCAAGCTTGTCTTTCTTCTTTAATAATTGTTGAAAATTTAATTTTTGTGACCACATGGTAATTGATTACAAGAAGGGACTATAGTGTGTTTATTTATTCATTTCTTGAACATTTCCATTGCTTTCTACTTTAAAATTGCTTTAACAGTGCTGCAGTGAAGATACATGTACTCAAATATTTTTTAATAATTCTACTAATTTTCATTAATTATATTCCTGGAAATGCATGTAGAAAATTAAATGATATAGATATTTTAAATATTCTTATTACCATATTACTTGATTATTTTTGCCACATTACTTTCTAGAACAGTTGTGTCAATCTGTTTTCTTGTTGGGAAGGTAAAATGCAAACATTAGATGTCTAGAACCCAATAAAAAAGACAATGTAAACAAGTTGTATTAGTTTGTTCTCACACCATTATGAAGAAATACCTGAGACACAGTAATTTAAAAAAACAGAAGTTTAATGGACTCACAGTTCCACATGGCTGGGGAGGCCTCAAAATCACAGTGGAAGGGAAAAGAGGAGCAAAGGCAAGTCTTAGAAGGCAGCAGGCAAGAGAGTATGTGCAGAGGAACGGCCCTTTATAAAACCTTCAGGTCTCATGAGACTTATTCACTATTATAAGAACAGCAAGAGAAAAAAAACCCGCTCCCATGATTCAGTTGAGTCCTGTCAGGTCCATCCCATGGCATGTAGGGATTATGGGAACTAAAATTCAAGATGATATTTGGTTGAGGACACAGCCAAATCATATCATTCTGCCCCTCACCCCTTCCTTTCAAATCTCATTTTCTCACATTTCAAAACACAATCATGCCTTCCCAACAGTCCCCCAAAATCTTAACTGCTTTCAGCATTAACTCAGAAGTCCACAGTCCAATGTGTCATCTGAGAAAAGGCAAGTCTCTTCGGCCTGCAAGCCTGTAAAATCGAAAGCAAGCTGGTTACTTCCTAGATACACGGGGGTGAAGGCATTGGGTAAATACACCCAAATGGGAAAAAATGGCAAAACGAACAGGCTACAGGCCACATAAAAGTCCAAAATTCAGTGAGGCTGTTAAATATTAAAGCTCCAAAATGACCTCCTTTGACTGAAGGTCCCACATCCAGGTCACACTGATGCAAGAGGTAGGCTCCCACAGCCTTGGGCAGCTCTGCCCCTGAGACTTTGCAGGGTACAGACTCTCTCCTGGGTACTTTCACAGCATTTTCCACCCCTGCTGAAAACTTACTTCTGCCTGGACATCCAGGCATTTCCATACATCCTCTGAAATCTAGCTAGAGATTCCCAGCAAGATCACCATCTACATCTGAGACCACCTCAGCCTGGATTTTATTGTTCATTTCACTATCAGCATTTTGGTCAAAGCCATCCAACAAGTCTCTAGGAAGCTCTAAACTTTCTCACATTTTTCTGTCTTCTTCTGAACCCTCCAAACTCTTTCAACCTCTGCCTGTTACCCAGTTCCAAAGTTGCTTCCACATTTTTCGGTATCTTAATAGCAGTACCCCACTCTACTGATACCAATTTACTGTATTAGCTCATTCTCATACTGCTATGAAGAAATAACAAGACTGGGTAATTTATAAAGAAAAAGGTTTAAAGGACTCACAGATTCACATGGCTGGGGAGGCCTCACAATCATGGCAGAAGGCAAAGGAGGAAGAAAGGCATGTTTTACATGGTGGAAAGCAAGAGAGCATGTGCAGGGGAACTGCCCTTTATAAAACCATCATATCTCATGAAACAGTCACTATCACGAGAACAGCACTGGAAAAACCCACCCCCATGATTCAATTACTTCCTGCTTGGTGTCTCCCATGATAAGTGGGGATTATGGGAGTTACAGTTGAAGATGAGAATTGGAGTGGGACACCGTCAAACCATATCACAAATAGTAGAAAAAGACCTACAGCACATTAACATAGTTGCGTTACCACACAGGCTTTAAAATTAAAGTTATTTTTGCATGAAATAAAACACAAGAAATATGTTTTTGCATGAAACAATGAAAATAGTCAATAAAATAATGGAAAGTATGGTAACTTAAATAATTGGATTCTATGAGAAATAACCAAATAAATATTCTAGAGATTAAAAACGCAGTGTCTCAAACTTAGGCCATATAAAATATGTTTAACAGCAAACAGGACATGGCAGAAGACAAATTAGTAAAATGGAAAAGATATCAATGGAAAATAGTCAATATGAAGCACAGGGCAATAATGATTTTTTTTTACTGGACACAGTGTAAGGAAAATGTGAGCACATTAAAATATCTAACATACATGTTGTTAGAGGTACAGAAAGAGAAGAGAGAGAAAATAGAGCAGATGTAATATTTGAATATGTAATACCAAAAATTGATAGACTTCAATTGACAAATTCAAGAATGTGAGTGAACCCCAACCAAAATAAAAACAAAGAGAACCCCATGTATATGCTTAGTCAAATTACTGTAAGCTGAAGTCAAAGTGAAAAAACATATCTTAAAAAAATAGCTGTGATTTGGGAAGAGACATACAATGTTACTTTCAAATCAGCCACAGTAATACTAACAACTAGATTATTTTCCATAAGAAATGGAGCCAGAAGACAATAGAAAGTTATTATTAAAATACTAAGTAAAACAAAATCCTAATAAAGAGAAAGACCTACCAACCTATGATAGTATCCCTAATAAAAATATCACTCAAACTGAAAGCTAAATAAATCATTTTCAAACAAAAGATTGATGAGATAATTCATCAGCAGAATTGCTAAGTGAATTTCTCAAGCTGAAATCAATGATGATACCACATGAGAAGCAGAATCACAGTAAAAAAAAAATGAAGAGTATTAGAAGCTTTAATATATAAATAATTATAAAATAATATTTTAATAATATTGTTAACACAGAAACAACAAAATCTTGGTAGATTTATAATAAATATGTATATAAATATATGACAAATATCACAAAAGGCATGGAAATGGTGCGAATAGTTATATATGCTTTGTAAAATTTGTGCAGTTTTATAAAAATATTAGTACTACTAAAAAATGGTTGATTATAATAACTAGGAATGCATTCTGTAACCTAAAGATGTTAATAAAAATTAATAAAAGAATGTACAAGTAAAACTTAATATAATAGAACTAATTGTATAAGAATGTATGATTAATTGAAAATAAATAAATTTACCAAAAACAAAGAAGAAATAATGAAACAAGTTGCAAAATGGTTGACTTGAACCTACCTATGTTAGTAATTGTTTTAAATGTACATGTACTAAACACTCTAATTGAAAAGCAAACTGTCGGAACAATTAGAAAATACAACTAGATGCTGTTTAAAAAGGACATATATTAACTACAACAACACAGAAAGTCTGGAAGAGAAAGGACAGAAAAGATATACCACACAATCTCTAAATAAAGTTACTGTAGGTAAATATAAACTATATCAAAATATCAGACCATGTTGAAAGTAACAACTTTTATTCTTTGGACCATAAACCCACACACAGAAGAAGATTATTAAAATATGCATTTAACAAAAGATTTTATTTAGAATAGATAAAGAAATCCTGGAAGTCATTAAAAACAAGATAGGCAATTAAATTTAAAACTAAATGGTAGGCTGGATACAGTGGCTCAGTCTTGTAAACCCAGCACTTTGGGAGGCTGTGGTGAGAGAATTGCTTGAGTCTAGAAGTTTGAGACCATCCTGGGCAACATAGCGAGAACCTTTCTTTAAAAAAAAAATAAAAATTAGCCAGGCTTGGTGGTGTGTACTCCAGAGGCTGAAGTGGGAGGATTACTTTATCCCAGGAATTCAAGACTGCAGTAAACTACGATCATGCCACTGTACTCTAGACTGGGTGACAGAGAGTCTAGTCTCTGTCTATAAATAAATAAATAAATAAATATAACATAGTAAAAGAACCTGAACAAGACTTTCAGAAAATGATATGTACATGACCAATAAGCACATAGGATAATGATCAACACAACTAGTCATTAATCGAATGAAAATAGAATCACAATGAGACACTACTACAGACCTACTGATGACTAAAATTAAAAAGACAAATAATACCAAATGTTGACAAGGATGTAAAGGAACTGACAATCCCATATTTTGCCAGTGGAAATATAAATTGCTGTCAGTTTTTCAGAAATAATTTTGGCTGTTTCTACTATATCTAAGAATACATACATCTGGTGAGCCAGCAATTTCACTCCAAGAGAAATGAGTTCTTACCTTCACCATGACATGAGCAAGAATATTCATAACAGTTTTATACATTATAGCCATAAACATAAACTGCCAGTTAAACGAGGAGTTTGAGGAGATTTTGGTTGAAAAGTACAAAGATTTAGTTAGAATGATGAATAAGTTCCAGAGCACTATTGTACAGCATGGTGACTGTAGTTAATAGTTAACATAATGTATACTTTAAAATTGTTTATAGAGTAGATCTTACCTGCCTTCAACACCAAAAAATAATAAGTACGTATGGTGATGGATATGTTTATTAGCTTGATCCCGTCATTCCTCACTTTATACATATATAAAAATATCATATATGCTTCAAATATATATATAGTTTTTTGTTAATTATAGCATAGTGAAGCTGAAACAAGATAAAATAAAATGTGGGGGAGTTTTACCATATGGAGAAGCTGGTAATAGCACAATAACAATAATAATAACAGTAATAATTGTTATATAACCCAAATATTTCAAAGAATGAATGATAGTTAAAAGCTACATATCTTATATTACAATTTTAGTTATACTATTTATCTAAAGAAGCCAAAGCTTAAATATAATTAATTGATATTTTAAAAAGTAAATACTTTTATCGGGAAATGCAGAAAAGAGAGCACTTTCCAGCTTTCAGTAGAAAGCCAGCATT
The DNA here is from genome assembly GCF_000001405.40 of Homo sapiens. Taxonomy (NCBI): domain Eukaryota; kingdom Metazoa; phylum Chordata; class Mammalia; order Primates; family Hominidae; genus Homo; species Homo sapiens. The sequence goes on along the minus strand of NC_000023.11, from coordinate 144,204,607 downwards.
GTCCTGACATCAAAATCTGATACGTAAATTATAATAGAAAACTACAGAAAAATGTCTGTCATGAATATAGATGCAAAAAAATTTATAAAACATTAGGATACAAAATCCATCAATTTATAAAATGTATACTACATCATAACCAAGTGGATTTTTTACCTGGAATTTAATATTGGTTTAATATTTGAAAATCAATCAGCGTGATTCACCATGAACAGAGAAGCGGAGAAAAATCAGAAAATTAGAAGTGCATTTCCTTTATCTGATAAATAACATCTAAGAAAACCTTCAATTTATATCATATTTATTGGTGAAAAACTGAGCTCTAAACTGGGGAAGAAGAAAAGGGTATCTGTGCACACCATTTGAAGTCAAAATTGTAATGAAAGCCATAACAAGTAAGACAAGGTTGAAAAAATATGCAAGGCCTCAGCCTGAGAAGCAAGAATTAAAGCTCTCCTTATATGAAGATTATATGATCATAGATGTAGAATATAGTAAAAAATGCACAGAAAATCTACTAGCACTAGCAAATGACTTTTGCACATATTCAGGATACAGTGTGAATATATAGAAAAAATAGATTTTTTGCTTACTAGTAACAAACAATTGGAAAGAGATTTAAAATATCACTCAAACTAACACAATATGAAACAATTGGATATGAATTTAACAAAATACATGCAAAAATTATACACTGTAACACATAAACATTGCTGAGAAAAAGTTAAAAAGCCATAAATGAGTGGGAAAAGATATTGTATTCATGAATTTGAAGGTCCAATATTGTTAAGATGCCCATATTCATAAAATGTTACATAGATTTATTGTAATCTCACACGAACACGAGGATTTTTAAAAAAATGGTTAAGTGGATTTGAAACTTATAAGAAGCAAAAGACCTATAATGCAGAAAAACAATTTTGAAAAAGAAGCCCAACGTTGTAATACTAACATTAGCAAATTGAAGACTCAATATATAACTGCTGTATATGATCAATTGATTTTCTGACTAAGGTGCTAAGGTAACTAAGTATGGAATTAATAATATGTCAACAAATAGTTCTGAGAAAAACAGGACATCTGTAGATAAAAAAATACATATTTACATTTATCTCACTCCATATACAAAAATGAACTGGAAATGCATCATAGATCTAAATATAACAACCAAAATTAAAAGCTTTTAGAAAAAATTGTAGGAAGATGTTGCTGACTTTGAGGTAGGCAAAGGGTTCTTAGACATATAAGAACAAATTCTAGTCATAGAAGAAAAATGATCTGATACAGCTGAAAATGTCACTATAAGAATTTTATAATACAATCAGAAATATCAACAAGAGAAAGGAATAAGCAGAGGAAAGAATCTCAGTGTTCAAAAAAATCCGTTCTTTGAATCAACTCAGTCAGACAATTATAAAGAAAAAAGAATAAAAAGAATGATTAAAACCTCTGAAAAATATGGGATTACGTAGACACCAAACCTATGACTCATTGGTCATTGTGTTGTGGGAATTGAGGGACTAGAGAGACCAATGTGTGGAACAGGAGAATTTTATTTAGGTGACCACTGGCTCAGTGAACTAACATCCACAGGCTGAGCCCTGAACAAAGACAGGGCTCCACTTTTATACATGCATCTGAAAAGGGTGTGAAATCTGTAAGGCGGGTAAGCAAGCTTACAGAAGCAGAACAAAGGCAGTTTATCAACCAGTGACAGGTTTTACAACTCAAGCCAGGTGTTGCAACTCAGGCATATCTTGTGACCTTCGTTGTGCTGCACAGAAGGGAAAAACAGGAACTTACAAAACTTGCAAAGATAATTGTGAGAATAGTAAGGGGGAAAGTGGAAGCTGAAAGAGAAAAACTTGTTTTTCCCAACCTTGCTCTGGGTTTGGAGGGAGAGACTCTGGAGCCCATTCCTTCTTAGCCTTGGCTCTGCAGATAGTGCTATCAAAGCCTCCACAGAGCCCTGCCCTTCCCTGGGTCTTGGAGTGAGTGAGCCTAGTACAGAAAAACTTGTTTTTCTTTTTATATCTTCTGCTTCAATTGGTGTCCTTGAAAGAAAGTGAGAGAGAGCAAACAACTTGGAAAACATATTTAAGGATATTGTACACAAGATTTTCATCAACACTACTATAGAGGTCAACATTCATATCCAGGAAACTCACATAACCCCTGTGAGATACCATACAGGATGACCATTCCCAAGACACATAGTCCTTGATCCTCCAAGGTCAAAGAAAAAGAAAAAATATTAGTGGGAACTAGAGAGAAGAGACAGACAAATAGAGAAAGAAAGAAGGAAGGAAGGAAGAAAGAAGAAAGAAAGAAAGAAGAAAGAAGAAAGAAAGAAGGGAAAGAAAGAAAGAGAAAGAAAAAGAGAGAGAGGGAGGACGGAAGGAAGGAAGGAAGGAAGGAAGGAAGGAAGGAAGGAAGGAAAAAAAAGAAAAGAAAAGAAAGGAAAACAGAAACAAAATATCAGGCCAACAGTGGATCATTCAGCAGAAACCCTACAAGCCAGAAGAGACTGGGGACCTATATTCAGCATTGTTAAAGAAAAGAAATTTCAACCAAGAATTTAATATCTAGCCAAACTACACTTCATAAGTGAAGGAAACATTAAATATTTATTAGACCAAGAAAATGCTGAGAGAATTTGTTACCACCAGAGCTGCCATATAAGAGTTCCTTAAGGGAGTACTAAATTTGGAAACAAAAGGCCCTAACCAGCTATTGCAAGAATCATTGACAATGTAAATGAACAACACAATCAAGTCATCATAACAACTAGCTTACAACACAATAACAGAATTAAATCCACAGGTATCAATATTAACATCCAATGAAAATGGCTACATGCTCCACCTAAAAGGCACAGAGTGACAAATTGGGTAAAGCAGCCAAACATAACTGTATACTGCCTTCAAAATAGCCATCTGACATGCAATGACACCCATAAGCTCAAAGTAAAGGGGTAGATAATAACTTATCATCAAACAGAAAGAAAAATGAGCAAGGGCTGCTATTCTTATTTCAGACAAAACAGACTTTAAACCAACAATCATCAAAAAGGACAGAGAAGAGCGTTACATAATGATAAAAGTTTCAATTCAAAAATATGTGACTATTCTCTCTATATATGGACCCAATACAGGAGCCCCCAGATTCATCAAACAAGTTCTTAGAGACACACAAATAGACAGATAACCACACGGTAAAACTGGGAGACTTCAACATTCCAGTAAAGGAATTAGACAAATCATCAAAGCAGAAAACTAACAAAGACATTCAGGACCCAAATTTGATACTTAACTAAATAGACCTAACCTCTACCAAACCTTCCACCCAACAACAACAGAATATACATTATTCTCATCTGCACATGGCACATACCCTGAAATTGACGACACAGTTAGTCATAAAGCAATTCTCGACAAATTCATAAAAACTGATATCACACCAACCACACTCTCAGACCACAGTGCAATATAAATAGAAATCAATATCAATAAGATTTCTGAAAATTATAAAATTACATTAAAATTAAACAACCTGCTGCTGAATTACTTTGGGTAAAGAATAAAATTAAGGCAGAAATCAAGAAATTCTTTGAAACTAGTGAAAACAAAGATACAACGTACCGGAATCTCTGGGGTGTAGCAAAAATAGTGTTAAGAGGACAGATTATGACACTAAATGTCTACATCAAAAAGTTAGAAAGATCTAAAATTAACAACCTAACATGACACCTAGAAGAACTAGAAAAATAAGAGGCAACCAACACCCAATCTGCCAGAAGAAAAGAAATAACCAAAATCAGAGTTGATCTGAAGGAAATTAAGAAGGGAAAAATAATGCAAAAGATGCAAAAAACCAAAACTTGGTTTCTTGAAAGAATAAATAAGTTTGATACACTTCTAGTTAGAATAATGGGAAAAATAAGAAGATTTAAATAGAAACATTCAAAAATGAGAAGAACACATTACTACTGACTATACAGAAATACAAAAAACCCTCAGGGACAATTACAATCACATCTATGCACACAAATTAGAAAACCTAGAAGAATTAAATAAATTCCTGGAAACACAAAACCTCCCAAGATTTAACCAAATGTAAATTAAAACCATAAACACACCTCTAAGGAGTTCTAAAATTGAATCACAAATAAAAAGCTGATCAACCAGAAGAAGCACAAGACCAGTTGAATTCACAGTCAAGTAGTACTACCAGACATATAAAGAAGAGCTGGTATTAATTCTACTGAAACTGTTCCAAAAAGTTGAAGAGGAGGCACTCCTCCCTATCTCATCCCATAAAGCCCACATCATTCTGATACCCACACCAGTCAAACACACTGCAAAAAAGGAAACTTTAGGTCAACTTTCCCAATAAACTTAGATGTAAAATTCTTCAACACAATACAAACAAAGTTAATCCAGCAACACATCAAAAAGCTAATCCACCATGATCAAGTAGGCATCATTCCTGGGATGCAAAGTTGGGTCAATATATGCAAATCAATAAATGTGATGCATCACATAAACAGAACTAAAACCAAAAACCACGTGATTATAGATGTAGAAAAGACTTTCAATAAAACTGAACTTCCTTTGTGTTAAAAACCCTTGACAAACTAGGCATCAAAGGAAGATAGCACAAAATACTAACAGCCATCTATGACAAACCCATTGCCAACATAATACTGTACAGGTAAAAGCTAGAAGCATTCCCTTTGAGAACCAGAATTAAACAAGGATACCCACTTTTACAACTCCTATTGAACAAAGTATTGGACATCTTAGGCCCATTCTATTTCCGCAGAAGAATAATGAGATGTTCAACAAAGCTGACGATAAGAAGCAATGGGAAAAGGATTCTCTATTCACTAAATGGTGCTGTGATAACTGGCTAACCATATGCAGAGGATTGATACTGAATTACTTCATTTCCCCATATCCCAAAATCAACTCAAGATGGATTATAGACTTAAATGTAAAACCCAAAACTATAAAAACCCTAGAAGAAAACCTATGAAATACCATTCTGGACATAGGTCCTGGCAAAGGTTTCATAAAAAAAAATCCAAAAGCTACTGCAACAAAAATAAAAATTGACAAGTGAACCTAATGAAACTAAAGAGCTTCTGCACAGTAAAAGAAACCGTCAACAGAAAAAACAGACAATCTACAGAATGACGGAAAATATTTGCAAACTATGCATCCAACAAAGGTCTAATGTTCAGAATCTATAAGACACTTGAACAAATTAACAGGCAAAAAACAAACAACCCCATTTAAAAAATGGGCAAAGGCCATGAACAGAGACTTCTCAAAAGAAGACATATATGTGGCTAACAAGCATATGAAAAATGCTCAATATCACTAATCATAAGAGAAATGCAAATCAAAACCACAATGAGATACCATCTAATAACAGTCAGAATGGCTATTATCAAAAAGTCAAAAAATAACAGATTCTGGTGATGTTGTAGAGAAAACCATTTGACCCAGCAATCCTATCCCTGGGTATATACCCAATGGAATATAAATAGTTCTAACGTAAAGACACGTGCACTCATATGTTCTTCACAGCACTATTCACAATGGGAAATCAACATAGATGCCCATCAGTGGCAGACTGGATAAAGAGAATATGGTACATGTACACCATGGGATACTATGCAGCCATAATAAAGAAGAAAATTGTGTCTTTTGCAGCAACATGGATGGAGCTGGAGGCTATTATCCTAAATGAATTAATGCAGAAAAAGAAACCAAATACCACATATTCTCACTTATAGGTAGGAGTTACACAATGAGTACACGGGAACACAAAACATGGAACAGTAAATACCACAGCCTACTTGAAGGTGGAGGGTATGAGGAGGGTGAGGATTGAAAATCCACCTACTGGGTACTAGGATTATTATCCAGATGATAAAATGATCTATACGCCAAACCTTCACATGTACTCCCAAACCTAAAATAAATGTTGGAAAGAAAAAAAAACACATTATTTCTCAAGAGTGTTTACACAAATAGCACACTTACTGTAAAAGCCAGAAAATGGAAATAACTGACCAATGAAGAAATAAATTGTGGTTCATCCATATGGTGTGTACTGAATTTAAGAGTATCCCCTTCAAAGTTATGTCCACCCAGAAGGTGTGAATAGGATCTTATTTGGATATAGGATCTCTGCGTATGTAGTCAAGTTAAGATGTGGTCATGAAGGATTAGGGTAAATTCTAATCCAGTGACTGGTGTCCCTATAAGAAGAGGGAAACTTCGACACCAATATACTCAGAGGAAAATGGCTATGTAAAGACAGAGGCTGAGATTAGATTTATGCTGCCACAACCTGAAGAAGAGCAAGGATTGATGGTAACTCCCAGAGGCTAGAAGAGGCAAGAAAGAATATTTTGATAGAGCTTTTGGAGGCAATATGGACTTGCCATACTCATTGATTTTGAACTTTTATTCTCCAAGAACTTTGAGATGATAAAATTCTGTTATTTTTAGCTGCACAGTTTGTGGTAATTTGTTATGGCAGCCTTAGAAAGTAGTACATAGAGGATGTTACCCAGAAAAAAACATAAATGAACCCTTGATATACAAAACATGGATGTATTTTAAAAAAAACTTTAAAAAGAAGTTGAAATGAAAAATGCATGTAGTATGAAGTCCTTTATATACAGTTTTAGAAAGGTAAAACTGTTAATAAGATAAAGGAGACCAGTATTTTCCTTTGTTCAGATGTGTGAGGAATTCACTGCAAAGAGCATGAGGTAGTTTTATGAGAAAAAAAGAAATACTCAATATCTTTTTCTATATAGTTATTGATGTATATACATTTGTCAATATAAATCAAATTGTACACTTAAAATGACTGCATTTTATGCTATACAAATCATAGCTCAGTAAAGTTTATTTTAAACAGAAAAGAAATATATGCATTGTAGAAAACTTAAAAATATATTTAAAATGATGTTTATATAATTGTATTAGAAGGAAATCACTGTTAAATTTTGACACAATCATGTTCTATCCTAACTTTCTCACTTGTCACATCAATTTCCCAAATCAACAAGACACTTTAATGGGACTATAACTTTCTAATCTGTATGACAGTTGATATAGTTTGGGTGTCTTCTCTAAATCTCATGTTGAGATGTAATCCTCAGTATTGGTGTTGGGGCCTGGTGAGAGGTGTGTGGATCATGGGAGCACATCCCTCATGAATGGCCTACCAACATTTCCTTGGTGATGAGTGAGTTTACACAAGATCTAGTTGTTTAAAAGTATGTGGTACATCCCCCCTTCTCTCTTGCTCCTGCTCTGGCCTTGTGACATCCCTCCTCCCGCTTCACCTTTCACCATGAGTGAAAGCTCCCTTGAGGCCGACTCTGAAGCTGAGCAGTCGCTATTAATAGCACCATGCTTGTACAACCTGCAGAACCCTGAGTCAATTAAACCTGTTTTCCTTATAAATTACCCAGTTTCAGATATTCCTTTATAGCAATGTGAGAAAAACCTAACACCACAGTCTCATATTACAATCATATAATTTCTTTAAATTTTAAATATAGGTTTGGTAAGCTATTGATTATTGCCACAATTTCAGAGCCTGTTATTGGTCTATTCAGAGAGTCAACTTCTTGCTGGTTTAGTCTTGGGAGGGTGTATCCAGGACCAGATGGATTCACAGTCGAATTCTACCAGAGGTACAAGAAGGAACTGGTACCATTCCTTCTGAAACTATTCCAATCAATAGAAAAAGAGGGAATCCTCCCTAACTCATTTTATGAGGCCAGCATCATCCTGATACCAAAGCCGGGCAGAGACACAACAAAAAAAGAGAATTTAGACCAATATCCTTGATGAATATTGATGCAAAAATCCTCAATAAAATACTGGCAAACTGAATCCAGCAGCACATCAAAAAGCTTATCCACCATGATCAAGTAGGCTTCATCCCTGGGATGCAAGGCTGGTTCAATATACGCAAATCAATAAATGTAATCCAGCATATAAACAGAACCAAAGACAAAAACCACATGATTATCTCAATAGATGCAGAAAAGGCCTTTGACAAAATTCAACAACCCTTCATGCTAAAAACTCTCAATAAATTAGGTATTGATGGGATGTATCTCAAAATAATAAGAGCTATCTATGACAAACCCACAGCCAATATCATACTGAATGGGCAAAAACTGGAAGCATTCCCTTTGAAAACTGGCACAAGACAAGGATGCCCTCTCTCACCACTCTTATTCAACATAGTGTTGGAAGTTGTGGCCAGGGCAATTAGGCAGGAGAAGGAAATAAAGGGTATTCAATTAGGAAAATAGGAAGTCAAATTGTCCCTGTTTGCAGATGACATGACTGTATATCTAGAAAACCCCATCGTCTCAGCCCAAAATCTCCGTAAGCTGATAAGCAACTTCAGCAAAGTCTCAGGATACAAAATCAATGTATAAAAATCACAAGCATTCTTATACACCAATAACAGATAAACAGAGAGCCAAATCATGAGTGAACTCCCATTCACAATTGCTTCAAAGGCAATAAAATACCTAGGAATCTAACTTACAAGGGACGTGAAGGACCTCTTCAAGGAGAACTACAAACCACTGCTCAATGAAATAAAAGAGGATACAAACAAATGGAAGAACATTCCATGCTCATGGGTAGGAAGAATCAATATCATGAAAATGGCCATACTGCCCAAGGTAATGTATAGATTCAATGCCATCCCCATCAAGCTACCAATGACTTTCTTCACAGAATTGGAAAAAACTACTTTAAAGTTCATATGGAACCAAAAAAGAGCCCGCATGGCCAAGTTGATCCTAAGCCAAAAGAACAAAGCTGGAGGCATCACACTACCTGACTTCAAACTATACTACAAGGCTACAGTAACCAAAACAGCATGGTACTGGTACCAAAACAGAGATATAGATCAATGGAACAGAACAGAGCCCTCAGAAATAATGCCGCATATCTACAACTATCTCATCTTGGACAAACCTGAGAAAAACAAGCAATGGGGAAAGGATTCCCTATTTAATAAATGGTGCTGGGAAAACTGGCTAGCCATATGTAGAAAGCTGAAACTGGATCCCTTCCTTACACCTTATACAAAAATTAATTCAAGATGGATTAAAGACTTAAACATTAGACCTAAAACCATAAAAACCCTAGAAGAAAACCTAGGCATTACCATTCAGGACATAGGCATGGGCAAGGACTTCATGTCTAAAACACCAAAAGCAATGGCAACAAAAGCCAAAATTGACAAATGGGATCTAATTAAACTAAAGAGCTTCTGCACAGCAAAAGAAACTACCATCAGAGTGAACAGGCAACCTACAGAATGGGAGAAAATTTTCGCAACCTACTCATCTGACAAAGGGCTAATATCCAGAATCTACAGTGAACTCAAACAAATTTACAAGAAAAAAACAAACAACCCCATCAAAAAGTGAGCGAAGGACATGAACAGACACTTCTCAAAAGAAGACATTTATGCAGCCAAAAAACACATGAAAAAATGCTCACCATCACTAGCCATCAGAGAAATGCAAATCAAAACCACAATGAGATACCATCTCACACCAGTTAGAATGGCAATCACTAAAAAGTCAGGAAACAACAGGTGCTGGAGAGGATGTGGAGAAATAGGAACACTTTTACACTGTTGGTGGGACTGTAAACTAGTTCAACCCTTGTGGAAGTCAGTGTGGCGATTCCTCAGGGATCTAGAACTAGAAATACCATTTGACCCAGCCATCCCATTACTGGGTATATACCCAAAGGACTATAAAACATGCTGCTATAAAGACACATGCAGACGTATGTTTATTGCGGCACTATTCACAATAGCAAAGACTTGGAACCAACCCAAATGTCCAACAATGATAGACTGGATTAAGAAAAGGTGGAACATATACACCATGGAATACTATGCAGCCATAAAAAATGATGAGTTCATGTCCTTTGTAGGGACATGGATGAAATTGGAAATCATCATTCTCAGTAAACTATTGCAAGAACAAAAAACCAAACACCGCATATTCTCACTCATAGGTGGGAATTGAACAATGAGAACACATGGACACAGGAAGGGGAACATCACACTCTGGGGACTGTTGTGGGGTGTGGGGAGGGCGGAGCGATAGCTTTAGGAGATATACCTAATGCTAAATGACGAGTTAATGGGTGCAGCACACCAGCATGGCACATGGATACATATGTAACTAACCTGCACATTGTGCACATGTACCCTAAAACTTAAAGTATAATAATAATAAAATAAAAAAATAAAATTTTAAATATAGGTTTTTAATAGTTTTTGCTTTAAATTATTCAATTCAATTTTACTTATTCTGATACACGGTTTCAGAATAAAAATAATTATTAATAGTGTTTTGCAGTTATGATATTTTTAATTTTATAATTATTTAAAAGTACCTTTTCTTATCTGATATATTTACACATATTCTTGATTGTTTAGATATTATAATGTAGTCAAGGACTCGGTACATCTAGGCTGATAGCAAAACATTCACTCTTGTTCTGATTTGCCTATTATATATTTCAGTGATGATTCATGAAGGTTTTCTTGTTTTTACTTTTTAAAATAATTTCACGTAATTTTAGGTGACAGAATAATTTTTATGTTTCGAAATTAATAAAGGTGAATTAATGTCATGTGGAGATACATTATATATATATATATATTCAAGTGAATTCGTCCAGAAAGATGGAATTTTAAATTTCCATTTCTTAAGTCTCTCAGTAATTTCTAAAATTTCTTAAGATATTATCTGTTATTTGTATTAATTTTTTATTTTATTTTACAATTTCATTGTTTCTTCAAATATATATTTCTATTATATTTTCTAACCTGTAATATCTCATTTATAAGGAAATTATTGATTTTGTATATTTAGTTTATAATCATCCAGTTTACTTCTATTACTTGCAGTATTTTGTAGTTGCCTCTTTTGCATTTTCTATTTTTCTAATCATAGCACCTTAAAATAACGATTATTTTGTCATCAATTTTCAAATAGGTAAATTACTGATTCTTTTCTTATTGTCTGAGCAATACACTCAGACTAGTATTAAATAATCCTGATGACAGTGCATATTATTTCTTGTCTTTTATTCCAATGAAAATAATGTTGGCTCTTAGGTTATGGTAAACTTGCACTGTGGCTAAGAGTATGTCCTATGGAGAAATTCTGCATTTCCTAGTTGAACTTTCAGTGACTCAAACTCCTGAGCCTTTTTCTTCATTTGAAATAAAGAAGCTGATAGTGCCTTATCTTATAGAGTTATTGTAAGGATTAAATGAGGTAACAAATGTAAAATGTTTACTACGGTGGCCAACATATTCTAAGGGCTCAATGTTAGTAACATCAGGTATGAATGCTAAATTAAATGTCTTTCTGTGGACATTTCTTCTGTGGAGCTATTTTTTTCTTATTCTATTTATGTTATAGATAAAATATGATTTAGTATAGTAACATATTCATAAAAGAAAATATAAAGCTATTTTTTCATTGATGAAACAATAATTTCCTCACCACAGAATAGCATCATTTTATACACAAATGAGTTTGATTTGCTAGGGGGGGTTTGTTGAAAATATATTTTAAATTAGCATGTGCATGATCAGGCTGTACAACTTTGTGTTATTATCTATAAGGTCATGGTATTAGTTTTAAACTAGCTTAGCAAAATATAAATCTTAGTTATTTTTATAAGTGACAGAAGAGTTTATACAGCATATTAATTATCCGATCTTGAAATTTTAAATAAATTCTCTGTAAAACCAAATGAAACTAGTGCTATATTTTTAATAATGCTTTATTACCTTTTTCAATGTTTTCCATTGTCATTGTTTCTTTCAAGACTTTTGCTTTAAGATAATTTTATTTTGTATAGAAACTTATACTTTAAATTAGAAATTGTACTTATTAGCATATTTTATTGACAGTATTATCTTATAATTTTAAAATATCTTTATTGTGATTTTATTTTCTTAATGATTAAAATTTGATTTATGTTCGAGTTCTCTTCTTGATTACAATTTCAAAATACTTTTCTTATCATTCATTTTTTCTTATACATTTTATAAACAGTACATTATATTGTGCATAGTGTTTTGTATACTGCTTTTGATCAATTAAGTTCTTTAAACACCATTAATTTTACTTGTATATCATAATTTTCCTATATGTGGTGTTTTTTTGGGGTAATAGCCTCATTGGTATATAATTCACATACCATACAATTCACTTATTTAAGGAGTACAATTCAATGGCTTTTAGGATGTATACGGAGGTAAGAAACCATTAATACAACCAATTTCAGGAGATTTTCATTACTCTTAAATAAACATCCACACTCATTACTTCAATGCTTGCATACCATTGAATTATGCAGGCACAGTGTGGTTACTAAAATATTCTCAATTATTGAACAATTAGATTATTTATACATTATGATATTGTTCCCAACACATAGACATGATAAATATTGGATGTGATGTGAACCCCAAATACATTGACTTGATCATTACACATTCTATGTTGGTAAAAAATATCACATGCATCCTATAAATATGTATAAATATTTCTCAACAATTTTTTGAATTAAATATTCTGATGAACATTCCTGCAGCCCAACTTTGTGTAAGAACGCTATGAGCATACGTGCAAAAATTACCAGATATATACCAAAAGCCTTAAACATCTGGTAACTTTTCATGGAGAAATACCTTCCTTCTAGATCATTCAACCATGGCTATTAGCATTTTTTAAATGGTAAACATTAGAAAAGTCATGTTATATTTGTATATTATTTTGCCTTCCTTCAGGTGATACCAAGTGGAATATTTTTTATATTTTGATTAGCTGTTGTGGTTTATTTTCTGCCTCAGAAGTATATTAAAAGTTTTTTGTTTTTGTCCTTTTCAGTTTTTGAAAATAACCATGTCTTTTGTAACTGTTTTGTATCTTATTTCAGTTGCTGCTCTGTCTTCTTTTTTTAATTAAGGCAATATTAGCCTTATTTTTCCGTGTTTTTAATGACAATGCAGTTGTGTTTTTACTTTTTTAGAAATGATATTCCTAGTTTCTTAGGAACTTGTTTTTCATCAACAGTGGTAATTCATCAAATTGGTAATGAAATTTGTCAACTGAATTTTTAGTATCTTTCCAGATTACCATTGATTTTACTTGATGATATATGTTATTACATTTATTGATGTTAAGCCACTTTGCATGTTAAGCGTAAAACCTTTTTCTAACCAACTTATATTTGGATGACATACCATTGTGTTTTATTTTCTAGAATTCTCATATCTATACTCAAATCTCATTGCAGTTTTTGTGTTATATTTCTGTTTTTTAATATACAGGTATTTCTTGCTTGGCAAAGTGATTAGCATGTTTCGATATTTTTTCTATTGTAGGAGAGTTTGGTTTAGAATTCATAATTTCTTGAAAGTATGGAGATATTTCAGTGTAAAGTTGTCTGGCTTTTCAGATTATTTTGAGCTAAGTATTTGACATAATTGTTTTTTAATTTTTTTTTTTTTTTTTTTTGAGACGAAGTCTCACTCTGTCACCAGGCTGGAGTGCAGTGGCGCAATCTCGACTCACTGTAACCTCCGCGTCCAGGGTTCAAGTGATTCTCCTGCCTCAGCCTCCCGAGTAGCTGGGACCACAGGTGCATGCCACCACGCCCAGCTAATTTTTGTATTTTTAGTAGAGACAGGATTTCACCCTGTTGGCCAGGATGGTCTCGATCTCTTGATCTTGTGATCCGACTGCCTCAACCTCCCAAAATGCTGAGATTACAGGTGTGAGCCACCGCGCCCGGTCCTATCTGAGATAATTTTGATTTTAATTTTAATTCTTTTGAACTTCTATTTTAGATAGGAGGGTATATGTACACGCTCATTACATGGTTGCATTGCACCCAGATAGTGAGCATGGTATCCAACAGGTAGTTTTTCGACCCATGACGTCTTCCTCTTCCCTCTAAAAGTCCACAGTGTCTATTGTTCCCATGTCATAATTTTTATTTTTTTCATAAGTATAGGTTGATTCACAGTTTAGAAGTTTTCTATTTTTTGTTTTGATATCCTGTGGTTTCCTAGAAAATAAGTCATATTTTCTAGATTTCCAAATTCATTAGCAAGGAGTAATACATATTTTCTCATACAATCAATAGTTATTAATACAGCTTCTTGCTATTCCTGATTTATTTGTATTTTATTATACATTATCCATTAAGCATGACAGAGGTTGCTGTAGTTTGTCTTTTGAACCAATTTATAGCTTTAAAAATAAATTAAAATATATTACTATTGTACAAATTGTTAATTCATAGTTTCATTATTTTTATTTACTTAAAAGTACAGATTATTTTCATTATTTCTCAGTAAAAAATGTAGTGATGCTACATGATGAATTTAATTTTGGCAGTTTCGGCTGTAGTCCATGTTTTAGTGAAAATCTTTGTTTTATAATCCTTTTGATATATATTTAGAATCAGTTTGGAATGAACATATGACTGATTGAGAAATGAATTCTGGAGGAATGAAACCAAAGAATACACGTTATTCAGTATCATATATATTTTCATTTGTGGTTAATTGGTACGATTCCAATAACTTCAGAGCTAGAGAATGTAAAAATAATATTGCAGTGTTACACAATCAAATTGAGATGGCATGAGGATTAAAATCTTTATGATAAAAACACAAACACAGAAACAACTCTGGCTTCATTTTTATGTCATGTGTCTTAACCTGGGGTTTAATAACCTAAAAAATAAATCTGGATACCACATCAAAGGGCTTTCAACGAGCTCTACAAAATGACATCCTGGCCAAAATTAGAGGTTTTGGTTTAAAAAGGGTGGAAAATAATTGAGGGTGTGGTGTGTGTGTGTGTGTGTGTGTGTGTGTGTGTGTGTGCAAATAGATAAATATAAGCCCTTTCTTTTATTTTGGTATCAATGCTAGTCCTAGGATACTTTCTCAGAGACCTATGACAAAGTAACTTTGGAAGTTTAATCATTTCTTACAAATTATTTTTTCAGAAAATTGACGTTTGAGTTACAAAAAAACATTAAATATTGCTCTAGTAACAGCATGTATATTGTCTTCACAAAATATTTAATGCCAAAACGATAATTTATGGAGAGAAAAATTGTATTTTCTTCCAAGCATGTGTAGTGAGTGTTTCAAAGGTAATCATGAAGCATAAGATAAACTAAGAAAAATGCATATACTGATAATGTATTTATATAGGAAATAAATAATGATAATACAAATTTACAAAGCTGAGAAAATTAAGGGAATGAATTGTGTCTGTTTTTATTTGAAAAGACTATTATAGTTAGTTGAGATGTAAGGGTTGAAATATGATTGCTATGATTCTTATACTTATCAGAATAATTTTACAGATGACATAGCATACAATTACTAGTATAATTACTACTCACTGCAGGAAATAATTGAAGTCATTTATTAATTTTGAGATTGTTTTTCCTTTTTTCCAAAACATTATCATAAGAGTTTTTCCATCTTTATATGGACAAGTGTATTCAGATTTTTCTCGTTTTTCAGATAGGAATAATATGTGCTAGGCACACAACTGATAACAACAACAAAAAAATAAAAACATGACAACAGGACTAGAGTATATCTACCCATGTGTACAAATGTGCCTGTGATATGAAGGGTGAAGTATTTGCCAACCAAATGGTAACTTGCCTTCTAAACTAGATTCCTTTCAAATCCAATACTTCCCCTTTATACTGACATGTTGGTTACCTACATTCAGAGGAATATTGTATATAGTCATACAACTAGTATTAGTCAGTCAGCATGCTAATTATAATACAATCATCTATGTGGTGAAAACTGCTGATGTAACATATTCAGCTCTGTCCACGTGGGGCTTTCATGCTTTTGGGTATGATGTTCCCTACATCTAAAATGTCCTGGAATCGACAAACTAGCCTTAGAATAATTTCTCATCTTTCAAATCTGACTTTACGTGCCGTTTCACCTGTGAAGAATTTAAATTTTTTGGCCAATCTTAATTTGCCAAAGAAAATTGACTATGCTCTCTCCTTAGTCTTCAACTGTGCCCTGGCATGGCTAAAACTTAATTGAACGTACTTATTTTTGTAATGATAAATCCTTTGAAGTCAAATGCCATGTTCACTTGTTTCGATTCAACATTCCCAACACATTATCTCAAATATTATTTATTGATTGAATAAACGATTAAATGAATAAATGTATTAATGAATGAATAGAAATCAACAAGTCAATTAAGTTAATAAGCTGGTCAGATTTGTCACTTACACCTCAACCACCTCAAAGAAATTGGCTATTACCTTCAAAAGATGAAATATGAGCTTCTTTGGAAGTTATACGAGAAAACAGCATACTTGGTTGTTTTCTTAGGAATGTGTCACAATCATTTCATTATGACACCAACAACATCAAATTGGGCTCTCAATTTGCATTTAAGGGATTGACAAAACTAGGTGTATTACAAAGCTTCGCATGTTGGCTGAGTTGTAAGGACTCAAAAACAATAAATGGGTTCCTAACATGAATTTACCGTAAGACCCAGAAACTTCTCCTCTTTGGTTAATAACCAAACAAAGCAAAATGAGGTATTCAAACTAATCCCTCTACATGAATAATTATAGCAGCACTGTTCACAATAGCCAAAGGGGGAAAACAACGCAAATGTCCATCATCAACTGATAAATGAAAAAACAAATAATGAATTTCATACAATATCATGTTGTATAGCGATGAAAAGAAATGAAGTACTGATACATGCTACACTATGAATCTTCAAAATATTGTGCTAAAGGAAAAAAGCCAGACACAAGAGGTCCCATATTGTATGTTTTTATTTATATGAAATTTAAAGAATAGGCAAATCTGTAGAGACAGACACAGAAAGCAGGTTGATGGTTGTCAGGGGCTGAAAGAAATGGCTGCTTACTGTGAACAGAGTCTATTTAGGGTTGTTAAACAATTGTTAGAACTAGATAAAAGTGGTGGTCATACAGAATTGTGAATATACTAAATGCCACTAAATTGTATACTTTAATACAGTTAATTTTATGTTATGCGAATTTCACCTTGATTAAAAAAATACAGATGGCCGGGCGTGGTGGCTCCCGCCTGTAATCCCAGCACTTTGGGAGCCCGAGGCAGGTCGTTCATGAGGTCAGGAGTTTGAGACCAGCCTGGCCAATATGGTGAAACCCTGCCTCTACTAAAAATACAAAAATTAGCCAGGCTTCGTGGCACACACCTAAAATCCCAGCTACTTGGGAGGCTGAGGCAGAAGAATCGCTTGAACCCGGGAGGTGGAGGTTGCAGTGACCTGAGACTGTGCCACTGTACTCCAGCCTGGTCGACAGAGTGAGACTCCATCTCAAAAAAACAAAAAACAGGCCAGGCGCGGTGGCTCACGCCTGTAATCCTAGCACTTTGGGAGGTCGAAGCAGGTGGATCACCTGAGGTCGAGAGTCCAGACCAGCCTGGCCAACATGGTGAAACCCCATTTCTACTAAAAATATAAAAATTAGCTGGGCGTGGTGGCGTGTGCCTGTAATCCCAGCTACCTGGGAGGCTGAGGCAGGAGAATTGCTGGAACCCAGGAGGTGGAGGCTGCAGTGAGCTGAGATTGGGCCACTGCACTCCAGCCTGGGTGACAGAGTGAGACTACATCTCAAAAAAAAAACAAAACAATAACAACAACAACAGCAACAAAAAACCATAGATGTGGCTATAGGGGAAAAATCAATGAATATGAGGATACAATGAACTCATATGGGATTAATTGATGTTATTTCTCTTTTCTTTATTCACTTTACTAAATTCATGTTTTTGTCTAATCTTCTAAGAATCATGAGAATTGATCTAAGAGTTTACTGATTAGAAAATTTTCCCAAAAGGAAAAAAGATACTTATGTCTTTGTTTTAGGAGTAGCTTCTGCTTAGAAAATAAATGTGAATTTATTACTTAGGTGTCAGAGTGTTTATTTTAATTAGGAAAGAACCTGTCTGTCTCTGAACACTGTACAGCTTCTTTTTAAAAAGCCAAAATTAATTACATATGCCACTGTCATAATACGTAATATAACCTATTGACTCTAGAATTTGAGTTGTTAGCTCTGTCTTATAAATAAATATAATTTTATTGCTCAATGCTTTTTAAAGTGTGAAAGGGGCCATTGATGTCATATTGAAAATGCCTATAAGATGCTTTTACATCTGCAATCTACAAAGAGACATTGATAATGGGACCATAAAAGAATACTTGTGAAGCTAGTCCTTAGTGCCACTGACTTTTTGCAGTAGTTGTGAGCATGGTTCTATGAAGGATTTGATATATGTTGTTGCTTAAGTAGAAGGGTCCATGTTTCACTTGGAATTAATTCAGCCCTTTCTCTTACAGAGGAGCCTCTGCTTCTGTTCTGCTCTAATGACAGCATTCTCATTAGAAAGCCCAGAGGGGTTCTTTAAAAATGTAAATGAGATCACATTACTAGGACTACCCTCAAAACCCTCCAGACTTCCCATTTATTGGACAGAAAAGTTTAAAATTCTTACAGTGGCTTGCAAAGCCTTTTGCCTCTGACCTTATCTTCTATTGCTCTGTGTTCCAGAGATTTTGGCCTCTATGCTATTGATTGTGTATACTAAACATGCTCCCATCTCAAGGTTGTCACATTTGCTGTTTCTACTGCGCAGAATGTTCTTCTAGATATATTTGCATAACTCAATCTCTTAATTTCTTCAAGTCTCTGATGGCATGTCACCTTATTATGGGCGTTTTCCCTAACTATTTTATTTAAAAACAGCAAATTCTCCAGCACATCCTATTTGTTATTGTTTTATTTTCTCCATAATAGTCATAGCCATCTGACATATTACGTATTACAAATTTTTTACATTTATTGTCTGATTCCCTCATCTAGAATATCAGCTACATAAAGCCAGAAATATTTTTGTCTGTTTTGTTCACTGCTGTATTACAAGCACCCAGAAATAGGCCTGCCCTTAGTAGGCACTTAGTAAATACTGGTTGAGTTAATGACCTGCTTGGTAAGTGGTGATTCATTCAATCTAAAGAGTCTGATGATTCATTCCTGCCTGTCTTTAGTTATGAGTAATATTTTTGCCCCTGGTAACTTCCTCTCTGTAATTTCTTTTTGAAATTCCTATTAGTCACATTTATCCAATATGTTGTCACTTTTTTTTTTGTCTTTTGACTCTATTTTTTTAAGAGACAGCATCTTACTCTATCACCCAGGCTGAAATGCAGTGGTGCATTCACAGCTCACCATGGCCTGGAACTCTCGCGCTCAACTGTTCCTCCTGCCTCAGCCTCCTGAGTAACTAGGACTACCTGTGTGTGCCACTACCCCTGGCAAATTTTTTTAAATTTTTGTAGAGACAGGATCTTGCGATGTTGTCCAGAATGGTCTTGAACTCCTAGCCTCAAGCGGTCCTCTCACCTTGGCCTCCCAAAGCACTGGGATTACATGTTGAACCACCACACCTGGCCTTTTAACTCTATTTTCAAGAGATATTCTTGATTATATATTTTATTCTTTCTAATGACTTCCAACTTTTAATTGGTGATGTTTAATTTCTATACATTCTCATTTGTTCTATTACATTTGCTTTTATATAAAATCCTGTCCCTTTTTATTGATGAAATTGGTATCATCCCAAATATACTTGAGTAGCCTAATTATATTTTTCTTTCATACTTCTTCCTTGAATTGTATGTATTTCTCCTAGTGTAAAATATTCAATTTAATCCTTATGCTCTTTCTATTTTGTACAATTTTTTCAAATATGGGTTTATCTTTGATGGTTAGTCATTTTGTAAAAATCAAGGCCTAGGCTGACTATTTGTAGAGCAGATTGTTTCCCTAATAGGTGCCTTCCTTATCTGAAAGGGAAGAGTTCTGTGTAATTGAATAAGTATTGTAGCCTACTCAACTTTTCTTAATTGTGCATTGGAGGACTGGTGAATAACCAACTCACTCTGTTTCTTATCACTTCATAATTAATTGAAACAGAATCGTGTGTGCTGAAAACCTTCCAATGAGCCTAACTTTCCCAGGCTGAACATATTATTATTATTGTTATTATTATTTTGAGACAGAGTCTAGCACTGTTGCCCAGGGCTGGAGTGCAATGGCGTGATCTCAGCTCACTGCAACCTCTGCCTCCCGGGTTCAAGCGATTCTCCTGCCTCAGCCTCCTGAGAAGCTGGGACTACAGGTGCGTGCCACCACGCCCAGCTAATTTTTGTATTTTTAGTAGAGACATAGTTTCACTATGTTAGCCAGGCTGGCCTTGAACTCCTGACCTCGTGATTCGCCCGCCTCAGCCTCCCAAACTGCTGGGATTACAGGTGTGAGCCACTGGGCCCGGTCATGAACACATTATTTCTTTAGAGAACAGTCTTTTGGTAGTAAGCACTGGGATGCTTCTGTATAAACCGGAATGGCAAGTGGCCAGTGTGGTCAGATGCAGCCATTCCTTTTATGTTCCTTTAAATATTCACCTTCTGTGTTGGTACTTCCACCTGCACATCTTCCAGTTCTGACTGTCTGGTATTCCAGAGCTGTGTTAGGAGGATTGGCTTCCACCTCAACTGTCAGTAGCACTTTCAGACTGGCTTCTTTCACTTAGCAATATGCATTTAAGATTGTTCCATATTTTTTCATGGCTTGATAGCACATCCCTTTTTATCACTAAAGTATTCTACCGTATGAATGCACCACAGTTTGTTTATTCACCTATTGAAGGACATGTTGGTTGTTTCCAAGTTTTACAAATATAAATAAAGCTGTTGTAAAAATTCCTGTGCAGTTATTTCCCAGCTTTGAGATATTAATTGACAAATAAAAATTGTACGTATTCAAGTTGTATGTGATGATTTGATATACATATGCATTGTGTCATGATCACTACAATCAAATTAATCAACACTTCCATAACCACACATAGGTATGCTGTCCGTGTGTGTGTGTGTGCGTGTGTGTGTGTGTATAAGGAGGTGAGGAAACTTAAGATCTATCTCTCTTAGCAAATTTCAAGTATACGATATGATATTATCAACTCTAGTCACCATGCTATAAATTACATCCTCAGAACTTCTTCATCTTATACCTGAAATTGTGTACCCTTTTACCATTATCTCCACATTTCCCTTAGGCTTTCAGGTTTTTGTGTGGACAAACGTTTTCCACTCATTTGTGTAAATATCAAGAAGTGTGATTATTGAATTGTATGGTAGCGCTATGTTTAGTTTTGTAAGTAACTGACAAAATGTCTTCCAAAGTGGCTATGCCATCTTGGATTCCCACCAACGATGATTGAGAGCTCCTGTTGCTCTAAATCCTTGTGTTTTAATACAATTTTGTAAAAGTATTATAGTCCAAGAATACGAAATGTGCCCAATATAGAAAATTCAAATTTATCCCTAATCCTATTAAAAAAACTATTTTCTGCTACTATGTGTGTATTTATATATACACAGTCATACAGTGTATATATGTTTGCTTTCTGCCTTTTTCATTTAAAGACACATCATCAAAGAATACCATGTTTTTGCACACTCTTCAGAAGAGCACTTTTTTTTGGGGGGGTGGGCGGGCAGGGAGATGGAGCCTGGCTCTGTTCCCCGGGCTGGAGTGCAGTGGCGTGATATCGACTCACTGAAACCTCTGCCTTTCAGGTTCAAGCAATTCTCCTGCTTCAGCCTCCTGAGTAGCTGGGACTACAGGCGCACGCTTCCATGCCCAGCTAACTTTTTGTATTTTAGTATAGACAGGGTTTCGCGGTGTTGTCCGGCTGGTCTCAAACCCCTGAGCTCAGGCAACCCGCCCACCTTGGCCTCCCAAAGTGCTAGGATTACAGGTGTGAGCCACCACGCCTGGCTGGGGTAGAAGAGCACTTATAATGGTAGATTAATTCTGCATTATTTGGATTTGCTACAATTGAATAGCTATTTCTCCATTGTTTGGAATTAATGTGGTTTTTAATTACCTCATCATAAATAACAATGAGATCAATGTACTTGGGCCTGTTAGAGTCCTCCATCTAAAAATTGGTTGGATTTCAGAATATGCTCAAGTGCTTAGCACTTTTAAGTTTTGAAAGCAGGAAATAAATGTTAAATTAACATTTAGGAAGTTAGAAAAGGCCCAAAATGAGGATCACGGAAAACCCATATATGATACCTACTTTGACCCGGTATTCTAAGCACGTAATTGGTATTAACTCAAGTAATGCTCACAAGAATCTGAGGAGACTTTGAAGCATTATTAGCCCAATTTTACAGCTAATGAAGTTGAGTTTAAGTAATTTGCTTAAGGCATTGTACCTAGCAAGCATGGGATTGATGATTCAAATCTATACAGCCTGGCTCTAAGCAATGGTCTTCACAGTTTCACTCCATTGTTGAGAGAACATTTGACTTGCATGATTTAAGGTAGAATAAAAATCTTGATAGGGCCATATAGATCTCATTATGTCCTCTAGTCTTACATATGGTCTATTGTCTCTTTAGATTACCTGTCCTACATGTAGAGGCATTTGAGTTTGCAGCCCCATGGCAAAGTAATGAAAAACCTATTGGTTATGAGGTCACTAGTGCAGCCTAACAAAGACATGGCCCAGCTGCTTATGTTGCAAGTGTTGGAAAACTGATCAATTTTCTAACATCACTTCCCTAAAAATATATTTTGGTGTGTGGATGAATAATGCTGAATAAATACCAGATAGCTATGTATACTCACAGTTCTGAAAATACATGATCCCCAACACAATTTTAGTTGTGCCTTGGTGCAGACGAATTTTTTCACTTTTATTTCTCTGAGAAACTATTTTAAACCCACACCAACCTCATTAATTTCCACATCAAACAATAGGGCTTTGACTATCAGCAGATGTTTATACTATCTGTTAGCCATAAAAATTTAGGACACTACTCAAATTGTAGGTAACAAACTAATGGCTCTTTTTGCTTGTCATTATCCAACATTTTTGTCGAAAGACCCAAAGTCAAAGAGGATGGTCCATGAACTAAATGAATTACAAATCCATCGAAGGCCAAAACAGAAGAATGTAATTTTAAAGATACTGAGCCTATGCTTTTACAACCTGAACTCCCTACAAAAATGTGAATTCTTATGAAAGACAAATAGAAATTTATTTTCATAGCATAGATTAGGAAAATTATGCACATTTTATAGATTATAGACAAATTAATATCCACTTTATAATACGTTATGGCTTACTAAATAAGTAATGTTTAATTTAATAATTCAAATTGTAAATACTCAATAATATTTAAAATATTTGTATACTTTTTTTTTTTGAGACGGAGTCTCGCTCTGTTGCCCAGGCTGGGGTGCAGTGGTGCAATCTCAGCTCACTGAAAGCTCTGCCTCCCAGGTTCACGCCATTCTCCTGCCTCAGCCTCTTGAGTAGCTGGGACTACAGGCGCCCGCCTCCACGCCTGGCTAATTTTTTGTATTTTTAGTAGAGACGGGGTTTCACCGTGTTAGCCAGGATGGTCTCGATCTCCTGACCTTGCGATCCGCCCGCCTCGGCCTCCCAAAGTGAGCCACCGCGCCTGGCCCAAAATATTCGTATACTTAAAATAGTAGTCAAGGCTAGGCGCGGTGTCTCACGCCTGTAATCTCAGCACTTTGGGAGGCCAAGGTGGGCTGATCACAAAGTCAGGAGATTGAGACCATCCTGGCCAACACGGTGAAACCCCATCTCTACTAAAACAAAAAAAAAAAAAAAAAAAAAAAAAATTAGCGTGTTTTATGACTTTGTTTATGTTCTGGTTGCATATGTACATTCACTTTAAGAAAGTTATTCTAGCTTTACACTTATGAGTCTTGTACTTTTCTGAGTAGATACTGTATGTAGTTCAATAAAAATATACTTCAAACAATATATTTCTAAGGGAAAGGAGTTCTGAAATATAACCATTTTGACATACTAAAATATATACTCCATGAAGCATTACGTTAACTGCAATATAGACACACACACACACACATATGTATACACATATATATGTATTTCCATGTGTACATATAAATTGACATAATCTATGATTGAGTCATACGTACTCAGACAGGCATGGTGGTGCGTGCCTGTAATCCCAGCTACTTGGGAGGCTGAGGCAGGAGAATTGCTTGAACCTGGGAGGCAGAGGTTGCAGTGAGCCAAGATTGCGCCACTGCACTCTAGCCTGGCGACAGAGCTAGACTCCGTCTCAAACAGAATAAAAATAAAAATGAATAGTCACTGTTTAACCTTTCTTGTCCAGTTTTTGTGTTTTTAAAACATCCTGCAGAAATGTGTATCTTTCCTTGGGGTTGCGGGGGTATACCTGTGATATGTGGCTTTTTAAAAAAGCTTTTGCTGCTTTTTTTTTTTCCCTTTTTTTGGAGAGAGAGTCTCACTCGGTTGCCCAGACTGGAGTGCACTGGAGCAATCATTGCTCACTGCAACCACAAACTTGCCTCGGCCTCTTAAAGCACTGAGATTACACGAGTGAGCCACTGTGGAAGGACAAGCTGCTTTTATTTATGCATATTAATTTCTTTATCACACATTTTATTTTTAAAATTATTTCTAGTGTCTTGAGTTTAATGTTCATTTTTTATTTTTCATCCATTATTTTTTCAAATATGAAAGAACTCAACACTATGAATTGTCCATGGAGTATAAATTTGGTTGCCTTTTATAGATTTTTATAGGTAATATTCTAATTATTTCCTTTTATTAATATTTTCTAATGGAAGTTCCACATTTTCCAATTTTGCTTGAGGGTTGCTTATAAAAGTTTTGTTTTTATGGTTGTTTATTTTCACATCTGAGAATGTTTTGTTTTTAGTTTTGTGCATAATTTATAATTGGGTAAACTCTTCTGCAACATCATCTCTACCTCCTACCTTGCATGCTATTCTATAGCCAATCATTTTCTTTTATATTTACCAAATATCTCTTAAATGCAGGCCATAAGTCTGACACCTCACTAGGATGTAATAATATACATGAAGCATACAGTGTATCTGGATTCAATGATCTTACAATGTTGGTCTAGTGGCATACAGTAAACAAATAAGAGCAGGCATGGTAAACATATTGAGATCATATATATATAAAAGTTGAGTGGGGTCACAATTGAGAGACCGTGAGATTTCAGAGAAACTCTTCATAGAGATGAAAGATGAGAAGAGTTTTGAGGGGAGAGGTATTTACCTAGTAGAAAATATTTGGATGGAAACTTTCTGAATAGAGAACAACATTCTGTATTCTAAAATCTAATAACTTTGTAGAGGGCTCCTTCTTCTTCTGTATGATCTCCTATTCTGTGCTCTTTATCCTGTCTTACTTCCATCTCACACAGATACAATTTTTCATTCACTTTCTCTTCTTATTTTAAACTTTTTCCTTCTCACTCAACTCTTTCCTTCCAAATTTATGAATATATCCAGACGGCACTCATTCTAACACACGTGTACACACACATTCCTCCTCTTAACTCTTCATCCTGTTCAGCTCTTGCTCTTGCCCATAATCAGAACTTTCTGTCATGATTTTCTCATTGTTCTTGCTTTTCTCAACTCATCATAATGTGACTCTTATCCCAGGAACGGCAGGAAGTTATTTCGCTGAGATCACCACTGACGATCTAATTGCAAAATCTAATGGGCATCTTTCATTACTCTTACTTTTGGAGGCACACGATCATATTATGCACATATATATTGCCGACACAATCCCGATATTATCTGGATTAAGATTGTTTGCATGTATGTCCCTTAATAGACTAGAAAAATGTGAGGGTAAGAGATATTATGTATTATCTATCTTTGATCTATCTTTGTAGCCCTAATGTTTAGATCAGTGCTTAGTACATAATAGACACTAAAAAATTTAGTGAACTCAGTGGTGCCAGCAATTATTCAGATATTGAGTTCTCCTGGGGAGATTCTTTGTGATGTGCTGATGCATTTAGGTCAACTCTGTCCAATTATCATTTTCATGTCCTAGAGTCATTCTAAACACTCTAGCTCCTGAGCGTATGTATTACTTTAATGATATCTTTACCAATGCTTTGGTGTGTTAGTCCATTCAGGCTTCTATTACAAACTACCATTGACAAGCTGTTTTACAAACAGGAGGAATTTGTTTCTCACAGCTTTAGAAAACCAGAAAGTTCAAGATCAAGGTGCCAGCAGAGTTAGTGCCTGGTGCTGGCCACTTCCTGCTTCATAGACAGCATTTTTTGTTGTGTACCCACATGACAGAAAGGGCAGGTAAATATCTCTGGAGCTTCTTTTTTAAGGGCACTGATCCCATTCATGAAGACTCTACTCTTGATGTAATTATCTCCAAAAGGCCCCACAACCAAATACCCTGACATTGGGGATTAAATTTCAACATACAGTTTTTTGGTGGAATGCAAACATTCAGACCATAGCAACTGACATAAATATGTTGAATCATTCCCTCATTCAAAAGGGGTTTTCCATCTAATGGATGTAGATGTTATGAGTAGAGAATCAGAGACCCCACTGCTGTGGAAGCAGACCCTCCAAATTAGGGCAATTTTTCTACTGGAAGGTTTTGAAAGCTTCAACAGGCCACAATAGTTTCATTTGAGACAAACTCTAATTCCATGTAATATATGTTTAATGTGTGATGTGCAAAGTGTGTTTGTGTGTGTGTGTCTGTGTATGCATAGACACATCCGTGCGTGTCTGTTTATCTCATAGGGATCTTGGTTTTACACCCAAGAAAAAAGTATGGCTTCTCTTAATTCTGCTTCTTCTTACCAGCCCTTAGAATTCAACCTGCTTCCTGTCACAGAAAGGTATATGACTATCTTAAAATATGATTTTATTAGCCCCCTTTTTCTCTATTATGATCTTGGAAACTTGTCATTATTATTCAGATTAGCTTTACTACTGTATTAATGAGATAATTAATGTATGTAAGGATGTATGTGTGAGTGTCAGTGTGTGGGTATTTGCATGCATAATTTTGGTTTTTTCTTGAATTTCACTGAACAGATTTGTCATTTACATCATTTGGATACATAATACATTCCATTTGTGTAAGTGTTTTTTTTTTTTTTTCATCTTTTGAAAATTAACAATGGCTATCTGGAGCCAAAGATTTTACCAGATAGAAATAAGGTTTCTCTTTATTATAGAATTGACATTTTCAATTTTTATTATAAAAAGCAAATTGAAGTCTTTAATTGCCTGGGTTTTATGAATGTATTGAATTTTCTAATTTCAATGTTAATGGATACATATTTCTTTCTAGATTTCTTATCTTTTAAATAATAAGCAACTAGTTTGACATGCCTTTAATCAAGATTTATCATGACCTTATTAGAAAGTTAATGTTTGGAACATTTACTCTCTGATGAACCACCAATTTTGTATTTTACATTTATCTGCAATTTCCAACAGTGAAGAGGTTGTCTGCAAATGGAATTAATTCTTCTCTATTTGGTTATCATCTCCTTTGCTCCAATCCCTGGTAATAGCTAAGCTTGTTCAAGATATTAAACAGGTAGATCAAGGATCTAAATGGTAGGGAAAATTTTCAATTTCTTAAAGTTCATTTATTATGTTGATAAATCTGGCCTCTTTGATAGTTTGTCATTTTCATAGAATTGATTATTCATTAGCACCATTGCAGACCATATAGCTACCATCTTTGCTTAGGTTTTCTAGCCTCTGGATCTGATTGAGAAAGGAAGACATTTGAAAGCATATCTGAGTACACATGACTCAATCATTGATTATGTCAATTTATATCTACACATGGAAATACATATATATGTGTATATATATGTGTGTGTGTGTGTCTATATTGCAGTTAATGTAATGCTTCATGGAGTATATACTTTAGTATGTCAAAATGGTTATATTTCAGAACTCCTTTCCCTTAGAAATATATTGTTTGAAGTACATTGTTATTGAACTACAGTATCTATTCAGAAAAGTACAAGACTCATAAGTGTAAAGCTAGAATAACTTTCTTAAAGTGAATGTACATATGTAAACAGAACATAAACAAAGTCATAAAACAAAATTACTAGTGCCTAGAATCACCCTTATATTTCCTACCAGGCACTCACTTCTTACAATTACAACTTTTGACACCATGTATTATGACTGAACTTTTGTGTACTTCCAAACTTCACATGTGGAAATCCTAATACCCAATGTGATGGTATTAGGAGGTAGGGCCTTAGTTTTAGGTAATGAATGTGGATCCCCCACGAATGATGCTGTGCCTGAATGTTGGTGTCCTCCCCCAATTTGTATGTTGGAACATAATATGCAATGTGGTAATAGGTAAGGGAAAGTAATTAAGGGAAAGTAATTAAGTCATGGGGACTCTACCCCCATAAATGGGATTAGTGCTCTTATAAAAAAGTTTAAAGGAGCATTCTGGTTTCTTCCATGCCTTCCAGCATGTGAGGACACAGCATTCATCCCTTCTACCATGTGAGGACATAGCAAGGGTGTGCCATCTATGAGGAATGGGCCTTCGCCAGACACAAAACTTGTCAGTGCCTTCATCTTGGACTTTGCAGACTCCAAAACTGTGTGATATAAACTTCTGTTATTTATACATTATTCATTCTAAGATATTTTGTTATAACAGCTCAAACGGACTAAGACAAATGAAAATTGCCCTTATAAGAAGATAAACCACGGCTTCTTTTCTTGGTGTTTGGTTTTCAACATGTGAGGACACAGTAAAAAGACATCCTTCTGCATACTAGGAAGAAGGCCATAACCAAAATCCAGCAATACTGGCAATCTTATCTCAGACTTCCCAACCTCCAGAACCATGAGAAATACATTTTTGTTGTTTAAACTATCCAGTCTATGGTATTTTTGCTATAGCAGGTCACTGGGAGGATTCCCCTTCAATGGAATTGAATGCAATTCAGCTTAATCAGTGTTCAAGATATAGCGCTGTTTCTCTGATTACCAGGATTCAGGGGTTCAGACGGAAATTGGAGTGGTGGTAACATTCATTATTACCTCTACTGACCTACAAGCAAAAATTTTGTTTCCTGTTCCTGTGACTTTATGCTCTGCTAGCCTAAAGGTCTTAATTCCAGAGGGAGGGATGTTTCCAGAAAAAGACACAACAATGATTGTATCAAACTGGAAGTTAAGACTGACACCCAGCAATTTTGGGCTCCTCCTGCCTCAGTCAATAGGCTAAGAAGGGAATTACTTTGTTGGCTGGGACGAATGATCCCAACTACCAAGAAGAATATGGACTGTGACTCTACAATGGTGGGGAGGAAAAATATGTATAGAATAATAGAAATCTTGTACGGATTCTCTTATTATGACTGTGCACTGTAATTAAGATCAGTGAAAATCGAAAACAGCCCAATTTAGGCAGGACTATGATTGGCCTAGGCCCTTCTGGAATTAAGGTTTGGTTACCCTGCCAGGTAAAAAATGACAACCAGCTAAGATGCTTGCTGAAGGCAAATGGAATACAGAATGAGTTGTAGAGGAAGGTAGTTAGAAATACCAGCCTTGATGATGTGACCGGTTTCCAAAAGGAGGACTGTCATCATCATGAGTATTCCCTTCTTATTTTGTTATGAATACAGTTGTGTTTATACACAAATACATGTGTGTGTGTGTGTATATATATATATATATATGTATATATGTAAAGCAAATGCCTTTGATTTATTTTCTCTGTTATTCTATAATAATTTAAAATAAAACATATTGACTTTATATTAGTATTTAAATATTGTCAATGTTACATCATAGTATTTGAGTTACGGGATGTCAGGAGAGGAGTAAACATCACTCATTTACTTTACTTTCTCTTGTGTGGAGATCAATGGATTTTTTGTTGTATGCAGAATAGCTGCATCATGTCAGGAGGAATTATGACCATTTTCCTGTCTTAATTTGGAGATTAAGTATGGCTTGAGGAGATGTGTACATGTGCCCAGTTGACAAGGGGTCTTCTTGTTATGGTTCATTTAATGTGTTGACCTGGACTGTGCTAAGGGATGCTCAGATAACTAGTGAATCATTATTGTGGGTGTTTCCATGAGGATGTTTCTGAAATAAATTAGTATATGTATTGGTGAACTGAGTAAAGCTGATGAACCTGCTCAATGTAAATGGGCATCATCTAATCTGTTGAGGGCCTGAATAAAATAAAAAGGCAGAGAAAGGGTGAATTCAATCTCTATGCTTCAGCTGGGACATTCGTCTTCTGCTGCCTGTGAACATAAGTGCTCTGGTTCTTAGGCCTTTGCATTTGGACCGGGACTTACACAGTGTTTCCTCTGGTCACTGGGCCTTCATACTTGGACTTTGTCATTTAACATCAACTCCCCTGATGCTCAGGCCTTTGGACTTGGACTGAAACTATACCACTCTCTTTCTGGTCCCCCAGCTTGCAGATAGCAGAACATAGGACTTCTCAACCTCTGTGATTGTGTAAGCCAATTCCTTATAACAAATCTTATATAGCTAGACATAGATAGATGATAGATAGATAGATAGATAGATAGTAAGTAGATAGTAGATAGATCGATCTTCTCTTGCCCCTTTTTCTCTGGAGAATCCTAAGACAACTGGCTGAACATCTTTTCATGTGCTTGTTTACCATCTGTAGATCATTTTTCAGTGAAATGTCTGTTCATACCTTTTGACCATTTTCCAGTTAGGTTATTATTAATTTTTTACAGTTGACTTTTAAGACTACTCTACATGTTCTGGATATAAATCCTTTGTTAGATACATGGTATACAAATATTTCCTCCCTGTCTGTACCTTGGTTTTCTTCCTCTTAAAAGAATCTTTAGACTTTGATGAAATCTAATTTATAGGTGTGACCATTCGTGCAGTACCCCAGTATGTTGTTATGCTATGACTAACCTGCAGTAAAATCCATCTACCCAATTTATAATTTCATTTATTTTGTTTTTTCAAAATTTCTAGTTAAAACAATAAATTCTAATATTCTAATGAAATCATTCACTTTTTTCTCTTATCTGCCATTATTTGCCTTCCAACTATAATATCTGGAATACCTCAGCTCTGTTATTATTTTATTTGTTAATCTTCCTTTTGGTTATAGGATTCTGTCTTTTGGTAGGAGGAAGTTTTTGATGAAGGCAAGGTATTAGTTATAAACGAAGTTACACACTCCATGTGGTAATATTTTCCTGCACACATAGTTTCGAATTTCCTCTGCTAAGCAGAGAGAATGAGGACTGTTCACTTTAATCTTAACAGAGAGACTGATTTCAATAGGAGCTTCATTGCACTTTTTGTAAAGCTTGGTAGACTTCTGCTTTGACACTGATCCCAGGCTACATACTTTCAACTACAGTGTGACTGAGTCTAGACCTTACAACTGAGAGCCTGGTATCATAACTGAGTTCCCTTCACTGGCTGGTCCTCAGCTTTCCTTTTCATCTCCTGAGCAAAAATAAATTGCAGAAAACTTTACACCACTTTACAGAGAATATCAGCTTAGCTTTTCAGCACCTTGCTACTTGTAGCTTCAGAATTTGGCAAACTTTTTGAAAATAAAACAATACACATTCAATGCCCAGTTTTCTGCTATTTAATATGTTGAACATTTTGTGCCATAAAGCTTTCAATTTTCTCTCTAGTTTGTTGACACTGACAAACACTTTGCTTATACCTCTGTCTTTCAGCAACCATTCTGCCTGAGCAAAGACTGGATTTTGAGCTCTCAGTCCATTTATGACAAAATGGACTCCTGAGGTAAAAGTATCTACTCAACTCTCAGTGTTTCTTCTCTCTCCCAGAATCTTGAGCACTCTGGTCTTGTTTCTGTATTAGTTCCCTAATGCTTTTAAGAAAAAGTTATTTATATTTTATGTAACTTTTCTACTGTCTTTTTCTCTGTGAAGCATTGGTTGGCTTTGAGATACTTTATTTTTTTGTCTTTTTGAAGTACTTTTAAAACACTGAAGCACGAAAACAGAGGCACAATCAGTTTTGTTCATAGTTGCATCTTGCACAAGGATACTCGTATTACATAATAAATTTGGAAGATAAATTTGCTGTTTTCAAATAAGTAACAGACTGCTTTTGTGGAATAAAAAAGTGGAAAATTTGTTTTTTTTGTGTGTATTCACAGAGTCGTTTCTATATTTTATCTAAATTTGTATATTCTAAGTAGAACTGAATGGACAAATCATTTGTTTTGTCCATTATTCATATAATGGACAAATAATTAATCATTGTGTCAAATCATTTGAAGTCAGTAACAAATTTCCTGATTAAATTTTGTTTGCTGCTGTACACTTGAATTTTTAATAACTTTCCAGCTATTAAATTGCTATGTTATAACATCATTTTGAATATTATTGATAAGGATCTTGTTACAAACTGCAGAAATGTTACTAGGTAAAATGAGTGTTTGGCCTAGCCACCACATATGCAATTTAGAACAATGTGATTTCCATTCGTTCATAGAGGTGCGATCCCCACCTCTAGCCAAAGATCCACAGCCATGCAGGGTGCATGGTGGCTCCCCTTCTCACCCCCCTTCCCTTCTGGATGGGGTGCTTGGGCGGATCCACGGCACACACCTGTGTCTGCACATGTGGGGCGAGGGGTATGTTTGCAATGGCCATGCAGGGTGGGAGAGAACTGTGGCTGCTGCCCAGGCCCCAGGGCAGTCTCAGGGGCCAGGGGCCTCACGTGGCTAGTTGGCCAGCATGTCCCACCCGCCATCCCCTCCTGCCATGTGCCCATAGCGTCTTTCCTCCCCGGGCGAGAGGTCCGGCTTTGTCCGAGCCAGAGGAAGGATACAGTGATTTAAGGAATCTATTTGCATAGAGGAAGAGGTTCTTCTCCACCTAAATCGATTTTTTTTCTTTTTCCTTTTCTATGTGAGAGGTTTCTTTTCCTACCTCTGCACTCTGCTTATGATAGGAAAGCAACAGAGGAGCCATCCCACTGGCTAATAACGGCAAATTTGGCAAAGTCTGTCTGGGACTTAATCTAAATAAATCCATGCATCCCCCGAGACACCTTTTTGTCCCAAACTCAATTACAAACTTTGGTTGAAGCCCTAGAAAGGAAAACCAGATCTGAGGGATCCAAAGCCAGGCAACAGGCACAGAGTAAATGGGCGGGACTAATTCCTGTTGATTAAGCCCCTGCTTCATGGAAGGAGGCCATGTTCCATGTCATATATAGATAAGGCCTAGGGAACTCAAGAGATTTCATGACTATGAATTACAGTAAAAAATAAGTACTCTTGCAAAACACAGTTGGATTGTTTGTAACACAAAGAATAAATGCTTGAGAAGATGGAAACCCTATTCTACATGACGTGATTATTTCACATTGCATGCCTGTCAAAGCATCCCATGTACCCTATAAATATATACACTTACTATGCACCCACAAAAATTAAAAATAAAAAGTAAAAATTTAGAAACAAACAAACATACAAAAACCAAAACACATCATACTTCAGTTTTGAAACATTAAGGTCCCAATTATGTTTACTCAAAAATAGGTTTTTAATTTGGTAGTTTTTTCATTTTTGAGTGTGAATATAAGGCCAAGCTTGCTTCTATTCTTATAATTTGAGAATTTAACAAGCATTGTTTATTTGTGCACGTCAAACTCTTTTTTATTTGACATATACAATATAATATATATAATTATAATATTATATATTATAAAATCTCTACTAAATAGATATATTTAGTAGAGATGGGGTTTCATCATGTTGGCCAGGCTGGTCTCGAACTCCTGACCTCAGGTGATCCGCCCACCTCAGCCTCCCAAATTGCTAGGATTACAGGCATGAGCTACTGCGCCCAGCCCCTCACTATCTTTATGAGCAGACACAACAAAGATTTATTGAGTAAATACTATGTTCAGGGCACTATTCCATGTACTAAAGGATTTTTAAAGATAAATAAGACATGGCTCTTATCTCTGAGGTGTTCACATTCTCATGTGAATAGGACAGGCTTATATACAATAGTCTAACACGAGGCATTATGTGAAAAGTATATTTCTTCGCCTCTTCTCACTGCTTAGAAAAGTGTCTAGAACATAGCGTGCACTCAATTAATACTTTCTATTAGCATTAATATTAATCTTGTCATCATTGGAAAAGATATAATAGGAACTGACACTGGAGAAATAAGTCAGGTCCAAATTATAGAAAGATTACTATGGTAGTCAAAATCCCCCACTTCTCATCTCCACTGACACTCCAACCTTGATCTAGATGTGGTTATACCTCCATAATCTCTCACTTTGCCGCACAGTCTCCCCATTGGTGTCCTTGACTCTTAATGTGCACTCCTCCATGTTCAAAAAACAGAACCATTCTTAAAATATAAGTCAAGTCATATGATACTTGTGCTCAGAATCATCAATGGATTCCAAATTAGATAAAAGTATAAGCAAAAAAGCCCTATTTTGTCCTAAAATGCCCTACAGATCTGTGTTCCCACTATTTCTCTGACTTCGTCTTTTACTCCTCTCTTCTTTATTTTTCTCAAGTTACAATGCCCCATTGGTATTCCATAAAAACGGCAAACATACTTCTATCTCAAGTCCTTTGCCCTTGCTATTCCATCTCTCTGGAAAAACTCTTTACCCAAATATCAGCATGACCAACTCCTTCATTTAGTCCAAGTCTCTGTGCAAATACCTCTGTATCAGAGAGTCTTTACCTTATCATCCTATGTAAAACAGCACTCCAAACGACCCTCTTTAAATTTTCAGTATGCCACTCATCACCACCTCAAATATTGTATTCACTGTGTGTTTTACTTTAACTCTTCCCCAACCCTAGATTATAAACTCTGTGACTGAAACCGTAACTATTGTTTGCTACTATATTATCAGCAGTAGAACAGTGCTTGACTCATAGTGAGGTCTTGATGAATTTGGTTGAATGAATCACTTAATCAATTGTCCCAATTTTATAAACTCAAGTTTAAGGTATCTGAAAATTCTAGTCTAATCCCAAACCATATTGATGTATTGGTCCTTATTTAAACCCTTAAAAAATAGGCATTAATTGCTTTATCATGCAGTCTCTTTTAATTAGTGTAATTTTGACTAGATTGATATGCTGGTTTAGTAATTACTTTGTGATTTTATATGTATATGTTACATGCTTGGATTATAATAGAAATGCTAGATTTTAAAGTTACTGAAACCTATAAGAAAGCAGTTTTGTCTTATTTTTTTAAATATAACTCAGCCATCTTTTCTGTACACACACATACACACACAACCTCATAGATGTGGTTTTACCAATATCAATTTAAAGAAGGGCACTATGATGTTTGTTTTAGATCTGTACTTCCTAAATTATCTGTAGTCTAAGAACAGTTTTTCTCTCCATCTACCATGGATTCACACTTTTATAAAATAAAATAATTCATTAATATAAACTTAATAGAGAAAAGCAAAGACATGAGTCAAGTCTATGTTTTAAATGATTAGATTCAAGAGACATAAAGTTTTCTGTAAACATTTCTTTTTTAACATTCTGTTTCAATTTATGTACTTATCACAAACCAGAATCAAACAATTCCTGGATTAGCACTGGTATCCAGACCTAAATTTGAGTAGCATTGCTCTATATATTAAATTTCGAACACCTCTCTACAAAGTATTTATATTCCAGCTTTTTTAAAAGTAAAAACTGACTATAAGAGAAGTTAACGTAATACAGTAAAGACTATTTAACAGGAACATTTGATGAAGTAGATCATTCCCGTCTTCTAAAAACTTTCACTTTCTTTGTTTTTCATTACACCTTGTTCTTCTGATTTGTGTTTTTCACCTCTGATTTGTTTCTTTTCTGTTTCCTTCACTTCTTCTTACTTATCCAAAGATTACAGTATCTTTGAGATATGTTTTGAACTCTCGTCTTTTCTACATCAAAATACACTTCCTGGCTCCAATTGTGAACTATAAAACATCGATTAAAAATGTATATCTAACTTCTGATCTCTCTGCACATTGTCACATTTGACTACTGTATTAATCATTTTTTTTAATGTTATGTATTTTATGATGTGTTGACATCTTACAAAGGCTACTAGCCATGTAAAGACTGCCAGGGCCAGGGCTAGCCAATTCTTTGAGTTAGTAAAGGGCCAGGTTGGGAGCATGTCTTGCATGTGCAATCGAGCCAATCTTTGGTCTATAGCCCAAAGTCTATAGCTCCATTCACAGCCTTGTCTAACTCTTTACACACCAAGCCAAGATTTACCTTGCCCTAAATCACCTAGGGCCAAATATAAAAAAAAACTGGAGACCGTCTTTATACCTCAAGGCCCTTTCAAATTATTCAAACCAGCCAA
This sequence comes from Homo sapiens, assembly GCF_000001405.40. Classification (NCBI taxonomy): domain Eukaryota; kingdom Metazoa; phylum Chordata; class Mammalia; order Primates; family Hominidae; genus Homo; species Homo sapiens. Next base: position 144,168,072 of record NC_000023.11, on the reverse strand, counting down.
TATTAAGTTGTTTATTCTGTCCGGCCTTGCTTTTCCCATAGAAACCCCCATAAAGACTCTGGCTCTGGATTCCCTTTGCTTCTATCTTTTTCCACGTGAGAAAAGCCTAGCCCTCTGTGGTCCTCTGTGACATTTGGCGACCCTACTCTGTTGGACCTGTAAATATAATCAAACCTCTTCCTTCTAGGCCTTGTTCTTGTTTTCCTTTGCGGCTACACTGACTGTACCACACCACATTTTTCGAACTTTTATGCGTGCCCATATGCCTCACAAACATATATAATTCAACATACCCACTATTGAAATGAACATTGTCTCTTCAAACGTTTTCCTTCTGTTAATATTTCCTACATCAGCAAATGGAAACATACTCTTTCAATAAACACAATTGGGAAACTTTAAAGTCATCCTTGACTAGCCTAGTTTATCCATTTATCTTTTATTATTCAATCAATTGGTAACAAAGTTCTGCCTCCAAAATGTATCTCAAATATCATTTACTTCTCTATCATTTTTACAAATATCAGTATAGTCCAGGACACAATCATCTCCATAATGAAGTCCTGACTGGCTTCCCAGTTTCTGCTCTTACTCATCATTCTGATCTATCTTCCACTAACTGCCACGTAATCTACTTTTTAAAATAGGGTAAGATTGTATCTTGTTTTCCTGAGACAATTGTAATTTTCATCTATTATCTCATATAGTGATTAATGGTACCCCTTCCTTTCTATTAAGTGAGACAGTATGTACAATATATTCTATCTTCACGCTACCTAATAGTCATTAAAATAATTTATTGAGCCATGACAAAGTAATTGGCTCCAGAATAGTTTCATTCTCTTAAAAAACTAGAAAAGCATATTAAATAAGTTCGGGCTGTGGAAAGCAGATAGTAAAGGATAGCAATCACTAAGAAAAGTGAAAACACTGAAGTAAGTCCTATGATCACCCAGGATTTCTCCCTGCGGGTAACTGTAGGCTATGGTGCAAGGACAGGAAATCCCTACATATCGTAGTAGTTCTATTAAATTGAGGATACTGAGTTAAGAAAGCCTTACCAACTGGAATTTGTCAGATAGAGTAATAGAGAAGGGAGGGTGAGAGTAAAAAATAGATTCAGGTCCGGGTGCGGTGGCTCACGCCTATAATCCCAGCACTTTGGGAGGCCAAAGTGGGCAGATCACCCGAGATTGGGAATTTGAGACCAGCCTGACCAACATGGAGAAACCCCGTCTCTACTAAAAATACAAAATTAGCCGGGCGTGGTGGTGCATGCCTGTAATCCCAGCTACTCGGGAGGCTGAGGCAGGAGAATCGCTTGAACCCGGGAGGCGGAGGTTGCGGTGCGCCGAGATCACACCACTGCACTCCAGCCTGGGCAGCAAGAGTGAAACTCCGTCTCAAAAAAAAAAAAAAAAATAGATTCAAAAATGTACATATGGATTCCCTTGGGTCTTTCACTAAATGTTAAGCTGAACATGCACAGGGTGAAATTCCATAAGGCTAGACAGAGAGCAACTGGGAGACAACTGTATGCTGAACAATTCCCAGAATTCACATAGGCCTAAGAGGCATTTTCAGTAGCTAGAGTGGAAAAAACTTGTTTAGCACCTAGGGCATTCAGTGAAGACACCAGAATGGCTATTTCTAAAAAGTAGACCTAAAATGTCCTCAGAGTAAAGGATACTTCTGACTCATGTTAACAACACTTAAAAACAAACCTTAAAAGAATTGAGCTGATGCGCGAAATCTTATATCAACTATTTAAAGAAATAAAGCAAAATCCAGACAACCAATAATGTTACATTATCAAGAAATCAATTAATAATTAGAAGATGTGTTAGGAAGCAGGAAAATATAACATATAACAAAGGGGAAAATCACACAAAAGAAATGAACACAGAAATAACAAACATGATAAACAGAAAAAAAAAACTTTAAAATGGCTATTACAAATGTGAAGAAGGCCTTAAAGGAATATATAAACATACTGAGAAAAAATAGAAATATTTTTATTGTTTTTAATTGTTTTTAGACTTTTCTTCTATCCTTTTTTTTTCAACTTTTATTTTGAGTTCAGGGGTATATGTGCAGGATGTGCAGGTTTGTTACATAGGTAAACATGTGCCATTGTGGTTTTATGCACAGATCATCCCATCACCTAGGTATTCGGCCCAGCATCCATTAGCTATTTTGCCTGATGCTCTCACTCCCCCAACACCAAGCCTCCAACAGGCCCCAGTGTGTGTTGTTCCCTGCCATGTGTCTATGTGTTCTCATCATTCAGCTCCCACTTACTAATATTATTATTTTTTCCGAGGCAGGGTCTTCCTCTGTCGCCCAGGCTGGAGTGCAGTGGTGCAATCTCAGCTCACTGCAACCTCTGCTTCCCGGGTTCAAGTAATTCTCCTGCCTCAGCCTCATGAGTAGCTGAGATTACAGGCACGTGTCACCCTGCCCAGCTAATTTTTGTATTCTTAGTACAGACGAGGTTTCACCATGTTGGCCAGGCTGGTCTTGAACTCCTGACCTCATGATCTGCCCTCTTCAGCTTCCCAAAATGCTAGGATTACAGGCATGAGCCACCGTGCCTGGCCCTCAGCTCCCACTTATAAGTGAGAACATGTGGTGTTTGGTTTTCTGTTCCTGCATTAGTTTGCTGAGGATAATGCCTTCCAACTCCATCCATGTCCCTACAAAGGACATAATCTCATTCCCTTTTTATGGCTGCATAGTATTCCATAGTGTATATGTACCATATTTTCTTTATCCTGTCTACTACTGATGGTCATTTGGGTTTATTCTATGTCTTTCTTATTGTGAATAGTGCTACAATGAACATATGTGTGCATGTATCTTTATAATAGAATGATTTATATTCCCTTGGGTATATACTGAGTGATGAATTGCTGGGTCAAATTGTATTTCTGCCTCTAGATCTTTGAGGAATTGAAACACTGTATTCCACAGTGGTTGAAATAATTTACATTCCCACCAACAGTGTAAAGGCATTTCTTATTCTCAGCAACCTTGGCAGCATCTGTTTTTTTTGTTTGTTTGTTTGTTTTGACATTTTGATAACAGCTATTCTGCCTGGTGTGAAATGGTATCTGTATTAGTCCATTTTCATACTACTATGAAGAAATAAATGAGACTGGATAATCTATAAAGAAAAAAAGGTTTAATGGACTTACAGTTCTGAATGGCTTGGGAGGCCTCACAATCAGGGTGGAAGGCAAAGGAGGAGCAAAGGCTTGTCTTACACGGTGGCAGGCAATGTGAGAGAGCAAGTGCAGGGAAACTGCCTTTATAAAACCATCAGATCTCATGAAACTTATTCGCCAACATGAGGACAGCATGGAAAAAAACCCACCCCATGATTCAATTGCTTCCCACCGGGTTCCGCCCACAACACGTGGAGATTATGGGAGCTATAATTCAAGATGAGATTTGGGTGGGGACACAGCCAAACCATATTAGTATCTCATTGTGGTTTTGATTTGCATATCTCTAATGATCAGTGATGTTGAGCTTTTTTTCATGTTTGTTGGCCATATGAATGTCTTCTTTTGAGAAGTGTCTGTTCATGTCCTTTGCCTATGGTTTTTTTTTTCTTGTAAATTTATTTAAGTTTCCCCTAGACACTGGATACTAGACCTTTGTTAGATGGATACATTGCAAAAAATTTCCCCCATTCTCTAGGTTGTCTGTTCACTCTGATAATAGTTTATTTTCCTGTGCAGAAGCTCTTTAATTTAATTAGATACCACTTGTTAATTTTTGCTTTTGTTCCAATTGCTTTTGGCATTTTCATGATGAAGTCTTTGCCCATGCCTATGTCCTAAATGGTATTGCCTAGATTTTCTTCTAGGGTTTTTATAGTTTTGGGTTTTACATTTAAGCCTTTAATCCATGTTGAGTTAATTTTTGTATATAGTGTAAGGAAGGGGTCCAATTTCAATTTTCTGCATATGGTTTGCCAGTTCTCCCAGCACCATTTATTAAATAGGAAATCCTTTCCCCATTGTTTGTTTTTGTCAGATTTGTTGAAGATCACTTGGCCGTAGGTGTGTGGTCTTATTTCTTAGTTTTCTATTCTGTTCCACTGGTCTATGTGTCTGTTCTTGTACCAGTACCATGCTGTTTGGTTTACTGCAGTTTAATTTGAAGTGTAGTGTAATTTGAAGTCAGGTAATATGATGCCTCCAGCTTTGTTTGTTTTTCTTAGGATTGTCATGGTTATTCAGGGTCTTTTTTGGTTCCATAGGAATTTTGAAATAGTTTTTTCTAGTTCTGTGAAGAATGTCAGTGGTAGTTTAATGGGAATAGCATTGACTCTATAAATTACTTAAGGCAGTATGGCCATTTTTACGATATTGATTATTTCTATCTATGGGCATGAAATATTTTTCCATTTGTTTGTTTTCTCTCTGATTTCTTTGAGCAGTGGTTTGTAGTTCTCTTTGAAGATGTCCGTTACTTTCCTTATTTTATCCTCTTCATAGCAATTGTGAATGAGAGTTCATTCATGATTTGGCTCTTTGCTTGCCTGTTGTTGGTGTATGGGAATACTAGCAAGTTTTGCACGTTGATTTTGTATCTAGAGACATTGCTAAAGTTGCTTGCCAGCTTAAGGAGCTTTTGGGCTGAGATGATAAGGTTTTCTAGATGTAGGATAATGCTATCTGCAAAGATAATTTCGCTTCCTTTCTTTTTATTTGAATACTCTTTATTTCTTTCTCTTGCCTCATTGCCCTGGTCAGAACTTCCAATACCATGTTGAATAAGAATGGTAAGAGAGGGTGTGCTTGTGTTGTGCCACTTTGCAAGGGAAATGCCTCTAGCTTTTGCTCATTTAGTGTGATATTGGCTGTGAGTTTGATATATGTGAATCTTACTATTTTGAGGTATGTTCCTTCAATACCTAGTTTATTGAGAGTTTTTAACATGAAGGGATGTTGAATTTTGTCAAAAGCCTTTTCTGCATTGATTGAAATAATCATGTGTTTTTTGTCTTTTGTTCTGTTTATGTGATGAATCACATTCATTGCTTTGCATATGTTGAACCAACAGTTTATACCCTCTCGGATATGAAGCCAACTGGATCACGATGGATAAGCTTTTTGATGTGCTCCTGGATTTGGTTTGCCAGCCTTTTATTGAAAAATTTTTATATCAAGGTTCATCAAATATATTGGCTTGAAGTTTTTGTTGTTGTTGTTGTTGTTTTGTATCTCTGCCAGGTTTTGGTATCAGGATGATGCTGGCCTCATAAATGAGTTAGAGGGGAGTCCCTCAATTGTTTGGAATAGTCTCAGTAGAAACGGTACCAGCTCTTCTTTTTACCTCTGGTAGAATTCATCCTTTAGTCCTTCTGGTGCTGGGCTGTTTTTGCCTTGGTAGGCTATTTATTAGTGCCTTTATTTTAGAACAATTTCTCAGTCTATTCAGTGACTCAATTTCTTCCTGGCTCCTTGGTAGATTGTATGTGTGCAGGAATTTATCCATTTCTTTTAGATTTTCTAGTTTATTTTCATAGAGGTGTTTGCAGTATTCTCTAATAGCTGTGAGTAGTTCATTGGGGTCAGTGATATCCCCTTTATCATTTCTGATTGTGTATATTTGATTCTGTTTTCTTTTCTTCTGTATTAATCTAGCTAGCAGTCTATTTTATTTTATTTTATTTCTCTTAAAAAAACAGCTTCTGGATTTGTGGGTTTTTTTTTTTTTGAAGAATTTTTTATGTCCCCGTCTCCTTCAGTTCAGCTCTGATCTTGGTTATTTGTTGTCATCTGCTAGTTTTGGGGTTTGTTTGCTCTTGATTCTCTAGTTTTTGTTAAAAAAATTTGTGATGTTAGGTTGTTAACTTGAGTTCTTTTTAACTTTTTGCTGTGGGCATTTAGTACCATGAATTTCCCTCTGAACACTGCTTTAGCTCCATCCCAGAAATTCTAGTACATTGTCTCTTTATCCTCATTAGTTTCAAATAACCTGTTGATTTTTATCTTAATTTTATTATTTACCCAAGAGTCATTAAGGAGCGGATCGCTCAATTTCCATGTAGTTGTGTGGTTTTGAGTTCATTTCTTAATTTTAAGCTCAAATTTGATTGCACTGTGGTCCAAGTCTTTTGCATTTACTGAGGAGTGTTTTACATCTGATTATGTCATCAATTTTAGAGTAAGTGCTGTGGGACAATGAGAAGTATGTATATTATATTTTGTTGTTTTTGGGTAGAGACTTCTTTAGGTATCTACCAGGTCTGCTTGATCCAGAGTTGAGTCCTGAATATCTTCGTTAATTCTCTGTCTCAATGAACTGTCTAATATTGTTGGTGGGGTGTTAAAGTCTCTCACTATTATTCTGTGGGAGTCTAAGTCTCTTTGTAGGTATCTAAGAACTTGTTTTATAAATCTGGGTGCTCCTATATTAGGTGCATATATAATTAGGTTAGTTAGCTTTTCTTGTATTGAACATTTTACCTTTATATAATACCCTTCATTGTCTTTTTTTTATCTTTCTTGATTTAACATCTGTTTTGTCAGAAACAAGAATTGCAACCCCTGCTTTTTTCTGCTTTCCATTTTCTTGGTAGATTTTTCTCCATCTCTTTATTTTGATCCTATCTGTGTCACTGCATGTGAGATGGGTCTCTTGAGGACAGCATACCAATGGGTCTTGACTCTTTATCTAGCTTGCCATTCTGTGTCTTTTAATTGGGGCATTTAGCCCATTTACCTTTAAGGTTAGCATTGTTATGTGTGAATTTGATTTTGTCATCACGATACTAGCTGGTTATTTTGCAGACTTGTTTATGTAGTTGCTTCATTGTGCCATTGGTCTTTGTACTTCAGTGTGTTTTTGTAGTGTTTGGTAATGGTTTCCTTTTTCATATTTAGTGCTTCCTTTAGAAGCTCTTGCAAGGCAGGACTTGTGGTAATGAATTTCCACAGCATTTGCTTGTCTGAAAAGGAGCTTATTTCTCCTTCACTTATGGAGCTTAGTTTTGCCAGGTACAAAATTCTGGGTTGAAAATTCTTTTCTTTAAGAATATTGACAGCCAGGCGCAGTGGCTCACACCTGTAATCCCAGCACTTTGGGAGGCCGAGGAGGGCAGATCACGAAGTCAGGAGATCAAGACCATCCTGGCTAACACGGTAAAACCCTGTCTCTATTAAAAACATACAAAAAATTATCTGGGCGTGGTGGCGGGCACCTGTAGTCCCAGCTACTTGGGAGTCTGAGGCAGGAGAATGGCACGAACCCAGGAGGCAGAGCTTGCAGTGAACTGAGGTCATGCCACTGCACTTCAGCCTGGGCAACAGAGTGAGACTCCGTCTCAAAAAAAAAAAAAAAGAATATTGACTATTGGCTCCTAATCTCATTTGGCTTTTAGAGTTTCTGCTGAGAGGTCCACTGTTAGTCTGATAGGCTTCCCCTTTGTAGGTGACCTGGACTTTCTCTCCAACTGCCCTTAGCATTTTTTCTTTCATTTCAACCTTGGAGAATCTGTTGATTGTGTCTTGTGGTTGATCTTCTCATGGAGTATCTTACTGGGGTTCTCTGCATTTCCTGAATTTGAATATTGGCCTGTCTTGCTAGGTTGGGGAAGTTCTCCTGGATTATATCCTGAAGTGTGTTTTCCAACTTGGTTCTATTCTCCCTATCTCTTTCAGGTAACTCAGTCAGTTATAGATTTGGTCTCTTTACATAACCCCATATTTCATGCGACTTTTTTCATTGCTTTTTATTCTTTTTTCTCTATTCTTGTCTGCCTCTGTTATTTCAGCAAGATCATCTTCCAGCTTTGAGATTCTTTCCTTTGCTTGGTCTATTCTGCTCCTGATACTTGTGATTGCATTGTGAAGGATCTCGTATTGTGTTTCTCAGCTCCATCAGGTTGGTTATGTTCCTCTCTAAATAGACTATTGTTGCTATCAGCTCCTGTATTGTTTTATTATGATTTTTAGCTTCTTTGCATTGGGTTACAAATAATTGTGTATTTTATGTGTCACAAAGTAATATTTTGATACACATACACATTATAATGATGAAATAAGTGTAATTAGTATATCCATCACCTGAAATACTTATCTGTGACAGGAACATTTAAAATTCTCTCTTTTAGGTATTTTGAGATACACAATACATTATTATTAACTATAGTCACCTTGCTGTGCAGTTGAACATCAGAACTTTTATCTCTTATCTAAATATAACTATACCCATCGACCAGCATCTCTAATTTCTCCATCCAAACGCTTACCCCCGCAGCCTCTGGTAACCACCATTCTACTCTCTACTTCTATGAATTTGACTTTTTTAGATTTCATATATAAGAGATATTATACAGTATTTGTCTCTTTGTGCCCGGCTTATTTCACTTAACATAGGTTCATTCATGTTGCAAATTAGAGAATTTTCTATTTGTTTTCATCTTAATGACTGAATCGTATTCATTTTACAATTATATATAGTACTCTACCTTTTAAAATGCCCATAGTTGGACATTTAGGTTATTTTCATATCTTGGTTATTGAGAATAGTGCTACAATAAACATGAGTGTGCAGAAATACCTTTGCCATACCGATTTTATTTCCTTTGGGTATATACATAGTAGTGGAATTTTATAATTATGTCATCATTCTATTTTCGTTCTTTTTAAATTTTTAATATTTAATCCTTGTGGGTACATAGTAGGTACATATATTTATAGGGTACATAAGATACTTTGATATAGGCATGCAATGTGTAACAATCACATCCTGGTAAATGGAGTATGCATCACCTCAAGCATTTATCCTTTGTGTTAAAAACACTCCAGTTATACTCTTTTGATTTTAAAATGTATAATTAAATTATTATTAACCACAGTCATGCCGTTTTCCTGTCAAACACTAGGTCTTTATTCATTCTTTCTATTTTTTTTTTCTTTTTTTTTTTTTAACTCATTAACCATCCTCACATCCCCCCACCCCTGACACACACTGAGTACCCTTCCCAGCCTCTGGTAAATGTCCTCCTACTCTCTATCTCCATTAGTTCAACTGTTTTAGTTTCTAGCTGCCACATATAAGTGAGAACATGTGAAGTTTGTGTTTTCATTCCTGGCTTATTTTACTTATCATAACCTCCAGTTCCATCCATGTTGTAGCAAATGACAGGATCTCATTCTTTTTATGGCTGAATAGTACTCCATTGTGTATATGTACCACATTTTCTTTATCCATTCATTTGTTGATGAAAATTAAGATTGCTTCCCAATCTTGGATATTGTGAACAGTGCTGCAACAAACATGGGAGTGCAGATATCTCTTTGATATAATGATTTACTTTCTTTTGCATGCATACCCAGCATTTGAATTACTGGACTATACAATAGCTCTAATTTTAGATTTTTAAGAAACTTACATACTGTTTTCCAAAATGGCTATGCTAATGTACAATACCACCAAGAGTGTATAAGGGCTCTCTTCTGTATATCCTTGCCAATGTTTGTTATTTTTCACTTTTTGAAAATAGCCAGTCTAACAGATGGGAGGTAAAACTCATTATGGTTGTAATTTGCATTTCTCTGATGATTAAAGACATTGAACTTTTTTTCATATATCTGTTGGACATTCATATGTCTTCTTTTGAGAAAAGTCTATTCAAGTTCTTTACCAATTTATAAGAGTTGTATTTGTTTTATTGTTACTAAGTAGTTTGAGTTAATTGTACATTTTGGATATTAGCCACTTACTGGATATATAATTTGCATATATTTTTCTCATCCTGTGTGTAATCTCTTCACTCTATTAATTGTTTCATTTGCTGTGCAAATGATTTTTAGGTTGATTCAGTGTCTTTTGTCTATTTTTGTTTTTGTTGCTCAAACTTTTATAATCATATCTAAGTATTCTGCCCAGTGCAATATTGTGTTAGGCCATTATTGCATTGCTCTAAAGAAATATCTGAGACCTGGAAATTCATAAAGAAAAAAGGTTTAATTGACTGACAGTTGTGTAGCTTTTATAGGAAGAATGGTACTGGCATCTGCTTGGCTCCTGGTGAAGCCTCAGGAAGCTTTTAGTCATGGTGGAAGGCAACGTTGGAGTAGTCATCTCATATGGTGAAAATGTGAACAAGAGAGAGAGTGGGGGAGGTGCCATACATAAACAATCAGATCACTACAGCAAAGACAGTACCAAGCCATGTGAGATCTGCTTCGATGACATAAACATCTCCCACCAGGCCCCACCTCTAACACTGGGATTATGTCCTTCTGAAATTTCAAAATATAATCATGCCTTTTCAATAGGACCCAAATTGTCAACACATTTTTGAATTAACTCAAAAGTCCAAAGTCTAAAGTTTCATTTGAGACAAGGCAGGTTCCTTCCACTTATGAGTCTGTGAAATCAAAAGCAAGTTATGTACTTCCAAGTTACGATGGGGTACAATGGGGTATAGCTATTGAATAAACATTTCCATTGGAAATTGAAGAAATCAGCCAAAGGGAAGGCCCTGTGCAAGTTCAAAATCAAACAGGGCCGTAATTAAATCTTAAAGTTTCAAAATAATCTCCGTTGAATACATGTCATGCATCCGGGGCACACCAGTGCAAGGGGTGGGCACACTAGTGCAAGGGGTGGGCTCACAAGGCCCTAGGCATTTCCACTTATGTGGCTTTCCAGGTTTCAGTCCCCATGCCTGCTCTCACAGGTTGTTGAGTGGCTGCAACTTTTCCAGGTACAAGGTGTAAGCTGCAGGTGGATCTACCACTCTGGGGGCCTGGAGGATGGTGGCTCCTTTCCCACAGCTCTACTAAGCAGTACCTCAGTGGGTACACTGTGTGGTGGCTTCAACCCCACAATTTACCTCCACACTGCTCTGTCAGATGTTCTCTATGAGGGCTGTACTCCTGCAGCGCACTTTTTCCTGGGGACCCAGGCTTTCTCAAACATCCTCTGAAATCTAGGCAGTTGCTGCCAAGTTTTCTTTACTCTTTTACTCTGTGCACCTGCAAGATTAACATCACATGGAAACTGTCAATGCTTATGGCTTAAAATGTCTGAAGCAGTGGCTCGACCTTATCAGCCTGGACTTTACCGTCCATATCACTATCAATATTTTGGTCACAAACATTTAACCAGTCTCTAAGAAGTTTCACGTTTTCCTTCAACTTCCTGTCTTCTTCTGAGTCCTCCAAAGTCTTCCAACCTTTGCCCATTATCCAGTTCCAAGGTCGCGTCCACATTTTCAGGTATCTTTATGAAAATAACCCATTCCTGGCACCAACTTTCTGTGTTAAGCTGTTCTTGTATTGCTATAAGGAAATACCCGACACTGGGCAGTTTATACAAAACTAGGTTTTATTGCCTCATGTTTCTGCATGCTATACAAGAAGCCTGGTACCAGCATATGCTCAACTTCTCATGAGGCCTCAGGAAGCTTTCATTCATGGCAGAAGGCAAAGGGAGAGCAGGCATTTCACGTGGCAAGAACAAAAGCAAGAAAGATAGTTGGGGGAGAAAGAAGAGATGTCATGCATTTAAACAACCAGATGACCATTACAAAGACAGCACCAAGCCATGCGGGATCTATCTCCATGACATAAACCACTCCCACTAGGCCCTACCTTCAACACTGAGGATTACATCACAACATGAGATTTGGAGAGGACATCGAAACTATATTAAATGTCACACAGTTTTTTCTTTTCTGTTTTACTCTAGTAATTTTATTATTTTAAATCTTATCTTTAAGTTGTTGTTCTATTTTTAGTTGATTCTTATATAAGGGTGAAATCAGGGTTCATTTTTTTTCTTCTGTATATGAATATCCGGTTTTCCCAACAGCATTTATTGTAGAGATTATCCTTTCTCCAATGTGGATTCTTAGCACCTTTGTTGAAAATCAACTCACACTAGTTACGCAGGGTTATTTTTGGACTCTCTTCTACTACATTAATCAATGTGTCTATTTTTAGGCCAGTATCATTCTGTTTTGATTCCTATAGCTTTGTAATATATTTTGAAATCCCATTGTATGATTCCATTAGCTTTGTCCTTTTTGGTCAAGATTGCTTTGAGTATTAGGTGTTCTGTAGTTTCATATGAATTTTAGGATTTTTTTCTAGTTCTGTGAAAATTCCCATTGGAATTTTGATATGGATTCCATTGAATTTATAGATCAATTTGGGTAATATAAACATTTTAACAATATTAATTCTACTAATTCATGAACATGGGATATCTTTTCATTTACTTGCACCTTCTTCCATTTCTTTCATCAATGTTTTATAGTTTTCAGCTTACAGTTTTTCACTTTCTTGGTAAAATTTAATTATAAATATTTTTATTGTATTATAAATAACACTGTTTTTTAAATTTTTTTCTGGTGAGTTAATTGTTAGTGTGTAGCAACACTACTGATTTTTGTAAGTTGGTATTTTATTTTGTAGCTTAACTGAACTTTTAAATATGTTGTAACAGGTTCTTAGTGGAGTCTTTAGGATTTTCTATATGTACATACATTGACAAATCCGAAAGACTCTAATTCTGTAATGGTGGTGGATAAATTAATTATATGTCTATTATAAAGTGTAAAAACAAAACTATTAAAAACAACTAAAGCAACAATAATTTGTTAAGAGGCACATATTATAAAAAGATGTAAAGTATAACACCAAAACAGTAAAAAATGGAAAGAGAGTAAAATTACAGAATTTTTCTCTGCAATCAAAATTCAATTATTCTAAACTTGAAATAGCTTGTTACAAGTATAAAATGTTTCTTGTAAACCTCAGGGTAACCACAAAACAATATTTTATAACAAAACACAAAAGAATAAAAAAGATATCCAAACAATGCGGTACAGAAGGCCATCAAACATCAAAGCAAAAAAGCTAGACAGAAATAAAAAAAAGGCCCTAATAAAACACCAGAAAACAGTTAACAACGTGGCAGTAGTAAATCCTTACCTATCAACAATTACAAAAAAAAAGTATATGAATTAAGTGTTTCAGTTAAAGGGCTTAGTGTAGCTGAAGGAATGAAAAAAACAAAGCCCAGTTATATGCTGCCTACAATAGACTCATCTCAACCTAAAGGCCACTCATATTAAAAGTGAATTGATGGAGAAACACGTTAAAGGGAGACAGAAACTGAAAGAGATCAGGGTAGCTATATTTAATTTATAAAAAATAAACTTTAGGTCAAAAACTGTAAAAAGGGACAAAACAGTTAATGACAAAGTGGTAAGTTCATAAGGAGGAACTAACAATTATATTTGCTCCAAAACTGGAGTACTTAAATACCAAACAATAATAATAAATCGAAAGGAGACATGGAATGTGACACAATAGTAATAGGGTATTTCAACACTCCACTTTCAGCAACAGACAGATCATTCAGACAGAAAATCAATAAGAAAACATCAGACTTAAACTACACGTAAGAACAAATGGACCTAACGGATATATACAGGACATTCCACCCAATAGCAACAGGATATACGTTTTTCTCAAGTGCACAAGGTACGTTCTCCAGGATGGATTATATTTTAGGCAACAACACAATTCTTAACACATTGAAATAAAAAGAAATCATATCAAGTATCATTTTCCATCATAATGGTGTGAAACTGGAAATCAATAACAGGAAGAGTCATGGAAAATTCACAAATAAGTGAAACATAACTAATACACTCCTCAACAACTATTTAGTCAAAGAATAAACTAAACAGGAAATTTAAATAATATCTTGAGAAAACAAGAATGAAAACAGAACATACCAAGGCTTATGGGATGCAGCAAAAGTAGTTCTAAGAAGGGAGTGTATAACAATTAAAATCTACATCAAAAAGGAAGGCAGCTCTCAGATAAACAGCTTAACATTACATCTTAAGCAATTAGTAAAAGAAGAACAGACTAGTCCCAAAGATAGCAGAAGAAAGAAAATAACAAAGGTCAGAGCAAAAATAAGTGCAATAAATACATGAAAAAATAGAAATAAAGAGAATAAGAGTTGGCTTTTTGAAAAGGTGAATAAAATTGACAAAACCTTAGCTAAACTAACTAAGAATAAAAGAGAGAAGACAAATAAATAACATCATAAATGAAGAATGAGACATTACAATTGATAATACAGAAATACAAAGGATCATAAGAGACTATTGTGAAAAATTATATGCCAACAAGTTAAAACACCTGGAAGAAATGAATCAATTCCTAGAGGCATATAACTTACTAAGACTTAATCATGATAAGATGGGAAATCTTAACAGACCAATAACAAGTAAAGAGATTAAATAAAAATTAAAAAGTCTGTTCAAGGAGAAGCCCAGATCCAGATAGCTTCATGGATGAATTCTAATTAACATTTAAAGAACTAATGCCAATCATTCTGAAACTCTTCCAAAAAATTGAAGAGAAAAAGAGTACTTCCAAACTAACTTTACAAGGCCAGCCTCACCATGGTACCAAAGCTAGTACAGTACACTACAAGAAAAGAAAAACTGCAGGCTAATATAACTGATAAACATAGATGCAAAAATCTTCAACAATATGCATATGGACTCCAACTTAGGGTGGTTCAATTTAAGATTTTTTAACTTTATCATGGGGTTATGAGGATCATATCTTCAACAATACATTAAAAGTGTCATCATTTACCATGATCAAGTGGGATTTATCCCTGGGATGCAAGATTGGTTGAACATACATAAATCAATAAATGTGATATGTCACATCAACAGAATGAAGAACAAAATCAACACCATCATCTCAATAGATACAAATGAAGCATTTGACGAAACTTAACATCATTTTATGATAAAGTCTATTAACAAATTAGGTAAAGAAGGACTATTCCTCAACATAATAAAGACTATATATGACAAGCCCACAGCTAACATCGTACTCAGGAATTAAAATTGAAGGCTTTTACTTTAAAATCAGAAAAAAATAAGTATGCCCACTCTCACTACTTCTGTTAAATATAGTACTGGAAGTCCTAGCCAGAGCAATTAGGCAAGAGAGAGAAATAAAGGACATCCAAATAAAAGAGGATGAAGTAAAATTATCTCTGTTTCTTTGCAACCACACTGTTTTAATTGCCAGCAATGACATGATTTTAAATGTCAGTAAAAGGCAAATATGAATTTTTCTTCAAGTACAACAAAATCAAGGAAACTATGTAGTTACTCATCATGTTTTTCAAAGGCTTAATAGAAATTCATGAGACAAAATTAATAAAATAAAAATATAACTCAAGGCCTCAAAAATTTATAATGATTAAGCAATAGAATTATCTACAGTCAATCTAATGTATTTACCTCTACTTATCTCCCCATGGTCCAAAGAACCATCGTCTCAGACCTAAATTATTTCAAAAAAACTTCTAAATGCTACCCCTGCTTCTTCCCTTGCTACTCATCACAGATGATGTTTTACACCACAGGACAAACAGTCTTGCTAAAACGTAGGTCACAGAATCGTTCTTTGTTAAAAATTTTCAGTGTTTTTCTATTTCACTTTTAAAGAAACAAATACATTATAGATAAATTCTAACTAATATTTAAAGAACCACCACACCAAAAATCTCACAGTTTTTAACATCTCTGAATTCATTAATTACTTATTTGACCATGCTGGCCTCTCTTGAAAAAATAAAATAAAATAATATTCTAGGCACGTTTCTACCTCATAGCCCTTGCACTTGCTCCTCCTGCTGCCTGGAACAGTCTTCTCCCAGATATCCTCATGACTTTCCTCCTTACCAGATTCTCGTCTTTACTTAAATGCCCCCTTTTCATTGCAGTCTTCCCTGTCCATGCTACAAAATAATCCTGCCCCTTTATCTTCCTTTTCTACTTTACTATTTGATAGCTTTTATTCCATCAACTACACTACCTATTGCATTTATTAACTTTCTGTCTACACTAATACTACAATGTAATCTGCACGAGTATGTTCTGTGCACTTACGTTAAGTGACCAAATGGCTTAAATTTAGTAGACACTTAAATTTCAATTGAATGAATAAATTTCTTTGGTCCTCTCTAGTGTTGATATTCTGACAGCTAATCATATTATACATAATTGTTTTGTTGATGGAACCACCCTGTTACACGTGATTTTAAGTCTATTCACAAGTCCAGTCCTGGCAAATGTTTAACAACAAGATTTCTGATGAAAAATGCCCTTATTTGTAGAATTTTATTAATTCCATGGTGAACATTCTCTCACCACAAACACGGGATTGAGATAAAATGCACACAACTGCTTTTTATGAGCTGATGTTGGCACAAATTATAGCACAAATTGCATTAACTCATTTAATGTGCTCAATCACCATGGGAGACAGGAGTTATTACTTTGGCTATTTTTCAAATGAGAAACTACAACACAGAGAGGTTAAGCACGTACCCAAGGTCACATAGTTAGAAAGGAATCTACCTGGGATATGCCTGATGATTGACCCGAGAGCTTGTGCTTAGAAAAATTCAGCTATACTTCAGGCCTTTGATAAATTACTTTAAATAAAATTCAGGTTTTAAAATGAAAAAAAAAATTATAGCCATGCATATTCTTTAAGTGTCAGTCAAGGACCTATAAATATTTTTTAAATTTTTTGAATATTTAAAAAATATGTTAGTTTTCCAAGCAAAAGGCCAAGACTGTGTGCTTTGCTTAGGCCATTTTATTTTCAGACACTGAAAATATCTGTAAAAATGATAATACCTCACTCTGGTTAGCCAGAGCCAATTAGATTTGTCAGTATCAGTCTATATCTTATTGATCGAAACCGCAGGTAGTAAAAAACATTCGTGTGTTTTCTAAGTGTTCTTTCTTGTTTTGGATTCCTTGCTTAAATCAGAATCTTACTGAACTAGAAATAAGAAAGTTTAGACTCCCTCCTTGTTTTTAGGAATATAATGTACCTAGCTGAGTGGATTTCTATTTTTCAAAGGCACAATAATCCAGTTAAAATGCAGTGATTCTCTTAGGTACTACATATATTTTACATTGTATAATCATTGCAATCAGCCACCAAATCCATAACTCTCATTAGAAAGCAGTGTTTCTTTTAATACCATTAATTTAGCCTGTTTTGAAGTCCTTATTAAGAATTCACCTAGCTAAACCATGACACTTATATGGATTCGACAAACTTGCTCTATTGCCTCTAGTTCTGAAAATAGATTTTAATTATCATATAAGATTAATTAAAAGAAAAATGTAATTCAGTATTACCTTTATTTTTTACATCATGAAGCACTGAGTAACAACATCTATATACTACGCATATTGTGTATAAAATCAATGAATGTATAATAGCTGTATGGAAAACAGGTTTAAATCTAAACCAATGAACCACAGCACTAAAAAATTAAGCAAATGTTTATTACATCATTTTGGATATTGACCTTTGGATATAGAAAGAAAACATTTTGAAGAAGAATCTGAGTCTCCACATTTTATTTTTAGAGGAGTAGGTACTTCTGGACACCATCTGGTCAGCCCATGGCATTCAAAATAAAACAGTGTTTGGAATATTGAAATTAATTATTAAAATGACAAGGAGAATTTTAAATTTCTAACTTGCAGACATGGGATAATTTTGACTATTTCTGGTATAAAATGACAGGAGGCGTATCTTTCTGGCAGAGTTTTGATCTTGTGAAACAGCTGCAACAGAAACACATGAATGTTTTTCTAAAAACTAGATTTCAATCTCCACTTCAACTTACTGGGTCAACATACATAGGTAAGGCTCTTCAAACCTAGAATGCAAGGATTTAACGATGCTGCTATTAAAAATAATAAAGTAACTAATTTCTTTCACATAAATCATTATTTGTTAATTTTCAAATGGATTATACACCCACATTTTATTTCTTTTTGGAATCAAAAATGGATTTAGGGCCAAGATTTTAGTAGAAAAGAGGTTTCTTTGTAGAAAAAAATATTGCAGAAAAAATACTAGTAAAAACATTGGACACAAAAATATTAGTAAAAACATTGGATGTGATAGAAACAGAAGTGTTAAAAGAAATGAAGAACAAATCGGGGCATGGAAAATGTATTTCTTCTTAAAAATATTTGTAAAAGCATGAGATGCAGCTATCTTTACAATTAAATTAAATGTGTATAAATGGAGAAGACTGAACTATAATCCAAATACTCAGTAATTCTAGTGAAATTTGACATATGATAGATCAATATTTGTGAAAAGAATAGTTTAATCAAAATACTAGGTCAAGTCTCTTCGCAATTTTTCTTTATATAGTTGAAATTAAGAGGGACAGCCTGGAGAATATTCTAAGTGTGGCGGGGCCTATAATCACAATAAAATATTGATCTGCTTTCTCAGATGATGGCATTTTGGATACACACCACTCTAAGAAATTAATCGTACAAAAGCAATAAATGTTCATTTGTGAGATAGTATGTAAAATTCTGATAGAATTTGGTCACTTATTGTTCATTTTTAAAGTCAAGGAATAAAGAAACAGTCTATGAAGAGTTTCAGATAAAAAACCAAATGATAGGCTAAACGTAAAGCTGAGCATTAGTGTTACTTGACATTCTCAGGCAACCTGCAATGTGTTATGAGGCCCTTACTTAATTTTCAGTTTAGATAAGAAAGTTAAATAAATTATCATTCATAGAAGTCATTAAAACAAACTACACCCATGCATTTTCCAGCCAGAATTCACTGTAAAATTTTCATTATGTGAAAAAAACCTGATGAATAAGAATAATGACTTTTTCCATAAGTTGGCACACTTCCCAGGCTAGAACACAGGAGAACCTATCTACCAAAAACTATGTCCTTCTACTCCCTTCAATGAATAAACTACTGTTTTTTTTAAAAAAAGTTTATTTCTCTCACACATTAACAAAGATTAGAAGTAAACAGTTCAAGATTTGCATGGCAACTCTGTGATTATCAGATTATCCTTCTACTGTCAAAATGTCATTTCCACCTTCTGGACCAAGATGGCTGCCTGAGGTCTAGTCATCAGAGCTGCAGTATGATGAACAGGAAAAAATAAAGGATGAAAAAGGGAGCATCCTCGTCCTTTAATGACTCTTTCACAACGTTGCAAACATCAAAGAGTGAACTGATCTTAATCCTTCAAAATAAACAAGAGTCAGGAGGATTTCAATTTGAATCCCAAGTGTATTTTGGGAATATTTTATAAGACTAAAACAAAGTGTTTTATGTTCCATGCCTCAGTTTCTCTAGCTACAATGAAAATATAAAATTCTGTATTATTCATCTTCCTTACTCAGGGGCTAGAGGTGATAACAAGAAGAGATTGATATGCAGTTCAAATATAGACATGTGATAGTGATACTTCATAACATAAAAACAATATTTTATGACTAATGGGCAGAATAAATCCTTCGTCTTTCTGGCACAATATGCATAACTTAAAAGAATGTCAGAGAAAAAAAAACAACATTAGAATGGAAGTTGTTAAGAACTATTTAAATGACTTTATAACCGTGTATAAACTTACCTAGAATAGGGATGCATTGAATTGTTTTAAATAAAAAATTTTCTTAGGTCAGAAGGGAAATCATTTTTGTGACTGTGTGAAAAATACATTCTCACATTGGATACCATTCCACAATTAATCTACTGCCCTTTTTCCTTATGCCCATTATATTACGTATGTATTCTTGGCATTCAAAGACTGCACATGGTATTACTCTGTTTTGCCTATACTTTTAACAATATATTTCAGGACCTTTTTACTGTGATTCTTCAGGATATTTCAAAAAGTATTATGAAAGATGGTAGACCTAGCTGCTGGATAACTGTATTTACTGACAATAAAAATTGGTCCACTTAAATTTTAAGGAGATAAGACAATCTCAAGTGAAATGAAAATCAATAACTGGTGCGTTTTTATCTGACATACTAGCTAAGCCACATATTAGAGATTAAAGTTAGAAATTAAAATGAACACAATATGGTAATTTCTTTTTTGGTGTTAGATGTTCTTTCCTCCATAGAAGAGATGTGTTCTAGACATTTTTTTGTGTGAAATGAATTTATGTTAAGTGAATCTTCCTTTCTGATAGAAAATTAAAAGTTTATTCTGTTGATTATAAAACAAGTTCTTACGGACTTGACCTTTGACAAATCTCCTATTGGTGCTTGGTACCAGCATGAGCTAACTTTATGGCCCAAAGCAACAGGACAGTGTGCTGAGGTCTGGGAGCACCCTCTCCAGAGAATCCCTAATGTCCAAAAATTGGTCAAAATCTAAAATTTATTTTGCTGTACAATTCACCTTTTTTTCTGGAGTTGTATTTGCCTTCAACGAGTAAGGCAAGATTTCCTGCTTCTGTGATGATGGAAGGCCAATAACTCCTTTATGAAGTTTGATTTTGCTCCTGCAGGGAAGATGAGTTTGAGTTTTTTCCTGTTTCTAGGATGATAGAGAGCAGTCTTCAGCCTGAGACCCATCCCTAGGTAAATAGCTGAGTTAGGGTTTTGTCTTGGCTAAGGTGTAACAACCAGCTGGTCTTAATTTCTCTCTACCATTAGAACATTCTGCGATCATATTGTTGGGGTATTTTGTTGTTGTTGTTGTGTGTTCTGGTCTTTCTTCCATCAGATTTGACCAACTCTACCTGACATGGTCAAATTCAAGTGAGAATTCCAAATTATAGGTAATAAAGCTGCTCTAATCTGGTCAAACTTCTTCGCAGCTTCAAAAGAAGAAAAACAAACAAACAAACAAACAAACAAGAAACAAACAAAAGTGCTCGGTTTCTGTGTTTGCTTCCTGTCTTTAAAATAAAATGTTATTTTGTGTACTTTTCTTCCACCCTATATCTCCTTCTCCCTTTGCCATCTGCAGTACCAAAAAAATCTAAAGAAGGCTTCTAGTGACTTGAATCCCTTTAAAGAATTCAAAACAAAGGCACCACCCACTCCTTTTGGGGTGTTCTGTTTTCTTTGTGGAGTTTCAAGAGTCATAGGCAGATTCTTCTTAGGTCTATTGCTCTGTTTTCTTATGTGAAAGGAAAATATCTTGGGCCCCCAATGTTACTAAGCTAAAGAAAAAAATAAAATTCAAGCTTGGAATTTCTTAGGGCAAACCTGCCTTACGTTCTATTCAAAGTCATTTCTCTGTTCACTGAGATAAATGCAAATCTGATAACTTCCTTTAAAAAGGTTAATCAGAAACTCAAAAGACTGCAACTGTTTGTCTCCCACCTACCTGTGACCTGGAAGCCCCCTCCCCACTTTGACTTGTCCTGCTTTTGCTTCCAGTTGTCCTGCCTTTCCGAACCAAACAAATGTTTATTTTACATACGTTGATTGATATCTCATGTCTCCCTAAAATATATAAAAGCAAGGTATGCTCTGACCACCTTGGACACATGTCGTCAGGACCTCCTGAGGCAATGTCACAGGTGGACCTTCTCAACCTTGGCAAAATAAACTTTCTAAATTAACTGAGATCTTTTTTTATCCCATATATGAGCAAGTATTGTACCTAGAGTGGACAAGTCCCTCCTCTTACTTTCAGGAACACCCTACTCTGTCTATAGAGTAGCTGTTCTTTCACCACTTTACTTTCTTAATAAACTTGCTTTTGCTTTGCACTGTGGACTCGGCCTGAATTCTTTTTTGTGCGAGATTCAAGTACCCTCTCTTGGGTCTGGATCAGGACCCCTTTCTGGTAACACTGTTAAAACACAGAAAAGTATTGATGTTGCACCGTTCACATTACCTGAACGTATTGGTCTGTTTTAAGGCATTTCTTGAGATTATGCATGAATTTTTACAATTGGCTTGGAAGGGAGGCAATTGAAGTATGAAAGTGAAGTGTAAGAAAATATATCCTGGACTGGTAGTGCCCTGGCAACTGTGTGCTTGTGTTGAGTCCTCTTCTCCCAATGTAAAGACTTGTTATTTGACATTCAGAGGTATCATCATTAGGACACATTAGCAAAATAGTGTTTTTGATATTGACAAAAGATTATCATGATGCTAAGACTAGCAAAATATTGAGAATTAGCTAGCTTCAACAAGCCTGAAGTGAAGTTATATATGCATATATTAGTTAGCGTTGCTTTCAGGAAAATGAGTATCAAGTTAGATATTAGCCAGTTATGAATGTCTCATTTTAACTAATGCAAGTGATGTTACTGAGTTTTCAACTGAACACATGCAGTTGATGTATTTATTAATATTTGAAGGTAGAATTTGAGACTATTTGATTTCCTGAAGTTTGAAATATGTTTTCATAAATCCTTATTGACAAACATGTATATGTCTAAAATATGTTTTAATTAGTTTAATATTTATTAATGTAACTTTTGACTATACTATAAAAAGTCAAAGGGCACTAAAGTGCTTATGGAGAATAGCAGTCCCATGTGCCACTCCTCCAGAGCAAGCACTTTTAAGTTTTATCTCTTAATTCATGTGTTTGCTTCCACATTTTTGGATAATAGCTTTGATTGCTATGTTTGTATTTTTTCTTTCCATATAATATGTATTGACTTCCTTTTTTGGTAGATGAGAATTTAGTTATCTCACTCTACTTTATCTCTCTTTCAACATTATCAATAGAATTACATTTCAATTTTTCTTAAATTAATATTCAGTGGTTCATTTGTCAGGAGTATGTAAATACTGCCCACAATTGGGCCACATAGGGTGCTGTAGTTACATTTGCTTTTTTGTACAACTCTTTGTCATATCCCAGTGTTAACTTTCCATCTTTTTATTGGCCTAATTCAATTCAATTTAAACATTATTAAATATGTTAGATCTGTAAAAGACCTTTTAATATTATTTTTTCAGGCATTCAAACAAATGAACTCATTGATTCATTTCTTTTCTTTCTTTTTCTCTCAAGGGTTTCTTTTGACATTCTCTGGTCTTCTTGATCTCAGCTGGATCTGGAGCTCTCTAAGATGAAATTGTAGCTGACAATGACTTTCCTCATAAATCTGTAATAGCTTAATATAAGCTATTATATAAGCCTAATAAAGCTTATAAGGGGCTTTCTATATTAAGCAGCTATTCTTTGTATTGCTTACCCTTCTCTTTTCCTAATTTACTACCCGATTTTATGAAGCCCATATGTGGTTGGCAAAATTATTTGAAGGCCTCAAAGATTCCTGACTCCTTATTCCAGTTACTTATCTTGTCCCAGTTATTCAATCAAATTCAAATCTAGGTACTGCTGTGTAAGGATATGGCAGATATATTTAAGTGTTTAAATCAGTTGATCTTAAGATAGGGAGATTATCTGGGTGTGTCAGGGCTAATTACAAGAGCCCTTTAAAATCAGAGCCTTTTCTCCAGCTGGTCATAGAAAAGAAAGTGAGAGTTATGAAGCACAGGAAGACCTCAAGTCAGTGTTACTGGTTTGAAGATGGAGAAGGTCGCATGCTAAGGTATATGGGAATGTGGGCAGCCTCTAGGACATGAAAACAGGGACATTACATCTACTACCATGAAAATTTGATTTTTGCCAACAACCTCAATAAACTGGAAAGCAGATTCCCCCTCAGAGCTTTCAGATAAGACCAGTCTTTCTGGCGATATTGATTTCAGTTTCATGGGACCTTAATCAGAGAATTCAGCTAACTCCAGCCAACCCCAGCTCAGACTTCTCACCTACAGAAATTTGAGATAATAAATGAATGTTCTTTTAAGCTGCTAAATTTGTGGTAGTTTATTATGCAACAATATGAAACTAACATGACATCATTCATCAGTTTCCTGAGATAATTTATAATTTCTTAAATGCTTAAACCTATATTTGATACTGTGTTTAATATCTTAGTTTTTACTTGTCAACATATTCCATATTTGAATATCAAGATACATCTAATGGTCACATACTAAAATAGATTTCTTAGGTGTGTTTGAGGTGAGTACCTTTTTAATCACCTAAGATATGGTGATGGAGTCTGTATAGTGTTGATTCAATTAAAGTTTACATGCCATCAAATGTACCCAAACTTAAACCTAGGAAAAGTGGTAGCAGCATCTTGAAGATACTGTGTTATCTTTTTTGTATAAGTTTATCTATCATTTATAAATACCCATTGTGTTCTAAACATCATGATATAACCTGCGAGGAAACAGCAATTAAAAAGATTAAGTGTGGACTCTAGTGACCAGAATATGCTTTGCTTTGATGTTTTAATAATTATGCAAGCTTTTTTCAAGAATAAGGAATGCGTCGTATACTCATACCTCCTTTCAAAAAGTTGAGCAGTGAAAAAAATTAATCAAAGAATGTATTGTTTTGACTCTATAATGGTAAACAATCAATTTATTTTTTTCTTACTAAATGACTTTGTTGGTGAAACGTAGCAGTTGTCATATTACGACTTCTCTTGCTTCAGAAATTAATGAAAAACACACTAGTCTCCTGAACAAGTCATCTCAGATAACTTTAACAAATCTATTGAAAATAACATCTTGGTTTTTATTGATATTCGAAATAGCACTGGATAAATAAATGCATAAACCTTCTCAGTTTCCCGTTACTCTAAATGGAAAAGTTGTAAAACCATTCCTTTATATTCGCCACAATGGCAGATCTGTTCCATGAATGGTAATGCATGTTTTAAGGTATTAACAAAATTGATTATGTAACCCTAGATATATAATGGAACAGAAGGCTAATGCTTATGCCGATTCTGCCTTAAGTAAAATCCATCTGTTTACTACTAAGGTATCATGCAACTCAGCTTTGTTTGAATAGAACAAGATGAATACTTGAGGCTATTTTCTATCTGCTAAGACAAAAGTGTAGGGAAACACATAGTAAAACTTATATTTTTTAAAGACACGGTTCCCAGCAAACTCTAAGTATTTACTGTCTCTCGAATATGATCAACCCAGAAAAGCCACATGATAGGATACTTGCAAATCTTCCCATAAACCCCAGTCAACAATCATGTGCATACAAGTCCTGGAGACACTCACAGAGAAGCAACTGATTATTGAATTTTATGTGGAAGGAATTGAGATGAACAGTTAAAGGGAAATTTATATTAGATTTTTTCTTATAGGTCTGCAGATGTTTTCTTTTTGGACCATTATAAAAGCATGAAGCATAGCTTTGAAAATGTTATTTTAAAAAATATGTTTCTGACATAATCATTTATTTCTGAAGAAAATGCTTTGTTCATATTATAGTTGATATTTTCAATGAGATGTTTTGATTAGCCTTATCAACTCTTCAGTATTTGCCAAATACCCTCCACCCACAGTCATGTTTCTTTTGTGTATATAGTTCTATTAAAGTCTGGTAATTTTTGAGATCAAGATCAAACAATATTTCATTTGTGAAACCTTCTATAACTGCTGTGCTTTCCTCTGCACTTGACTATGTTTGCTTAAACTTCTAATAGAGTGATTATTTCCTTTTTCCTTGCTATGTTTTTAATGATGTATATTTCCCTCAAGTCGGTCAAATTGCAAGCTCCTTGAAAACAATGATATGCATCAGAACCAGAACCTTCATACAAGACTCACATAGTGGTGACTTCATAAATGCCCTGTTGAATTGAATCTTAAAAAGTAATCCATGTCATCCATCAGCAAGGAAAGAACAATTAGTATATCTTGATTGCGGATCATTTGTTTCCTTAAAATTACCCAGGGAGAAAAAATTGGATGAGGCCAAGAGTATTCCTCATAGTCTGCTAAATATAGCCACAACCTAGGGTTTCATAGGAATAGCAAGAAAAGCTCTTGGACACTTGAAAGAGAAAGAGAAGATACAGCAATGCAGGACTGAGGCTGATAATAATCAGCAAATTTACAAAAGACAGAAATATTTAAAACCCGTAGATTTTATCTCTTTGAATTACTGTTTTATATTTATGTCTTATGTATTACCTACCAGAATGTTGTTCATATTCACATTATATAAATGTGAAAATACTTTGTGAAATTCTAAGGTTACATTGAAATGACTTCTATCATTATTATATTACCTAACCAAATATTGGCTTTGTAAGCATCTCTTTCTGACATCTCAACAATCAATCCCCAAACAACCAATTTCTTTTCTAGTATCCTGCTCTTTAAAAGCACCAAAGTATAGGTCTATACTGTTTCACAGGCAGAAGGTCCCAAAGAAGTTATTAAACATCCCCTCACAGGAAAGACCCTGAAGAAATATCCCTTTGAAGTCATGGCAAACATAATAATTGGCTTGGTAATTAAGGTTTTGTATTCATGTAACAAAGTTTTCAGTAAAGCATTTATTAGCATTTATCAGTACTTAAAGAGGAGTACTCTCAGTTTCAAGAAGACCTCACTATTGTCATAAGATAGAATTGAACCAATATATAATTTGCACCGCAGTATGTAACAAGTCTCTTTTAGAAACAAGACAACCTGCATCTCTTATTTTTTATATTTCCGTTAAAATAATAGATGAGTCGAAAGCCACTTAAGAATTTACAAGAGTTATATTTACAAACAAATTCATACAGATAACACTGTTGTTTTGTGCATTTACAAAACACATTTATTTAGTCTTCCGCATGACAAGCCAGTTAAAGTAGCTTGTTACCAAAAATGTGTTTCAGGAGTTGCCTGGCTCCCTTATAACTTACAAAACTTAACCATTTGTTACCTAAACTAAAAAAGTAGATCAATAATTGTTTTATTTGGAGGAAAGAGTAGCTTCCACGTTAAGAAACGATATCTAAGAGAATATGATCTTCACATCAGTGCTAAGCTCTGTTTCTGCATCTGTGAGTTAAAGTCTGTTAAAATTGCTTCATTATAAATGACATTCAATGACTGAAGGTCTACACAAGAGGAGAAAACGGAGTTCTAAAAAGCCACTGGTACATGCTGAAGAGTTCAGACAACTAAGCAATCATTTTGCCAAACAACTGTTTTACCTATGCCAAATTTCTATCAGGTTCTCGAGGCACAATGAATGCCTTTTTATTTTTAAAACAATTTTTATTTTATTTTTTTAGGTTCCGAGGTACATGTGCAGAATGTGCTGGTTTGTTACATAGGTAAACATGTTTCATGGTCATTTGCTGCACCTATCAACCCATCACATAGGTATTAAGCCCAGTATACATTAGCTGTTTTCCCTAAAACTCTCTCCCCCAACAGTCTCCCCCAACTGGCCCCCGTGTGTGGTGTGCCCCTCCCTGTGCCCATGTGTTCTCATTGCTCAGCTCTCACTTATAACTGAGAACATGCAGTGTTTGCTTTTCTGTTCCTGTGTTAGTTTGCTGAGAATAATGGTTTTCTTGAATTTAATACAAAATAACTTATCTCAAGAGAAAATACGGATAACCTCTTTTGCCCAACACTGAGAATTATGCAACAAAGACAAGGTTGCATTCTAGATGTTGCAGGAAAGTTTCAACTTTATGATTTATGTAATTTTCAGATAATACATTTCAATTTGTGTTCAGTATATAGAACTGATGTACCTCAACATTTCTCCTATGTTTTTCTTTTAACTGATAAGAATGCAGAATACTCAATTCAGAGCCCAATTATTGTATGTAATTATCTGCTATGATTAACAATATCAAAGTCATTGTTTTCATTTTATTGATTTTGTTGTAATTTTATTTTTGATTATTCTCTTTTGCATTATGTGTAAATTTAAAAGCCACAAATCATTTTTTGAAAGAATATAGGACATCGTAATAACTTCCAGAATTCCTTGGAAATTTCCTGAACTCTTTTGTTTCTTAGCCTATTTAATAAAGGCTGTGTACTTTCATAGAATTCACATTTTGTATTTTAATTTTAATCCTAGAATTTGGTTTCTCAGACTTCAATTAATGATTCCTGGAGGGCAGTAAGAAAGGCAGCCTGCAATTTCACAAAATCATTGTTCTATTTGATGATTTGTTATAATCAAATAAGCATTTTTTTAAAATTTATTTATGTCTTTGAGATGGGGGAAAACTTATAAGTAGATAGGCAGTGATGGAACTTAAACATTACTGTATACATTTGAACAAATATATTTAATTGCTAGTTAATATTGTTAGGTTCTGTGTTCCTACCCAAACCTCACATTGAATTTTAATCCCCATAATCCCCACATGTCGTGGGAGGGAACTGGTGGGAGGTAATTGAATAATGGGGGCAGTTTCTCCCATGCTGTTCTTGTGACAGTGAGTTCTCACCAAATCTTATGGCTTTATAAGTGTGTGGCATTTGCCCTGCTGGCACTCACTTTTTGTCCTGCAGCACTGCAAAGAGGTGACTTCCGCCATGATTGGAAGTTTCCCAAGGCCTCCCCAGTCATGCAAAACTGTGAGTCAATTAAACCTTTTTTTCTGTATAAATTACCCAGTCTCGGGTATTTCTTTATAGTAGCCTGAGAATGGACTAATACAGTAAATTGGTACCGAGGTAGTGGGGTGCTGTGGTAAGGATACCTGAAAAATGTGAAAGCCACTTTGGAACTGAGTAACAGGCAGAGTTTGAAATAGTTTGGAGGGCTCAGAGGAAGACAGAAAAATGTGGGAAAGTTTGGAACTTCCTAGAGACTTGGAGGCCTCAGAAAATAGGAAGGTGTGGGAAAGGTTAGAACTTCCTAGAGACTTGTTGGCTTTGACCAAAACGCTGATAGTGATATGGACAATGAAGTCCAGGCTGAGGTGATCTCAGATGGAGATGGGAAACTTGTTGGGAACTGGAATAAAGGTGATTCTTGCAATGCTTTAGCAAAGAGGCTGGTGGCGTTTTGCCTCTGCCTTAGAGATCTGTGGAACTTTGAACTTGAGAGAGATGATTTAGGGTATCTGGGGGATGAAATTTCTAAGTGGCAAAGCATTGAAGAGGAAGCAGAGCACAAATGTTTGGAAAATGTGCAGCCCGATGATGGGATAAAAAAGAAAAACCCATTTTCTGGGGAGAAATTCAAGCCTGCTGCAGAAATTTGCATAAGTAATGAGGAACCAAATGTTAATCACCAAAAGGGAGAATGTCTCCAGGGCATGTCAGAATCCTTCACAGCAGCCTCTCCCATTACAGGCCTGGAGGCCTAGGAAGGAAAAATGGTTTCTTGGGCCAGGCCCAGGGCCCATGCTTTGTGCAGCTTTGGGCCACCGTCCTCCAGACCCTAGAATGGTAGGTTAACCAACAGCTTGTGCTGTGCCGTGCACCGGAAAAGCCACAGACACTCAATGCCAGCCAATGAAAGCAGCCAGGAGGGGGGCTGTATCCTGCAAAGCCACAGGCACGGAGCTGCTCAAAACCGTGGGAGCCGAACTCTTACATCAGAGTGACCTGGATGTGAGACATGGAGTCAAAGGAGATAATTTTGGGACTTTAAGGTTTAATGACTGACCCGCTAGATTTCGAACTTGCATGGGGCCTGTACCCCCTTTGTTGTGGCCAATTTCTCCCATTTGGAGCAGGTATATTTACCCAAAGCCTGTATCCCAATTGTATCTAGGAAGTAAGTAACTTGCTTTTGATTTCACAGGCTCATAGGCAGAAGGGATTTGCCTTGTCTCAGATAAGACTTTGGACTTGGACATTTGGGTTAATACTGAATGAGTTAAGACTTTGGGGGATTATTGGGAAGTCATGATTATGTTTTGAAATGTGAGGACATGAGATTTGGGAGGGGCCAGGTGTGGAATGATACATTTAGGCTTTGTGTCCCCACCCAAATCTCATCTTGAATTATAGTCTCCATAATCCCCAAGTGTCCTGAGAGTGACCCAGTGGGATGTAATTGAATCATGGGGACGGTTTCCCCTTTGCTGTTTTCGTGATAGTGAGGAGTGAGTTCTCATGAGATCCGATGGTTTTATAAGCGTGTGACATATCCCCTGCTGGAACTCATTTTTTCTCCTGTTGCCTTGTGAAGAGGTGCCTTCAGCTATGATTGTAAGTTTTCTGAGGCCTCCCCAGTCATGAGGAACTGTGATTCAATTAAACCTCTTTTCTTAATAAATTACCCAGTCTCAGGTATTTCTTTATAGCAGCATGAGAACACACTAATATGCTAGCTTAAATTAGCAAACCATTTAAAATCAACTACCCCAATGTGGTGAATCATACCTTTAGCCCAGATATTTCCTCTGAATACCAAGGACATGTTTCAGTGGGCCTATTCAAAATCTCCACTTGGATGTGTCCAGGGCTTCACATGCTTAAACTCCTGGTAGATGCTATTATCATGATCCTCTTTCACATGTAGTACTCCAACAGTCTCCTAAGTATTCTACCTTCCAATTTATTATCTCTGCAGTAACAGGACTGCCTTTTTTTCGAATTGCAAATCTAATCAAACCTCATCATCATCTACAATCTTCTACAATTAAATAACTTCACATCACTCTGTGGTTAAAAGAACAAAAATAAAAACTTTGGATCATGACCTTCAAGTACCTGTGGCTTCCCCTTACCACTTTAGCTTCATCTTCAACTGTTTCCCCATGATTTCTACTCTAGTCATGCTGGCCTTCTCATATGCCCTTGTACTTGGAAAGTTCCTACCTACCATGGGTTCTGGAATAGTCTTCTCTTCCTCTTTCTCTTCTTATTCATTCTTACTTTATAGATATCACCTCCATCAGCACAGTCCCAGAACTTCACCTTCCCTGAATTCCAAGTCTAGGTCAAAACCACTCATGACATCAGGTCCTTCTCTTTGTGGTTATTTTATTAATATCTATTGCTTCTTATGAGATTTTAAGTAATAACGTAAGGAATTGTGTCTATTTTTTCTAAAAGTTGTATCTAATTTCCAAGCCTAATGCTTGGTTTATAGTAGGTATTCAATATAACATTCATTGGATGAATGAATTGGGGTTAATAGAAAGATGTCAATCATTCTAAATGAAGTCATTCTAAATGTAACAATCATTCTAAATAAAAAAAATTATTTAGTAATGATGTTTAATGAAATCTTATTACTTTATTTCTAAAACCTAGCTAGTAAAAAATTGACACTAAAATGAAGAGAAAAAACATGTTTTAGAAATATGGGTTTAAACCAATGATTTGAATAAAGCACTGGGGTAAGCAAGAAAGGGTTTTGGATAAGTCCAGGATAACATGACAAGTGCTAGGTAATTTGGAGATGGAGGAATTCTAAATCAAACTCCACCTCTTTATAACTCTCTGGAGGCTCAGTTTCTCTATTGATGCTTACAGTGAAACAGCATCCTTTAATAGCTATATTGAATTTTTAAACCATTGAGTAATTTGTAGCAGCTTTCTATACAAGTTAGTGGTCTCAGCTGTCAGTGGATAAGACAAGTTCTACTAGCTTCTGTCTTAAAACATAATTTTAGAAATGAAAATTCTGGAAACTGTGTTTGATGAATGTAAATATAGCCTAGCTGAAACTCTAAGACATTGGAACTCTGATTCTCCTTGAAGAGAAATTGCCATTTGCTACAGAGAATAAAATACATGGAGATTAAAATATGCTGTGCTGGTGATTTTAAAAAGCCATCAAGAGAATTAAGTTAAAAATCAAAGATGAAACTGATGAAAGCCAGACCCCTGTCTCATTGGGTACTCCTCTCTAGGGTAGTTAAGATACCTGGATGGCCAAAAGAAAAAGCTACATAGGCTATGTTCAGAGAATGTGAAAACAGTATTTCTGAATAATAGGATCTTTACAATTTTTATTTCATTAGTGAAAGTCTTTCATTATTTCCCAGTATTCTGCTTTCATCTATAATTTTCCCTCAGATGGCCACCTACATTAAATAAAACAAATGGTACTATAGTGTCACTGACTGAGAATTGTGAAGAATTTGGGGATCTAGAGTCGGAAGAACTCTAATCCAATTTAGTCAACATCAGTGTACAAATATGCACATTGAATTAGATTATGGTTGTCCTCCAGGTGGTAGCATTTAACCTCTGAAGGAGGGGTAAAATGTGATTTTAAATGTTCAAGTATTCTGGGACTTCTTAAAGGCTGTGAGATATTGTGAAGTTTAGTTATATTAATAAAGATATTGGTAATGCATTTGCAACTATGATTTTGTAGAAGAAACCTTGCAGAAAAAAAGATACTAAGTAAAATGTAGATATGAAGTTTAGATGCAATTACAAAAATTGCTCATATTAAAATATTATTGTATTAATAATGCACCCTTGTAAAGCATGGTTTTAAATGTTGAAGTAAAACAAATTACTTTTTATCATATGAAATAGTTTCATTTTTAATTGATTCCTTTACACTGAAATAAATACAGCAATTAAATTACACTTAAAGATATGACATAATAAAAATATTTCTTGCCTTTAGTTTGATACGTAGGTATAGATGGTTTTTAAACTTTTAAATAGTGTTCACCTTTCTAACTCTTGCTTTGGCAAATATGGAAAATATTAGGAGGAAATGCCTTTGAGAATTACTATTATCTAGCGTGAATTTTAGGACACGGTTAGTAATAGAACTGAGCATTTAATTATAAGATAGCTGGTGATGGTAAGACACGAGAATGAAAAAAATAACCATTAATATAATTATTTCCAAAATATAGAGATCATTAAAGTTTAGAATCTATTAATAAGCATTTTTACTCAAACTTCAAATCTTATATTAATTAATTTTGCCTTTATTCTAGCTAGAATAGTGTAATACAGCAGACCATTTCTGAATAATAAAATGTGGCATAAATGAGGTGCTGCCACAGCACGCATTGGATTAACAGAGGATAATTTGGGACCCTGACATCTTAAGCCAGGATAACAGACGCAGGCTACATTTACCTTAAGTGGAGATGAAAACACTAATCATTATAGCCATTTGCTGTTAACAGATACTTTACAGTATTTATTGCTTTTCTCCAAGAATGGCTTCATAACAAACATTATAAACACGTTGCAGGCCCACGGGAAAGATTTGCAGTCAAATGCTGTCTCACGCTAAATTAGATTAACAGTTTCTTACTCGTCTCCAGGCCACCCCCCACTTTGTATATATACCAGCTCATCTCATGTCCTTAGCAAATACCGTTTATTTTTACACTCAGAATTATAATACATATGCCAAGATCAACAAATAGAGAGACAGTGAGCCATAGGTTCCTCCCCCCAGACATATGATAAGTATTAATAATTGAGTACAACACTCCTTTCCACTGATCTTTATCTGATCTTCATGCCAAAACCTTTCTCAGTGTAGTATTCCAGGAAGCTACTAACAAGTGATGCAACCTCATATGTTGAAACCTCTTTGCTATTGTGGGTCTATGCCAGTACTTTCAAGTCTCTTTGACTTTATAGCACATGTAGGTCATGAAAAATGTGGACAATACTTTGCATTAACAGATAAGGCTGCCCATAACTAGAGATCATGAATCTGTGGGTTAGAGACCACCCAGAATGCTCATGAGATACGATAGCTCAGAACCCACTTGCTGAGCTCTGACTGATCAAGGTATTGGCACAGTCTATCCAAAAGTAGAAACAACACTGGCAGGGCAGGATCTGACATCAAGTAAGGTTTTCTTTATTCTGTATTTGCTGTGAGTGTTATTAGCTGTCAAGCTGTCTTCATAATTGTAAGACAGTTCACAACATCATAAAAAACTTATTTTCCCAAGCCATGGATTAGGTCTTTGGATTCAATTAATCTGATACAGGTATGACAAAGCATTCTCTTTTCAAACAGTTTATCTTAGAGATACCTGCAGAATTTCTATTAGCATATATTTCCGTCTACTCTAGTGCTAATGATCCCATTATCTGGCTATGTGTTACTGTAATTGAAATTAGCTACAGTTATATCCATCATCTTAGCCCTCATAGTCACAGATAAACAATGTGGATTTATAGCAATTCTACCTTGGCATTGAAAAGGTATCCCTTTCAGTTTCTGCCTTCAGGTAAAATGTATACTATGTGGCTTACTATTTCTGATGTGTTGATTCTATACCCTTTTGAAACATTTTTTTTTTGAAACTAGTATTTTGGATCTGATATTAAAATTCGTTCTGACCTCAAATTCATTTGCATTACAGTGTAATATTTCCTCCGTAATTTATGTCATATATGATCTAGAAGGGGAGGTATGTATTAAAATAATTATCTCATTCAATGCAGATAATAGCTTTAAAATATATCGACATGCTTTTCCTTATAATTTTTTGTATTCAGCTTGAGCTCCCCTCCCCTGACAAAGAGCCACCCACTTATTTCCTGAAAGAAGGGGGTGGGTGGGTATATTAAGATTATTATAACAAGAAAGCAAAGACAGATAGTTTGGTTTTTAGATTTTGGTTCCCAAAACAGGGCACAGTGGTCAGATGTGGGTATATTGGCTTCTTCCTCTGTATGGACACACTACAGAGGAGAGTTTGGCAGTATTCTCAGAGCAGGGAAAGTCTGACAGTAGCCTGGGGAAATGGAAATAATCATAAAGATTCCCCACATTAGCCTAACTCTGGAGCGACAAGGTGCCACACAGGCATTAAGTTAGGAACGCCTGAGAAAGACGTCTTGAATCTGCATTTAAGGGCAGACTCTAAACAACCCTATTCATTCCAGATTGATAGGAAGAAAGTAGCCAAGATATTTTTACCAGACCCCTAAGGGTTGGGAAAACCAGTAAATCAAAATTAGTCTGGGACTGATGAAAAGAAGCCACAAAATACAGAGATCTCACAGTCATAGGCCATGGCAGGAACATGAACTTCAGCAACATATATCTGCGTGGAGGACAAAATTTTGTAAGAGGTGGAGCTGCATTTCAGTGTGCTCTGTCACAGGACACGAACAGAGACACCTCGCTGAACTGGAGACCAGTAGATATTCAGAGCACATTCTGCAGTTCACAGGATTCTTCCCTAAGATACTAACTTTGAAATAGAGAATATGGCAGGCCTACTGAAAGCAGGAAAGAGCATCCCGATAGGGAATTTGAATGTTGTATTAAATCCGAAGTGTCAGGTCTATGTGAAACAAACACCAGATAAAAACAAAATAAGACAAAAACTATTTCAACTTGAATAAAACAAATACTTTAAGAAAAAAATCAATTGAGCTATAATTTACATACCACCAAATGTATTCATTTTCAGTGTATGATTCAATCATTTTTAGTAAATTTACAGAGCTGTACAGCCGTTACCAATTCCGATGATGAGGAGGGGTGGAATGGGGGCAGGGAAATTAACAATTAAAAGTAACTCACTTTTACAACATTTCAATCACTTTATTATACATACGCATACAGTTATGCATATATACACAGATTATATTTATGAACATTTATATATATATAAACATAATGAACCTCTTCTATAAAAAAGTGTTTATTTTTCATTATTTTATCAATTATTTATATAATTCATTCATTTAATGATTTTTATATTGAGAAATATGGAGAACACAAAGTAGAATAAAATTGTCTTTCTGTTTAAGAATTTCATAGCTTGGTGTGAAAGATAGTCACGAAAACAAATAATGACAGTACTTGATGAAAAGTTTTATGACAGATGTATTCCCTGGAATTATTTCATCTCTTTCATACTCCTTACAACCCTATGAAATAAGCCAAGCATATGAATATCTACATTATATAGATAAAGACTCTGTAGACCACAGCAGTTATAGTAGCAAACATAGTGAGAGGAAAAAACAGAAGTTAATTCTAGATTTTTTGATACTTAAAACATTCACATATATTTGGCCTTAAAGACAGTAGATTTTCTCTACCGAAATGTAACCCAGTTTTTATAAATGTTACTGAGGCATGCTTTTTTTTTATTTTTGTGGAATTTGTTATTATTTTTCAACCTACAATAATCTATTCAATACCCACTCTGCCAAATACCGTGCTAGCCATGTGGCGCCTCCAGGATTAGAAGTTCCTTTGCTGTTATCAGTTCTTATAGAGTGATGTTGAATTGTAGGAATGTGAGAATTTGGCCTCCTTACTGATAAGAAAGACTATTAGGAAACTTTCCAACCTGTTGGAGGCAAATGAGCGTTAATGCAAAAGTTGACTTAGAAAAAGCTTTATTCTAATTCCAGCTTGGCCATATTCTAGTTGCGTGAATTTCAGCAATTTGCTTTGTCTCTCTAAGCCGATTTTTGCTTTACAATGGGGATACAAATACCAACCTAACAGGTGAAAAGTAAATGTTATATAATAAAAGTGCTCTTTATAGTACCTTCCTCATAGGAGGTACCTCTTGATTATTTTTAATGAATGCATTAGTACACCTAAATCACCTGCATATATTTCTGAACCCTCTAAGCGGTTTATTGTGCCTTGAGTTTTTAAAAACATAATAATAACCTGTAATCCTAGCACTTTGGGAGGCTTAGGCCCAGCTATTCAGGAGGCTTAGGTGGGAAGAGCACCTGAGCCCAGAGAGGTTGAGGCTGCAGTGAGCCATGATTGCACCACTGAACTCCGGCCTCGGTGACAGAGTGAGACCTTGTCTCAAAAAATAAAAATACAAGTATAAAATAATGATGCAATCCCTGCCTTCTGGTAGCTTACATTTGATAAATTAAGCTGAAAAGAATTGTGGGTATGAAATAGGAAACAAGCAGACAAGTTACATGAGTCACTTAGAACTTGAGTTCTTCTTATAATATGGGTTCAAATTACCTGTTGCCAGGTTTAAGGTGAATCGTTTACCATACTGTTTTATTTTCCATGGTCTAAACTGAAATGTATGCACTAAGGTCAGAGAACCAAATATTAGCTTTAATTACACAATAGATATATTAGAGAATGCCACAGACTTTTTACTGTTTTCCTACAAGTCTAAACCTTGGCCCCTACATGTGGGGATAATTGGGTCTGCAATCTAGTTGCTTGCATAATCCTAGCTTGCCTTACAGTGTAGTGAGAGCTCCAGGTAAAGAGCACAAGTGAGCTTCAACATTTATTCATTTTCCCCTCGCACTGGGGAAACTCGCACCAAGGGGTTAGAGTCAGATTCTTGCCATCTAACCAATCAGATGAATCACTCCTGCTCACATAGGGAGAAGCTTGTGAGAGATAGAGGAAGAGCAACAATTTCTACCTACAGAAATTATTTTACAGCCTGCCATTAGGTGTCCAAGGAGAGAGAGAGAAAGTTTCACTCTACACATCTGAGGTAGAAGTTTGATAAGAATTAAATGAGGGTGTATATAAAACACCGAGAAAACTGCCGCCCCTATATTACCTGCTCAGTCAAAGGTAATATACTCTGATGTGTACACAATCTACATTTGCAGGAAGAATCCTGAGACCCACAGCAAATCAGCAATGCTCCTCATGGGAGAACTCCAAATCATACCCCATCTCTGACTCTTAGGACCTTTGATAAGATGGTTATCTTATCAAAGATAAGAAGGGGAAGAAGGGGTTGCTGTGGGCTGTAGGAACTGTGAGGGCCTCAGAGAAGTCATATTTTGAACTGGTGAGTCAAACCTTGAGGAGAATGTTAACATAAAGAGCTTCTCCTGTCTCCGTCAAGAGACATAACCTCTCCAGTCTCCGAGCTAATTCAGGGGCTTGAACCCATGGCCTTTGGTCAACTTCGAGCTCTAATATCCAGAGGTGGTATTTGTATTGGGTTACCTGACAATGACTGGACTAACTTCCTCCTCCGACACACACCAGCAGGTGACTGGGCCTCCCTAAACACCTCATGATTCTTCTTCCACAGCCTGGCTTTTGAGTAGGACTTATTCCACAACTGAACAGTTGGAATTGCTTCTGATCATATGTGCTGAACTGCTTAGCATTTATTTAATTCTCATTTCTTACTGTGTCCTTAAATCTCTCGATTCTTAACTAGAAAAGTGGAAGTCAAGAGGGAGCACTACTTTGATTGTCTCCACCCATTTCAAAATATCAGGAGGTAATAAAGGGGGCTGTCTGAAACCTGAGGAGCTTCTGTACTGTTTCTGACTGAGAAGTAGGGATCAGAGCTGAGTGTCAGGTATGAAATTATTTTCAGTCTCTGGCTTGCTCCAGCCTCCAAGTTCTGTTCACGTCATGCCTTCTCAGACTATTAACAGAAGGAAAAGCTGAGGTTGTTTTTATTGTTCTTTGTTTTGTTTTTTTAAAATAAAGTAAAAACAGAATGATCAGAACATAACACTGCTGCTGAATGCACAAGGAACCATCTTATCAAAGGTCCTAAGAGTCAGGGATGGGGTATGATTTGGAGTTCTCCCATGAGGAGCATTGCTGATTTGCTGTGGGTCTCAGGATTCTTCCTGCAAATGTAGATTGTGTACACATCAGAGTATTGGCTGCCACAATCAGAGGGAATGTAGGCATTTCAAAGAGTTTTCAGTTTATGCGTCAGCAATTGCTGAAAACTCACCCTTCAAAGTACAGATATTACTAATGCCCTGTTTCTGCTCTTAATTGCTAATTATACAATCTGTGTAAATGCAAGATATGTGACTCCTCCAGCTCTGCAAATGTCTTTGCAGCTGCCTGTACACTCAAATTAAAGCCCAATGCAGCTGTCCTAGAGGTAGTTTTATGTGATTCCCTGAATGGACAAATTCTATTTTGAATGCTGTTAGGAGTCTCTCCCTGCACCACTCAAAAGTCACTTACATTACGGTTGCTTTCTTCCTGTTCAGCATGTCTTCTCTTCCTGGATGAAGTGAGAAATTGCCATTTTGCTGTTCCTTGCTCACTTAAATGTGAGTTACACAAGCCTTTTTAAAATTTCATTTCCTCTCAGGAAATGTTTTAAAATATATAATTTATTTCTTTTGGTACCCATCCAGAAAAGTATATTTAGCTCTTTTTAATGCATTGCCTATATAGAATGTGATTTTTTTCTTGAGAGCCTTATTTCATTGAGTACAAACCTCCCTTTATATTTCTAGCACATTAATGTTATAAAAATTAGTACTTTCCCATACCCTGAGGAATCCAGGTGTCAGCAAGTGTTACCAAAACTTGGGCATATGATTAATTGGCTTGAGCCCGGATGACACACCCTGTGGTAGCCTAACACACTCTTCAAGACGTTCATCAGTTCACGGAGATATTTTAATGATCACCACTGACATGGGAATCTTGCTCCGATGAGTCCTGTCTCTGTTCCCTCATAGTATCAATTCAAATACATAACACAGCTTCTCTCTTGGTTTTCATAAAACATGCCACAAACTCTTTGGAAATGTAGTCGAGTTTATTCAAGGTTTGTGAAGGATAGAGACTGAGGAAAGAATTTGCATTTTCAAAGTACCAAAAAGCTTAATTTCAGTATTAGATATCTGTATTCTAAAAACGCTCACCAACCACCCGTCTCTGGAGTATTTGCACAGACACTTTCCTTCCATGCAGTTTCTAACATCACACCATCATGCCATACTGGCTACTTTCTCTTCTCTTCCTCTTCCCACTTCTCATACCCTCCATCCAGTACTGCATGGAGAAATCCAAATTCTTTGCCTCATGTTAGGCAGATGTGTTTGTCTCTCTCAGCCTTGATTCTCAAGCCTGCATATCCAAACCCATACAGCTACACAGACGTGAAAAATGAATTTCTAAGTAGAAATACACGGGATTCATCTTTTTAGAGGAGACTTGTAGGTACAAAGAATTATTTTTCTTTCACTGTTATACTTGCATCAACTGTTTGTTGTGAGTTCTTTTATTCATTCAACAAATACAGCTGCCCTCTCATTCTCTGTATCCACTGATTTCCCATCTTTGGATACAATTAACCACAAATTGAAAATATTTTAAAACCCCAACAAAATAGCAATTACAACATAAAAATTATACAGATAATAAATGATAGAGTACAATAACTATTTGAATAGCATTTACGTTGTGTTAGACATCATACGTAATCTAGAGATGATTAAAGTATACAGGAGAATGTGTGCAGGTTATTTGCAAATACTATACCATTTCATATAAGGGACTTGAGCATTCCTGGCTTTTGATATCCACAGGGATCCTAGAAACACTCTCCCATGGATAATGAGAGATGATTGTATTCTTTTAATGCCTATTATGTAGCAAACTTCAAGTTAGCACTTGTTCTGGGATAAATTTGTACCTGTTAATAGGAGACAGTATAAACATAGTAGAAGGAAGCCTTAGACACAGAGGAACTTGATTCTAGTTCTGATTGATTCATGCTTTCACTTTTTCTTTCCAAAAATGGTTGATGTAACCTACTCTGTTTCAGCAAGATATTAGATACAGGGAATGCTGAAATTATTTAGAGCCCCTACTCTCAAACATTGTAGAATAGAGTAGGAAAGACAGATGTATATGCTGGACCGTAAACTGAGCAATCTGACCTTTATACAAATCAAGGTCGAATGTGTCTTTTTTTTTCAGAGGCTGTGTTTACTTTTGACTAGCGAAGAGCTTTCAGAAAATTAATGTTTTCTCAAATGAAATCGATTGGCAGAAATCAGAGGGATAGAGGAAATTTATTCAATGCAGAGTTGACTTAAACTGCGGTGAATGTTTACTTTCTGGGGTCAAAAATGCATGTACCGGTTTCTTTTTTGTTAACATTTAATATTTCCTGTTATTAATAAGGAAATGTTGCACCTGAAGTAAATTAAATCAAGATGGAAAGTATAATTTCTTTGAAAACAATAAAATTGTTACTGCAGATGTTATTAAACTATTAGTCAATGTAATTTTGTCAGGATTATGTACTATTGATTAGGAAATAACCTGATGAATCATTTGGAAGGATGCTTTTTATTTTTAGCTTTGACTAACAGGAGTGTTTGACAGAAGCAAGTTAAAATAGTGTGTTATACTGCTACAGCTATGCGAATTTACATTAAATGCTTTATTTCAGTATTTTAGTATTTGCTGTTAATAAAGAAAATTAGGAATCTGAACTCATTTTAGTTGGCCTTTGAACACTTTGAGTTTATGAGTTTGAAAACAACTTCAAATTAAAGATACATTGTGATTTCACTGGGGAACTTTGGGTCTTTAAAAATTCATCTGATGGAGCATGGTGCAGTTAGGCCAAGTTTGCAAAGACATATGAATCTGGATCATATGGACCAAAACATTTGCTTCTCAAGTAAAATCTAGCTAGTCCCTT
This sequence comes from Homo sapiens, assembly GCF_000001405.40. Lineage (NCBI taxonomy): Eukaryota > Metazoa > Chordata > Mammalia > Primates > Hominidae > Homo > Homo sapiens. The sequence goes on along the minus strand of NC_000023.11, from coordinate 144,127,034 downwards.
TTTTCCATGTTACATATGTCTGAATTTAAATCCCCTATGTCTTCCATCTCGAAGATACCAGGTTGCTTTTTTTTTTTTAGCTCTGAATTGTTTCCACCCATTATCTTTTTAAAGAATTCTTCGATTGTATTTCCCTTTTATTATAAAAGCACTGTTTTATAACTTTTACATACCAATCTGTCTCCAGTACCAATACTACCTCTTTTATGAACAACCTTTGTTTAGCTGTCTTATTCACATATGTACCTATGTGCCTTTGCATATTTTCAACTCTCAATAAATGCTTTTTGAATAGAATTCCCATAGCTAATTAAAAGTGTCAGCTATTAAAATGGACTTCACACTTCTTTCTCTTGAGGTGAACAATGCACACTGGGGTCTGAGAAGGTGGTTTCTTAATCTCTTACTCTTAGCAGGATACCCACCTTTTCTTAAGTGCATTCTAAGTTTCTGGAGATATATAGGATTGCAGTCCAGAAGCTGTGCTGTAACTACCAATTCTCCTTAGATTTGAGTGAGGTTAACAGAGTAAAAACATGATGTTTTGTGAATGCGCCTTCTGTATATATGGCACCTTTCTTTATCTTCAGATAGGATCAGTGTTAGTAGATATGGGTTTTCTGTGAAGATAATTAAAAGCCATATAATTTCACAGGTATATATTTGGAGAGGTTTTAAAGACCACATGTCCAAATATATAAGCTTTTGTTTCCACAAAGTCTGGATCCACTCCTTGTGATTAGCCCCATTTTACAGTTGAGAGACATTAAAAGATTATGACTGATCCAGAATTCCAGAGCAATATATTGAGAAAAGTAGAAATAGTACCCTGATTGACGCTTCTTAGTTTCTAGGAGAGAGAAAATTACATGAACCCTTTACAAAAAGAAGACAGAAGATAAAATTCAGAATTTATATCAAATTATTTGGCTCTGAGTCAAATTTCATCTGCAAGAATATTATGTTCCAGGTGTTTGCCATTGGGACAATTTAATGTGTTTAATTAGAAAATATATTTTAAAATATTACTAGGTTACTCAGCTGTCAAAATTATGTAAATAAAATGGTAAGTGCAAATAATTATAAAAATATTTAAATGTCCTTATATGGCTTTTTAGGAAATGTGCTTCATTTTCTTTCTACACAACCCAAATGTCCAACAATGATAGATTGGATTAAGAAAATGTGGCACATATACACCATGGAATACTATGCAGCCATAAAAAATGATGAGTTCATGTCCTTTGTAGGGACATGGATGAAGTTGGAAACCATCATTCTCAGCAAACTATCGCAAGGACAAAAAACCAAACACCGCATGTTCTCACTCATAGGTGGGAACTGAACAATGAGAACACGTGGACACAGGAAGGGGAATATCACACACTGGGGACTGTTGTGGGGTCGGGGGAGGGAGGAGGGATAGCATTGGGAGATATACCTAATGCTAAATGATGAGTTGATGGGTGCAGCACACCAACATGGCACATGTATACATATGTAACAAACCTGCATGTTGTGCACATGTACCCTAAAACTTAAAAGTATAATAATAATAAAAAAATACATTTTTCCTGGGTTCTTCGGGAATGTGATTGTTATAGTTACAAATGTATGCATATTTTTAAAGAAAATAAGGTTGAGTTTCAGCCTAGGCAAACTGCTGAACCCAAAAATCACTGTGAGAATTTTGATTAGTATTCTGTAGATGGTTTTCAGTCTATTTTTGATATTTTAGCTTAGACTTTTGAAGACAGTTGAGAAAGCATTTTTTAACAAAGAGAAATTCATTATTCCTAAATTAAAAGATAAAGAGTGGAGAGTAGATGTATGGTTGACATTTTACAAATCAAATACTTTAGAGTTAATAATTTCTAGCTGACACTCTATGTAACACAGCATTCAGTTGATGGTAATTTGTTATGTTTACTGATCACTATTAAGCTATTAAATTTTTTAAAAATTAATTATTTTATTATTTTCTGCCATGCTAATTGCTTAAAGAAGAAGAGCAGTGATTTGAGTGGTGAAATAAAACAAAATAGAACACAGACAGTTTATTGTCATAATATTTCTAAATTGGAAGTAAGTATAGCCGAATGCCTCTTATACAAGGAGTCAGAAGATCTGCAGTTGTTTTCACATTTAAAAACCTCAGCATCCTTGCACAAATCACGTTGCTTTTCTGACTTTTCAATTCTTCATCTATAAGAATAAATATATATTACTCTTACCTTATCTTCATAGCTTTTGTTAATATCAAATGAGTAATGGAAATGAATAACCTATACAATTGTAAATTAATAATGATGTGGTTGAAGACGATTCAAGGAAATTTTAACAGTCTGTGTAGTGATCCAAATTTGGCTATTCTAAACAATTTTCTAATATTTAAATTGTAAGCCATGCACATTTCATGATTTAAATATCAATCATATGTCCACTTACTCAGCTAATATTTATTTAGCACTTACTGTGGACCAGGCACCATGCAAAGCTTTAGGGGCTCCATGGCCCACCTACACCGCACATGATCATCTTCTAGTGGAAAGAGCTGGAGAGTAACATGTGTGACTCTCATATTATCTATTTTGCTAGAAAAGAGTATGAACATATATGTATACTTTTATATCTTATTGTAATATCCTCTAACTGAAAAATTTATCCAGTAGTTTCTTCTCTATTTTGTATACAGGTCTTTGGCCTCACATATGTAGGACATGGCCCCAGGAGTTTAATAATCACTCAACTGAGTATGTTAATTAGGAATTAAGTAATTGTATTAACAATTTTTTGATTGAAACTAGATTGAGAGCAAAAATTATATAACTATGTGAGATCACCAAACACCCAGAGAAGTCCTGGGAATAACAGTAGTTCAGTAAATGTGGAATTTTCATTTTAAAAAGGAAACTTGTCTGAGGCAGGCGAATCACCTAAGGTTGGGAGTTGGAGACCAGCCTGACCAACATGGGGAAACCCTGTCTCTACTAAAAATACAAAATTAGCGAGGCATGGTGGCGCATGCCTGTAATCCCAGGTACTCAGGAGGCTGTGGCAGGAGAATCACTTCAACGCAGGAGGTGGAGGTTGCAGTGAGCCAAGATTGCACCATTGCACTCCAGCCTGGGCAACAAGAGCAAAACTCTGTCTCAAAAAAAATAAAATAAACTAAATAAAAAGGAAACTTGTTTATATAATGAAGTACTTAGACCCTGTTATTTTTGCCCTGATATATTTTACTTAAAGGAACTTTCTAAATAGATACATGTGTGTGTGTATATATATATATATGTGTGTGTGTATATATATATATGTATATATATTGTATACATATATGTATATGTATATATATGTATGTGTATATATATACACATATACACATATATGTGTATGTATATATATGTGTGTATATACGTATATATATACATATATACAATTTTTGTATATATACATATATACACATATATATGTGTATGTGTATATATATACACATATATATGTGTGTGTATATATATACACATATATATGTGTGTATATATATATATCTCCCTTTTCAACCATATTCCACTATCTCCAAACAGTATGTTTAATATAGTCACTTGTTCTATCGAGATCCCCACTGTTTTCTTGTTACAGCAATGTACATAACTCTATGTGATATGGAGCACAGAAATTTATAATGCTCGTGTTCAGTAAAAGTGGAGAAAGAAGCCATTTTAGGGTATACATAGCACTAATCACAATGCCTAAATATCTTCATAATAAATAACATATAAAGAAGAATGAAAAGGTAGAAGAAAAGAAGGAAGTGAGGGAGGAAGGGAGGGAAAGAGAGAAAGGCAAACTACAGTGGTGTGTACAGAGGTTCATTAAATGATAGAAAGGTAAACAGTGCTCCCTACTAAATCTTTTCATTCTAGTCTCCCAAAATATTAGTGTGGCATCAGCCAATTTCATGTCTAAAAAACTGTCTCAGTTTATTACTAATCACACCAAGAAGCAAGTGTGTTTATAATTTATAATCTATCATCGAGACAAGCTTTTACTGTTTCTAAATTATTTAAAATGATCTGTTTTCTTTGTCTGCCTGTTTATTTAATCAATTTAATTCTTATATATTGTTCTATTTAAAACTTCACTAGTTGACATTTAGTCATTTGCTGTCCCAAGTTTGAGTTGAAGGATGGAATTTTTAATGAGATCCTTTCAATCATTCAACAAATATTTTTATCACCTATACTTCTGGATACTTAGCATATAGCAGTGGAATAAAACGGAGGAAAAAAAAAACTATTATTGTCCTCATTGAAGTTATTTACTAGTAGGAGAAGTGATATGGTTTGGATCTGTGTCACTGTGCAAATCTCATGTCAAATTGTAATACCCAGTGTTGGAGGTGGGGCCCGGTGGGGGTGATTAAATAATGGGGGTGGATTTTGCCCTTGGTGCTGTTCTAGTGATAGTGAGTGAGTTCTTATGAGATCTGGTCATTTAAAAGTGTGTTGCAGCTTCCCCCTCGTCTCTCTTTCTCCTGCTCCAGTCATGCGAAGTGGCTCACTCCCTTTATGCCTTCTACCATGACTGGAAGCTTCTTGAGGCCTCCCCAGAATCAGAAGCCACAATGCTTCCTGTACAACCTGCAGAACCATGAGCCAATTAAACCTCTTTTCTTTATAAATGACCCAGTCTCAAGAATGTCTTTATAGCAGTGCAAGAATGGACTAATACAGGGAGATGTACCCAACGGATGAACGAGTGAAATATTTAAAATGTCAGAAGAAAATAAATACTACGCATACAGATGAACAAAGTAAGGAAGATAGCCTGTGACAATGGAGTGATTTTATTTTAAGTAGGGTGGCCAAAGGACGCTTATTTGATTTAATATTTGAGTAGTGACTTGATGAAAGTGACGAACTGACACATGCAAATATCTAAGGTAAAAGGTTACAGGTGGAGGACACAACAATGACTAAGGCTCCAAGGTGAAAATGTACTTGGAATATTGAGGTAAGGCAAGGAGGCCAGTCCAGCTGGAGCTCAGTAAGCAAAAAGGAAAAGGTAGGAGGTAAAGTCAGGAAGTCAGAAAAAAAATTATATATATATAGGTTATTATAAAGACATTGTCTTCTACTGAATGAAAGTGGAAGCCATTGAAGGGTTTGGAATATAGGAATGATAGAATCTGACAGGATCTGACTTTTGTTTTCAGAGACAAGGTCTCACTGTGTTTCCCAGGCTGGAATGAAGTGGTGTGATCATAGGTCACTGTAATCTTGAACTCCTGGGCTCAAGCCATTCTCCTGCCTTGGTATCCCAAAGCTCTGGGATTATAGGTATGAGTCACCATGCCTGGCCAGATCTTACTTTTTAATGTAATGATTCTGGGATTTCATTCAAGATAGACTAAAGGGTGGTAAAGACTGAAGTAAGGAGACTAGTGAAGAGGCTATAGCAAGACATGGTGGTGACTTACACCAGTATCATAACTGCAGAAGTAATGAGAAGAATTTCCTAACACTCATTCTTGTATATGAGACACACACAATGTCTCGAAGATGACTTAAAGAGTTTTGCCTTGAGGAAATGAAAAAATGTAGTTGCCATTTAATAAAATATGTAAAATTTCAGGAGGAATAATTTTCTGGCATTTTGGAATGGAAATCAGGAGTTGGTAGCAGTCATGCTAATGTTTGGATGTTTACAATTTCATAATGTAGTCTCTATTAACCTTACAAGTCATGTGGTATTGAACATAACTTTCTATTATCCTTAAGAAGCTTCAAAGCACTAATATTTTATAACCATTAAATTTTTACTTGAAACATTTTGGATCAAATTTCTTATTGTTTTTGTTTTTCTACTTTTCACATAGAACTCAAAAAATGGACTTTTAACCTTGGTAGTAATCAGAGGGAGTCTTGAATTTGAAGTGATGCTAAACACCCACACTTCATTTGCATTTATTTACTGCCTTTATTTTTGCAATTTTTAATTTCATAAAGTGTCTCAGGACTTCCTATAAAGGTGTACGTATAAAAATAGTCTCATATAATCACACCATGCAGAGATAACTATTGTTTTCATTCATATTCTTTCTTATCACTCCATAATCCATTCACAACTCACACTTGTGTATTTATTGTGAGAATGTTATATACCAGGAACTGTACTAAATGCTTTACACGGATTGGCTAGTTTAAGTCATACAACAGCCTTTTATCAGTCATGTTATTACTTGCAGATAATGAAAACAAACCACGTAGTTTACACATTAAAAAAATTATTAAAGAATATCAACTTAAAGATTTCCCAGAAATTGCAAATCATGCTGAGGTGCTGTACAGATGGACAATGTCCAAGACTGCAGGACATATTTGGTCTGATAGAAAGGTCACAATTGCTTCTGCGATTCACAGACAATGCATGTGACACCACCAATTCTCCTAGCACTGGACACTGGATATTACCTCTGAAATGTTTGCATCTGCTTTCCATGGACACCCATACATGATAAATTTTCTTACAATAGAGTAAGTGTGTTCAAATTCTGGGAAACCAAAACTACTACTGGAATGGTCCACGTCTTAGACTGCCCAATACCAGTGTATTAATATGTACTCAGTAATAGAGACTCAGATAATAAAACCAACCCCTGATAAGCAGGCAAATAGGAAAGCAAGACTAATTTATTGTCTCTGCAAAAGAGGGTCATCCAAATAGTTATTATTTTTATGTTGAGCTGCAGCTCTCATCAGCAGGTGATTGTGATTCTTCTATAATTTCATTACAATTTACCTCAAGGGACTAAATTGGGAAGGTCACCACCATCAATGAACTCCTTTTTAAAAAATTACTAGGGAAAAGAGAGAGGAGAAACACACAAACACACACACACAATAGTTAGCATAGCCAATCATATACAAGACCCTGCACAGCATCCATGCTGGCAAGGGTGGTGGCAGTTACCTCCAGTATTCAAAAGCATCAAAAATACATAGTTATTAGGTTATTAAACAGAAATACCAAACTTTATGATAAGCACTGCCGAGGAGTGGGTTATATTTCTAGCTCTGAAATCTAGGATCCATCACTTACGTGTTCTGTGTGCTGGGGAAAGTTGCTTAACCTCACTAGCCTTCAGTTTCTTCATCTCTAAAATAGAGACATCAATAATATACCTATCTGATAGAACTATTATTGTAATAATATGAAATAATGCATGTGTCTTCTATTCAAATGTAACTTGTTTGTGAATTAAATTACACTATGGGTACATCTGATTATCTGACTGGCCCTGAAGAGGACCATGTTTGGCTGCTCTTGAGAGTAAATCAGTAACTCAACAGTGGCAGCAGCCAAATGAGTGATAATGAGGTGAAGTTTCAACAGCAGAGGTTGCAATACTTTACGTGTTGTATATAACTCAGGATTCTTTCAGCAAAAGAATTGTTATGACTATAAAAACTAAGAAAACAAATTTAAAAATAGTTTTCTAGTGGAAAAATGCAAAGATATACTTTATATCTGTTTTGTTTTTGTAGCGTATATAATAGAGAAGTAGTGTGGGAAAGGTCACACATTGATACAGCAGAAGCATTGGAATAATAATTATGTCTAGCAATTAGCAAACATCTATCATAGTTCAGATACTATACTAAGCACTTTACATATATAATTTCGTGTAATCAACATAGCAATTTTTGAAAATTGTGGAATTGAATATTAGAGAATATAAGTACCTTGCCCTAAAGTACACAGTTTAAAATGGCCATCTAACTTCTATATTATCGTGGTAAATCAGGCACTTAATGATCAGATATGTAATATCTACTTTCTGCCATAGTGCACTCCTATAAACTGCAAGACAAAGCAAATAATTGTAAAATGAATGGTATTTTCACAAAGAAACAATGCCATTATTGAAAATTGTGTTCTTAACCAATAATATGACATTGAAGACATCATGTATATATAATCAAGAATATGTCATAAGAACAAAGAAACCGTGACCATAAAATGTGCTAAATCTGATAGATATTAATTAATTATGTATTTGATGAGTAATAATGCTGCTTCTCTTTTTTGAACTTAGGATATTGAGGAACATTTTCAGTGGCTTTTATCTCTAAGAAAACTCTCAAGTGGGGAAAAAAAGCAACTTCAAAGCTTTCTTCTTTCTTGATAAATGTCCTTTACTTTTGTAGTCATTTGGAACTACTCCACTGACTATCTTTTTAAGTTGCTATGATAGCATCTAATATTGGGGAAAAAAAGAAAAAAAAAAAAGCTTTGAATGTAGTAATGTAGAAGACCTAATTTCTAGGTTCGTCTCTGCTGGAAATTACCTATAACGCCCAAGCAGTAGTGCTTCTTTTCTGTTCCTGACTTTCTCCATTTCTACGAAGACACTAGATTTGGTGAACTCTAAAGGCTCTTTCAGGGATAGAACTTTCTAGAAACTGGTATAGAGTACCCAGTCCTTGGATACTGATCTAAGTTGTTGGAGAGCAGACGTTTTCTCAGTCTGGTTCTGTTGACTATTGATTCTTATTTGTCTGTTCTTACCACAGGATCAAATCATGAAGGGAATCTCTTCCAGGTTATATGACTTGCTTTGGTCATAACTAGTGTTTACAGACACATAGTATGATATGTCATAGTAAAATAAGAAGGAATCTAGAAGTTTTGAATTCAAATCCTGTTTCTTCATTTACTGAGTGACCTTCAACTAAGTCACTTAACCTCCTTAAACCTAGAATTTCCCATTAATAAAACAGAGGGGATAGTTCTTTTCCTACAGGGTAATGATAAAAATTATGTAAATAATGTATGAAAACATCTTGTGTATATCTATTTCCTTATGATAGTTATAGGCTGATGTAGAAAGTCAAACCCACGGGCATCTTGATAATTTGTTAGAAAGCCACTCCCTAATGGGACAATGTGCCTAGACAAAAGAGTTTGGAAGTAAGGTAGAGATGCTAATTAGCTGTCAACTGATTTTGAACTGATCAACATAACAAAGCTTAAATAGACTCTATTGCTATTATCAGTGCCTGTTAATTCACTCAGAGTATATGAGCAAACTATAAACCTGCAAAGGATTACAGAGGATGCTTAGCGCAGTGAAGCCCTGTACTGAATGAACAAATAAGCCCCCAGGGAAGCTTTTAAAAATTACCAGTTTCTAGAGCCGGTCCCTGGACATTATGATTCAATAGATGAAGTGCGGTGGCTAGGAGTTTGCATGTTAAAGAATCTTCCTAGAATATCAATGAACAGCCAAGATTGAGAACACCTGAACTGATCAGATTCCTCATTTTACAAGTGAGGAATATCTGGCAGAGGGAGGAAGATTGAGATCCCAAAGCAGGAACTTGAAAAAAATTCTCCTGATACTTAATCCTTTGTTCTTTCCATAATATCACATGGCAAAAGACAGATAGTAGAGTCAGTGGTATTTCCTGCAAGCCAGGACCATTGTATATGGTATCCTGGCTGTCTATGCTGAAGTCAGGTTTATGTTCTCATGCACATAATGTGAGCCATGGAGTGCTGGGGCCATTTGTCGGAGACAACCTTCTACAATGTCACATTACCAGGTTGTTAATAGTGTACACTCACCTGAGGTAGGCTGCCACATTAAAATGGGACACAATGACAGGGGAGAATCTAGATGTAAAATTGAAAGAGTCAGAAACTGCCCAGCAGTCAGAGGAAGAAATAAGAAGTGGAAGCCTGGAGGCATTTTCTGATATTGCCTTGGTGTTTGATTGTGATTCTGTTTCTAGGCATAGCAAAAGGAAACAAGACTGACTTGATGGTCAAGGTGATGTAAGTAGATCAGTTGGCTTCCCCAATTTTTTTGAAACCAAAAAAGTAGGCCCGGCACGGTGGCTCACGCCTGTAATCCCAGCACTTTGGGAGGCTGAGGCGGGCGGATCACAAGGTCAGTAGTTTGAGACCAGCCTGGTCAACATGATGAAGCCCCGTCTCTACTAAAAATGCAAAAACTTAGCTGGGCGTGGTGGCGTGCACCTGTAGTCCCAGCTACTCAGGAGGCTGAGGCAGAAGAATTGCTTGAACCCGGGAGGCGGAGGTTTCAGTGAACCAAGATCGAGCCACTGCTCTCCAGCCTGGGCAACAGAGCTAGACTTCGTCTCAAAAAAAAAAAAAAAAAAACCAAAAAAGTAATAAGTTTATATGTATAGTAACTAACATATTATAAAGTTCATTACCAGAAAGTTTATATCTTGGTCAAATATATTTACCTAAAAAGTGGAATATGAATATTAAGATACAGTATTAATAAAGTCATTAAAACTCATGATTTGAGAGAAACTAGATCTGTAGTTAGAGGCAACAACAGTTTATTGCATGGAAAAATCTTTCCAATTTTTAGTTCTGGTTAAAATCCTTCTGGGGTAGCGGCTTTTTGTTTCTAACTTTAAAAAGTTCCCATACACAATCAATTGTACTATTTTATTCATTTTGAAATGTTTGACAGTGGAAGGACTGGGAATTGAAAGACTTTGATTGCAATCCTGACTTGCCGTGGACCAATGTCATGACCTTGCAGAAGTTCCTTTTCCCTAGACTGGTCCCCATTGTACTCACTGGAAAGACATGATCTCAAAGGGCTCTTCAACTCTAAGAGTCAGTAAGAGCAAAGGTTTGGGCGGAGATGAAAATAAGATAGCAGGGTGCATCTGGGAGGTGGAGGATGGAATTGAATCTGATCCCAATGCATCTGTGGGGATCAGAGCTAAAATCAATAATGTATGCTGTTGTTTCTTTTTATCTTTTTTTCTTTTTTTCTCCTAATGTCTTTCCCCATCTTTTCCTGCCTTTTTAATATTATGTCTCCTAACTCTAGCTTTAACTCCTGAATTATATTAGGATTTTGTTAAAGTTCATACATTTTAAGCAAAGAGATGTAGAAAATTGTTAAGGCTTAAAATGAATTTCAACACTCAGTAATTGCATATCCTCTGCTTCCTACTGGAAGAGAAAGAAACTTTTCGTGGACTGGAGGGCAGGAGAATGAGAAAAAATGTGTTTTCTTCAAATTTCTATGAAAATGTGAGAGCATTCACAGGGAGACAAAAAAAAATAAATTAGAAACCCTGATAATCCTTCTGGAGCAGTGCTTTTTCTTTCATGAAAGGCATTGTGAATCTTCACCCATAGAAACATTTTGAGCACAATTGAATGCATTTGTAATTTTTGAATCCTATATTTGAAAAACATTTGAAAGCCAAAGTACTAAAATCTAAAGAAAATGCTTTTCTATAGGCCTCCTATCATATTTTTATACTGTGATAGTTACATAACTTGAAACATGGTGTTTTTAATGTAGTATTCTCAAGCAATTGTTCAGGGAACAAATACTCACCGTATGGTACACTGGAAAATACAGCAGAAATTTTGAAATCAGAACAAACTGGACTGCAATCTCCCTCCCACTTCATAGGTATAACAATTTTGGAAAATCACTAAGCTCCTAGTTTTCTTACTTGCTTCTCGTGAAGGTAGAGTGTAATATTTGTACAAGCTCTTTATGAACAATACAGGTTACAAGAGAAAGGGAATGTGTTGCCAGCCAATCAGCTCCTCAAATGTGCTTTCATTGGGTGGCAACATCTCTAATGTGAAATTGATATTATCTATATGTGATTACTAAGATCATGACGGAGGTGATTCTTTTGAAGTATCCTCAGTGCAGGGTTTGGCACAGACTAGTTACTCAATACATATATTCTAGCCTTTTCTTTTTTTGCTTACACAACGTTAACTTATGGGTATAATAGTTTAATTATCACATGATCACACTTGAGTTGTTATTCAGAATAATTTTGTCCTCAGCAAATAATCAGAACATTAATAGGCAATGCAGATAGAGAGTTTATGCGTGAATGACAGCAACTGGCCCAACTTCTTCAGCACTAGGTTTCTAATAATTCAAGCCTGCAGATTGTGCTGTATTTTTATTCATTTGCACTGCAAAGTTTTTTTTTTCTGTTAAATCCTTGTTATTTGGCCCTGCATCATTTCAGTAAAATAAACTTGGCTCCATCAAATTCATTAGGCAAGCTATGATGTGGGAAAAGTCAAAATTTATCTTCCCTGAAGCTACTTTCAGACAGTACCTTAAGCTGGGCATTTTAAAGTGGTGTCAGATAAACTTGGCAGCCGTTTCTTTCCACAGATATTCTTAGTTGAAGCTTTTGGTCTCTTCTTCACTCATGGGATGGTTCCTCTTGCCCTGGTTGCAGAATAGCGTTCGAGCAGTGAGGATTCTCAGCTTTTCTGTTTTACAGCCCTAGAGACTTGGCTGCTGCAGCTGGGTATCAAGCAATGATTTTCACATGCCTTTTTCATCACTTTTTTTTCTAGGAGAAGATTGCTTTTGACATTCATTTTTAAGTTACATGTCGTTTTCCAAGAGCATATCTCTCACAAAAGCTTTAGAATGCCAGTAATAAATGTATTAGTAGCTAAGAAGCTCAGTCTGGCAACTACCTTGTCTGCTTTAAGTCAGTGTGAAATACTTCCAATAATTTAACTCTTCTTAAACAATCACTTGATGTAATATTTAAATCTAAACATTAAAATCTTCTGTGGTTTTTGATCTGTATTAGTTCAGTACTACATAGATTAAATATTTGATATCTGTACCTGAATTTGATCTATACTCAGCCAGCAGGAGAAATCGAAGGGAGCATTAGATACTCGTTTATTTATTTATTTTAATTTATTCTGAAAAATGATTAACTTACTTATTTGTCAGAATTGATTGTTTAAATGAATTGACTTGATTGTACTCATTTTTTGGTGTTCGGTTAGAATACCCTCAATTGACAGAGTCACTGGTCCAGCAGCTTACAAGTATAATCAAAATGGCTATCTTATGTAGAAAAGGCAGTAAAGGAATGATATTCACTGGGAGGCCCCTTGTGTAGGTCAGGAACTATGTTAATTATTACATCTTATTTCATTTAATTCTTGCAATGATCTTAAAAGGTAAATATTATCCTAATTTTCAAAGGAAGCATTGGAAGCAGAGAGTATGAGTAACTTCTGCAACACTCTAGAGTCAGGATTCATACTTAAGTCAGACTCCAGTCTACAGGAATGGGCCACAACACCAAGCTCCTCAATGACTTGTTTTGCTCTTGTCCTATCTTTTGTGCACTTACATCTTTATCACTATGTTCAAAACTAAAATACAATTTTAGTGCTTATTTTATCCAGTTTTATTTTTTCAGGTTAATACCAGCCACAGAGCAATTTAGATTCCCCATCTCCCTTTGAAAAATATACAATTCAATAACCATACATGTGCATGTGTCTTTATAATAGAATGATTTATATTCATTTGGGTATATACCCAGTAATGGGATTGCAGAGTCAAATGGTATTTCTGGGTCTAGATCCTTGAGGAATCGTCATACTGTTTTCCACAATGGTTGAACTAATTTACACTCCCACCAACAGTGTAAAAGTGTTCCTATTTCTCCATTGCCTCACCAGCATCTATTGTTTCCTGACTTTTGAATAATCACCATTCTGACTGGCATGAGATGGTATCTCATTGTGGTTTTGATTTGCATTCCTCTGATCATCAGTGATGATGAGCATTTTTTCATATGTTTGTTGGCTGCATAAATGTGTTCTTCTGAGAAGTGTCTGTTCATATCCTTTATTCACTTTTTGATGGGTTTTTTTTTCTTGTAAATATGTTTAAGTTCCTTGTAAATTCTGGATATTAGACCTTTGTCAGATGGGTAGATTGCAAAAATGTTCTCCCATTCTGCAGGTTGCCTGTTCACTCTGATGATAGTTTATTTTGCTGAGCAGAAGCTCTTTAGTTTAATTAGATTCCATTTGTCAATTTTGGCTTTTGTTGCAATTGCTTTTGGCATTTTTGTCATGAAGTCTTTGCCCGCATCTATGTCCTGAATGGTATTGCCAAGCTTTTCTTCTAGGGTTTTTATGGTTTGGGGTTTTACATTGAAGTCTTTAATTTATCTTGAGTTAATTTTTGTATAAGGTGTAAGGAAGGGGTTTATTGCAGCACTATTTACAATAGCAAAGACATGGAACCAACCCAAATGCCCATCAGTGATAGATTGAATAAATAAAATGTGGTACATATACACCATGGAATACTATGCATCCATAAAAAGGAATGAGATCATGTTTTTCCTGGGATGTGGATGAAGTTGGAAGCCATCATCCTTAGCAAACTAACACAGAAACAGAAAACCAAACACTGCATGTTCTCACTCATAAATGGGAGTTGAACATTTAGAACATATGGACACAGAGAGGGGAACAACACACACCAGGACCTGTTGGAGTGTGGAGGGTGAGGGGAGGGAACTTAGAGGATGGATCAATAGGTGCAGCAACCATCATGGCACACATATATCTATATAACAAAACTGCATGTTCTGCATGCATATCCCATTTTTTTAGAAGAAATGAAGAAAAAATAAAATAAAAAGACTTTAACTCAGCTTCGTATCCTCAAAAAAGAGAAAAATATGCAATTCAAATTTCCCTATGTACAAACTAAATTCTTAAAAAAGTTAAAATTTTGTCTTAAATTACAAATTATAAATGTAAATCTTAAATTATAAATTCTTAAAAATACATGTCCCCCGTAGTGAGAAAGAGCTGCAGTTAAAACAGTGGTTAGCAATTCCCAGTCTAGTAGTCTAACAAATAGATACCTTGTACATTCAGTGTTTTATTTTGCTTTTCATTGTGTTAAATAATTTTTACTAATATTCACAAATTTCAAATGAGGACAATTTAAAAATATAATTAGCTCAGAGCAGAATTCCACAAAATTAGTCCTTCATGCTTGAACTGAGTGACCTGTTCATGTACTAACAAATATTTCAGTGTCCATCTCTGAAGGGCAAGATTTCAAGTCTCAAAGCTTCTCACATTGCATGTACTGAGAAACTATACTCCTATGTGATTGTCATAAAACTGAATCCTACCAATGAAGACGAAATGGTAAGAAATTCATAAGTCCTCCTCAGAGACAGAAAGTACATTCCCACCCTTATCACCTCCCATAATTGTTAAGGATGACAATTATTATAGTTATATTTATTGAACTCATACTATGTGCCAGTAATTGTGCTAGGTGCTTTATATACACCCTACTGGCTGCCTTTTTAGGAGGTATTAGTAACCTTATATTCTTTGATTCAGTAATTTCAAATGCTGAGGCTTACAACATTTGTCATTCAAAAAAAATCACTCACTGACTCTAAAGTCCATGTTTTTGTCACCATGTTGTAGCTGCTCCATTTAAATAAAGGTGAAAGGAGTTGAGAGATGTGTCTGCTATGTACAGCATCTGAGATTAAAGAAAAGAAAACCACAGAACAACTAAGAAGTGTCCTTACATTTTTTTTATTCAGAATCAGAATCAATCAGTGATGGTTTGTAAACATCTACAGATATGTTTTGCTTCTTTTGTTATTACTTAGGGTGTTGAGAGTTACAGCTTATAGTATCATGTCTTTTTTTTTAAAGAAAAAAACAATTCTGTCTTTGGAAAAAAAAAATGGAAACCTACTTATAGTTTAAAAGGGTCATTTATATAAAAGCACATAGAGCCAGTTCCTGAGAATTTTCACTGATTTTGTGTATGACTTCCCAGAAAAGCCTTGTCCATTCCAATAGGTGACATAAGAAAAAGTGATATTCTGACATTTTCTATTTGCTATAGATACATGATTATTAAAATAAATTCATATTGTATTCAATTTTTAAATAATTTGGTAATGTCATTTAATGTCAGTTAGTTAAATCATATAAGCTTATTTGTAACTGTTCCTTATATTTTAGAAATGTTAATCCATTATTATTTGTTCTTTTTACTTTTGAGGGTTTTATTTAACTTTTAAGTTCAGGGGTACAAGTGCAGGTTTGTTACATAAGTAAACTTACGTCATGGGGGGTTATTGTGCAGATTATTTCATCACTCAAGTATGAAGCCTAGTACCCATTAGTTATTTTTCCTGATTCTCTCCCTCCTGCCACCTTCCACCCTCCGATAGGCCCGAGTGTGTGTTGTTCCTCCCTATGTGTCCATGTATTCTCATTTTTTCACTCCCACTTATAAATGAGAACATGCAGTATTTGGTTGTCTGTTCCTGCATTCGTTTGCTAAAGATAATGGCCCCTAACTCCATCCATGTTCCTGCAAAGGACATGATCTCATTCCTTTTATTGGCTGCATAGTATTCCATGGTCTATATGTACCACATTTTATTTATCCAGGCTATCATTGATAGGCATTTAGGTTGTTTCCATGTCTTTGCTCTTGTGAATAATGCTGCAATGAACGTACACATGCATGTGTCTTTTTAATAGAATAATTTATACTCCTTTGAGTATATGCCCAGAAATAGGATTGCTGGGATGAATGACATTTCCATCTTTAAGTCTTTGAAGAATCACCACACTGTCTTCCACAATGGTTGAACTAATTTACATTCCCACCAACAGTGTATAAGCATTCCCTTTTCTCTACAGTCTCACCAGCATCTGTTATTTTTTGAATTTTTAATAATAGCCATTCTGACTGGTTTGAGATGATGTCTCATGGTGGTTTTGATTTGCATCTCTCCAATGATCAGTGATGTTGAACTTCTTTTCATAGGATTGTGTGGGTCACATGTATGTCTTCTTTTGAGAAGTGTCTGTTCATGTCCATCGCCCACTTTTTAATGAGGTGGGTTTTTTTTTCTTGTAAATTTATTAACTTTCTTATAGATTCAGGATATTAGACCTTTGCTAGACGAATAGTTTGCAGATATTTTCTCCCATTCTGTAGGTTGTCGGGTTACTCTATTGACAGTATCCTCGGCTGTGGAGAAGCTCTTAATTTTAATTAGATTCCATTTGTCAATTTTTACTTTTGTTGCAATAGGTTTTGGCATCTTCCTCATGAAATCTTTGCCCATGCCTATATCCTGAATGATATTGCCTAAGTTGTCTTCCAGGGTTTTTTTTATAGTTTTGGGTTTTACATTTCAGTCTTTAATCCGTCTTGAATTAATTTTTGTATAAGGTGTAAGAAAGGGGTCCAGTTTTAGTCTTCTGCATACACACAATCCTTTCCCCATTGCTTGTTTTTGTCAAGTTTGTCAAAGATCAGATAGCTGTGGGTGTGTGGTCTTATTTCTGGGTTCTCTATTCTGTTCCTTTGATCTATTTGCCTGTTTTTGTACAAGTATTGTGCTGTTTTGGTTACTGTAGCTCTGTAGTGTTGTTTGAAGTTGGGTAGTGTGATGCCTCCAGCTTTGTTTTTTTTGTGTGTGTGTGTATGTGTGTGTGTGTGTGTGTGTGTGTGTGTTTTGCTTAGGACTTCTTTGGCTATTCAGGCTCCTTTTCAGTTCCATATGAAATTTAAAATAGTTTTCTCCAGTCCTGTGAAGAATATGAATGGCTGTTTAACAAGAATGTCATTAAATCTATAAATTGCTTTGGATGGTATGGTCATTTTAATGATATTGATTCCTCCTATCTATGAGCATGGAATATTTTTCCATTTGTTCGTGTCATTTATGATTTATTTGAGCAGTGTTTTGTAGTTCTCCTTTTAGAGATCTTTCACCTCCTTAGTTAGCTGTATTCCTAGGTATTTTATTCTTTTTGTGGCAGTTGTCAATGTGAGTTCATACCTGACTTGGCTTTCAGCTTGACTGTTGTTAGTATACAGGAATGCTCATGGTTTTTGCACATTGATTTGTGCATACTGAGACTTTGCTGAAGTTGTTTATCAGCTTAAGAAGTGGTTGAGCTGAGACTACAGCATTTTCTACAGATAGTATCATGTCATTTACAAACAGTAAGAGTTTGACTTTCTCTCTTTCTATTTAGATGCCTTTTATTTCTTTCTCTTGCCTAATTGCCCTGGCCAGAACTTCCAATACTATGTTGAATAGGAGTGGTGAGAAAGGGCATCCTTGTCTTTTGCTGGTTTTCAAGGGGAACGATTTCAGCTTTTGCCAATTCAGTATGATGTTGGCTATGGGTTTGCCATATATGGCTCTTATTATTTTGTGGTATGTTCTTTCAATAACTAGTTTATTGAGACTTTTTAACATGAATAGATGTTGAATTTTTTCAAAAGCCTTTTCTGCATCTATTGAGCTAATCTTGTGGTTTTTGTCTTTAGTTCTGTTCATGTGATGAATCACATGTATTGATTTTCATATGATGAACCAACCTTGCATCCTGGCGATAAAGCCTACTTGATCGTGGTGGATAAGATTTTCTGATGTGCTGCTGGATTCTACTTGCCAGTATTTTGCTGAGGATTTTGCATTCATGTTCATCAAAGATATGGGCCTGAAGTTTTCTTTTTTGTTGTATCTCTGGCAGGTTTTGGTATCATGATGTTGCTGGTCTCATACAATGAGTTAGGGAGGAGTTTCTTCTCAAATTTTTGGAATTGTCTCAGCAGAAATGGCTCCAGCTCTTATTGGTACAGCTGGTAAAGTTCAGATTTCAATTCATCTGATCCTGGGCTTTTTTGGGTTGGTAGACTACTTATTACTGGCTCAATTTCAGAACTTGTTATTGATCTGTTCAGAGATTCAATTTCTTCCTGGTTCAATCTTGAAAGGGTGTTATTTGTCCAGGAATTTATCCATTTCTTCCAGTTTTTTTTTTTTTTTTTTTTTTAGTTTATAAGTATAGAGGTGTTCATAATATCCTCTGGTGGTTGTTTGTATTTCCGTGAGGTCAGTGGTAATATCCCTTTTGTCATTTCTGATTGTATTTGAACCTTCTTTTTTTTTTCTTTATTTGTCTAGCTAGTGATCTATCTATTTCATTAATTTTTTTTTTCAAAAAACAAGCTCCTGGATTCACTGATGTTTTGAATAGTTTTTTGCATCTCTATCTCCTTCAGTTCAGCTCTGATTTTGGTTACTTTTTTGTCTTCTGCTAGCTTTGGGTTTTGTTTGCTCTTGCTTCTCTAGTTCTTTTAGTTGTGATGTTAGGTTGTTTGAGATCCTTTTACATTTTGATGTGGACATTTAATGCTATAAATTTCCCTGTTAACACCGCCTTAGCTGTGTCCCAGAGATTCTGGTATTTTTTTTTCTTTGTTCTGATTGATAAATTACAAAGAACTTCTTGATTTCTGCCTTAATTTCATTATTTCCCCCAAAGTCATTCAGGAGTAGGTTGTTCAATTTCCATGTAATTGTGTGGTTTTGAGTGAATTTCTTAGTCTTGATTTCTAATTTGATTGTGCTGTGGTCTGAGAGAGTAGTTGTTATGATTTTAGTTCTTTTGCATTTGCTAAGGAATGTTTTGCTTCTGATTATGTGATTGGTATTAGAGTAAGTGCCATGTGGTGATGAGAAGAATGAATGTGATATGGTTTGGCTGTGTCCCCATCCAAATCTCATCTTGAATTGTAGTTCCCATAATCTCCATGTGTCATGGGAGGGACCTAGTAGGAGGTAATTGAATCATTGGGGTGGTTACCCCCATGCTGCTCTTCTTGTGATAGTGAGTAAGTTCTCACGAGATCTCATGGTTTTATAAGGGGCTTTTCCTCCTTTTGCTCAATGCTTCTCCTTGCTGCAATGTGAAGAAGGACATGTTTGCTTCCATTTCCATCATGATTGTAAGTTTCCTGAGGCCTCCTCAGCCATGCTGAACTGTGAGTCAATTAAACCTCTTTCCTTTTTGAATTACCCAGTTTCAGGTAATTCTTTATAGCAGCATGAAACCAGACTAATAAAAAATGTTATGTTGTTTCTTGGTGGGGCCTTCCATAGATAAATATCAAGTCCATTTGATACAGGGCTGAGTACAGATTCTGAATATATTTTGTTAATTTTCTGCCTCGATGATGTGTCTAGTATTGTCAGTGGGGTGTTAAAATCTCTCACTATTATTGTGTGGAAGTCTAAGTCTCTTTGAAGGTCTCTATGAATCTGAGTGCTTCTATGTTGGGTGCATATATATTTAGGATACTTAGATCTTCATGTTGAATTGAAACCTTTACCATTGTGTAATGCCCTTCTTTGTCTTTTTTTATCTTTATTGGTTTTATGTCTGTTTTGTTAGAAACTAGGCTAGCAACTTCTGTTTTTTTTTTCTGTTTTTCATGTCCTTGGAAAGACTGGAATTTTCCTCCATTTTTTATTTTGAACCTATGTGTGTCTTAGCATGTGAGATGGGTCTCTTGAAGACAGCATGGCAATGGATCTTGGTTCTTTATCTAGTTTGTCATTCTGTGTCTTTTAATTGGGTCATTTAGCCCATTTACATTTAGTATTATTATTGTCATTTGTGGATTAGATCCTGTCATCATGATGTTAGCTGGTTATTTTGCAGACTTGTTTATGTGGTTGCTTCATAGTGTCACTTGTCTGTGTACTTCAGTGTGCTTTTGTAGTGGCTGGTAATGGTCTTTCCTTTCATATTTAGTGATTTCTTCAGGAGCTCTTGTAAGGCAGTTCTGGTGGTAACAAATTTCTTCAGCATTTGCTTGCCTGAAAAGGATCTTATTTCTCTTTGATTACGAAACTTAGTTTGGCCAGATATAAAATTCTGGGTTGGAGATTCTTTCTTTAAGAGCATTGAATTTTAGCGCCCTATTCCTTCTGGTTTATAGAGCTTCAGCTTAGAGGTCCGCTGTTAGTCTGATGTACTTCCCTTTGTAGATGACATGGCCTTTCTGTCTGGCTGCCTTTAACATTTTTTCTTTCATTTTGACCTTGGAGAACCATGTGGTTATGTGTCTTGGTGATGATCTTTTCATAGAGTATCTTACTGGGGTTCTCTGCATTGCCTGAATTTGAATGCTGTCCCCTCTAGCTAGGTTGGGGGAAGGTTTCATGGATGATATTCTGAAATATGTTTTCTAAGTTGGTTCCATTCTCCCCATCTATTTCAGGTACACCAGTCATATATTCAATTTCATTACATAATCTCATATTTCTCAGAGGTTTTGTTCATTCATTTTCACTATTTTTTCTTTATTCTTGTGTGTCTGTCTTATTTCAGAAAGGAAGTCTTGAGCTCTGAGATTCATTCTTTTGCTTTGTCTATTCTGCTATTACTACTTGTGGTTGCACTGTGAAATTCTTGTAGTGTGTTTTTCAGCCCTATCCAGTCAATTACATTCTTCTCTATACTGGCTATTTTGTCTGTTGGCTTCTGCAATGTTTCTTTTTTTATTATTTGAACGAATATTTATTTAAAGTTTCCAAAATATTACCAAGACACTGTGCTAAGCTGAAGGTGGAATATGCAATATAAAAGCAGACATAGTCCCTGTCCTCAGGGAGCTTACCATCTCATTGGGGAAACAATCAGTAGACAAATAAAGAAAAATAAAATTAGTGTCTTAATAGATAGCAGAGTCAATTCTTTAGGAAGAAATCATATTCTTCTTTAACTTTCTTTGTAATGAGATATTTATTTAGTTATTTATTTAAATTCCAATAGTTTTGAAGGAACAGGTGGTGTTTCAGAAAGGTAGTGTTTAAGTTCTGAGTTTCTTTCCTCCACTTTGTCTTTTCTGCTGTTACTACTTGTGATTGCATTATGAAATTCTTGTAGTGTGTTTTTCAGCTCTATCAATCAGGTCAGTTACATTTTTCTCTATCCTGACTATTTTGTCTATCAGCTCCAGTAATATTTTATCATGATTTTTGTCTTCCTTGCATTGGGTTACAATGTACTGCTTTAACTCAGTAACCTTCATTCCTCTCCACATTCTGAATTCTACTTCTGTCATTTCAGCCATCTCAGCCTCAGCGTGTTGTAAACACATTCTTTAATCCATTATCCCATGTAACTGTAATATTTGTTTATGGTTGTTAGTGTTTGTTCATGAGTTTTGCAATTTGCATTGCTTAAATTCTTTCTATGCAGTCAAAACTAGGTATCTCTTTCTGTATTAAATTTGACTTAGGTATTAGGCTTAAAATCCATTTCCCATCCATTTAAAAATAAAACCATTCATGAATATATTCTCCTTGTACTTTAATGGTTTAACATTTAAATTAAATTTAATAACTTTTCATCAGATTATAAAAATTGATATGTAATCATTGTGAAAAATTCAAACAACACAGAAAATTGTAATAAAGAAAGTAAAAGGAGCCAAAAATAGTAGCATTAAAAATTTTCGATATGTTGAAAATGTCTTTTCAGATGTATCCTTAGTCATATATACACCATGTCTGAGGATGCAGGTGTGTGTGTTGTTCTAAATGCTCTATGCACACTGCTATTGACACTCCAAAATATGTCGTGGTGCCTTTTTATGTCAATTAATACAAATATTTTTCATTACCACCAACGGTTACATGGTGCACCATTTTATGGACTTGTTACAATACATTTCATTAACCATCTGTTTCCAGTTTTTTATTATTTAGACAGTTATTTGATAAGATCATTTGTTTGCATATGTATATGTGTGTGCATGCATACCTCACCCAATTGTCAGGTTAATCCATTTTTATATATTTCTAGACTTTGAATTTTTGACCTAAAAAGATTGCAATTTAAAATGGTTTTACGTATATTTCTAAAAGATTGCTATAAATATTGAGAAATGTTTACTTCTAACATCTGCTTAATCTTTACAAATTTGATACTTAAAAACTTATACATCTCATTAAAAATATATCTGAATGTCAGAGAAGTTAGCACACATACACCCAAGTATAACATTTTATTAAATCCTCAATTTAATTTTCCAAGCATAAGAAGTTTTTACCTGAAGTGAAATGGCAACACAAGGTAAGAACAGATGTAGCATATTTTGATGTATTTTTTCTTTTGGCGCCATGCAGTTGCAGTTATACTTTCTGGACAAATTTGCATCTTGCTTGATTTGTGAAGTTCCGCACTTTCTTTCCCGCTACTCTTTTATACTCAGAGCTAGTAATTTTATTGTGAAAGAACAGAGCAAAGCAGTGTATCCTAGACCATTTCAGGGCATGTGTGCATGGTTTTAAAACTAAAATTAGTATCAGAAAAGCTACATTCTCATTCAGGTGGTGGTAAGGGAGGGATTGAATAATTTGAATGTGTCAATAGAGGATCCTGATATCATTAAACAGTATCTGCCTCTATCTTTCCGGTATTTCTAGATAAAAATAAACAAAGAGAGTATTCCATGAAAAAAAAAAAAAAGATATGAGAAAAATCATGAAACAGTAGAGAGAATATTGGTATCTACGAAAGTTGTCATCCCAACAAATATGGTTGTACACAACCAAATGCTATGGCTCTATGAACTTCATTGCTGCAGTGGTATAAAATATAAGCCAAGAAGCTTTAAGAAATGAGGATTAGAAAAGCTTATGCTCTATTTTAAAAGATTTGACTTTATTCAACATGTAACGGGAAACCATTAAATAATTTTAACCAATGAAGTAATACATGCATGTTTGAATTTCAGAAAACTCCGATATTTTTGTGGAGACTGGATTAGAGAAGTACTCACATAAAGAGAAAGTAGAGAGTGAAGAGTCTGTTGAAATAACACTGGCAAAAATTAATGTTTGAATGAAGAAAATAAACTTTTAAGAGGCAAAATTGGTAGGACTTTGTAAAAGATGTTATAAATAAAGAAGGGAAAAAGTGTCAAAGATTACTGGTTCATATGCTGAATAGGAAACATCGGATTTAATGCAAGTTTTACTTTTATCAAGAATATATTATAAAATGGTAAGTTCAAGAGTATTGAAGATGTGTACAAACGGTGATTATTATCATTCAAAGTCAAATTTAAGATAGACAAGGAGGAAAGAAAACATATCAAATACATGATAGTCAAAAGATAAAAATATTTATGGTCCTGGTGGGAGCAAAGGATGTTGGAATTGTAGTTCTAGAGGAACTGAGCCAGAAAGATAGGAAATGGCGATCAGAGGGTGGGTTACTTGCCATTGAGATTACCTAGCATTTGCAGTTATTGGTAGTTATTTTCAGATATGAGTGGGAGTGAGTGGCTGAAGTGGGATGGAAGGCATAATCATTGGAAGAGAGAAAGTTCAGGAACTGAGAACCCCTGGTGTTGAGATAATTTTCCACATGAATGTTAAAATCGCTGAGGATCAAGACAGGAATAGGGACTACAGAGCGCAGAGTTGCACGGAACATAGTTCTGAATTAGCGAAAATTCTAATGGTATTAAAAACTTTAAGAGGTAATCATGGTATTGTTTCTTAGAGATTCCCAGTGTGATCATACAACCTATATCATCACTTTTAAAAATATTCCCAGTCCATAGCCTATAATAAGGGCAAGTTTACACATGCACCATATAATGATATCAATCCCTCATCACAAACGAATGGAATACAGATGGACACCTGACCATTATATTCTCATCAGACCACTCAAATACTCTTCACTAGAAACTTTAATTGGGGTCCAGTGACTGGGTCAGTCATTAGTAGGAAATTTAGTTCAAGAGTCATGTAGAGTCATGGGCTGAGGCTCCAATTCTGGGGTATCTCTGATTAGTCATGTGTGTTTGCTGAGAGTTAAGGAGAAAAGGCTTTTCTGAGAGAGAAGCAGGAGAATGGAGCAGCAAACAGACATAAACACACACATACACACACACAGAAAAATTGTCTTGATTCTAAATTCTCATGAGGTCATGTTACATTTCCTATCACTAAATTCTGTAAATTCTCATGTATCCTTACCATACTTCTAATATTTAGCTATGCTATTTTGATGGGATTCCTCCTCCATGCAATCAGATTTGCTTTATGAGAGCAGCTATAATTTACTCATTCATTCAATAAGCATTAAATGAGCACTTACTAAGGGCCTGGACTGTTGGAAGCACTATGGAAGATAAAAACACGAGCAAAATATGGTTTCTGTCAGTCAGAAAATCAATAGTGGAGAAAACAAATATAAAATATAATTAAAACACAATGTAATGAGTGCTAAACTAGAGATGAGTGGTAAATATTATGATCTCATTAGGCAAAAATACAATATGTTAGCTAATCTGAAAGATCTGGTAGAGTCAGAAAAAGCCGGTAGAGTCAGGTCAAATGAGACAAGATTTAAAATTGTCTTGAGCAATAAGCACATATTTGCAAAGTGAAGATGTTTGAATGTCTAGATGGAGAAGTGAAGGTAACTTAGAACAAGAGCTTTGAATAATTCCAAGATTCAAGGGTGTGTTAGTCTGTTTTGCCTTGGCCATAAAGACTATTACTGGAGACTGGGCAATTTATAAAGAAAAAAGTTTTTTTTGGCTCAAGATTCTGCAGGCTGTAGGAGCGTGACACCAGCATCTACTTCTGGTGAAGCCTCAGGAAACTTATAACCGTGAAGAAAGGCAAAGGGAGAGTAGGCATGTCACATGATGAAAAAAGGAGCAAGAGAGAGATGGGGGAGGTCTCAGACTCTTTTTAACAAGTATATCTCACATTCACTCATTACTTCAGGAGGGCGCCAAGCCATTTGCCAGGGATCTTCCCCCATGGCATGACCCAAATTCCTCCCATTAGTCCCCACCTCAGACATTTCAAGATGGGATTTGGAGGGGACAAACGTCCTAACTATATTAGAGGGTTAGGTAGATTGGATAAGTTAGCAAAGGAAATGTGAAAGAAAAGGCAAAGGGAAGAAACTAGGGGACTGTGATGTCATACAAACTCAGGGCAAAGAGTATTTCAAGGAGGTAGGTGTCAATTACATTGGACATTACTGTGACATTAAGAAATACAATTTTTGAAGGTTTACATTACATTGGTGATACTGGTTTCCTTAGCTGGAGGAAGTAAACTTAGTTGGAGAAGTTTCAGTACAGCAGTGAGAGCAAAATCTGGTTGAAACACCTTAGTAGTATGTGGGAAGTAAGGGATTGGAGAGAGTTAATATGGACAATTAATTTTTTTAAATGGCTTTGAAGGTCAACAGAGCAGTAGCCGAAGAGAGAAGTAAAATCACAGGATAATTTTTTTAAAGATGTAAATATTTGAGTGCATTAAAATGGAGCTAAAGATTCTATCATATGTCAGTGGGTAGAGAAAGAATAATTAAATGATCTTGTGACAATTAGTAAAAGGTTATAGAAAGAGTAATGAAATGATGTTGTGACAATTAGCAAAAGGTTATGCACAGAGATGTTAAGCTTGGCTTTATTTACAACGGCCCAGAAAGAAATGAGCCTTAATGTCACAAAATGTCCCAAAATAAATGACGAAAATCTTGAAGATTTTTCATAGGATTTGGGTAGGTTATTATGAAGAATTTAAAAATAATATTTCACAGTAACATTAATGAGAAAAATTATAGTGGCCAAAAATTAATCAAGTGAAAAATAAAAAGTACAGTGTAATATATAAAGCATATTAACTATGATTCTTATTTTGCCATTCACATACGCACAAACACTGGACAAAGACTGGAATAAAAGAAAAGAAATTGTTAAGCAGCTATCTGGGTAGTAAGATTACTGGTGATTTTACTTTAAAAAAACTCAACTTTTAACTTTCAATAATAAGCATGTATTATTTTTATAATCAGAAAGAAACAAGTATTGTTCTATACTAGATGAGTTAAGCATGTTACATATTTCTCTAGTAGACAAAAATCCTATGCTTCTAAGAATGAGACTTATTTTCCCATCAATTTATTATATCATTATCATCACCACCATCTCTCTTCTTAAAATTTATCTCCTACCTCACCCAGACTGCATAATCCAAATATTTAAAAACTCTGAACATGAACTACTAGGCTTTTCAAAATGTATGTGTAGTGTGTGCGTGCACGTTCACATTTAAATGATGGCAAAAATGTGTTTCAGGGTCTTTTTTTAACTCAAACAATTTCACACCTACTTTAATTTTTCAATCCTGCATTCAGAAGCTAATATATTTAGAATAAATTCTAATGAAGCCATGGAAACTATTTAATGTTATGTCAATTATTGGTGATTGTGTGGGCAACAATGCAGCCTGTGTGGCTGATTGGAAATTATTTCTCTTTTATAAAAAAGAAATCTTGAAGGGTTCCAACTTGCTACGATTAACGATACAAGTAAGCTTAATTTATAACTCCAATAAGAGCAAAGAAAGATATTTTTTCAATGTGGACTGGAAAAACTGTGAAAATCATGATAACAAGATGTTACCTTCCCATTGTATTCTTAAAGATTTCAGTTTCTTATTTTTGAAATAATTTGAGGTGAAAATACCCAGTATTAACATTGAAAGTAGTAAGCTTTTCTGAAGTGTCTTATTGTTTGCAAGTCTTTAACTGAACTTAGAACCTCAATGTGAACACTATCAGGGTCACGTGTTGTCCCTAGCACCATCTGGTCACACAGAGAAGTCCTTTAGAACTACTGTAGCCTTGGGACTGGAAACACATGCTGTGTTCTACCTGAAAGTGTTAGCTTTCATTGTGAATTACCCATACATATCTCTGAAATCCAAGATGGTTATTTATGGTGGGTGACTCTGAAATGAACCAGATCAGCAATCTAATATGACAGCGTATCTCCCAATGAAGATGATGACAGCCCAGGATTTTCTGGATTTATTTAGTATAGAAATGAGACAGAGAGAGAGAGAAGGAGAGAGAACTCAGGATGGTCT
Organism: Homo sapiens; assembly: GCF_000001405.40. Taxonomy (NCBI): domain Eukaryota; kingdom Metazoa; phylum Chordata; class Mammalia; order Primates; family Hominidae; genus Homo; species Homo sapiens. Next base: position 144,099,378 of record NC_000023.11, on the reverse strand, counting down.
TTCACAAAATGGATTAAGAACAAACTATTTAGTTGATTGTGCTGTTTGAGTCAATCATTGAATAGAAAGATCAGAAAATTTAAATTTAAAAATCAGCACATTCATAACACATAAACCAAATGAGTTAGGGAAACTGAAAAGCCCACCTACTTAACTTCTCCCTAATATTCTTTAAGAGCATGAACATTTTCGCATTTCGAAGAAAAACAAAGAAACGAAACTAGCAAAAGACAATATAAAATTAGTACTTGAAACCATTACAACAGAATAACAAGTCTAATAAAGATGGCACAACAAGTGTCCAGTTTAACTAACCACTTGTGTCCCAAGCATATGGAAATGACTGATAAACTATCAGAAGGAAAGACAAACAAAAACATAGCAAATTCAAAAGCAATATAATTTCTCTCTGAACCAAAAGGACAACAGAGAAACACAGTGTTAAAGTGGGCTGAAGGTGCAGCTGCGCTAGGCTTTCTGTTTGTAAGCGGACAAATGGAACGAGGACTTGTGCTCCTGTGTAGTATTAGGAACTTAGCATCCTCTGTAAAGACAGGTTACCAAAGCAAAGTTCATTGCTAGAAATCAGACCCTGAATTATCACTTCCCATCTTCTTTAGCTGGGAAAATGTTTGGGACCATGAAATTTTAAAGAACTCAAGAACTAGGAAATTGAAAATATAAAGATAGGATCTATGACCAGAAATCTTTGTTATCCATTTGATGGCCCTGTGATTTTCTCTTGTTTATGATTAATAAATGGCATCATAAGAAAAACTAGAGTCTGCATGGCACTTAAGGGGTTTGGTGGATAAAATTATACAAACAAGCAACGGGAGTTTATTCAAGATAAATTTTCTGTTTGTGTGTGTGTGTGTGTGTGTGACAGAAAGAGAGAGAGGAAGAAAATGAGAAAGAAAAAATTCTCCCTTTAAAGATAAGCCTGTACATGAGAATTCTAAAACATAATGAGAAATTTCATGCTAAGAACTTAGGCAAACAAAATAATCAGTATTACGAATATATATTTATTACAAATTAAATCAATTTAAAGAAACAATATGTAAAGACTATGAAACTGATACGTTTAAACAAAGGAAAATTACAAATCAATATCCACAATGTCATTTTCTGCCATTTATCTGCAAAGACCAATAATACTATTTTGAAGAACAAAGTATGGGGACTTGTCCTATTATATATCAACATTTATCCAAAAATGGCAATTAAGACAGAGTGGTCCTGTTGAAATGATTACAAACGGACAAGTAGAACAGACATCCTAGAAACTGGTATATCTATGTGTGAAAACTGAAAATATGAAATAGATGGCAATTCAAATATGAGGGGGAAAGTATAAATGATACCGGAAAATTGGTTATTCGTGTAAAAAAATAAAATTAGATTGTGCATCACAGCAGATCAAAACTAAATCCAGGTGGATAAAAGAACTGGATGTGAAAATCAAAATTGCAACACTTTTAGAATACTATATAGAAAACTGGCTCAATGACTACAAGATGGGAAAGTATGCATTACAAATGATGAAACAATGACAGTATGAAGAAAATAATTCTATCACTGGCTTAGGTTGTAATAAAAAATATTTGGTAACATTACCATAAATGAAGTGGAATGAAAAGTGGAATCTTGGGGAAATTTTATTTGAAAAAATGAATAGCTTAAAAAAGATTAATATATAGAATTGGTAAATAGCTACGAATAAAAATAATGGTTAGTTTATGGATAGTATACCCATAAAATGGGAAACTCTGCAGCTGTTAAATAATAAAGCAGATCTATATTTTTTGATAAGGAAATATATCTATGAAATGTTATTAATGAAATCAAGCAAGATTTAGAACAGTGTGTATAGTATGCTACCTTTGAATATGTGTATTTGAAAAGCACATACATTTTCTGTACTCAGTAGGTTACAAGATGCAACAGGAACGAAACTATTCTTAGGAAAGGAATTTGGCTAAAAAATAAAAGGTAAGACAATACCAGGGGCTAGAAATGGGGTACTTCATACACTGCCAATGTAAACTTAAATTGACATAAACAGGGAGCAATTTCATAGTTTCTAATTAAGTTGAATATGTGCATGTTGTTTGATCCATTAGTTTCACTCTAAGGCATACACCTGGAACAGTGGTTCTCAGAGTGAGCTGGGGACCCTTGGGGAGGTCCTTGAGATGCTTGTAGATGGTCAGGAAAGGACAAGTTAGATTTATATTATTACTAAGATATTATTTGCCTTTTTCACCATATTGACTTGTGTACTAATGGAGTAAAATCAATGACTAAAACTGATAGCACATTAACATGAATCAAGATGGAGTAACAAAACATACTAGTAAACATCTTATTTTTCATGATCACATATTCACAGTGGAAAATAAAAGACAAGAAGAAAAAAGCAAGTTTTATTTAACAATATCTTTAACGAAACAAAAAAATTAGTAACTGCACTAAATCTTAAACCTTGAGAATGTATCTTTAAAAAATATTATTGGTGACAAAATGGGAGGTACACACAAAGTACTTCTACTTTATACCAAAGTAGATAATGTCTTAAGGAAATGCACTTCTGTGATTGAGTTCCAAATTGAACTAGCTGCCTTTATTCATGGACTGCCATTTTAATTGAAAAGATAAATGACAAACCATTGTTTTCTACTTACTAGTTTTTCCTTCTATTTTTAGTTGACATATAATACTTGGATATATTTTTGGGATACTGAGTGGCACTTTGATACATGTATACAATGTGTAATGATCAAATCAGGGTAATTAACATTTTCATCACTTCAAACATTTGTAATTTCTTTGTGATGGGACATTTAAAATCCTCTTTTCTAGCTTTTTGAAAATACACAATAAATTACTGTTAACCATATTGACACTACAGTGCTATAGAGCACTAGAAATTATTCCTCCTATCTAGCTGCAATTTTGTATCCCTTAACCAACCTCTCTTTTATTCCTCCTCCTCATTACCCTCCCAGTCCCTAATAACTACTATTTTATTATCTATTTTTATGAGCTCAGAGCTGTTTTTCAACTCCGACATGTGAGTGAAAACATGTGCTATTTGTCTTTCTGTGTCTGTCTCATTTCATTTAGCACAATGTCCTCCAGGCTTAACCCATGTGGTTGCAAATAACAGGATTTCATTCATTTTTATGCCCAAATAGTATTTCATTATGTATACATACTGGATTTTCTTTATGCATTAACCTGCTGATGGATATTGCATATCTTGGCTATTGTAAATAGTGCTTCAATACACATGGGGGTGTGGGTATCCCTTTGATATATGGATTTTTTAAAAATGTATACCCAATAGTGGAATTGCTGGATCATGTGGTAGTTTTATTTTTAGTTTTTTGAGAAACGTCCATACTGTTTTCAATAATGACTTAATAATTTACATTCCCACCAACAGTATACGAGGGTTATCTTTTTTCCACATATTCACCAGCCTTTGTGGTTTTTTTGTCTTTTTGATGATAGTAATTTTAACTGGGACGAGATGATATCTCATTGTGGTATTAATTTACGTTCACTAATGATTAGTGCTGCTGTACATTTTTTCATATACCTTTGGCCACTTGTATTTTTTTGAAAAATATCTATTCAGATTCTTTGCCTATTTTGTAATGAGAATTTTGTTTTATTTTGTTCCGTAATGTTGTGTTTTGTTTTTTGTTTGTTTGTTTGTTTTGCTTTTGAGTTGAGTTCCTTGTATACTCTGGATATCAGTTCCTTGCTGGATATATAGTTTGTAAATATAGTCCCTCATTCTTCAGATTGTCTCTTTACTCTGTTGATTGTTTCTTTTGCTGTGCAGAAGCTTTTAAGCTTAATGTAGCCTCATTTGTCTATTTTTGTTTGTGTTGCCCAAGCTTTTGAAGTCTTTCCTATAGCATCTTTGCCTACAATAATGTCGTGGAGCTTTCCCTCTATGTTTTCTTCTAGTAGTTTTACAGTTTCAGGTCTTACATTAAAGTATTTTATGTATTTTGAGTTGATTTGTGTTCATTCTTCTGCATATGAGTATCCAGTTTTCCCATCATCGTTGGTTGAGTAAGTTGTTCCTTTTCTAATATATAATCTTGAAGCCTCCTCCAAAAGTTAGTTGGCTTCAAATACATGGATTTATTTCTGGGTTCTCTGTTTTATTCAATTGGTCTATGTTTTCTGTTTCAATACGAATTTCATGGTGTTTTGGCTACTATAGCTTTGTCAAACTATTGTTATTTAGACAAGCTTTTGGCAGACATTTTCTGAGAAATGAAGGGAGTGTACCACTTCAAGGAAAACAAATGAGAGTGTTTGTTGCCAATGATCTTACTTGAAAATTCAAGCAAAAATGGGAATTTTTCAAAAATTTTTATCTACCATGCAATCTTGACCGTTTCCTAATACTTAAAGACTTTTCTGATGAGTTTGGCAATGAAATCCATAAATATAACTTTTTATATTGTATAAATGAAAAGATCTGCGTTTGGAAGGTCTACATACTTTAGGGAACCACCGTTTTCTAAATCACCAATTCAAGATGTTACAAATTAGTCATCAGTAAAAATCCAAAGCACAAGAAAAACAAATGGAGTTTAACGTAAATAAGTATACAACTTTTCATTGATTTGGTTTCAGATTCTACATTGCAAATAACCTTTAAGAAACTACCACCTATTGAGTTTTGGTGTAATATCAAAGAATATCCATAATTACCCAAAAAGGTTATTAAGACACTGCTGTCTTTTCTTACCTCATTTCTGCCTGGGGCTGGATTTTACTGATATACTGCAAAGAAGATGTTTCACTCCAGATTGGATTAGGAAAATTCAGATGGCATTTTTTTTTTTTTTTTGGTCAGAAATCAAAGATATTTTCCAAAATATAAAATGATGTCACATTTCTCACTACATGTCTTATTTTATAATTATAATTATTTTTCCTAAGTGTCATTTATTTTAATATGTAATTGGTTTATTATTATATTTAAATTAGTTAAAACATAAATATATTAACATTTTTTAGTTTTAATTCTTAAAACTAAATACTGATACATATAACCCACATAAACAAAAGAAAGGCTCTTTGAGGTCCACAATAATTTTTAAGAGTGTAAACTGGTCCTGAGACCAAAACATTTTAGAACTGCTGCTCTAGAGAAAATATTTTCAATTGTTGTAAAATATACGTAACACAAAATTTACCATCTTATTTCAAGTTTATAGTTCGGTAGTGTTCAGTATATTCACATTGTTGTGTAACCTACATAAATTCATAAACAGGAACACAAAAAAATGAAAAAGATATTCAATGAAGCATCATTTATAACATCGTTTATAATTGTATTTAGATTGTTTATGTGGGAAGCAATGTATCTATCAAGAGAAAAAAGTTAATTTTATATTAATATCTAGAAATTCTATTGTGTGTTTATACAATGCAATTATATTTTTCCATTGAAATGAACAAATTAAATCTACATATATCAACATCGAGAAATTTCAAAATTATAATGCCATGCAAGAAAGCAAGCTACTGAATAAAGTGTATAGGTGAATATAATTTATCAAAATATGTAATGTATGTAAAGCTTGAAAATATGCAAACAGTGTTGAATATTGATTATTGACACATACACAGGAAGTAGTAATATATAGATGTGTGTAGGAATGATTTATACTTATTCAGAAAAATGATTACTTCTGGAAGGGCATGGAGGGAGATGAATTCAGGCAGGGCCACACTGGGGCTTTAACTGTATCTATAATATCTTTTCCAAAAAAGAAAAGTAGAAAATAACTGAATATAATTAACCAATGTTAATTAACCAAAATTAACCACTCTGTCACCCAGGCTGGAGTGCAGTGGTGCAATCATGGCTCACTGCAGCCTCAACCTCTCGAGTTCAACCAATCCTCCCACCTCAGCCTACTGAGCACCTGAGACCACTGGCACCCGCCAGCATGGCGGTTTTTTAATTTTTATTTTTTTGTAGAGACAGGATCTCTCAATGTTGCCCAGGCTGGTCTGGAACTCCTGGCCTCAAGAAATCCTCCTGCCTTGGCCTCCTAAAGTGCTAGAATTATAGGCATGAACCACTGTGCCCAGCTAGAATTTTCCAAAGATGGAAAGCTGGGTAGTAGTAAAAATATGTTCTCCATGTATCCAAAATACTATTCTATATATCCCCAGTGAGAGAGATTGACAGCAAATAAAAGTATCCTCCTTTCCTTCATTCAGTTGACAAATATTCCTTGAGCACAGGGGATACAATTGTGAGCTAAAATGCATTTCCTGATCTCAAGGGGCTGACATTCCAACAGAACAACCTATATAGACCCAGGCATTGTTCTTATGTTAATGTATTTAAAGATGATCTTTATTTTGAGAGGAATGGGAAGTAGTTTTAAATGGTTTTGAATTTCATCAGACTCTTTTGATCACTGGGCTGAATTGTCGCCCTGGGACTGAGTCCCTACCTTTTCCTTATCACACAATTAAATAAAAAGGTAGAGACATTAATTCATCAGATATTTATTGAGTGCTTGCTATGTTCCGCACGCTGTTCTATGTAAATATAGATACAGCAGTGAACAAGACAAAGTTCCTCTCTTAATGGAGCTTGTAATCAAGTTTGACATCATATAAAATTCAACTATGCATTTATTTATTCAATAAATATTTATTGAATAATCATTATGTGCCAGATACTGTTTTAGAAACTGAGAATCTAAGAGTGAACAAGACAGACTAAGTTTTTTTTTTCTTTTCTTTAGGATATTTCCCTCAAGGGGAGACATACAATAAAAAGACACCAAAAAATAGATACTTGGTAAACAAGTATACAAGGTAACATATAGTCGTAAGTATTATGAAGATAACAGAACAGGGTGATGGTTGTGAGATTGATGGGTAAGAGTTGAGAAACCCTTTCTAATGAGATATTTTCACAGCAATAGGAAATGCATGAGCAAATGAGCCGTGGATTTCTGGCAGAGAAGAGGAAATGCAAATGCTTCTAGGAGGAGCATGCTTAGTGCATTTGAGGAGCAGCATGGAAGCCAGTGTGACTGTCACTGAGTAACCAAGCAGAGCGCTTGGAGCTCAGATCAGTGTGGTAGGAAAGAGCTAGATCATGGAGGAGACTGTCTCAAAGAAGAATATCTCTGTAAATGTCTGTGACACAGTTGTATGCTATAAATATTGCAATGAACTTTCTTCATTTAGCCATTCAAAGGCCCTTGCCCCTGACCTTTTGGTCACATTGAGTGGTTAATGGGGTTATAATCCCAGAAAGTGAAAGTAGAATGGGGTAAAAAATTCCTCTTTGGTTGGGCTTTCACTCTTAGACACTGTTATAGTAAATGAGAGAGAGCCAGGACACAAGAGGTGCACTCAGCTCCATAGGCCAGGTCACCACACAACCTGGAAGAGAGTTCAACCCTGATATTTGTTTATAATCACCTAGTTGCACAAAATGTAAACCTGTCCATGACCATTAGCTCCTCCCTGTGCCTCAAATAATGGGGTTAAAAGAATGGACTCAGAACTAGAGTGTCTATACTATTAGTGAGAGGAGGGGCCAGCTGGACTTCCTGGGTCAAATAGGGGCTCAGAAAGCTGTGAAACTCACTCATTTCCTGCATCAGGACTTCCTTCGGTCCTGGATGGATAATATTGAAGATATATGCTTAAAATATTCCTAACACCAGGATTTGTGCATGTGTTTTCTTCCCCAAGAAAGCTATAAACACTGAAAATTTTGCTCTAAGTTTCCCTGTGTCCTTTCTCCCTCTCTCCCTTCCCCCTCCTCCGAGACTAAAGTAAAAGGAATATTAACTGCCCGTTTTTCTGTGACCAGCAGACCTTATCTATGCTCCCAATTCCAATTCCTTGTAAACATACTTTGTAAAGTCCTGTGAGATCTTGTCTTTTTTGCCATGCCACTGAAAGGTCATAAAATAGATGAAACCTAAGTTGCAATTCCGGTTTTCCTCAAGATCTAAAACATGTCACAGGTGGTTAATTGTCTGTGTTTCTCGCTCTGGTAACATCTTCCCACTGCACGTATTTCCTGCCTTAAAGAGTTTAAAAGGCAATCGTATAATCTAACTCTGGCTACCCGTTCGGGACCCCTTCCACACTGTGGAAGCTTTGTTGTGTCACTCTGCTCAATAAAGCCTACAGCTTTTTCTCTCTCTCGGTCCTTGTCTCCATCACTCGCCGCGGTCCGCCACCACACCAATTCTTTGGCGTGGCTAGGCAAGAACCTTAAGCGTTACATTAGGTTGGTGCAAAAGTAATTGTGTTTTTTTCCTGTTAAAGGTAATGGATTAATAGGACTCTGAATTCATCTTTCTGAGCTGTGTGGCATTAGACAAATGGCTTCATTTCTCTACAGCTCATTCTCCTTACTGATAAAATGGGGCTAATAATCAAATGTTTGCCATAGGGCTGCTGTGAGAGTTAAATGTAATAATTCATGTAAAATCTTAGACTCATACATGCCCCATAGTGTTTTAAAATACTGGCCATCATCATCATTATTGATATTATTATATTTTAATGACAATTATTGTGTGCTTTTTTTTTTTTTTTGTGGAGATGGAGTTTTTCTCTTGTTGCCCAGGCTAGAGTGCAATGGCACAATCTCGGCTCACTGCAAACTCCGCCTCCTGGGTTCAAATTATTCGCCTGCGTCAGCCTCCCCAGTAGCTGGGATTTCAGGCGTGTGCCACCACACCCTGCTAATTTTGTATTTTTAGTAGAGACGGGGTTTCTCCATGTTGGTCAGGCTGGTCTCGAACTCCCGACCTCAGGTGATCCACCCGCCTTAGCCTCCCAAAGTGCTGGGATTACATGTGTGAGCCACCGCACCCGGTGGCAATTATTGTTAACCCAATATCCATTAGATTAATTCATCTTTCATGTGATGTATGAATTTCCTAAATCTGCTTGTTGGGTATCTGCCCTCAACTTTATTCAATTCCTGACATTCCAGCTAATGTGGTCTTTTTAAAGCTTTATGATAATGTACATGCTCTTGCTTAAAAGCCATGTTTTCACAGGGAGTGGTGGCTTATGCCTGTAATCCCAGAACTTTGAGAGGCCAAGGTGGGCAGATTGCCTGAGTCCAGGAGTTCAAGACCAGCCTGGAAAATATGGCGAAACCTCTTCTCTACTAAAAACACAAAACATTAGCTGGATGTGGTGGCATGTGCCTGTAATCTCAGCTACTCAGGAGGCTGAGGTGGGAGAATCACCTGAGCCCAGTAGGTCTAGACTGTAGTAAGCAGAGACTGCACCACTGCAATTTTAGCCTGGGCAACCAGAGTGAGACTGTCTGAAAAAAAAAAAGAAAATAAAAAAAGCAATGTCTCCACTGCCCTTATGATATAAAGATCAACTTCTTAACATGACTTTCAATGTGTGTCATGATCTGTTCGTGGTTTTCTAATTTCACTTCTCATCACTATTTTCCTTGGATGGTTAGTGTCAGCCTCTCTTAACTGTGTTCAATATTCTAGGTGCATGATGCTCATCTGTCTTGGCCTAGAGAAGTTGTTCTTAAACTATGATCTATGGACCAGCCACATCACTATCAGCACCACCAAGGAACTCATAAGAAATGCAAATTATTAGGCTCCACCCCCAACCTATTGAATCAGAAATTATGGGGGCGGGTTCTGGTATATGTTCTTTACGAAAACCAGCAGATGATTCTGTTGCACAATCAAGTTTGAGAACTGCTGGCCTAGATATCTTTTTCCAAGGTCCTCAAGATTTTGCTTGAAGAACGTACAAGAAATTTTCAAGATTTATCGTAGATCTTACCTCTTACTCTCTAAGAAAGCTCCTTGCATTCACCTTCCATTTTATTTGTTCATCTTTCCCTTTAGACTATGATGGTTTGGAAAGCATAGAAGTGTCTTCATAAAATTTGCATACCCAAAATATAGCATAGTACCTTAATGTATCATATGTGGTTCAATAAATTATGTAGCAATAAGTGAAAGAATAAATAAATAAATGAACAGATAGTATGAGAAAATATTATCTTAACAGTGGGCACTATTAGGGAGAGAACCATGTTTAGGAAAATGTTTTCACATGCCACTTATGGGTCAAAAGTGACATCCTGAAGGCATGAATTACAAGGGAATGGAAAAAACAGTTAAATTGCTCTGCATAAGAGGTGAACAAGAATATCTGAAGTTGGATAAATAAAGGATGAGATAACCAAAAGAGAGAGGTTAGCAAATATGACAGAAAGATGAAGAATTTTAGAGAAAAGTTTTGAGTGAGAAAAGTCCAGTGAGGCTTTGAAGAATAGATACATAGAATGTTCATGTCTGGGTTTGTGATATTGCAATAAGAGATGTCCTCTGTTGGTCATCAAGTATACATTAAAGTATAATGAGGCTGTATTCAACATAGCTTGTGTGGCCATGTTGCGGAGATTACTGTGGCACACCATACAAGAAACTATGTGCTGCCCTACAGTAACCTCTCTGTGATGTCTCTAGAGATAACCTAATTGTCAGGAAGAAGGCAGTGGTCCAGAAGTCCCAGGCAGTGGAGCCGAGGAAGGTGCAAGAAGCTGCTTCCACCTGAAAATAATTCAATCATAGATATATCTTTTTTCTTGTTATTCTTGTCATTGTTGCTGCTGCATCTCTCAAATATACTAGATGGGGGCCATCTTAGTAGGTGGAGGACAGGTAATATCAGTGTTACATATTTGATAACTTTAAATTATATTCACAAATTCTCTGATAGGCTTCCTTTCAAGAAGTGAAGCTGAACTCATTTTCAGTATGAGCTAGACTTAGTGACTTGCTTCCAGCAATGAGAATATGGTGGAAGTGATGAGATGTCACTTCCAGTGGGTACAGAAGGACTGTGACTTCCTTCTTGCTGTTCTCCAGCACCCCCTCACAATCAACTCTCTTCCTTTGCCCCCTATCCAGTATCCAGTGAGGAACTGAGGCCACATAAGTGGGCTTGGAAATGAGTCCCTTAACCCCAGTGATGCCTTCAGATGATTGAAGCACTGACCAGCAGCTTGACTTGCAAGATCATGAGAGACTCTGAGCTGTAACCACTCAGCTAAGTAGCTTTTGGATTTCTGACCCATAGAAACAGTGATGTAGCAAGCATTTGTTTTTTAAGCTTCAAAGATGTAAATAATGTGTTACACAGCAATAGATAACGGATACACATATGGTTATCCTATCTTATGAGGAATAAACTGAAATCTCAAGAGGTCAATGGGTTTGTCCCATGAACAAAAAGCTATAAATTCTTAGAGCTGCCATTCAAACCCTAGCCTTGTAACTCCTAATTCATTAGTCCTACCATTATATCAGACTGCCATCAGTCATGTGTAACTTATTTATTATATTCCCAAACCTAGAATATAATTCTAAGGGCATTATTAAATCTTAATCAGAAATATCAAAATATGAAGGTCCATGGTTTAATCATTGTCTTTGTATATCCTAAGCAAGAACATGCGTACCAACTCCAAAACTGCAAAAACTAATTATTAGAACAAGAAAGTAGCAAGGGACTTTCGAGATATCTGTAATAAAGTTTCACTATGTAGACAGAGAGAACCCCTGAGAGAGGAAATTACTGGAAAATGCCACAGCTTGAGTAAGAGATGGAATAAAGACTCACCTCAACTGTACAAAGAAAACGTTTCTGAAATTTAGTTTTAATGTAGTTAGTTCCTTGAGGACAGAGACTTACAAGTTGATGTGCTCAAAGCTTGGCACAATGGCTGGAACAGAATGTCAAGACACTCTTTTGAGACAGAGTCTCGCCCTGTACCCTGGCTGGAGTGCAATGGTGCGATCTTGGCTCACTGAAACCTCCGCCTCCAAGCGATTCTCCTGCTTCAGCCTCCCAAGTAGCTGGGATTACAGATGTGTGCCACCACACCTGGCTAACTTTTGTATCTTTAGTAGAGACGGGGTTTCACCATGTTGGCCAGGCTGGTCTCAAACTCCTGACTTTGTGATCCGCCCGCCTCAGCCTCCCAAAGTTCTGGGATTACAGGCACGAGCCACCGCACCAGGCCCAAAACACTCTTATCTAGCCTCTTGCTAGATTAATAATGCACTCTATTACTTCTGTAAAATATAGTGATGAATGCTCTAAGGCATACTGAAAACTCACAGCTAATTGCCTACCCACTTGTATACATCTGCTTCCACCTGTTGAGTTGTATGCTCACCAACAGCCTTTATGTTCATTTCCAAATCACTTTATGCCAAATGTACAAATTATTATAACTTGATTTGATTGAAAATTATAGAAACTAATTAAATATAAGTTTAAAATGAGAAGTATTCTTTTTATGAAACCTCAAACTATTGGAAAAGATTTGATAAAGGAAATTTGTTAATTAAAAAATTTTTACTATTTTTAATTTTTTTTATAGAATTAGATATGGGAGAGAGTTTAGAAAAAATAAAACAAAAATCTAGAAGCATTCTGCTTAAGGGGTGTCCTCAAGTTTCTGCTACATTTCATAGAAGGTGAAACTTAATATTAGAGATGATGCCTTATCATGTGGTTTACAATGATAAGCTTAGTCAAAGGACCCACGCACATTTAAAAGGCCATGAGAAAGAAAAATGAGGCCAACACAGAGAAACATAAATGTTTGTTTATATTATGTAAAATACATACGTTATCTAAGATAAGTATATGTAATTTGTAAATGATTTTCAGCTTCAGCCAATGTTTTCGATTAATCAACTAAGTATTGGTCACAATTAGATAATAAGGCTTCTGCTGTAATGTATATGAAGTGTGTAATAAATGAATTAATGCCAACTCTGATGAAGTAGATAAAACAAGGCACCCTACAGATGTAAGGCATTTTTCAGTTTATTTGGAAACTTGTCAATACTCATCTAATTTACACCGAAATTTCAACCTTGTTTTTTCATCGTTGTGTAATTAGAAGACATCTGAACAAAAATAAAGAACTTCCAAGTCTTTGTTTGTTTCATGTTGCACTTATCTCCCTCCTTGGCAGGGTAGGTTTCTTTCTTTGGGTGTTTTGTGAAATTTATCCCTTGGCAGCTCTAGTTGATTGGCTTACATACTGGGTGAGAGTTTGTAAGCAGAGTAGTGTTTCCAGTGCCATCTACAATGTGATGGTGGTTTCTGACAAGAGTTTCCAGTGCTGCTAAGCAACCATTACTGATGGCTAAAAATAGGGAACAACTATCATATTTATGGGACTCTGAAAGCTTAAGGAGCTTTTACAAGCCAATTACTTTGGTACATAATTACTATAAGATTCAGCTTTTGAAACGGATTAAAATATATTGTGTGTGAATCTGCAATAATTTTCTACAGCCAAAACTGTTCCTCAGATTAAAGGCTTTGTTTGCATTGATTTCTTTTCTATTTAAAAATATTAATCGTACTTCATCTGGGTAGACATTTTCTTCCCGTGTCCTTATTTCCCTGAATTAAAGAGATGCAATAATATATAAACAATACAAATATGGAGGGTAGATTTGAAACTTCCTTCTGAAGGAACTGTTGATTTCTTCACACTTGTGTCTTTATATATTACCATTTTATCATGAATCCGTTTACCTCTGCATTATTTCATATTTGCATTCATTAACATTAATTATTTATAGTTACCATTTTTTATCTCTTTATCAACCATCCCTCTTTTCATCTGTGCATTTATTTATTGACCTAGCTGCCCTGCAAGTGTCCATCTTCATCAACTCTTTATCTATTTGTCTAGTATCATATAATGTCTTCTCTTTATTTTGAAGTTGTACTTAAAACCATTGCAAAACTTGCATCACTATCCCTTTCTGACTCCTTACATATAAAAAAATGACTTGTAGCACCTAACACGCCCCACAAATAACACATCTAATTTCAAGCTCCATGAGGGCAGAGGACATATATCTCTTTGTGCTCACATTGTGTCTCCAATCCTAGTACAGTGAGTGACTGGCCTTTAATAGTTGCCCAATACATATTCATTAAATGAATGCATAAATATCTCCCATGTGTTTATATCCTTATCCATTTCTCACTCTTTTTGACCATCGCTCCATCAGTTTCTTTCTCGTCATCATCCTTTTATTACCTACTTTCACTTCTACAAGCCTGTCTGTCAGGTTTTTCACTCATCATCCCAACTATTCATCTATCCATTTCTATACCTAAAGCTCCCTATCTGTATCTAAGCAGCTATCTAACATTTTGTTAATATATTACAAGATATTTTTATTTGTTCATAATTGCATCTATGCCTCTTTCATCTCCTTGTCATTCATTAATCCATCATTCTCCACCATGCTTTTAACCTAAGTTATATTGCGTATCGTTTTAATATCGAATGATAAGGTCTGCACAGTTTCCAGTGAAAGGTCCAAAGGAAGGATGACAGAGAGTTTGCACCTTTCTCCATTTATTTTATACGAATTCAATTATACAAATTCAGCAAATAAAAATAAAAAAGAAGAGAAAAAAACAGCAACTTAAGTAGTGCCTGTCACTTCATTTAATGAATGTAGCCAATAAATGAAACATGATATATCGATTCCTAAAGTCCTCCTAATGAGATTACAAAGTTTAAGAACACGTATTCATACAAAACGCCCTTGCAACACAAGCCGACTATTTTTTTGTGTAGCTCACCCAGAAAAACAGCAATTTGTTCCAAATTTTTAGTTAAAAATAGCTATGTCGGTTCTACTAACCAACAGTAGTATGCTTAAGACCACACTCCTATCTCTACACATTCAAAGTCACAGCCACCTAACTGCATATAGTAGAATATTTTTAGCCATTTCAAATATTTTAGCTATTTCAAATGGCTTTTTCTTTTTTATAAGCCACAATTGATTTTACCATCTCAAATTTTTCTGAGCTAACAATCATTTTAATCATTTTATCTAGTCTCTCAGTTTCTTTCATAATGCAGAATCTTCCATTCTGGATCCCCTGTCCTCACACTGTCAGCTGGACTGTTCTGTAGGACTCTTAAATGGCTGCAATGCTGAAATTTCCCTTATTGCTTTATTGGATTCTATGTCTTCATCTTCCTGGCTTTGCATTTTTCCTAGAGGATATTCTCAAAAAACATCTTGAAATACATGAAATGAGCGAAATGAACATGTTCAAGACCTTCCTGCTTGAAACTTTTTTTTTTTTTTTTTTTTTTTTTTTTTTTTTGTTTGAGACGGAGTCTCGCTCTGTCGTCTGTCGCCCAGGCTGGAGTGCAGTGGCGCGATCTCGGCTCACTGCAAGCTCCGCCTCCTGGGTTCACGCCATTCTCCTGCCTCAGCCTCCCGAGTAGCTGGGACTACAGGCGCCCCGCCACAATGCCCGGCTAATTTTCTGTATTTTTAGTAGAGACAGGGTTTCACCATGTTAGCCAGGATGGTCTCGATCTCCTGACCTCGTGATCCACCCCCCCCACAGCCTCCCAAAGTGCTGGGATTACAGGCATGAGCCACCGCGCCCGGCCGAAAAGTTCTTTATTTTCACCTTTACATTTGATAGTTTAGGGAGCAAAAACTTTCTCACATCCGTGCATTTTCTTCTCAAAGTTTGAAGCATTTCTTCATTGGTTTCTCGCATTCAGCATAATTGATGAAAAGTTTGATGTCAGAACTACACATTCTTTTGTACGTAACTGACTGCTTATCAACAACTCCAGTCCTAGCTCCCAGGAACACTTTGTTTTTGTATTTTCTTTGCTGTTATAAAATTTTACAATTATATAGAAAAGAAAGGTTATCAATTTTCATTTATTGTTCTGGGTATTTTGATATGAAAAGTTGTGTCCTCTTTGGGAAAGTCTCTTCTATTATTTACTGAATATGTTTTACTCATAGATTCTGTATTCTCCCTTTATAGAATGCCCAATAATCATATATTAAAACTACGAAACAAAGACTAATTTTATATTTTTCCACATTTTTAATCTTTTTTATGAGATTTATTTAAATTTAATTTCAAGTTTTTATATTAAAAATTTTGTTGGTGATTTTAAATTTCAAAGACATTTTTCTTTTTCCATAGTTGTGTGTTTCTTCCTCCTTTTTTTTTTTGGATTCACTCTCTGGAAACTTACTATAGTTTTTTTATTCTTTTAATTTTGTTTCTTTCGTCTGGACTGATTTGCTTTTTGTTTTTTCTTATTTTCTTTCTGTACATGTTTTTCTTAGATGTGTGGTGATATTTCTTTGTTCATATTTTAGAATGAAGCAGCAAAAACCTACTAGAGACTGTTGTTTACATGGTTGGAGATTTCAAATGATGGGTTTTAGTTTATCATAAAAAAGAGTAGAAGCTTGAATGTATGTTCTGGAACTACTAAATTGCAGAACACCCATTAATTTGCTATGAGCCGAAAATATCCAAACAATAACCTCTGTTTTCTTTAACTAATTTTATTTCTCTAGTGAATAATTTTAATTTTTTTTCAAGCAGTTAAATACATTACTACTAGGATTGTTCCACTTCTGGTGTTACAAGGTGAGAATCTTCTTAGACTTGTGACCCAGTGAAATTGTTGAAAATTATACATATATTTTATATATATGTTGTATTTATTATATATGTACGTGTGTGTGCACGCATGTGCGTGTGTGTCTACATTTAAGTCTCAGGAAATGGTACTAAATGTATATAGCAAATTAAGAAACCTTTATTCCAAAAATCTATTAAAATTCTTCAAGAACAGTGAGAGTCTGTGGTTATTGAACTAAGAACCATTCTCTTTTTCCTCTGTCAGAGCTCAGTGAGCCAGAAACTCCATTCCAGACTGATGCAGCCAAAAATGGAGGAATTCTTCTGCCTCCAGCTTTTAGTCACGGGACTACCCTCCCAGGAAGCATGGGCAGGATGTCGACATTCCTCATCCAGTCCCCAGCTACCTGTTGCTAAATTCTGGGTGAGTGAAACTAAGAAATAGGAGCTTCCTTTTTCTTCCCAGCTCACGCTTGTGAGACTAAGGCTCTACCTTGGGTGAAACACTGCCAAGAATATCGCGTCACTGATTAGCCTTTTCCTCTCTTGCAGGATGGCAACTTCATGCTGGGAGAGGCAAGCAGAAGATCTGAGTCTTCTCCTGGAACTGAGCACCCAGTCTTAAACTGGGAGTGTCGCTCAGGGATAAGTGTGACGTTGTCCCCATTTTCAACTCCAAAGCCATGGCTCAAGGATTTTTCTTGGGAAGAGGAGGCTATAAACAGAGTGCTCCAAATATCGTCCCAAAGAAATTGATTTAATTTGCAACAGAGTGTGGAAAAGTTCACATCTAAAAGTGTTACTGTGGACTGAATTTAGTCCCACCCAAATTTACAAGATGAAGCTCTAACCCCCAACGTGATGGCACTTGGAGATGGAGCCTTTGAGAGATACTTAGGTTTAGACAAGGTCACTGGGGGGGGGCTCTCATTATGAGATTTATAAGAAGAGACACAGGAGCTTATCTGCTTTCTCTCTCTCTCTCTCTTTCTGCCAGCCACGTGAAGACACAGCAAAAAAGCCATCATCTCCAAGCCAGAAAGAGAACCTTTTCCAGAAACGTATCATGCTGGCCTCTTGACATTATATATAACAGAAATGTATTGCACACAGTTTTGGTGACTGGGAAGTCCAAGATAGAGGCACAGGCAGATTTGTTCTCTGGTGAAGACCCACTTCCTGGTTCATAGATGGCAGTTCTATGCCGTACCTTCGTATAATGGATGTGGACAAAAGAACTCTTGGGACCTCTTTTATAAAGTCATTCATCCCATTCATGAAGATTCCACTCTCATGACCTAATCACATCCCATAGGCCCCAGCTCTTAATAACCTCACATTGGATATTGGATTTTAACATATGAATTTTGGGGGGGAGTCACAACCATTGTCTATAGCACCAACTTCAGATAATTGTTAAAAATCACTTCTTCATTGTGGTTTTCTTCCCCTTGTGTTTATTGTTGTGCCTTTTTGTCATTTAGGAGGCTATAAAAACAGCTTGTTTGCTGGAGCTTTGCACATCATTGCTTCATTCAAAAGAGAATCTCAGAAAATTACTGTGATGTCTATAATCTAACAACGAGAATCATGGATGCACTAAGTATATACTGTGAATTTAACTCAGATGCTCATGAACAAATGGTTTCTTTATACTTGTATATCAGCTCCTCTATATTAAAGATGTAGCTAATTAAACATATGTTTATTTTTTATGATTATTTTAGACATTTTTCTTCTTGAGTTTTGCTTGTTCTTTGTTGCTAACCAAATTGTTTGAAAATTCTTAGGAAAATTACTTATACCTACAAATTACGTATGATGTCTAATTTAAACTCTAAACAGACTCTATTTCTCATGTTACATAGTGGAGAAGGTATAACTCCATATGGTTAATTGTTATTTTGAACCTGAAGTCTTAACTTGGTTAACTATATCACCACAGAGTAGATAGATATTCATCAATCTCATGAGCATAAACCAGTAATTACTATTTTAAGTATGAACATATTCTTAGTTTCAGGCATTTTTGTATTAATTAGCTAACCAGTTGTTTTGGCTTCTGATACATCTGTTAGTGGGGAATTTTTTTTAATTCAATACTTAAATGGATTAAAGCCTGCATGTGATTGAGAGATGTGGAAATATTCCTGCATATACACCACATATGTGCAGAATTTAAAGGTTAAACATTTCTATCTCCTATTAAAATATTATGTAATTAAATGCTGAAATTTAAAAAGCTGATTTTTGTTTAAAATACACATGTTCTAAATTTAGAAATTCTAAAATAAAATGTTACTACCTCATTAGTATTTTTCAATTTAAATTAATTTTTTGGTGCTTTTTAGCTTTTAGGTTCAGGGATACATGTTCAAGTTTGTTACATATGTGACTTTCAAACTCTAACTTCAGGAAGTCATTACTTCCAGTAGGTTATGTTCTGGTCATTCATTCCTCTATCACTATTACCACCCACAGAGCTCATATGAGCTATGCTGGCCCTCAACATTTCTGATGGAAGAGAATAAATACATGGTTTTGTTGCTCTCTTTTACAAAATCAAATGTTACTTTACACTAGACCAATGTTTCCTAAGCCTAACTGTGTACCACAAAGCACACTTGGAGAGATTTTTAGTTTGTTTCGTTTGTTTGTTAACTGTAAATTTCCAGATTCTATTTCAAATCTAATGAAAAGGAATCTCTATATGTGGAATTCAGGGAGATATATATATATATATATATATATATTTTTTTTTTTTTTAAGCACGTCTTCTAGTGTTTCTAATGCCACCTTGAGACCACAGAATCATTTGAGGAAACCAATGTAATTGACATTTATTACACTCCTCCACATCAGTATGAAGGGCGTGAGAGCCTAGGTTTTGTAGTGTTCACCACTGAATTCCCAGTATAAAACATAGTATCTGATAGGTCTTAGTCCTTTATTAAACATTAGAATGAGAAAATAAATGAGTTTATGAATTTAATGTCTGTATCACTATAATGCAAGTGGAAGGAACAGGGAACCAGAAAAGACCTCAGCCTAAGAACAAAGGAAGACAACTTAGTGACAATTACCCTGTTATCAATAGAAGAATAATGCCTTAAGGATCTGTCAGGACCATTTGTAGTTGGAAATCTGATTTCAGGAGGCTATAATAGCAGCTTGTGTCCTGGAGCTTTTCACATCATTGCTTTATTCAAGAGAGAATCATAGAAACCTACTGTGATGTCAGTAATCTAGCAAAGAGAATCATGGCTGCACTAAGTATATACTGTGAATTTAACTTAGATGTTCATGAATGAATGGTTTCTTTATACTTGTATATTAAAGATGTAGCTAGTTAAACATATGTTTTTATGTCTAAACCTAAACCTATCATACACATAATGTATGATGTCTAATTTAAACCCTAAACAGATTCTATTTCTCATGTAACACAGTAGATACTTCTGTATTCTCTGATGATTCAGTGATTGTTGTACAAAATGATTTTTAAACTCACACATGTTCCCTAAACCATATCAAGCAGGGTTGATTGATTGTATACCAATCAGCATCATCTTTTTTTTTATTGTGTTCAGAAATGGCAGCATAGGTATTAAAAGCTTATTAACATCCTTACAGGTTGGCTGCAAAACACGCGATCAGTGTCAGCTGTGGCCTGTATAGTCACAAAGGTTTTCTGTTCTTGTTAAAAATTGTACTTTCTGAAGCTTTTAAGAAAATTATATTTTGTAGTTTCTTTTTTGGGGGGCTGGGGGGCATACAAGGAAACAAAACCTCAATTCATGAGCCTTTTAAACATAGTCGTGTTTGTCTCCCTCACAGATGTTTTTATGTTTCTATTTTTTATATATTCTTTTTAACCATTCAATAGAATCAGATGATTCAGTCTTCCTCACCAGCCCATTATTATTAGTCCATTTTTCTACAGATCTTCTCTATAAGATATACAGATGTACCGTATGAACTCATTTCTTCCCTCTCTTTCTGCTTTTGAAATTGATCTCTCCATTATTCTAAGTGGGTTTTGATAATATTCTCTTCATGCAATAATTCCAAACATATTCTTGACATACCTCCTTTGCCCTGAATACCCATAAGCATCATTACTCAAAATAGGGAGGATAGAGCTGTGAGTGGTGACATGGCCTGGATAGGCTATATGTGCCTTTAATATAAATTCAATAATTTAGAACAATAGTTTTCAGAAAAAAGTGTTGATTTTGGTTTTGACTACAGTAATATGAGCATGCAAACAAATTTGGCTATTGAATGATACAAATTATTAAATATTTTCCTGCTTTATGATTTAGCAGATTTGTATGTGTGTGTGCTTAACTTTGCCTTGTAATTTGTTAGCTAGTAATTAAATAAGAGCCAGTTTGTCAAAAACAGAAATGATGAAATTAAATTGCATTATAAATTAAAGCATACATTCCCCTCCTTTGTTTCAAGCTTCAAAAGCTTGTGTAGGCTCAAGTCCTGTGGCCTTAACTACATATTTGGATCTTTACCTGGGTCTTCAAAGTCCATATGCCAGTAATTGAATGTAACCTATTTCCATGCTCCCATTCCCAAATTATCTCCTTTCTTCTACCCATCTAAGACTATATATGTTATCCTCAAGAAATAGAAGTGAAGATCAGACATTGGCCCTCACTATATTGTGAGTGTGCTGAGGTAGAGCCTCCTTATTCAAGGACAGCCTAAACAGATACCTCAGAGTTACCAGGCGTAACTGAAATACAATTGAAAAAATACTATGGTATTCTAGGTTTATACTATTTCTTTTACAACCTGAGTTAATACCATCTCATATAGAAACAAACATTGAAAATATTCTAGAGAAAACTATCCTACTGATAAAAGTGCACACAATTATTACTGAGCCCTATAGCCATGCCAAACAAAGTTAATTTAAAAAAATGGAAGATTAACTTATATTTTTCCTTAAGGTGCACAGTGTCTGACAGGAAAGTTAGATGCACACATAGATATTTGCAATGAAATGTGGTAAGAGCTCTAGCACAGAGCAAGATCAAATAACTCAGCTATGAAAGTCTGAGAACTCATATAGGCACTATTACTCTGCAATAACTAGTCTTTACTAGCATATGAGAAAGGAAAGGATATTCTAGACCTAGTGCACCTGATTTTTAAAGACATAGAATTGTGAACAAAACACATGGAAAATTTTGCAAAGAAGAAAAGGTTCTATGGGCTGAAGTGCAGGATATATATGTTGATGATGGGGGAGGGCAAGAGGAGAGTAGTCAGAAGTGCTAACAAAGAGCAGTTAAGCTCAGTTTTTAAGGGACTTTGCATACTACACTACCACACTTGAACTCTGTTCTGTGGGCAATCGTGAACTATTGCAAACATTTAATCTAGAATGTATTTTTGGTATAGAAATAATTATCTGGATAGAATGTGGAAGATAGGTCAGAAGTGGGATGAGGCCGGAGACGAGGAAAACTAGGAAGCTTGAAGTATCCTATTACTTCAGGTAAAAGTGGGACTAGAGAAAACACGATCAATTGTAATATTACTTCTCGCTTATATTCATTTTCTGTCCTTTCCTTGTATTTCTTTTCTTCACAGTGTTCTCTCTGCAAGTTTCATGTTCATATGTTTGGCATTCACATACACTGATGATTTCTGGAATCTTTTACCAGGCAAATCTGTTGATGCCAATGGATGGTTGCCATGCCCACATCTGACTGCAAAAGCCAGCTTCTCTTTGGAACAAAAGGCCAGATTTGGCTAATCACACTAATAATTTAGAAACAGCTAAATGACTTCCACCTCTTTGCAGGTGGAAGGATAAAGATATTTTCTCTAGAATGCCAAATGCTGAGTCGTGTTTCTGATGAAGTTCCCTTTACTCTTTTACATCAGTAATCTGATGAGCCCCACAGTTTTCTCCTCTCGGTTGTCTTCAAAACCCTTGATGAAATTCCCCTTTGTTATACTGAGATTTATTCTGCAGTATAAGATATTTTTCCCCAATACAAGGACTTTGCAGGGTTTTGTCTGACCAAAATGATAAAGGCACTTAACTGTTCAAGAATTTAAACAAGCACTCCCATCCCCTAAGTGTGCCTAATCCATTTTTAGTATGTTGTTTGCCTCAGTTAACAATAATATTTTGATAGTGTCACGGACTAAACTTCTTTATGCCTGTGGTGAGTTACTGCCGAAGAAAGGTATCAATATTCATATCGCATTCTTAGAGACCCTCCTGTCCTCTCCTTTCCTGTTCTTCCTGTATCTCTATAATTACTTTTTTCAATTATAGCTCCGTGTATGAATAAGTAGGGACTAAGTTTTATAATACATGATTACACATGGATTTGGTCCTGTGAGAATGGGTAGTTGTTAAATCCAAATGCTAACATATTTCAAGGAAAAGAGTGGTGCTTAAAACCAAGGCTGGAGAGAGAAATGCAGCTTAGGGTTTTTTGGGGAGTTCATCCAGGAAACTGAGAAAGGTTGATATCATTATTGAATATCTTTATTCCTTTCCATCTGCCAAAATGTGCCAAGGGAATAATTTTTCCCTGGCTTGATATTTTGGTCTATGTGCCATGTCCCATCAGACATTTCAAGTAGACATTTAAATGGACAAGTGCAATAACTGATAATATCTGTTCCGCACACAAGTGCTTATCTGCCATTGTGACTTTATACAAAACCTACTTGTGCTCTGACTTGATTTACTTTCCTTTAAAGGTGGCTCTAGCACATATAATTTTTTCTGATATTATGAGACTATGTGTTTATTGTCATTGTTGTTTGCAAAACACATCGAAATGATCCCTAAAGAGAGGGATGATTAACTTCTTATAGAAGACAAGAGGGCATGATATCATAATAGCTCATTCTTTAATTATTCAACAAATATTTGAGTGTCCGGTATTGCTAGGCATATAGCTGTTTTCATTAACCTGACAAAATGTCACACGAATAAAGGAATGTTGAGGGTCTCTGTTTTTCTAAAGATCCAGTAAAGGGCCTGATTTTAAAAGGCATTATTTTCTTTTTTGCATACATATTACTTAAATAACATTAAGCAAGTGATAGACAAGAAGATTTCAGATCAGTTACAAAGAATACTTGAACAGAGATAAAAAAGAGCTGTCTAAAAAAAAACTGATGGACTTCCTAGTGATGTGTGCCTGTCATCAATTGACATACTCATATAGGGGCAATTTTTGAAGAGTCTGATGGATTTACTTCCATATTAGGTGGGAGGTTAGACTACATAATGACTCCCAACTATTAGATTCTTTCATTCTATTTATGTCTGTAACGATCTGTGTAGGCAGCCCTTTGTGTCATCTCATACCTGTGTCTTGGAACAAGCCATAGCACTTATTTTTATTTTCCTCCCAGATAAAGAAATAAACAATTTACAGAACATTTGGTTAAAGAATTAGAGGAGAGCAGTTTATATCAGCTGAACATAAAATTTCACTTTAAAATCCCCATCAGATACATTTCTTCTACCCCAAGTGTCTTTTGTTTAACTCTAGTTGCTGGGTTTTCTTTTACTAGCTCCTTCTTTAAGTGGCTGGTACTCCTGATCTTACTTCTTTTCTTCTAAAGACCCAGTACTAGCTCTTGGATCTTCCAAGATATCTGTCTGTTTTTCTCTCTGTTTCTTACGCAAAATTGTTTAAAGACATAAAGTTCTTTCAATACTCAATTTCCACACCTATTAATTATTACAAGGAAATATAGATCTCTCAGTTCTTTCAATACTCAATTTCCACACCTATTAATTATTACAAGGAAATGTAGATCTCTCAGTAACCAGGATTCATCCTTGGAAAATGGAGACACATTTAAGAAAAGTAAACTATGTGTTTCTCCGGCCATATATAAATCATCTTGAACAGTGTATAGCACATTGTAACCATTACATAAATAGCTACTATTATTTATTTTATTTATGTATTCATTCAAAAATACTTATTTTGTGATTACTATGTGTTTAGCACTGTTTTAAACACTGAGGCCATGTCTATGAGCAAAATAGAATGCCTGTCCTTATCAACATTACATTCTAGTAAAAGGAAACACTTAGAAAACATAATACAATATAATATCAAGTAAGTAGGTAATACATATGAAGAAACAACACAGTATGATAAGGGTAAATGTAGAGATGGAGTTAGCTACTTAGAACAGTGTTATTGGGAAAAACTTACTTGAGAAGGCAATTTGAGAGATGAAGTGAGCAAGTGACAGACAGGTATCCCATGTGGAATAGCTACAAGGGGAATAACCAGAAAACACTCTGATTCAAAACTGTTGTTTATTTGAAGTAGTAACAATTGAAATAATTCATTTTATGTAAAATAAAAAGGCATCTTCAAAATAGCTTGTCTAATTTTGGATATATGTCTGTCTGTGTGTGTGTGTGTGTGTGTGTGTGTGTATAATTTAAAAACAGGCAAAACTGAATCAAGTTTAAATGATAAATATACATATATATACACACACACACATATACATATATATGTATACATGTACACAAATGTATATATTTAAAAATTTGTCTTAAATAATCTTTGAAAAGATAATCACGTAGTCAGTGCTCCAAATGCACAATATTTGTGAAGTATTCATGGCAACTCATGGAATACTCTCAAAACTATTCCTTATGTAAAATGTTTGAATGTCAGAAATAAGTATGAGGTCAGGGATATGTTCTGCTCAATGCACTTAATATTGCTTCTTTGAGCCCAGCCCAAGATGTACTTTACTTCGGGAACACTAAATCTCTTTGTCACATCAAGAACCACTCTGTGGAAAAAGGAAAAATTATATGTATCAATTGTTGTATATGTAACCAAAAGCCCTGTCCCTAAATAATGGTTTGTACTGATTTTGGCTATTCTTCATTGGCATGTGTGCTGGTAAACCCCTATTTTCTCAGATAGGCAACCTCTATATAGCTGCCCCAAATATTTTAAGGGTAGAAAAATAACAGAATTGGAGATTTAGTATTTGACACAGAACTTGTTCTGATTAAATATACTAGGTCTTCCAAAAATGAAAAACTTCTTCACATTAACTTCAAATAAAGCCATCCAGCTTTTCCTTGTCGGCTGGGTCCCCATGTTGGATCCCTGATTAATTGCTACTACTAAAATTGAGTGAATGGGAAAGCAATTAAAATGCAGACTCTGCAAACCTGTGCTCATCTGCGAGGGCTTGAGGCAATGGACGGCAGTTGATGGGTAACAGTTTCTAAACAAGAGTTATCACATTTGACAAAAATACAGGGTGTTTCATTAAATTAAAATTTCAGATAAACAATAAATGAGTTTTTAGTATAAGCACGGCCCCCATATTGCGTAAGGCATTCTTATTATTAAAAAGTAGCATTTTTAAAATCTGAAATTCAAATTTAACTGGGCATTCTGTATTTTATTTGGAAATCCTATTCACAACCATTGATACTTGACATGCAGGGTTGAGCAAAGTTGGGCAGCAAAGTGAAGTTCTGAAGAAATGGGGTCAAAGAAGCTTAAGTTTAGAGATCTGGAATCTATACAAACTATGTAAGGGAATGGCAATGGCAATGTTCACTGTGTGCCAAGAATTTTTCTGATTGCTTTATGTGCATTATCTCATTTAGTCCTCATAAAAATCCTTCCACTAAGGTAATGTTATGAGGAAGGAGATCTAGTCAGTAAAGATTGCAGAGCTAATGAATGGCAGAGAAGGAATTTGAACCCAGGGAATCTGTCTACAGAGTCCATGTCCTTCAACCTGCAGCCAGTGTCTCCTATTTTGGTTCAACTTTATAACGAGGCTGGTTTTATAGATTCATTGAAAGGTTCCAAATTCCAGTCTTTTGGATATGTTGAAGAAATAATATGGCCTTAAAGTCGGGAGATGCTTGGGGGTTTCTAATGAGACTATTTACAACTCTTCTGAAACAATCTTTGCACCTGGATTTTGTAAAAATAGAGTTGACATATTCCACCAAGTGGGTTCCATGTTTTGAGGCAGTATGGTACACTGACAAATTACTGGTGCCATTTAACACTCTACATTTTTAAAAATAGAATAACTAGCATTCATTCGTCAGACATTTTCTTAGCACCTATTTTGTGCAAAATCACTGTACTAAAGGCTATAAGAGGATAGGAAATTAAATAAGTCGTAGCCCTTCTTCTCAGAGAATTTACAATTTCACTGGAGAGATAGGCAAGTAAACAACTAAATCTTCAAATACCAGGCAATGTAAAATAAGACCTTTAACAGAAGTGCAAGGAGAGTGCATTGGGGAAACAGAGGGGAGTACATTCTCTTTGAGAGAGAAAGGCAAAAGACTAAAGGATGAAGTGTAGAGACACAAGGCAAATAAAATGACAAAGTTAAAATAAAATTTAAAAACACTAAAAAAAACCAAGCATCTCTATGGTTATTTTGCAATGGAGAAATTAGTAATTCAAACATGCAAAAAGTTGGTAATCATACAGTAACCCTGGTTTAGGAGTAACATAATCCTCTTATCACATTTTGAATCAAAAATTTTTTTCTGATGTCACCTTATACAAACTTTGTAATTAAATTTCTTTATATTTTTAGAACGAATAAACTTGGATTTTATTAATAATTTTAAAGTTGTGTGGTCCCAGCAAACAGACAGGTAGAAGATATATGACTGAATAATGCATGCTATAAAAACAATTGACAAATAAATGATACAGAGAGTCTGAATTGTATATGTTAAAATAAAGCTGCAATTTTATCTGTTAACCTAAAAATAAGACCATTCTAGATTTGAAACATGGTATACATTAATAAATTAAATGATGAATTTTTTATATTTTTTCTATTACATCATGATTTGTGTTACATAGTTATAACACATTATTGAACTTTGCTATTTAATGACAATAGCTTTTCATATGAAAAGCTAGATACGCTTAGGAAATTATGTCTTCCCAGATATTGCTTCTTTCCATTGTGGAAAGCTTTCTTTACCATGTATGCTAAGAAAATATTGATCTATTATTCTCAACTCAGAGAATCCTTCTTGTTTTACATACTAGGAACTTTGCAACCACAGCATAGCCAAAGTGACAGCCATTATAATTTCTGAAAGTCTCTGAAATATAAGCCATGGAAACAAATTGGAAATATTATAGATGATTGTGTAACCTGTCTGTGCCCTAATTTTCTCCCTGAAAAAATGAGAACAATAAGCTGATCTATTTCCTAAGGTAGATTTGGAAATTAAATGAAATAATATACATGAAGTATATACTACAGTACTTAACACAGAATAAAAAAGCACAACTAAATTATTATCTGCCAGAATATAAACTCCATGTGGATAGGGCTTTTTTTTCCACTACTGTAGCCCCCACTCCCAACCACCACCACCCCCCCCAAAAAAAAAACAATCATGAACACATAACAGCTGGACAATAAATAGTTTTGGAATGAGTAGATTTAAGTTGTAGCAGTGTTAGAAATACTCTCCATTTACCTTCATGGATAAGTGTTTTATAAAAGATAATTATCTCTCAGAATTGTGGCCTCTTCATAAATCTGCCTGTGTTAATATTTTATAGCTCATTCAGTAAACATCTGTATGCCAAATACTTGATCTATTACAATAGAAAAGAGGGCTGAGACCCCTAAATCTCCTTAAGCTGATAAGCAACTTTGGGAAAGTCTCAGGATACAAAATCAATGTGCAAAAATCACAAGCATTCTTACACACCAACAACAGAAAAACAGAGAGCCAAATCATGAGTGAACTCCCATTCACAATTGCTTCAAAGAGAATAAAATACCTAGGAATCCAACTTACAAGGGACGTGAAGGACCTCTTCAAGGAGAACTACAAACCACTGCTCAAAGAAATAAAAGAGGATACAAACAAACGGAAGAATATTCCATGCTCATGGATAGGAAGAATCAATATCGTGAAAATGGCCATACTGCCCAAAGTAATTTACAGATTCAATGCCATCCCCATCAAGCTACCAATGACTTTCTTCACAGAATTGGAAAAAACCACTTTAAAGTTCATATGGAACTAAGAAAGAGCCTGCATTTCCAAGACAGTCTTAAGCAAAAAGAACAAAGCTGGAAGCATCACGCTACCTGACTTCAAACTATACTACAAGGCTACAGTAACCAAAACAGCATGGTACTGGTACCAAAACAGATATATAGACCAATGGAACAGAACAGAGGCCTCAGAAATAGTGCCATTCATTTACAACCATCTGATCTTTGACAAACCTGATGAAAACAAGAAAGGAGGAAAGGATTCCCTATTTAATAAATGGTGCTGGGAAAACTGGCTAGCCATACGTAGAAAGCTGAAACTGGATCCCTTCCTTACACCTTATACAAAAATTAATTCCAGATGGATTAAAAACTTAAATGTTAGACCTAAAACCATAAAAACTCTGGAAGAAAAGCTAGACAATACCATTCAGGACATAGGCATGGACAAAGACTTCATGACTAAAACACCAAAAGTAATGGCAACAAAAGCCAAAATAGACAAATGGGATACAGTTAAACTAAAGAGCTTCTGCACGGTAAAAGAAACTACCATCAGAGTGAACAAGCAACCTACAGAATGGGAGAAAATGTTTGCAATCTACTCACCTGACAAAGGGCTAATATCCAGAGTCTACAAAGAACTCAAACAAATTTACAAGAAAAAAACAACCCCATTAAAAAGTGGACAAAGGATAAGAACAGACACTTCTCAAAAGAAGACATCTATGCATCCAACAGACACATGGAAAAAATGCTTACCATCACTCATCATCAGAGAAATGCAAATCAAAACCACAATGAGATATCATCTCACACCAGTTAGAATGGCAATCATTAAAAAGTCAGGAAACAACAGATGCTAGAGAGGATGTGGAGAAATAGGAACGCTGTTGGTGGGAGTGTAAATTGGTTCAACCATTGTGGAAGACAGTGTGGCAATTCCTCAAGGAACTAGAACTAGAATTACCATTTGACCCAGCAATCCTATTACCGGGTATATACCCAAAGGATTATAAATCATGCTACTCTAAAGACACATGCACACGTATGTTTATTGCAGCACTATTCCCAATAGCAAAGACTTGGAATGAACCTAAATGTCCTTCAATGATAGACTGGATTAAGAGAATGTGGCACATATACACCATGGAATACTATGCAGCCAGAAAAAAGGATGAGTTCATGTCCTTCGCAGGGACATGGATGAAGCTGGAAACCATCATTCTCAGCAAACTATCACAAGGACAGAAAACCAAACACCACATGTCCTCACTCATAGGTGGGAACTGAACAATGAGATCACTTGGACACAGGACGGGGAACATCACACACTGGGGCATGTCAGGGGGTGGAGGGTTGGGGGAGGAATAGCATTAGGAGAAATACCTAATGTAAATGATGAGTTGATGGGTGTGGCAAACCAACATGGCACATGAATACCTATGTATCAAACCTGTACATTGTGCACATGTACCCTAGAACTTAAAGTATAATAAAAAATAAATAAAAAGAAAGAAAAGAGGGCTGAGATAAGATTAAGTCTCCAGCATTATAGATGGTGAGTCATTCACTCAGTTATCTATTCATTCATTCATTCAACTGATCATGTATTAAGTGTCAGGCCTTAGAAAGATGTTACAGAAATAAAGGTGAATAAAAATGCACTACTACTTTAGGGGAGCTTTAAGCTTGCATGCTTAGCCAGAAGTAAAAACATAGTTGCAATATGTGCTATAACAGCTACCTATAATGGTAGAGATGCTGAACAAGGGAGAGGGACCAGGGTTGCTTGGAAGCATTCATCTGGGTTCTCACACAATCAACAAATGACTGAAGGCAGGAAAGGCATGGGCCCATAATTAATTGAAGGAACACCTTTAGGAATATCATTTTCTAAAAGACAGATATATTTTTCTTAAAACGGTCTTCAGTTGGTGAAATATCACAGCCTCTCACCTATCTTTCTCTGCAATCTGTTATTTCACTTTGAAGCTCTTTCTACACTCTGATGAAGAAATCTGAGTAAGTCATTCATGTCAGTGCATCAGATAGCTTAGAAGGCTTTGGAGGTTACCTATTTCAGTTGTATTAGTGCTTTGCATTCAGAAAACAATGATCAACGATAGAAGGAAGGCGATATCTCTCAGGCAGGGATTTGTAGAAAGGCTTTACCTGAAGCCTGAATCCATAACTCCTTTGGATCTTGGAACCAAGACCAATTTTTCTTTAGCTCATCAGTTGCTTTCCAGAAATAGAGATGAAGATAAATCAAGTGTCTGGGGCTCAAATATGTGATTCATTTGCAAATGGTAGTATTTTGTAAATGAAACCTCAGTTTAAATTTTCTGGGGATGTATTTTTCTCTCTATGTGCTTAGAAATTTTTGTCTAACACCCTTCAAGCCTAGTTTCTCTCCTTTGACACTACTGAACCATGATAAAGATAATTCCATACTATGTCCATCAATTCAAGTGTAATATATGTGATATTTTCAGCCAAACAATGACATTATTTTCTCATTTTCTATTTGAGAACATAATAGCTTTGTTGGTGTCCTGAGTGCAAAATAAAGTTGAAATATTTTACTTACACCATGAGTTCTAGCTTCTCCGAAACCATACTGCTTAGTTCATCAGGGAAAACATAATCTCACAACGGTCAAAATTGTCCTGAAACATAATAGCAGAGAAGTTTTCAAATGGTGAGCAAAGACTTGTGGCAAAATGAAAGAAGCAACATTTTTAAAACAAATATGTATATAAAACATAAATTTTAATTCTAAAAGCATAATATTAAGAAACTCCAATCTGATTTTTCAGATACACTTTGGACTCCATATTTTTAATCGTTCAATAAATCTTGGTAGAATATAGTGCCAAAAGCCATCATTCATGTGTTTTTGCCTTGTGGAAATTTCAAACTGTTAAGTTGAAGTTTTGGTAAATAAAAGTTAAATCACACATACTGGAATTTGGCCCATACTTGAACGAAGCTCAAATTTTAACAACAGTACTCAGGATGCAAGAAGCTAGTAAAATTTATTTAGTTGAAATCTTGCAAAGAACCTCATAAATGTCATGTGCTGGAAATATATACCAAACAATTAGCGTATACTATGTCTAGGGTAATGGTTGATAATAGCACCATGGCTTCTGCCTTGTTTTGTAACATAAACACAAGGTATAATGGCTCTGGAAAGAATATTTAAGATAGCATATTTGTCTCAATGGCCAGGAGGTAATAATATACCAAAAAGCAGCCCAAGATCCCATGAATTTTGATTGATTACAAATTCAGTTATTTTACGATCACAGGTGCTGTCCTTGGCCTCCGCTCCAACATAATGAATCACCAGAAAATTCAAATGAGAACTGCCAATACCATTAAAAAACATTCGACATAATTCAAACATCTTTTATTTTATCTCTAAATCCCTGCTTCTGAAATAGAAACTTCTTTTTTCACATTTATCTTTTTCACATTATAAATAATTTTTCTTTCTTCCATCAGGCAGGACTTTAAGTACGTCAAATTATTTTTCTCTATTATAACCAAGTTTTACCTTACAACATTGTGCCCTTTTGACAAAATAAATAAATGGCACCACCAAAATCTTGCTTGCCTTGTGAAAGGTCACGCTGGCAATTAGTTGCAGGGTCAGAGTGGAACATAGGGTATCCAAATAATACCCATGAGAAAATCACACTCATCTTTATATTATAAAATAATAGAGAACAGAACTTGTGGGCTGGTATCAGGAATGGAAAGCAAAGGTAAAAGAAAGAGCAACACACAGTGATTATTTATGTTCTAATGAGCCATTTAACTTTCATAACATTATTTCTCAACAGGGGCTATTTGAAGGCACAGATACGTACAGCATAAAAACAGACATTTGGTACATCTTTAGTTTTAAAATTCAATGGGGAGGTTATTAGAAACAAAAACAAGTACAAAAAGTCTCCTTACGAGGGTGGTAATGAATAAATAAACAAAAAGGTTTAGAAACACCGTTGTAGAACATGTCCTAGGTCTGGACCAGAAAAACAAACACATATATTAGCTCCTACATATGAGTGAGAATATAAGATGTTTGGTTTCCCATTCCTGAGTTACCTCACTTAAAATAATAGTCTCCAGTTCCACCCAGGTTGCTGTGGATGCCATTATTTCACTTCTTTCTATGGCTGAGTAGTATACCATTTTATATATATATATATATATATAATTTTCTTCATCCACTCATTGATTGATGGGCTTTTTTTTTTTTTTGCAATTGCAAATCATGCTGCTATAAACATGCATGTGCAAGTATCTTTTTCGTATAATGACATCTTTTCCTCTAGGTAGATACCTAGTAGTGGGATTGCTGGATCAAATGGTAGATCTACTTTTAGTTGTTTAAGGAATCTCCACACTGTTTTTCATAGTGGTTTTTACTAGTTTACATTCTAAACAACAGTGTAAAAGTGTTCCCTTTACACTGCATCCATGCCAACGTTTCTTATTTTTAGATTTTTTAAGTTATGGCCATGCTTGCAGGAGTGAGGTGATATCACATTGTGGTTTTGATATTCTTTTCCCTGATCATTGGTGATGTTGAGCATTTTTTCAAATGTTTGCTGGCTGTTTGTATACTTTCTTTTGAGAATTGCCTATTCGTATCCTTAGCCCACTTTTTGATAGGATTGTTTGTTTTTTCTTGTTGATTTGAGTTCTTTGCAGATTCTGGATATTAGTGTTTTGGCAGATGTATAGACTGTGAATATCTTCTCCCACTCTATGGGTTATCTGTTAACTCTGCTATTTCTTTTGCTATGAAGAAGTTTTTCCATCTATTTATCTTTGTTTTTTGTTGCATTTGTTTTTGGGTTCTTTATCATGAAGTCTTTGCCTAAGCCAATGTCTATAAGGGTTTTTTTGATGTTATTTTCTAGAATTTTTATGATTTCAGGTCTTAAAGTTTTTGATCAATGTTAAGTTGATTTTTGTATAAGGTAAGAGATGAGGATCCAACTTCACTCTTCTACATGTGGCTTGCCAATGAATCCCAGCATCATTTGTTGAATACGGTGTCCCTTCCCCACCTTATGTTTTTGTTTGCTTTGTTGAAGATCAGTTGGCTGTAAGTATTTGGCTTAATTTCTGGGTTCTCTATTCTGTATGACTATTTTTTATACTAGTATCATGTTGTTTTCGTGACTATGGCCTTATAGTGTAGTTTGATATCAGGTAACGTGATGCCTCCAAATTTGTTCTTTTTGCTTAATCTTGCTTTAGCAATGCAGGTTCTTTTTTGATTCCATATGAATTTTAGGATTATTTTGTCTAGTTCTGTGAAGAATTATAGTGGTATTTTGATGGGAATTGCATCAAATTTGTAGAGTGCTTTTGGCAGTATGTTCATTTTCACAATATTTATTCTACCCATACATGAGCATGGGATGTGCTTTCATTTGTTTGTGTCATCTGTGATTTCTTTCAGCAGTGTTTCATAGTTTTCATTGTAGAGGTCATTTACCTCCTTGGTTAGGTATATTCCTAAGTATTTTGGTTTTTTTTTTTTTTTTTTTTTTGCAATTCTTGTAAAAGGGGTTGATTTATTGATTTGATTCTCAGCTTGGTCGTTGTTGGTATATAGCAAAGCTACTGATTTGTGTACATTAACTTTGTATCCTGAAACTTTGCTGAATTCATTTACCAGTTCTAGGAGATTTTCAGATGAATCTTTAGGGTTTTCTAGGTATATGATCATATTATCAACAAACAGCCAAAGTTTGACTTCCTCTTTACCAATTTGGACGCCCTTTATTTTTTTTTCTCTTGTCTGATTGCTTTGGCTAGGACTTCCAGTACTAGGTTGAATAGAAATGGTGACATTGGGCATTCTTGTCTTGTTCCATTTCTCAGGGGGAATAATGCTTTAAACTTTTCCCAGTTCAGTATAATGCTGGCTGTGGATTTGTCATAGATGGCTTTTATTATTTTTAGGTATGTCCCTTCTCTGCTGTTTTTGCTGAGGGTTTTAATCATAAAGTGATGCTGGATTTTGCCAAATGATTTTTCTACATCTATTGAAATAATCATGGGATTTTTGTTTTTAATTCTGTTTATGTGGTATATTACCTTTATTGACTTATGTATGTTGAAACATCCCTGCATCCCTTCCCACTTAATCATGGTGAATTATCTTTTTGATATGCTGTTGGATTCAGTTCATTAGTATTTTGTTAAGGATATTCACATGTATGTTCATCAGGGATATTGTTCTCTAGATTTCTTTTTTTGTTATGTCCTTCCCTGGTTTTGGGAAAAGGGTAATACTGGCTCATAGAATGATTTAGGAAGAATGCCCTCTTGGTCTATCTTTTGGAATAGTGTCAACAGCATTAATACAAATTCTTCTTTGAATATGTGATTGAATTCAGCTATGAATCCATTGGATCCTGGACCTTTTTTGGTGACAATTTTTTTTTTTATCATTTTAATCTCACTGCTTGTTATTGGTCTGTTCAGAGATTCTATATCTTCCTGGTTTAATCTGGAAGGATTGTATATTTCCAGGAATTTATCCTTTTTTCTAGGTTTTTCAGTTTATGTGCATAAAGTTATTCATAAGCAGCCTTTCATAATCTTTTATATTTCTGTGGTATCAGTTGTAATATCTCCTGTTTCATTTCTAATTGAGTTTATTTGGATCTTCTCTCTTCTTGGTTAATCTCACTAATTGTCTATAAATTTTATTTACATTTTCAAAGAACTTGGTTTTTTTTCATTTATTTGTTGGTTTTTATTTTTGTTTCAATTTCCTTTAGTTCTGCTCTGATCTTCGTTATTTCTTTTCTTCTGTTGGGTTTGAATTTGGATTGCTCTTGTTTCTCCAGTTACACGAGGTGTGACCTTAGATTGTCTATTTGTGCTCTTTCAGACTTTGTGATATAGGCATTTAAGACAATGAACTTTCCTCTTAGCACAACCTTTGCTGTATTCCAGAGGATTGATAGGTTGTGTCATTATTATCATTCAGTTCAAATAATTTTTAAATTTTCATCTTGATTTCATTGTTGATCCAATTATCATTCAGAAGCAGATCCTTTAATTTCCATGCATTTGCATGGTTTTAAAAGTTCCTTTTGGAATTGGTTTCCAATTTTATTACACTGTGGTCTGAGAGAGTACATAATATAATTTTGATTTTTTAAAATGTAATGAGACTTGTTTTGTGGCCTATCATATGGTCTGTCTTGGAGAATGTTCCATGTACTAATGAATAGAATGTGTATTCTGCAGTTGTTGGGTAGAATATTCTGTAAGTATCTGTTAAGTCCATTTGTTGTATAGTTATAGTTTAAATATACTGTTTCTTTGTTGACTTTCTGTCTTGATGACCTGTCTAGTGCTGTCAGTGGAGTATTAAAGTCCCCAACTATTATTGTGTTGCCATCTATCTCATTTCTTAGGCCTAATACTAATTGTTTTATAAATTTGGGAGCTCCAGTATTAGGTGCATATATATTTAGAAGTGTAATATTTTCCTGTTGGACTAATCCTTTTAACATTTTATAGTGTCCCTCTTTGTCTTTTTTTAACTATTATTGCTTTAAAGTTTGTTTTGTCTGATATAAGAATAGCTACTTCTGCTCATGTTTGCTGTCCATTTGCATGAAATATATTTTTCCAAACCCTTTACCTTAAGTTTATATGAGTTCTTATGTGTTATGTGAGTCTCCTGAAGACAGCAGAAACTTGGTTAGTGCATTTTTATCCATTCTGCCATTCTGTATCTTTTACCTGGAGCATTTAGGCCA
The DNA here is from genome assembly GCF_000001405.40 of Homo sapiens. Taxonomy (NCBI): domain Eukaryota; kingdom Metazoa; phylum Chordata; class Mammalia; order Primates; family Hominidae; genus Homo; species Homo sapiens. Next base: position 144,062,953 of record NC_000023.11, on the reverse strand, counting down.
TTTACATTCAATGCTAGTATTGAGATATGAGGTACTATTCTATTCATTGTGCCATCTGTTGCCTGAATACCTTGGGTTCTGTTGTTGTTATTGTGTTTGTTTGTTTGTTTTGAGACAGCATCTCACTCTGTCACCCAGGTTGGAGTGCAATGGTGTGATTTCAGCTCACTGTAACCTCTGCCTCCTGGGTTCAAGCGATTCTCCAGCTTCAGCCTCCTAAGCAGCTGGTATTACAGGCACACGCCACCACACCTGGCTACTTTTGTATTTTTAGTAGAGATGGAGTTTCACCATGTTGGCCAGGCTGGTCTCAAACTCCTGACCTCGTGATCCACCTGCCTCAGCCTCCCAAAGTGCTGGGATTACAGGTGTGAGCCACCACACCCAGCCTGTTTTTTTTTTTTTAATTGTGTTATTGTTATATAGGTTCTGTGAGATTTATGCTTTAAGGAGTTTCTATTTTGGTGCATTTCAATTATTTGTTTCAAGATTTAGAGCTCCTTTTAGCAGTTCTTGTACTGCTGGCTTGGTAGTGGCAAATTCTCTCAGCATTTGCTTGTCTGGAAATGACTGTATCTTTCTTTCATTTATGAAGTGTAGTTTTGCTGCATACAAAATTCTTGGCTGATAATTGTTTTGCTTAAAAAGAATAAAGATAGGACCCCCATACTTTCTGGTTTCTAGAGTTTCTGCTGAGACATCCACTGTCAATCTGATAGGTTTTTCTTTATAGGTTACCTGATACTTTTGCCTCACAGCTCTTAAGATTCTTTCCTTCATCTTGACTTTAGATAACATGATGACTATGTGCCCAGGCAACGATCTTTTTGTGATAAATTTCCCAGGTGTTCTTTGAGCCTCTTATATTTGGATGTCTCGATCTCTAGCAAGACCAGGGAAGTTTTCCTCAATTATTCCATCAAATATGTTTACCCAACTTTTAGATTTCTCTTCTTCCTCAGGAACACCAATTATTCTTAGGTTTGTACATTTAACATAGTCCCAAACTTCCTGGAGGCTTTGTTATTTTTTAAAATTCTTTTTTTTTTTTTATCTTTGATGGATTGGGTTAATTCGAAAGCCTTGTCTTCGAGCTCTGAAGTTCTTTCTTCTGCTTGTCTGATTCTATTGCTGAGACTTTACAATGCATTTTGCATTTCTCTAAGTGTGTCGTTGATTTCCAGAAGTTGTAATTGTTATTTATGCTATTTCACTGAATAATTTTCCTTCATAACCTATATCATGTTTTTTATTTCCTTAAGTTCAACTTCACCTTTCTCTGATGCCTCCTTAATTAGCTTAATAATCAACCTTCTGAATTCTTTTTCTTCCAATGCAGAGATTTCATTTTGGTTTTGATCCATTGCTGATGAGCTGGTATGATCTTTTGGAGATGTTAAAGGACCTTGTTTTGTCATATTACCAGAATTGTTTTTCTGGTTCCTTCTCATTTGGGTAGATTATGTCAGAGGGAAGATCTGGGATTCAAAGGCTGCAGTTCAGATTCTTTTGTCCCATGGGGTGCTCCCCTGATATGGTTTCCCTAGGAATGGGTTTTCCTGAGAGCTGAACTGTAGTTACCATTTTTGCTCTTCTGGATCTAGCTACCCAGTGGAGGTACCAGGCTCTGGGCTGGTACTGGGGAGTTTCTGCAAAGAGTCCTGTGATAAGATACATCTTCAGGTCTTACAGCTATGGATACCAGCACCTGCTGTGGTTGAGGTAGCAGAGGAGTGAATTGGACTCTGTGAGGGTCCTTGGTTTAGTGTGCTGGTTTTGTGTTGGTTGGCCTCCAGCCAGAAGGTGGTGTATTCAAGAGTGGTCTTATAGGAAGGATGCAAACTTGTTCTAGGGACACTTGGTTAAGTATCAGGTTTCTCAGATGGTGGGCAGGGCCATAGAGCTCCCAAAAGATTATGACCTTTGTCTTCAGCTTCCAGAGCAGGTATAGAAAGACCACCAGGTGGGGGCAAGGATAGGCATGTCTGAGCTCAGCCTCTCCTTGGGTGGGGCTTCCCAGGCAAAGGCAGTTATGTTCCCAGGGGGATGATGGTTGCCTCTGCTGAGACAGACAGGTCACCAGGGAAGTGAGGGAAAGCCAGCAGTCACAGGCCTCACCCCTCTCCTACCCAGCCTGGAGTCCTAAAAGCTGGTCTCACACCCACTCTTCCCTCTTCAAACAGCACTGAGTTGATTTCCAGGCAGCCAGTGACCAAGGCTGAGAACTTGCCCTAGACCAGAGGCGTCCCCATTGAGAGAGGAAGCCTACTCACAGTTTTTCGGCATCTGGGAGAGCCTGCAGCATGGATCCAGTTCCTTCAAAAGGTCTGTGGATTCTCTTGGCTTTCCTGGTATGTTCCTGCCGTAGTTCTTGGAGCAAAAGTTCACAATATGAGGCTCCACACACTGCTCTGTCCATCTGAGTGGGAGCTGCAAACTAGTCCTGCTTCCTATCCATCATATTAATCCATTTTCTTTCTTGAACCTTTTGTTTATCACTTTATTCTCCAGAGAATAATGTCAATTCTTTCACTGTTATGTCAATGTATTTTGCTTATCTGGATTTCAACTAGTTTGTATGATGATTATATTATTCATTTATAACCACATCAAATATAAATTCACGCGCTGTGTAATCATAATGAAAATCTTTATAATTTTCCATGTTGTCACATTAAATGGAAGGCTTTCAAATTGGTGCCACTATGCTGGTAAGACCAGTGTTCTCTCTCAAAAGCAACAATGGAAATGGTTTTACATGTCCAGCCTTCCTATTAGCTTTAAGTGAATCCACTCCAAAATTGGCTGTACTTGAGCACTCTTATTCAATTCCAGATGATCTCCAAGAAATCTCATTTATCTTAATTTCTACTGATAATAGACACAGATTTTTGGAAAATATCAGAATGAATTGTGCATGCAGAAGAGCTCTTCAAAAACACCTGGATATGTCTGTCCGAGGAATATCCTTTGAAATAGTTACTGGAAACTAAAAGCCATCAATGGAGCTTTTTCTCTCTTCTCAAACTTAAAACTTTTAAATAGAAGCTATTCATCAAAAGTTGTCCACATGATGTATCATCAATAGAAGTTTACTTACCAGGTTGAGTCTCTTCTATCACAGAACACATGCCTAAACTGCAGTGAGTTACAACTCCCCCTAACAAGCATGATTAAGTGGGAACACTGTATGTAAATATCAGCCCAAGTCAAGTATTATCAGGTGGAGATCTACAATAGATGGCTCACTACCTATGGGAAATATTTATTGCCACACTCCTCCACTGGTTTGAAAATTTTGATATTCAAACTGACATTTACCTAGGTATTTATTTTAAATATCTAACGAGCAATTCGTGGAATAAATTAGGTGGCAACAGCTCAGTGGTTGATTTTTAAAACCTCCTAAGAAAGTTTGACTTGCTAGAGTTTTAGCATATTGAATGATGGAAAGAACCAGAAGGGCATTTTTTTGAATACTAATGCAGTTAACATTTATAAATTCAAGTTCTATATATGTTTATTGACTATCTATTCTAGCAGACACTGCTAGGTATTGAGAATAAATGAGACAGGGAATAACACCTGTTTAGGAATACCTCATAGTTTGGTAGAAAAAAAAATGAACATCTATAGCATGTAAAGCACTGTAATAAAATATGAAAAATGTTATATGAAACTGCAAAGAAGAAAGAATCTAAATATGCCCAGAAGAAAAAAATAGACCTTCACAGGGAAATGGAATTTTATTCTTTCATTCATTCAGCAGATAATTAATTTGTACCCATTAAGCACTAAGCAGGAGTGCTAAGCAATGGCCTTTGCTTATTTGCCCTGAGGCAGCAGAACTTGACTTAAGCCTCACGGCCATCTACTCTATAACTAACATGAATCCAATAAATAAAAACAGTCTATAGAAATCATACCTTGTCATTGAGTTCCCATTATGATTTTTTAAATTAGATTAAACAGACCTAACAACCAACTATGTGACAGTCACACAAGATGTTTTATATGAAACGTGCAATTTAATCTTCAATATTAATCATAGTTTGAAAGATAATGGAATTTTATAAACATTTACTTATTAAGTAGTTCCCCAAGAGCAGACATTGTAGTGGATGCTGGGGTCCCAAGAGTAAGATGACATGAATTTTATCTTCATGTAACCCTTGGTCCAGTGAGAAACACACATGTGTATATAATTCCAATATGCTATATTAAGTGCTAAGATAAAAACATGGCAAATGTTACTGTGGAAGCATTCCAATATGTGGGCTATCAGAAGGTCTTCTTGAGGGGTACTTGCTTGAATGAGACTTGAAATGTAGGTGAGTAGGGGTTAGTTAAATGCAGATATAGAGGAAGGACATTCCAGAAGAGAGGTCAGGCTGAGATTATGCATAGAGGTATGATAATGAGAGCTAAGATAGGTGTCATTATCTCCAATACAACGATGAAGGCACTGAGGCTCAATGAAGTTAAAGAACACCTCCCGATACTCCTCCCAGGATTATTCCATCACTAAGTGGTAGAGTCAGGAATAAAACCCTAACCAGTGTGTCTGCAAAGTTCATATTCTTTCCATCACTTTAAGCTACTTCTTCATCAGAATTTAACATTTAATCCTGGAGACTTGGAAGTCTAAGCACTCTAGGGGGAGGAATTAAATTGACTATAAATGCCAAGAAGAAAGGCATAAGACAGTTAAAGGAAATTTAACAATAAAAAGACAAAGAGCAAGTAACAGAAAGTAAACAAAGAAGCAGGAGTGAGAATCCGAGTTATAACATAAATAGTTGTTATTAAATCCTCTTAAGTGCTGTTATTGAGAGAGCTTGAGTAGGTCCAAATTCAGCCTTCTCTAATTTTCACATTGTTTATCTCAATCATTGCAACTTCTGTGTTTCAATAATGTGAAGTCCAATGGAAGCCCTGACTCTTTGATTTACAATTCTTTTTTTTTTTTTTACTGATATATGTCACACATGCAAAAGCCTCCACACTAATTTTCCTGACACTTGTTCGTTGATACAAACATGTTTTATAAAATAATGACTGAATCAGTGGTCTTGAAAGACAGAAGTTCTCCCTGAGCATTAATGGAACCAATCATTATTAACACTGGGCCTTTCCGTCACTTTTTTTATACCTATTTGTCATTATGTAAAGTCAGACAAAACAGAGCCAAACCAAAATGCACACCATCATGTTTCCAGTAGGGAGAACAAAGAAAGCTGGAGATCTTACATTTGCAGGTAAGTCCATTTTGAGGTGGTAGCCAGCTGCTCTTTGATGCATCTACTTGATTGATGATTCAGGAATGGAATTAGTGTGAAGTATCTATCTAGCCCACTGCTGTCCCTGCTGATAGTTGATTTTTAGGATTTGGTGTTGTTTTGCTGCATAATATTACAGAAATGTGATGCACTGTCTTACATTCAAGTAAAAAAGGAATAAAAGGTAATGAGCTATTTAGATCAGTATTGGGGAAATTTATTTGTAAACTGATGTATTGAAAGTGATGCATCCACAATCAGTAACAGCCTAGAACCAGCTAAATATACCACAGTAGAAATAAATTCTAACCAGTTTTCCACTTCTGAACCTCTTTTGTTTTTTCACAAGAGTATGTGTTAATTTCTCTTAATCACCTGGCTTCATTGCTGTTGTATTTCAACTTTTCTCTTTCAGTTCATGAGACAGCTTTTGTCTCTTTACTTTCTTTGTTAATGAAGGGCTGATCATGTACATTCTCTGTTAGAAGCCAGACAAAGAGAATGCAATTCAAACTTTTCTCTTACAGTCAGAAAACACAAATAAGACAAGAGTAGCTGCTGTGGAAATTTGTAAAGTGAAAACAAAAACAAGTGTTTACTGTAGGCTTTCTTCCTCTGCTCTCTCACCACTGCTCCCTCCCTACCTTACAATGAAAGCCACCATCAGCTATTTACATGTTATCCACAAGGAGGCTATATTTAACTTTTGCTTGCTCCAAAATAGCTTTAGCAAATAGCGTTTTGGCATCATACAATATTACCAATGTATATTGCATCATTATGTCCCATCCTCACCACTACCACACAAACATACACATTTTTAAAAAAGTCTTGGGGCTCTGTGTCCAAAATATCAAAAACACTTCTTTAAAAACTTTCCTCAATTAACCAATTTGAAGAAAAAGCAAATTACTTAACTAAATAATGGAGGCCTACTCCCTCAGATACAGTGGTCAGAAGTATCTGTGGCAGATATAGATGCTGAATGGAAATTGAGGTAAGTCTCAATAGAATTAAGGTGGAGGCCTCTTGAATGTTCAGCAGGGTTATGACCATTTCCCCAAATAACTATTCTTTCATAAAAAGGTGCTGGCATATTAAGGGGTTTAATGGAGATTGAAAGTTTGACCACAGGGCATTATATGACAATGTAATCTAATTTTTCCACCATAAACTATGTACTATTCAAACTTGAAGTGATAAAAATCAGGCCCAGCAATAAATAAGTTACCATCAGGTAGAAGTATTATTATTATTATTATTATTATTATTATTATTATTATTTTGAGATGGGCTAGAGTGCAGTGGCACGATCTCAGCTCACTGCAACCTCCACCTCCTGGGTTCAAGCGATTCTCCCGCCTCAGCCTCCCGAGTAGAGAAGTATGATTTATAAGGCATGTCTTGAGCAGATCCAGCAGGAAAAATAAGTTGTAGGAGCAGATAACTTACATTCCCAATGTGACTACTCCTGCTAAATGGCTATAACTCTCTCAGCCCACATCTATTTCCTCCTAGCTAGTTCCTAACGGCCAGTTGACTGCAGAAAAGGAAATATTTGTGGCTGTTACAGATGGAGCCCCACTAGTAGAAAGTGGACTGTGGGGGTGCTAACCTCCCACTCAGGAGTGGCCCTAAAAGACACAGTTGAATAAAATCCTCCAAATAAACGTAATTTTAAACATTACATTTTGTGGTCCAGTTTTTCTAGAAGGAAAGCTTAAAATATAAATTCACGGCCATTGCTGTATGATCAGGGATTTGGAAAGAATAGAATTGGAAGTTTGGTGATACGGAGTTCTACAGAAGAGGTATGTAAATAGACCTCTCAGAATGGGCACCTAGGTTGAACATAAAATTTCTGTCCCCTATAAAGGCTCACTAAAGTTCATCCAGAGTAGAGGCGTCTCAATAATCAGATGGACAAAATGGCACATTTTGCGTATATTGAGGGAATCACTATCCTTCTGCTGTTTGCTGAATGGGCTCATGAACGAAGAAGACGTAATGCCTAGAATGAAGGTAATTTATAGGCTTTCCTTCACCAAGATGATCTGGTTCCCACAACTCCTGAGTGCCCAAACTGCCAATAATAAAGCTTAACACTCTGTCTCTTTTATGGCACTATAAATAATCCAGCTACTGGAAGCAAGATTAGTCTTTCTAGATTCCTTCCATCATTGTGGAGCTATAATATTCACATTGGAATGAAATTTATTTGGGATTTGCATATTGTTACCCTTCTGGTCTGAAAATTTATCAGTTACTTTAATGTTTTATGATGCTCTCCAAAATAATGGCTAACTCTTCCTAAAAAAGTGCAATATGTACTGTTGCCTATGAAATTAAATGGCCTATAGCACAAAAGCAGCTGCCCATATGAAATGCTAAACTGACCAAATGAAGACCCAATGAAGGAAGCAGCAAGGTCATAACTTTTGGAGTTTGGAGGGCTGTCCTACACAATGCTGTATACAGTGTAAATCAGAAGCAAAATTATAGTGTTGTTTCTCCCACACCAGAATACATGGATCCTGGAATCATGGAATGGGATGAGACGGAAATGAGACATGGTCCATTATTTGAATCTATATCAAGTCACAGACTGGAGCTAATGTCCTCTCTAGTCAAATGGCCAGAGACTTGGGAAGAATAAGATTTGAAAACACAAGACAAGGAGATCTGGGGAAGAAGTGTGCCTAAGATCATTTCAGAAAACTCTGAGTGTAAGAATATTTGCAGCCCATGTAAATCTCAGAGAAAGATCTTAATTGCAGAGAAGGCTCTAACTTTTATGAACTACTTCACGTGTACAAAAAAGGAATTCAAAGATATAACAAAAACCTCTGTACCCACTAACCAGATTAAGAAATAAAGCATCACCAGTACTGTTTGTTTGTTTTGTTTTGTTTTGAGATGGAGTCTTGCTCTGTTGCCCAGGCTGGAGTGCAGTGACACAATCTCGGCTCACTGCAACCTCTGCCTCCTGCGTTCAAGCAATTCTCCTCCCACAGCCTCCTGAGTAGCTGGGATTACAGGCACACACCACAAGGCCTGGCTAATTTGTTTTTCTATTTTTAGTAGAGACGGGGTTTCGCCATGTTGGCCAGGCTGGTCTTGAACTCCTGACCTCAAGTGATCTGCCCGCCTTGGCCTCCCAAAATGCTGGGATTACAGGCGTGAGCCACAGTGCTCAGCCCATAAGCATCACCAGTGCTCTTTAAAGTACCTAGGCAATGTTTCATGATTTCATTATCCATACTCTCTATACCCTCCCTCAAAAGAAACTATTTTGAATTTATTTATTTACCTGTTTATTACATATGAAGATATGGGTGGGAAGATAAATTTTTGTTTATTACATCAACAAAAATATACATAACATTTATTCTTATGTTTTTACATTTTATATAAATGTGAATATATTATCTGGCTCCCTCTGCAAATCAACTTGCTTTTATGTATTTATTCGTATATTGTTCGTATGTGTTGATTCATATGTGTGGGTGTGTGTTTTCTTAAACTTTTATGTTCAGGGGTACAAGCGCAGATTTGTTACACAGGTAAGCTTGTGTCATGGGGATTTTTTGTACAGATCATTTCTTCATGCAGGTATTAAGCTAGAACCCATTGGTTATTTTTTCTGATTCTCTCCCTCCTCCCACCCTCCACCCTTCAATAGGCTCCAGTGTGTGTTCCCCTCTATGTATCCACATGTTATTATTTAGCTCCCACTCTTACGTGAAAACATGTATTGTTCGGTTTTCTGTTCCTGCACTAGTTTGCTAAGGATAATGACCTCTAATTCCAACCATGTCCCTACAGAGGACATAATCTCCTACTTTTATATGGCTGCATAACAGTCCATGGTGTATATGTACCACATTTTCTTTGTCCAGTCTATCATTGACAGGCATTGAGGTTGATTCCATGTCTTTGCTATTGTGAATAGTGCTTCAATGAACATATGCTTACATGTATCTTTAGAATAGAATGATTTATATTCTTTTGGGTTAATGTGATTGCTGAGCAAAATGGTATTTTTGTCTTTATGTGTTTGAGGAATCGCCACACTGTTTTCCACAATGGCTAAACTAATTTACACTCCCACCAACAGTGTATTAGTCTTCCTTTTTCTCCAAAACCTCACAAGCATATGGTTTTTTTTGTTTTTGTTTTTGTTTTTTGTTTTTTTACTTTTTAATAATAGCCATTCTTGGAAACCATCATTCTCAGCAAACTATCACAAGGACAGAAAACCAAACACCACATGTTCTCAATCATAGGTGGGAGTTGAACAATGAGAACACATGGACACAGGGCAGGGAACATCACACACTGGGGCCTGTCAGGCGGTGGGGGGCTGGGGGAGGAATAGCATTAGAAGAAATGCCTAATGTAAATGATGAGTTGATGGGTACAGCAAACCAACGTGGCATATATATACCTACGTAACAAACCTGCACATTGTGCACATGTACCCTAGAACTTAAAAGTATAATTTAAAAAATAGCCATTCTGACTGGTGCGAGATGGTATTTCATTGTGGTTTTTCATTTTTCTAATGTTGATTTTTTTTCATATGACCGTTGGTTGCATATATGTCTTCTTTTGAAAAATATCTGCTAATGTCATTTGCCCACTTTTTAATGGGGTGGTTTGTTATTTTCTTGTAAATTTGGTTAACTTCCTTACAGAAGCTGGATATTAGACCTTTTTAAGATGTATAGTTTGCAAAAGTGTTCTCCCATTCTGTAAGTTGTCTGTTTACACTGTTGATAGTTCCTTTTGCTGTGCGGAAGCTCTTTAGTTTAATTAGATCCCATTTGTCTAATTTTGCATTTGTTGCAATTGCTTTTGGTGTCGTCAATGTGAAATATTTGCCCATGTCTGTTTCCTGAATGATATAGCCTAAATTTTCTTCCAGGCTTTTTATAGCTTTTGGTTTTAGGTTTAAGTTTTTAATTCACCTTGAGTTGATTTTTGTATATGGTATAAGGACGTGGTCCAGTTTCAATCTTCTGCATATGGCTAGCCAGTTATCATAGCACCATTTATTAAGTAGGGAATTGTTTTCCCATTGCCTGTCTTTGTCAGGTTAGTTTAAGTTTTGAATAGTTGTAGGTGTGTGGTCTTATTTCTGGGTTCTCTGTTCTGTTCCATTGGTCTATTTGTTTGTTTTTGTACAAGTACTGTGCTGTTTTGGATACTGTAGCCCTGTAGTATAGTTTAAATTCAGGTAGCATGAAGACTCCAGCTTTGTTCCTTTTGCTTAAAATTTCTTTGGCTATTCGATATCCTTTTTGGTTCCATATGGATTTCAAAGTAGTTTTCTCTAGTTCTGTGAAGAATGTCAACGGTAGTTTAATAGGAATAACATTGCATCTGTAAATTCTTTGGGGCAATATAATCATTTTAACAATATTGATTCTTATTACCATGAGCAAGGAAAGTTCTTCCATTTGTTTGTGTCATCTCTGATTTTTTTGAGCAGTGCTTTGTAGTTCTCCTTTTGGAGAACTTTTACCTCCCTAGTTAGCTGTATTTCTAGGTATTTTGCTTTTTTTGTCGCAATTGTGAATGAGTTTGTTCCTAATTTGCCTCTCAGCTTGACTGTTACTGGTGTATAGAAATGCTAGTGATTTTTTCAGTCTGATTTTTCTATCCAGAGATATTGCTGAAGTGGTGTATCAGCTTAAGAAGCTTTTGTTCTGAGCCTACAGGGTTTTCTAGATAGAGAATAATGTCATCTGCAAACAGGGATAGTTTGACTTTCTCTCTTTCTATTTGGATGTCCTCTATTTTTTTTTCTTTCGCCTGATTGCCCTGGCCATGACTTCCAATAATATGTTAAATATGAGTGGTGAGAGAAGACACCTTTGACTTGTGCCAGCTTTCAAGGGGAATGATTTCAACTTTGGCCCTCTCAGTATGATGTTGGCTGTGGTGTGTCACAGATTGCTCTTACTGTTTTGAGGTATATGTTCCTTCAATATCTAGTTTATAGAGAGTTTTTAACATGAATAGATGTTAAATGTTATCAAAAGCATTTTCTGCATTTATTGAGAAAATCATGGTTTTTTTATTTAGTTCTGTTCATGTGGTGAATAACAATTATTGATTTGCTTATGTTGAGCCCACCTTGCATAGTGTGGATGAAGCCTATTTGATCATGGTGAATAAGCTTTTTGATGTGTTGCTGGATTCAGTTTGCCAGTATTTTGTTAAGGATTTTTGCATCCATGTTCATCAAGGATATGGGCCTGAAGTTTCCTTTCTTGTTGTTGTATCTCTGCCAGGTTTTGCTTTCATGATAATGCTGGTCTCATACAATGAGTAAGGGAGGAGTCCCTCCTCCTCAAATATTTGGAATAGTTTCAGGAGAAATGGTTCCAGCTCCTCTTTGTACATCTGGTAGAATTCAGGTGGGAATCCGTCTTGTCCTGGGCTTTTTTTTTTTGGTTGGTAGATTACTTATTACTGGCTCAATTTCAGAACCAGTTTTATTATTTTTCTGTTAAGAAATTGAATAATTTCTTCCTAGTTCAGTTTTGAAAAGGTGTATGTGTCCAGGAATTTATCAATTTCTTGTAGATTTTCTAGTTTATGTGCATAGAGGTTTCATAATATTGTTTGATGGTTGTTTGTAGTTCTGTGGGGTCAGTGGTAATATCTGCCTTGTTGTTTTTTATTGTGTTCATTTGAATCTTTTCTCTTCTCTTCTTTAGTAGTCTAGCTAGCAATCTATCTATTTTATTGACTTAAAAAAAAAAAAAAAGCTCCTGGATCCATTTAGTTTTTGAATGGCTTTCCGTGTCTCTATCTCCTTTAGTTCAGCTCTGATTTTCGTTATTTCTTGTTTTCTGCTAACTTTGGGTTTTGTTTACTCTTGTTTCTCTAGTTCTTTTAGTTGTGACGTTAGGTTGTTAACTTGAGATAGTTCTAACATTTTGGTTTGGGCATTTCGTGCTTGAAATTTCCCTTTTGACCCTACCTCAGCTGTGTCCCAGAGATTCTGGTACATTTTATCTTTGTTCTCATTAGTTTCAAAATACTTTTTCATTGCTGCCTTGATTTCATTATTTACCCCAAAGTTATTCAGGAGCAGGTTGTTCAATTTCCGTGTAATTGTATTGTTTTGAGTAAATTTCTTAGTCTTGATTTCTAATTTGATTGTGCTGTGGTCTGAGAGAGTGGTTGTTATGATTTCAGTTCTTTTGCATTTGCTGAGCAGTATATTACTTCTGATTATGTGATCAGTTTTACCATAAGTGCCACGGGACAATGAGAAGAATGTATTTTCTGTTGTTTTTGGGTGTAGAGTTCTGTAGATATCTATCAGATCAATTTGATTCAGTGCTGAATATCTTTGTTAATTTCCTGTCTCAATGATCTGTCTAATATTGTCAGTGGGGTGTTAAAATCTCCCACTGTAAATGTGTGGAAGTCTAAGTCTCTTTGAAGTACTCTTAGAACTCGCTTTATGAATCTCGGCTCTCCTGTGTTGGGTGCATATATATTTAGGATATTTGTTGAATATCCTTGTTGAATTGAACCCTTTACCATTATATAATGCCCTTCTTCTTCTTTTTTGATGTTTTCTGGTTTAAAGTCTGTTTTTTCAGAAACTAGGATTGTGACCCCTAATTTTTTCTGTTTTTCATGTTCTTAGTAAATTTTCCTCCATTCCTTTATTTTGAGCCTATATGTGTACATGTGAAATGGGTCTCTTGAGACACCATGCCAATGGATCTTAATTCTTTATCCAGCTTATTACTCTGTGTCTTTTAATTGGGTCATTTAGCCCATTTACATTTAATATTAGCATTGATATGTGTGGATTAGATCCTGTCACCATGATATTAGCTGGTTATTTTGCAGACTTGTTTATGTGGTTGCTTCATAGTGTCACTGGTCTGTGTACTTCAGTGTGTTTTTCTTCAGTGGCTGGTAATGGTCTTACCTTTCCATATTTAGTGCTCCCTTCAGGAGCTCTTGTAAGGCAGTTCTGGTGGTAATAAATTCTCTCAGCATTTGCTTGTCCGAAAAGAATCTTATTTCTCCTTTGCTTATGAAGCTTAGTTTGGCTGGATATATAATTCTGGAAAGGAATTTCTCTTTAAAAATGTTAAATATTGCCCTCCAATCTCTTCTGGCTTTTATAGTTTCAGCTGAGAGGTCTGCTGTTAGTCTGATGGGTTTCCATTTGTAAGTGACCTGGCCTTTCTTTCTAGCTGCCTTTAACATTTTTTCTTTCATTTCAACCTTGGAGAATCTGGTGATTATGTGTCTTGGTGATGGTCTTCTCCTGGAGTGTCTTACTAGGGTCTCTGCATTTCCTGAATTTGAATGTTCGCCTCTCTAGCTATGTTGGGGAAGGTTTTATGAATGATATTCTAAAATATGTTTTCTAAGTTGGTTCCATTTTCCCCATCTCTTTCAGGCACAACAGTCAGTCACAGATTCAGTCTCATTACATAATCACACATTTCTCAGTGGCTTTGTTATTTCCTTTTTATTCTTTTTTCTCTATTCTTGTCTGCCTGTCTCATTTCAGAAAGGAAGTCTTCAAGCTCTAAGACTCATTCTTCTGCTTGGTCTCTTCTGCTATTCCTACTTGTGATTGCATTGTGAAATTCTTGTAGTGTGTTTTTCAGCTCTATCATGTCATTTGCATTCCTCTCTATACTGGCTATTTTGTCTGATAGATTCTGCAATTTTTTTCATTATTTTAACCAATATTTATTTAAAGTTTCCAAAGCAATACCATGACACTCTGCTAAACTGCAGGTGAAAGATGCAGCCAGAAAGCAGACACCTGTCCTCATGGAGCTTACCATCTCATTGGGGAAACAATTAGTAAGTAGACAAATAAATATAAAGTTAGTGTCTTAATAGACAGCTAAGACAATTTTTAGGGAGAAATTATATTCTTCTTTAACCTTTGTGATGACAGTTTTTTTAATTTTTAAATTTTATTTCAATAGTTTTGGGGAAACAGGTGGTGCTTGGTTGCATGGAAGAGTTCTTTAGTGGTGATTTCTGAGATTTTGGTTCACCTATTACCCAAGCAGTAAACACTGTACCCATTGTGTAGTCTTTTATCACTAACCACCTCCTTACTTCCCCCTGAGTCCCCAAAGTCCACTATAATAGTCTTATGTCTTTGTACCCTCATAGTTTAGCTTATAACTCAGGACATACAATGTTTGGTTTTCCATTCCCAAGTTACTTCACTTACAATAATGGTCTCCATCTCCATCCAGGTTACTGCAAATGTCATTATTTCATTCCTTTTTATGGTTGAATAGTATTGCATGGTGTATACATACCATATTTCCTTTATTCATTTGTTGCTTGATGAGCATTTAGGCTGGTTCTATATTTTTGCAATTGTGAATTTTGCTGCTATAAATATGCCTGTACAAGTGTATTTTTGTATAACGACTTTTTTTCTCCTCTGGGTAGATACCTAGTAGTGGGATTGCTGGATCAAATGGTGATTCTACTTTTAGTTCTTTAAGGAATTTCCATACTGTTTTCCATAGTGGTTGTACTAGTTTACATTCCCACCAGCAGTGTAAAAGTGTTCCCTTCTCACCACATCTATGCCAACATGTGTTATTTATTGATTTTTTAATTATGATCATTTTTGCAGGAGTAAGGTCATATCTCATTGTGGTTTTGATTTGGATTTCCCTGATAATTAGTGATGTTGAGCATTTTTTTCTTATGTTTGTTGACCATTTGTATATCTTCTTTTGAGAACTGACCATTCATGTCCTTTGCCCACTTATCGATGGGTTCATTTGTTTGTGTTCTTGCTGATTTGTATGATTTCCTTGTAGAATCTAGATGTTAGTCTTTTGTCAGATGCATCGTTTGTGAATATTTTCTTTCACTCTGTAGGTTGTCTGCTAACTCTGCTGATTATTTCTTTTTCTGTGCAGAAGCTTTTTAATTTAATTAAATCCCATCTATTTATCTTTTTTTTTTTGCATTTGCTTTTGGGTTATTGGTCATGAAGTCTTTTCCTAAGCCAGTGTTTAGAAGAGTGTTTTCTATGCTATCTTCTGTAATTTTTGTGTTTTTAGGTCTGAGATTTAAGTCTTTCATCCATGTTGAGTTGATTTTTCTGTAAGGTGAGAGATGAAGATCCAGCTTCACTCTTCTACGTGTGGCTTGCCAATTATACCAGCACCATTTGTTGAGTAGGGTATGTTTTTCCCACTTTATGTTTTCGTTTGCTTTGTCAAAGATCAGTTAGCTGCAAATATTTGGCTTTATTTCTGGCTTCTCTATTCTGTTCCATTGATCTATGTGCCTATTTTTATACCAGTAGCATGCTGTTTTGGTAACTATAGTCTTGTAGTATAGTTTGACATTGGTTAATATAATGCCTACAGATTTGTTCTTTTTGCTTAGTCTTGCTTTGGCTATGTGGCATCTCTTTTGGTTCCGTATGAATGTTAGAATTGTTTTTTCTAGTTCTTTGAAGAATGATGATGGTATTTTGATGGTAATTGCATTGAATTTGTCAAGTGTTTTTGGTGCTGTGTTCATTTTCAAAATATTGATTCTAACCATCCATGAGCATGGGATGTGTTTCCATTTGTTTGTGTCATCTATGATTTCTTTCAGCAGTGTTTTGCAGTTTTCCTTGTAGAGATCTTTCACGTGTTGGTTTAGGTACATTCCTAAATATTTCATTTTTTTTGCAGGTGTTGTAATGTATTATCATGATTTTTAGCTTCCTTGCACTGAGTTACAATGTACTCCTTTAGCTCAGTGAACTTTCTTCCTATTTATATTCTACTTCTATCATTTCAGCCATCTCAGCTTCAGCTCGGTTTCCAACCCTGTTGGAGAGGTAATGCAGTCATTTGGAGGGAAGAGGGCACTCTGGAATGGCTGCTCTGCTGAGACTCTACATAACTCTGGGTATCAGACTGAAGGCCCCAGTGGAGTGGGTTCATGAGGGGATCTCCTGACATATGGGCTGCAAAGATCCATGGGAGAATCATGGTTTCCTGGGTCACACATTCACTCCCCACTTTCCTGGGTTGAGAAGATTCCCTTGGCTCTGTGTTGCTCCCAGTTGAGCCGTCACCCTGCCTTGCTTTTCTCCATTCTCCATGAGTTGAGTTGTTTCCTTGATTAGTCCCAATGTGAGTACCTGAATGTTTCATTTGAAGGTGCTTTATTTACTCATCCCTTCCATTCCTATCCATGAGAGTCATGCACCCTAGCTTCTTCTAGTTGGCTGCCTTGGCCACTCATCCAATGAAACTCTTATTTATTTATATTTTTGCTCAAGATAAGAACACCCCATGATAAATTTTCACTTATGTATAGTATTACAATATGTTAATTTATTATGATTATAGTTATTCATGTTCCTTTTGAGTGCCATATAGGTTGTTTTAATTTATTTTTGCCATCACAAATAATTCTGTATTTTTTTTTACCTGTCTTCTTGTGAACTAAATTTATCTTGGGTAGTCTCTGTAACTGATTATATTGTTTGAGAAAAAAAACCTTCATTTCTCACCACCAATTTGTACTTAATATAGTGCATCATAAATACGCACACATATATATGCATTCACATATATGCATATGTATACATATATGTATGCACATATATGTATATGTGTGTATATAATGAAAGATTTATTAGGTTATACAGTCTATGGGTTTTTTTTTTCTTCTGAGTTTTGTTCTTCAACAAATGGTGGTGGGATAATTGGCAAGCCACATGTAGAAGAATGAAGCTGGATCCTCATCTCTGACCTTATAAAAAAATCAACTCAACATGGAACAAAGACTTAAATCTAAGACCTAAAAACATAAAAATTACAGAGGATAACATCAAAAAACCCCTTCTAAACATTGGCTTAGGAAAAGACTTCGTGACCGATAACCCAAAAGCAAATGCAACAAAAACAAAGATAAATAGATGGGACTTAATTAAAGGCAGATAGGTGGTCAGGGAGAACATATTGGAAGTGAAATGGGGGAGAGCAAGAGAACACTGGAATCTATAAGGATGAGCAGGAACTCATAAAGATGAGTTGGAACCCACGTTGATGTCTCACTGCCTCCAGCTTACACAATGTAGGTGTCTTGCAGAAGAAGCTGGTGCCCTGAATCATGGATCTAAATCCATACCTGGAATAGGTATTGGGGAAGCTGAAGAGTAGATCTTACAGGCACTGTAGGACCTGTAGGCCTAGCTGCTACTGCAAATAGAGAAAGTAAGCCAGTAGACAAACTTCATGCCTGAACTTCAACTGTGCCTTTGGCTTAACTTCAACCTTCTGAACATAAAAACAATATAATTTACATTAAATTTCTGCCTTACCAATGACATGCAAGATACCTTTTAAAGCCCATGGTAACTTAGACCTATGGTGGGAGGAAAATCCTGGGAAACAGAGTTCAACTTTTAGTAATAAAATACAATATAAATTTACCAAATTAACCATATTTTATATTCCTTTCTTTTTTGTCTCAGTTTTATCTCCATTTCTCCTACTATTGACATAGGTTTACTGACGGTAATCATATTTCACATATTAGTCCATGAGTTGAAGAGCACTGTGAATGGCCACAGGAGCATTAGGAATGGAAGGAAAAACACCAAGAGATCCTGACTTGAAAATGAAAGAAATAATTCAGGAGAATTTGAGTCTTCATTTAGAGAGGAGATAAGTGTGTTTTGGGTTGTATAATGAAGAGTTGCATCACGTTGAGAAGGACGTTGTTTTGGAAAGATTAAGGAAAGGAGCGGTGCAGACTGTTGATCATGTTGGACACTAACATCTAGTGATTGTGTACAAAAAAGGGGAAAACATTCCTTTTGGGGGACTTTCTCTTTGTGAGTAGATTCAGTGGGAAGGAGTTTCCTCATACCTGACTCCTATTGTGTAGAAAAAACAGTAAAGTCCCTCTAACTACTTTAAAATAATTCTTGGCACTCTGAAACTTCAGTGAATTTTATAATGATGGAACAAACATATGGAAGTCATTCATTGAAATAAAACAAGTTGTACACAGTAAACCCAAAAAGAAACAGTGGACTTTTTAATACCTTAAGTGAATAATAATGAAGACTCAACAAATAATATTCATTTACCAAACCTTATTAGTAACAGACTTCAGGAATTTTCTTCCTTTCTAGAAAAACCAACCAATCATCCATTCAAATATTCAGTGTATTTTAATGTTATAACTTGTTTATTTCTACCTGTTTATAATGTCCTATCTGAGGCATTTATCTTTTGTACAGTTTTCTCATTGATAACAGATACCTAAATGGTATTCTATAGCCCAGGTTTAATTTTTCTAACCCAAAGCTTCATTACATAGAATTCTGCTTTGATTCCCTTTTCTCTTCATCCTTGGTTTTTCTTCATTCTAAGTCCATCAGAAGTGAAATAGCATCCCTGTGTTATTAGCAAAATATACAAATACAAATTTGTGCATACCACAATTTTCCACAATAACTTGACTCCATTCTAGGCATACTTCTAAGTTAACAGTGAGAATTTATTGTAGGGGAGTGACCTTCTTTTTTTTGCCTAATATATCAGATAATAAACTTTCTAAGGGAAGTAGTTCTCAATTCAAAAATGTTATCTATTATATACACATATATATGTACACACATATTTGTGTACATATCAGAGATTGGGTGAGTGTAGAAGTAATTATGTGGTGATATTTATCTAATGGTCTGAACCTTGACAGTTATGGTAGCTAAAGTTGCTGGCATAACTTACTTCTTGTTAGACTGTTTTATCATCAACACTAACAGTGCCCTGGCTAATTAGAATGTCATAGGAAGCCGGTAACCATTTTAATGTAATAGCATAAAATCTGAAATTGCAATAGGAGAGTGCCTGACTGCCCAGCTCGTTAATGGCTCACCCTTAGATATCAGAGGCAGCAAAGATTTTTAGATATTCCTGTAGAAAAAGACAAAATTAAGTGTACTTCAAGTAGAACATTTTGCCTCAATTTGGCCTGTAAAAACGGAGTGAAACAGAAAAATAACATGATAATGAATTTAGAGTATTAAGAAAGTCAAAAGTACATTGCTTTCTGAATACTGATTTCTACTATTTGTTAAAAGTCTTGTAATGAAAATAAATTTCCTCCTTCAGCTGCCAAAAGCCAATTATGGACAGTAAATTACCTGTATAATAACACTGCATGAATATTGCCAGAGTATGTTAAATAAAGTGACATCAACAATGGCAGCTTATTCTTTTCCAAAGGCATATTATATGTGAAAGAAAAAAATCACTTTTTCTCTTCAGAAATGGCAGGCAAATTATGGCTATCAATTTATAAATAAATATACCATTGGTATGAAAACTGTCAAATTAACAACAATAGCTACTGCATATCAGGCACCTACTTTGTGTTAGCCAGTGTATCAGGTCCTTGATAAATAGTACCAGCAATCCTTACAGCCTCTGTGAGGGAGATAACTATTTTCCCTATTCACGAGTAAGTACACTAGGGCTCACAGAGGTCAATTTTCTTGCTGAAGGTTACAAAGATAATTGTCCGTAAATCTCGTATTTCAACATTCTCGGTCTGACTCCAGAAAGCTTGCTCTTAACCCGTTGCACTATACTGCTCTTTCCATTTAAGCATGCTGTTCCACTATGATTCTGTCACATGGAGCAACATGAATAAAATAAAACCAGTCTACTCTCTGAATGAATGGGACTTTTTTTTTTGTGCAGAATTTGGAAATTCCATGTAATGTAAATATCTCAAGATCAACTTATAGAAAATTATTTGATTCAGCCAATTTTGCAATGAATTCTTAAAGAGTTTAATCATCCAAGTTTCTTTATCTTATAGGAAGCAGAAAGGAATCAAATTGAATCTATACATCTAGATTTTTAAGATCATGATCTATAATTAGATTTGCAAAACTATGAGAAAATAGTAGATGTTTCAATTTAAGAGTGCAATTAGAATGAATACAGGGAGACTTGAGTGTGGAAAGTTTTCAGTGGATAATCTGTTTCTCAGATTGTCAACACTTTTAATATCAACAGGAGAATATGTTACAGGCATGGCATAATTGGGAGCCCATGATGCCAAGTTTCTACATTATGGTATGAGATTCAGATAGCTCCAAGCTAAAGATTTGTCAGCTGTCTTCATCATCAAAAATCGGGAAGATTAGACTCCAAAGTTGAAGATACGTTCTTTTATGCTGACAGCAGAATAACATTGAGCTTCAGTGACTTACGTGGCAAAGATCTGTGGACCATCGTGTGATATATGTGATAGTGATTGTAACGTGATTACAACTGTGTGTGCTTTTTAGTTTTTAGCAACTTCCTTTGGACACATTCCTACACTGAATTGTTCAGAAAGTGTTGATGAGTTTCTTATATTAATAGCACAGTTCTCTCTCTCTCTCTCTCTCTCTCTCTCTCTCTCTGTCTCTCTCTCTCTCTCTCTCTCTCTCGGCCTCTAGGCTGCACTTAGATTTCTTCTTCAGATTAAACCAGTTATAAATTCAGTTATAAATTTATGACAAAGATGGATTTTTAAAAGCTGATATGACTTAGATACAGAATCCACTTGAGACAAAAAATGTAATGAAATTCCTTTCAAAATATTTCTTGTGACTTCTGAAATGTAATTTTCATTTGCCTTATTCCCTAGTATACAACTATATTATCCTTTTTCAAATCTCCCTCTTAGCACATAATTCATCTGTTAATTTTAAGAAAATACACACTTGCCAGCAAAAAGAGAGGATTATCAAGAAGAAGTACTCATTTTCCTGTTCCTCCATTAAAAAATCATATTATGATATTTATAATGGATATGTAAAGGTTTATTATAATTAAGGCAGTTCCATTGCTGAGGTGATGTTAAGAAAAAAACAAACTGGGCTGATGGTTCATTTCAATAAAACTGATGGTTTTCTAAACCCAGAAATTTTAACCAAGTAGCATACTCCTCACTCTAGAGAAGCTACAGATGAGATGCTATGTTCACTGACTTTTTTGAATAACTAGTGAATATTGACATGTGAAAATTTATCATCAAAATAGTCATGAATGAAAAAAAGTGATAGTACATTCAATTTTATGAGGAGACAGTTTCAAAATAAGAAGCTAATGAGGTTATTTAACACCTCTAAGCAATAGTGTTTCCACAGCTCTAACAAACACACCCCAAAAATATACCCTTTGCTATAGAATTAATTTGTAAGAAAAGCTCCATGAAATTTAGGATATTTAATAGAGAATTTCAGGAATGTTAGATCAAATAAACAGGTTTTACTAAATAGGCATGGTGTTGCTGTACTTGTTTTACTATTACTTCCTTTTTCCATGGTATCGACTACTCTATTTGCACACCCAATGAACATGTTGGCATCTTATTTATGGTTTGTAACTTTCATGGTTGGGGTAATCTAATAAAACTTGACTATCGTCAGCCAAATTTTAGTGGGAAGATACAAAATCAGAGAACTATCATTATTGTTTTCATATCTACTAACTACTCTGACCCAGTTTTGCCGGGGTGACTAATACAACAGGAAAATCTATGCCATGTCACTCCCCAAGTTAAATTTGCTTAATTCATTTACTCAATTAGTATTTGCTAAGCTCCTACATCCTGAACACTTCAAGGTGCTAGAGATAAGAGGTACTCACAGTTCATTTAGCAAACAAACAAGAATACAGTTGATGAGAGTGTGCTCTAAAATTAGTGTTCCACCACAGGACAATGAAGGATGCTGTGTGAATATTTGGAAGACGACCCTAAAGCAAGGATCCCCATTTGCTGCAGAATAAAATCAACTTCCTTACTGTGGCTTGAAAAGCCACCATGATCTGGTTCCTTTTTACCTCTGGATTCTCATAGCCTCACATTTTGTGCTCCAGTAACACTAGATAGCTTGTTATTGTGCCTAAAATACCATGCTGTTTCCTACTTTTCCTCATTTTATCCCTTCTGCTTAGAATATTCTACCCGATCCTATCTGCCTGGTAAGTACCCATATTAAGTATCAAGATGTAGCTCCATGGCTACTGCCTCCATAGTGTCTTTGAGGCTTTCCCCACCTCTACCGCTTTGTGCCCCATGTCATGTCTTCTGTCAGTTCTACGATAGCACTCATGGTGCTTTGTGTTGTTAATGCCAATATTTACAAGACCTCCTCATTAGGCTCTTAGTTGCATGAGATTAGAAATGAGGAATACTGGCTCATGCCTGTAATTCCAGCACTTTGGGAGGCCGAGGCGGGTGGATAACCTGAGGTCAGGAGTTCAAGACCAGCCTGAAAAACATGATGAAACCCCATGTCTACTAAAAATACAAAAACTAGCCTGGCATGGTGGCAGGTGCCTGTAATCCCAGCTACTCAGGAGGCTGAGGCACATGAATCACTTGAACCCGGGAGGTGGAGGTTGCAGTGAGCCGAGATCAGACCATTGCACTCTGGCCTGGGTGACAGAGAGAGATTCCACCTCAAAAACAAAGAAGAAGAAATGAGGAGATCTAACCATGCCATCAGATTAGATAATATTAATACATAAATTTCCTGTGACTATAGTACTATCATATCCATTATCTCCTCAACAAATCTCCAAGGCAGGTGTAGCAGGAATCTAGGAATCTCCCCCTTTTATTTTACAGATAAGAAACTGATGATCAATGCAATTGAAGTGATTTGCTTAAGTTTACACAATTAGTAAGTGGACAAATCGGTTTTGGAACCCATTTCTAGCCAGTTCTTATTTCAATGTCCTGGCTTCCATGTCCTGCTGATGTCTATCACATAAATGAATACAGTTCTTCCATACCAACACATCTCTTTTCATAGCAGAATGTTCAATACTGTGGCGTAATGATAGGACAAATAAGTAAAGCAGCTAATCAGTCCAAATTCATTCCTCCAGGACAGAGAACTATTTCCTAGGAAACCAAACCTGGGCAATTTTCTCAAAAATCAAAAGGAACAAATAGATGGCATTTAGTTATTAGAGGCTATTCAGGAAGGAAGCCGAAATTATTCATTAAGGTCTTAAAAAAATCCTTCTATTGAAACACCAAATAAAAAAAGCATTAATATTGTACAATACTCATACTGGGCTATATTCAGTGGTAAAACCCTAATATCAAGAGAAAAATAGATTTAAGTGGAAAATAATTAAATAGTGAATTTTTAATAATGCTCTAATGTCCCTGACTCGAAAGTACTGTTTTCTAAGTAAATAATCAATTTAACCCTCAACTAAAAATAAAGTTTGCTTTGTCTTTTATTTTGCTTTTAAGAAAATCCATCATGGCCGGGCGCGGTGGCTCACGCCTGTAATCCCAGCACTTTGGGAGGCCGAGGTGGGCGGATCACGAGGTCAGGAGATCGAGACCATCCCGGCTAAAACGGTGAAATCCTGTCTCTACTAAAAATACAAAAAATTAGCCGGGCGTAGTGGCGGGCGCCTGTAGTCCCAGCTACTTGGGAGGCTGAGGCAGGAGAATGGCGTGAACCCGGGAGGCGGAGCTTGCAGTGAGCCGAGATCCCGCCACTGCACTCCAGCCTGGGCGACAGAGCGAGACTCCGCCTCAAAAAAAAAAAAAAAAAAAGAAAATCCATCATATGGTAATGAATTTGCCCTTTATCAGCATAACACCACAATGCTAGAAAAGAAAACGATAAAGAAAATGCAGTCATTCTCTGTGTGTGTGTATATATATATATATATATATATATATATATACACACACACACACCCACACACACATATATACACAACACATATATGAGTTTGTGTATATATATACACACATATAAGTTATATATACATATATATGCTTTGTACCTTATAGATATGTATGTATATGTATGTAACTTATGTATATGTAATATGTGTATTTTTTTGTTGAGAAAATTTATGTATACATAAAAGCAGGTTTTGTTTCTCTCTGTGACCTCCCCAACAACACACAAACACTACAAGCACATGACACATGCACTCACAGACATTATTTTTACATATAAAATGTTTAAGAAAAATTGCCCCAAACATATTTGCTTGAGCCATGTATAATATGAGGCATACTTTAAGAGGAATGACAGGGCTGTGTGAATTGCAGATAATTCTGTTGGCTTATAGGAAGTTGGTGCAATGAGGCTGTCCAAGGAAGGGTAGGCTTTAGTGCTTGTACCTTAGCCCAGGTTTTCTGCAATGTTGTTAACTTGCTCTTTGTTTTGTTCATATTGCACCTCTGGAATCTTATAATTTGTTGCTGTTCACTTGGACAACTTTGAAATTTTAGAGAAAAATAAATTAAAAGGTGACTATAAGAGACTTTTCTATATTTATATTGTATTTGTTTACTCCGCTGTAGTATTCAATCTAAAGTTGTTTTCTGTTGGGCATAAGGGTATATTAGCCTTATGGTCTTTTATGATCCTTATCATCCTAGGGGTCATCTGCTCTTCTGAATATGATTGCAACTTGTAGCCCACAAGATCTATATAGGCACGAGAGCCTCACTAAGCAATTGGGTATCAAGTGCTGCCTCTTTTCTCGATACTACAAGATGGGGCTTTCCCAGACCTTACAGATGATAACTCAGAAGAATGTTTAAGCATTTAACTTACTGAAAGATCAGGTACACATCCCAAAGCAGGGCCAAATAGTAGCACCGGAAGTTAATAATTCATGTAACTCCTTTCCTTGTATTCTCATTCTACCTCCTGTTCACCGTCGTAGGGAGCAAGAAGGAATAGAGGTACATATCCCAAAGCAGGGCCAAATATTAGCACCAGAAGTTAATAATTCATTTAGCTCCTTTCCTTGTATTCTCATTCTACCTCCTGTTCACGGGGGTAGGGAGCAAGAAGGAATAGAGGATTCATCTTGCCACATGGACAACAAAGCCCTTAGAACTTAGTATCATTTTATAGATAGATGTCAATAAGGAGAGACTATAGTATTAAGTCCAAGATTTAGTCCCCTCTGGGCCAAAGGCTGGGTATTTTAAAATCAAAAATTACATAAAAGTAGGTACAGAGGCAGTAATGATAGGCCATGTTATTCATCCTGTAAAATTACAAGAACTCTTCATACTCATCAAAGCCTCTAAGGCCTAAATGCTGTCATTTCTTTCATTTTTGCAGCATGCAGCAGTATAGCCAACTAGTAGGTATTCTGTTTTCTTTATAGCCTTCTGCTTTCTTAGTGGTGAATTAAGCTGACTTTAATATCTGCCAGCAACTAGCCATTTATCTTGATCTGCTGCCTGAAAGTGTATGGTTCCATTCCTTTCAGTTCAGTTCATCCTGAAGATCCCATCAGTCTTTCGAAATCATTGAGGGGGCAAGTCTGACTAGTTCTCCTTAACATGTGAATTTTCTTCAGCATAATATTTGCAACTGTCCATTGGATCATGGCTTTGACAGCAGTTTTGATTTAAACTTAATTCTCTGAAGTTTCTAATAGGTAAATGGGGGTATTAAAGGCTTTATTTACTTTGGAGGGAACATATTAGAAAAATGAATCCAATTTATGTAGTTAATGTTTCTCCATTGACCCCAGAATAAAGTCTATATTTCTGCACATGGCTTTCAAGCCCCTCACTGATCTGATGTCATTCATCTTCTACTGTTTTTAGCTCCACCTTGCTTCGATTTTCGCAGATCTCATTCTCTAGCATGCCTTCACTTATTTTCTTAAATTAAAAATTAAGTGACTTATATTGTTCCTTTGCTTAAATCTTTTCAATTCCTTTCCAGTAACCTCAGGATAAAGTAACAAATCTAAAATATGACCATGAAAATCACACATGATCTGACACCTGCCCACTTTCCTATTAATAATTTCTGCTTCACGACGCTTTCAATTCCTCTAACATTCCATACTTTTTCCCCATTTTACAATCTTTACATATTCTTATATTTCTGCCTGGGATACTTTTTACTAACATATATAACATCACTTTAATTGGTCATTCTCACAGACTCTTATTAAATATCACCTTGTCACAGAACCCTTCTCTGACCACCTACCTAACCTACGTTCATTTTCCTGTATACTGTATTATAAGACACAATCTATCCAGCTGCACATCTGTGAAACCAGAAAAGTTGTGTGCTTTCATAATACAATGTTGAGACAGGCATAGAATAGACATTCTCATTTCAAAAGGGAGAAATATAAAATAAAAGGAATGATCCCAAGTAAATTCAAAACCTAATAGTACATACTCCATTAAATCTTAATGCTTGAGATTAAGCATTAAGCGTTAAGATTGAGCATCTTTGGCTTAATGCTTTGCCTGCCAGACCCACTGGGGTGGCTTTCCCAACTTCTGGACACACTGGGTTTGCAATGTCACCCTGACAGCTCAGCAGGGTGCTGTTGCGGTTTTCTGCGGTGGCCCTACCCATCCTGCAGTTCTCAATTAAGGTTGAAGTTGTGCCTCCAGGGTTTTACAAAATGGCTACACCTTTTGAAATCAAAGCGAAGGCAGCCCTCCCTGCCACCCTACGCCTGTGCATTTTGGGCCTGTGTAGGAGTGGTAGAATTGTTGATCTCTGAATTGCCTTTGGAGTCCTTATTCTCTTGTCTTAAAGATAGCAGGTGTTCACAGTATCTATAGCTCCATAATCCAGTCCTGTACGGTCTAGGAAGTCCAAGTTCTCCTTCATTTTCTTTCATTTCCGGTTTCCTTCAGTCCCAGCTAGCAGTATTTCTGCTAGTATAATCTCATCTCTATTCCTGGTTTTTGTTAAGGTGGTTGATTTTATCCCCGGTGGTTCTCACCCACACTAATCTTGTTATGAAATGGTCTGCCTACCCAACCCTTAGTTTTGTTTCCTGAACATTCTTTATTGATTTTAGTAACATTAAAATGCCGAGAATTTTCCAAGTCTTTAATTTCTGGTTTCTTTTTGCTTAGCAATTTTATGTTTAATTCATTTCCTTCTTCCCAACTTTTACTATAAGCAGTCAGGAGGAACCAGAAACTTCAACCCTTTTTGCTTAGAAATCTCCTTAGCTAAATATTCAATTGTCATGTTCTTTGCCAGTTTATTACAAGGATTGCTTTTCTTACAGTTTCCAATATGTTTCATTTTCATTTCCATGTAAGATCTTATCAGAATGGACTTTACCATTCATATTTCTGCCAACATTCTACTTATGGTTATTTAAGTATTATTTGAGAAGACAGAAGATTTCTCTACAGCTCTATTATTTTCTTTATAAGCTCTCACCATAATTGCCTTTAAAAGTACATTCACAGCAATCCAGGTTTTCTCCAACATGTACCTCTACCCAGTTTCTACCCATTATTCAGGTGCAAAGCTGCCTTAATATTTTTAGTTGTTTATTACAGCAGTCGCCCCATCACCAAGGCTCATTACTAATGTCTGTCTTAGTCAGTTTGGATTGCTATAAGAAAACACCAGAGGCTGTATGTCTCATAAACAATGGAAATGTATTTCTCACTGTTCTGGAGGCTGGAAGTCTGAGATCAGGATGCCAGTATGATATAGTTCTAATAAGGGCTTTCTTCTGGGATGCAGGCTGCTGACTTCTCATATTTTCACATGGTGGAAGGAGGATGAGATAGCTCTCTGGGGTTTCTTTTTAAAGGGCACTAATCCCATTTATGTGGGCTCGTCCTTCTGAGCTTATTACTTCCCAAAGGCCATACCTCCTAATATCTTCATATTGTGACTTAGTATTTCAACATATGATTTTGCAGGGACATAAATATTTAACCCAAAACAACACCCAGCATAATACTTGTGATAATATTCTTGTGTAAATATCTGTTATTGTTTGTTTTCTTCACTGTACATTAAGACCCCTGAAGGCAGAGTTTATGTCAGTATTCCCAGGGCTCATGAGCACATAATCCGGCACGCGGTAAGTAAGTGGTAAATAATATGAGATACATGAATGAATAAATAAATAAGAATGCAGAATAAGCAATAGTTCACTACAAATATAGTTGTACTGAAAGAATGAATGAAACCTAAACTCTTGCCAAATTAAATTTGTCCTGCGTTTTTCGAAAAAACTTCTCTGATTATGTTTTCTCCTGGGAATTTCTTCTAACCAGTCTTCATCTGTTGATAATTAATAATTTGTATTTTCCCAGTTACTATCTTAAATGCATCCAATTATAAAATGTCTATTCAGTTTCCCTGTCAGAATTGATTTCCTTCTCACATGTTTCATGTGCTTATAGTATTGTTTTTCTGCTTCTTTCTTAGAGAGATTATTTATCACATTCTACTGCAAACTATGCTCAAAAGTCTGTATATTTTCCCCAGTTTAGACTTTATGCTCCTGGGGAACGTGAATCAGTACTGTTAATACTTATTGAAGGAGGCTATAATTGACAGCTCTCTCCTCTGTATACATTTCTTCCTCCTTCCAATGAAATGAATGTTTAATTGGGTACATAGACACTAAGACAAGTAATATATTTCTCAGCCTCCTTTTTAGATAGGTTCAGGCAAATGACTAAGTTCTGACCAATGAGATATATGCTGAAGTAGCGACTTCTGGGTTGTATCATTGAAGGAAATGGGTGTGGCTTTGCCCTCCTGTGTTTCTTTTCACCTGACTTGGAAAGCAAGTGAGGAGTCATTTTAGAGTCATCTCAAACAAGCAGAGAGGTAGAAAATCTCACAAAGGACGGAACAAGAAGATAAAAAGAGTTCAAGGCCTAGCACCATGGGGATTATAGTCCAAGCATAACAACTCAGAGAACTTCATGGAGAAGATCTACCCTACTATTTCAGACATTGACATGCAGGAAAAGTGAATTTTTATCTAATTTCCGCCATTGTTATGTTTGTCCCTCAGTTACATGCAGCTCACTGTACATATTAATTAATACAAATGTAATTAGAAACTTTGTAGTTTACATACTTTTCAAAGGAATACCCAACTTTCTATAAGCTACGTGGACAGCATTTCACAAGATCCTACTAGCAAGCAGGAGTGCCACCATTTTGGATACCTTTAAATGCTTTAGCTTTATTTGGTTAGTCATTTGACCTAGGTTGCTGTGCTCTCAAAAATAATTATATTTTACAAATAAGTATCTTGAATCTGGCCAGTCTGCCACATTTTCAAATACAGAAAATTTCCTAGCATTTGCCATACTTCCCAGTGAATCACTTAACTACTTACTGCTTGTGAACATGATTTGCAAATATATATATGTGTGTGTGTGTGTGTTACTTAGTTTTAGTTTATAATATAAAATCATGAGAAATATAAGAGAAGTCCTCTTTATGGTTTCTAGCTTTAAATTTATGTTAATGGGAGACAGAATACTGCCCACAAATTTGGAAGGTAAATGATTTTTAGTCAACCATAGATATGCATTGCAAACTAAGAATATAAACACAATTCATTTTTAGCAATAAATGACCATGAGTCTAGGCAGACACAGTATAAACAATAATGCTACCTGTCTCCCAAGGTAGTTAATTAATAATAATCCCTTTGCCCCTCAAAAATGTCACTGCTTAGGTAAGAAATAATAATATACTCATCTTTGCACATCCCAAAACTTGCAGCTGAAATACAAAGCTGTCAGGTTGGAATAAAATGAGGTTCATTTATTAGAATAGTCTAATGGGCCTGAGAGTGCAGGAACAGAAGATGGTGACAGAAGATTATGATGAGTTGTTCCAACTATGGAAAGAAATGTATGGAAAGGAATGGAAGACAAATATCTCCCATCCAGCAAGGTGTATCTATTAAAGACAAGTTCAAAAATGAGTGGTCAACCCCTGTTGCTGGAACATAGGGTAAGATGCTGAGAAGATGATTTATCTTAGTGCCTTTTAGGTTATAGAGCTTATTTCTGAATATCGGGGATGGAAACAGAAATTTCATCTCCATTATCACCATAATTTAATTTTTAAAGGGTTACATCAATATATTATCAAAAATTGTTCCCTGGTATAATCTTATATAGGGTCCTCTGGTACTTTTAAACTAACTCAACTATAATTGTTAGTATTTAGTAATATATGCAGATAGCTAAAAACAAATGGTACATAATAGCCCTAGAAGAGAAGTCTAGGTTTTCATCCTTGACCCTCTCATCATGGTCAACAGTTTATAAACCCACGTTCACACACACACGCAAACCCACACACACCTTTTTGGTGGTAATAGACAACATAAATTATAGGATTAGAACGTCATTTCTTTAACTTTAGGCAATTGTCTTGCTTGAAAAATGAGAGATTTAGCTTAATTGTGCTAACTTCCATCTTGTGGCTTCCTTTTTCCTGAGAATGTTGCTGATTATATTATTATACATAATTCTTCTGTTACCTTTATACATTTAATAATATGCTTAAATATTTATCATTTGTTCTATGAAATTTACTTTGAAACATTTTATTGTGAAATAAAACACACATTTGGAAGGCTACATGGAAGAAAAACATACAGCTTAATGAAGTCAATACCCGTGTGCTTACCACAAAAAGTAAATAAAAGAGTGATAATAACCCAGAAGCACTCACATGCTGTTTTCCGGGAACATGCCTCTGCACTCTCCATAAAGGTTACTGCACCCTTGACTTATATGTTAATAATTTCTTAGTTTTTCTTTATTTTGTTTACCACTTGCAATCTTGAAGACTATAATTTTGTTTCCCCTACTTTGTGTTTTATAGAAATGGAATCACACCTTATGTTTTATTTTGTGTTGTGTTTGGCTTCTTTAGCCCAACATTATATTTATGCCACTGTTGCTGTGTGTTTATTCAGTTCCATAACTGTTGATTATTCTACCTTAAAAACATACACAATTATTCCATTCTGGTGTGGATCGGTATTTAGCTCATTTATAGATTTGGCACAATTCATGTTTATTGGACATTTTGGATATCCCCTTTTGTGATGTGTGTGTTAAAGTTTCTCAAATATTTTAGAATATTTGAGATTGAGAGTCTTCGTCTTCAGAATATTTGGTCTTTAGAATATTTGTCTTTAGAATATTTGGATTGACAGTCTTTGTCTTATCAATTTTGAGGAATTTCTACTCCGCATAAAAGCCTTTTGTCAATTACATGTGTTAAAGTGTTAAAGATATATTCTATTCTGTGGCTTAACTTTTCAACTTTTTAAAATATATTTGTCTCCATCTCTATCTCTTTTCATGTTTTAGCAATTGTGAAATATGCTGCTATAAACATGGATGTACAAATGTCTCTTCAAGACTCAAACGGGTTCTGCATTATTGAAAAAACTGCAACTTGATATCTTAGTCACATAATGCCGGATTCTGTTGGTTAATATTATTTAGAAGGTTTGAATTTATGTTTAAAAATAATACTAGCCTGCAATTTTCTTTTCATATAATTTTTTAGCCAACTGTTTTGGTGTCAATTTAGGCTGGTTACATAAATGAAGAGTCTTTAGTTTCTGGGTTTTTTTGCTTTTTTCATTCTATGGAAGAATTTATTTAGTATTGAGGCTGTTTCTTCCTTAAATGTCTGTTAAAATTATCGGATGAAATGCCTTGCTATTAGCATTCTCTTTGTGGTAGTGCTTTTCATTATAGAGTCAATGTCTTCAGTAGTGATATAATTATCCAGGTTATCATTGTATTTCTGGGTCAATTTTGGAATCATGTGCTTTCTTAAGAATTTGTCCTCTTCACATAAATTTTTACTAAATCTAATCATAGTTGTTCATGATATCTTTGTTAAATCTGTGCAGCATTCATAGTGATGCATAATTATATATACATACATACGAGTGTGTGTGTGTGTATATATATATGTCTGTGTGTGTGTGTGTGTACTAGTCTATTCTTACACTGCTATAAAGAAATAACTGATATCGGGTAATTTATAAAGAAAAGGGGTTTAATTGGTTCATGGTTCTATAAGCCGTATAGGAAGCATAGCAGCTTTTGCTTCTGGAGAGGCCTCAGGAAATTTACAATCATGGTAGAAGGCAAAGAGGAAGCTGGAACTTCACAGGGCCGGAGCAGGAGGAAGAGACAGAGGGGAGGTGCCACACATGTTTGAACAACCAGATTTCATAAGAACTCACTATCACAATGACAGAACCAGGGAGGGATGGTGTCAAATCATGAGAAACCACCCCCATGATCCAATCACCTCCCCCAAGACCGCACCTCCAATATTAGGGGTTTTAATTTGATATGACATTTGGGCAATGACACAAATCCAAACTATATTATTCCACCTAGGCTTCTCCTAAATCTCATGTCTTTCTCACATTTCAAAATACAATAATGCTTTCTCAACATCCCCCAGAGTCTTAACTCATTTCAGCATTAACTCCAAAGTCCAAAGTCTCGTCTGAGACAAGGCTAGTCCCTCCTCCCTATGAGTCTGTAAAAAAAAAAAAAAAAAAAAAGAAGAAGAAAAGAAGAAGAAAAGTTAGTTGTTTCCAAGATACAATGGGAGTATAAGCATTGGGTAAATACTCCCATTACAAAAGGAAGAAATCAGCCAAAAGAAAGGGGCTACAGGCCCCTTACAAATTTGAAACCCATCATGGCAGTCATTAAATCTTAAAGCACCAAAATAATCTCCTTTGACTCCATGTTTCACATCTAGGGCACACTGGTGCAAAGGGTGGGCTCCCAGGGCCTTGGTAATCTCTGCCCCTATGGATCTGCAGGGTACTGCTCCAACAGCTTCTTTCACAGGCTAGCGTTGAGTGCCTGGGGCTTTTCCATGTGCATGGTGCAACCTGTAGGTGGATTTACCATTCTTGGGTCTGGAGGACAGTGCCCCTCTTCTCACAGCTCCACTAGGCAGTGCCCAAATGATGATTTTGTGTGGGAGCTGCAACCCCATATTTCCTCTCCACACTGCCCTAGTAGAGGCTCTCCATGTAGGTTCCATCCCTGCAGCAGGCTTCTGCCTGGATACCCAGGCTTTCTCATACATCCTCTGAAATCTAGGCAGAGGCTTCCAAGCCTTAACTCTTGCATTCTGTGCATCTGCAAGCTTAACACGACATGGAAGCTACCAAGGTTTCCAGCCTGCACCATCTGGAGCAGTGGCCTGAACTGTACCTGGAACCCTTTGTTTCATGGCTTGAACTGGAGCAGCCAGAGTGCAGGCAGCAGTGTCCCCAGGCTGCACAGGGTAGCAGGGTTCCAGACATGGGCCATGAAACTATTCCATTCTCCAAGGCCTCTGGGCCTGTGATTGGGGGGGCTGCTATGAAGGTTGCTGAAATACCTCCGAGGACTTTTTTCCTTGGTCTTGGCTGTTAGCACTCGGCTTCTTTCTACTTATGCAAATTTCTGTGGCCTGCTTGAATTCCTCCACTGAAAATGGGCTTTTCTTTTCTACCACATGGCCAGGCTGCAATTTTTTAAAAACATTTAAGCTCTGCTTCCCTTTTAAATACAAGTCTCAGTTTCAGATCATTTACTTGTTCATGCATATGAGCAGAGGTAGTTAGAAGTAGCCAGGTCATGTCTTGAATGCTTTGCTGCTTAGAAATTTATTCTGCCAGATAACCTAAATCATCACTCTGAAGTTTCAAGTTCACAGATCCCTGGAGCAGGGGCACAATAAAGCCAGGCTCTTTGCTAAAGCATAGCAAAAGTGACCTTTACTCCAGTTGTCAGTAAGTTCTTCATCTCTATCTGAGACCTCCTCAGCCTGGACTTCATTGTTCACATCACTATCAGCATTTGGGTAACAACAATTTAACAAGTCTCTTGGATGATCCAAATTTTTCCTCATCTTCCTGCCTTCTTCTGTTCACTTGACACTCTTCCAACCTCTACCTGTTACCCAGATCCAAAGTTGCTTCCCCATTTTCAGGTATTTTTAAAGCAATGCCCAAGTTTTGAGTACCAATTTTCTGTACTAGTTCATTCTTCCACTGTTAAAAAGAACTACCTGAGACTGGGTAATTCATAAATAAAAGAGGTTGAACTGGCTCACAGTTTTGCAAGCTGTACGTGGTGCAAAGTGGCTTCTGCTTCTGGATAGGCCTGGCAAAACTTACAATTATGGTGGAAGGCAAATGGGGAAGCTGGACCTTCGCATGGATGGAACAGGAGGAAGAGAGAGAGCGGAGGTGACACACACTTTTAATCAACCAGATCTCACAATAACTCACTATCACGATGACAAAACCAAGGGGGGATGGTGTTAAAGTATGGAAAACACCTCCGTGATCTAATCACCTCCCACCAGGCCCCACCTCCAACATTTGGGATTGCAATTTGACATGAGATTTGGGCAGGGACACAGATACAAATAATATAAACAGGTATGTAATTATATGTGTTATTTTTGCTTTCTCTGTCCTCTGCTATTCTCTTCCTCCTCCTCCTCCTCCTCCTTCTCCTCCTCTTCCTTTTACTTCTTTATTTTCTTATACACACTCTCTCTCTCACCCTGTCCAGGGGTTTATTACTTTTTTTGTTCTTTGCAAAAAACAATTTTTTAATAATTGTTTATCCTCCCTATAGCATATAAGTCTTTAAACTATTTTTATTAATTTCAACAGTGACCTTGTAATTTCTCACTATAATTTCCATAGTTTTATTTTGATGATTTTATTTTAACGTTCATATTAATATTTGAATCTCACATTTTTACCTAGCACTGAAAATGAAAATCCTTATTTAGATAAACTGAAAATGTTTATTTTTAATTGTAACATCTAATAAATATATTTTTGTGAAATCACTAACATATTTGGGTGTATATGTTTCATCTTACACTATGATTTATATTTATCCTCTCTAATTTTCTTTTCTACTGCTTTTGATATTTCTTTTAGATAGATCTAGTATTTAAAACTAGCATTTCTCTTTCTTTCTTGTCAGTTTGGAAGTTACACATACTTACAAAAGTTTTTCATTGATTACCACAGACTTTAAAACATGAATCTTTGATTTATCAGTGTTTAATGTTAATTGATACCTTAACCACTTCCAGGAACTTGTAAAAGGATGAGGATATTAGAAATATTTGAATATTTAAATCCATTTATCCACTCAAAACTTATTTACTATTTAATTTGCCATGAGGAATTATTATTGATTAGAACACAATGTTTATATAATTTACACATATATTTAAGTACTTGCTGCTCTTTATTCCCATCTTTATCTCCAAATTTATATCTGAAATTATTTTTTTTTCCTGCTTGAATTGCTGAGGAATATCCTTCATGTGTGTATATGTATGGGTGTGCATGTGTGTATATACATAGTTATGTACAACCAATGCATGCCTACTGTTACTGAATTCTATTAGGATTTAGTTTTGTTAAATAAGAAAGTCTTAATTTCCTTTTGATTCTTAAGGGATATTTTTGTTGGGTAAAGAATTGTAAGTTGGCTGGTTGCATTTTTCTCTTAACGGGTCAGCTATTAGTCTAATTCTTACTTTTATAATGTTTCCTCTTATTTTATGTTAGGTTACTTTTTTAAAAGTTAACTGTTGTCTTGATTTTTAAAGTTTTTTGTTTGCTTGTTTTCTGTGATGTGTTTAAGTGTATTTTTATTTAAAAAATTCTGCTTTGGGCTCCTTGGATTTATTGAACATGAAAATTAATGTACTTCATGAATTTTGAAAAGTCCACAAACATAATCTCTTTTGAATGATTCAAATAATGCTTTTATATCATGCTTTTTACCTTTTCCTTCTGGAATTCTAATTAAATATACATTAACATGTTTTAACATTTAAGATTATTTTATTATACAAAATACTTGTTTATTTAAGAAATTAATATTACATGCATAAGAAAATATTGAAATTAACTTCTAATCTCAGATAAACTTCAGAATAATTCTGTGAAGAACCAGATAAACGTCATCAGAATTTCAACTGGGTTTCAATTAACAGGGCAGAGTTTTGCAAAAATAAAAAATGGAATCTTAGCAAAGTTGATCTTCCTCTCCTGGAACTTGCTGTATCTTCTAATTCAGAAACCTTCATCCCATTTTATTTCTATTTTTATTTTTAGTGGTAATGGGTAGTTTAAAGAAAATAATTTGATTTTTATATAATTAAATTATATTTATACTCTACTGAATTATTCATTTGATTAATGGGTCTTCCTTTCTTGAATCATAATGCTTATTTCTAGCATTGGCTGAGACTTATGAGATGATATCGTATGGTAGAGCTAAGAGTTGGCCCCTTTTTTCTTTTCTAAACAGCTTTACTGAGATACAATTCCCATATCATAAAGTTCACCCATAAAAAGTATGCAATTCATTGGTACTGACTATGATGACAGAGTTCTGCTGCCATCATCATAAATCAATTTTAGAAAATTTTCATTACCCCAATTGCCATAAAAACCCAAACCCAAGAGCAGTCCCCACCATTAGCATTCTAGCTTTCTCCCCAGGTCCAGGCTACCCCTAATCTATTTTTGGTTTCTATAGATTTGTCTATTCTACACTTTTCATATAAATTAAATCATATATGTTTTCTAGTATTTTATTGAGGATTTTTGCATCAATATTCATCACAGATGTTGGCCTGTAATTTTCTTTTATTGATGTGTCTCTCTGGTTTGGGTATCAGAGTAGCACTAGCCTCATAGAATGAGTTTGGAAATATTTCCTCCGCCTCTGTTTTTGAGAAAAGTTTGAGTAGTATTGGTATTCTTAATGTTTGACAGAATTCAGCAGTGAAGCAGTCAGGTACCAGGCTTTTCTTTACTGGGAGATTCTATTATGACTTCAATCTTGTTACTGCCTTCTCACTTATGGTATTTTTTTCATTCTTGCTGGAGCATGTATCAGTACAGTAATCCATTTTTTAATTGCCAAATAATATTTTATTGCATTAATATATCACATTTTATTTATTCGTTCATTTGTTGATGGGAATTTGTGTTGCTTCCATTTTTGGCTATTATAAAAACTGCTGATAAGAACATCCATGGTCCCAGTGTTATGTGGACATCTATTTTAATTTACCTTGGGTATTTACCTAGGATTAGAATCACTTCATCACATAGGAGCTCTGTGTAACATCTGAAGGAGCTACCAACCCGTTTTTCAATGAAACTACTCCGTTTACATAGCCTCGGGTAATGCATAAGGGTTCCAGTTTCTCCACCAGTAACTAACACATTTTATTTGCTTCCTTTTATCTTATAAGCATTCTAGTTGATGTGAAATACTATCTCATTGTAGTTTTTCGTTCCCCTAATGGCTAATAATTTTGAGCATTCTTTTATGAGCTTATTGGCCACTAGTAACCTTCATCCATTCTTTAATTTATGGTCATTTAGATACTTTCTATATTTTGGCTACTGTGAATAATGCTGCAATCAATAGGGGACTGCAGATAGCTCTTCTGATTTCACTTTTTTTGGATATTTACCCAGAAGTTGGATTGCTGGATCATATGGAAATATAGTGATTTTTAACTTCTGAGAAGCCTCCATATTGTTTTCCATAACAACTGTACCAATTTACTTCCCAACTAACAGTTTGCAAGTGTTCCCTTTTTTCTACATCCCTGCTAACACTTGTTACCTCTAGTTGTTTTGATAATAGCCATTCTAACCGGGGTAAGGTGGTATCTTATTGTGGTTTTAATTTGCATTTCCTTGATAATTAGAGATGTTTAGCATTTTCTCATGAATCTGTGGGCCATTTGTATGTATCCTTTTGAGAAATGCCTTTTCAAATCATTTACTCAATTTATAACTGGGCCATTTTCTTGTTATCGAGTTGTTTATTGAGTTTCTCATATATTTTGGATATTAGCAACTTATCAGATGTATTGTTGGCACATATTTTCTCCCAGTCTGTAAGTTGTATTTTCACTCTTTTGAATGTACCCTTTTCTGTGTAGAAACTTCTAAACTGATGCAATCCCATTTGTCTATTTCTGCTCTTGCAGCCTATACTTTTGAGTTCCTATCTAAGAAGTCATTCCCTTATATTTTTTCTGGTAGTTTTACAGTTTCCTGTTTTATGTTGAAATATTCAATCCATTTTCCATTGATATTTGTATATTGTGTGAGATAAAGGTCGGTCCAATTTCATTCTTCTGTGTGTGAATATCCAGTTTTCCCAACATAATTTATTGAAGAGACTGTATTTTCCCCAATATATGTCCTTGACATTTTTGTTAAAAAGCAATTGACGGTTGTGTGTGTTTATTTCTGGGCTTTCAACTCTGTTCCATAGGTTGTTATGTCTGTTTTTAGGCAAATACCATGCTGTCTTGTTTGGAATAGCTTTATAATATATTTCAAAATCAGGGGGTGTGATGCTTCCAGTTTTGTTCTTTCAGCTTAAGATTGCTTTGACTATTCAGCGTATTTTGTGGTCATATACAAATTTTAGAAAGTTTTTCTATTTCTGTGAAAAATAGCATTAGAATTTGGATAGGAATTCAATTAAATCAGTATATCATTTTGGGTAGTATGGATATTTTAACACTATTTATTCTTCCAATTCATGAACATGAGACCTTTTCATTTATCTGAGTCATTTCAAATTTCCTTTATCAATGTTTTACAGTGTTCAGTATCTGTCTATATATGTAGATACATAGATAGATAGGTAGATAGATAGATAGATAGATAGATATTTTCTTTTCCCTTTTTTGTATTCAAAAAGATACCAAATTCTGGTTTTTGCCACGTGTGTGTGTATGTGTGTGTGTGTTTTGCCATGGAGGAATAATACAGTTGAGCATAAAATATAACTTATACTCAAGAAAATCTTATTTTCTTGGCTTTTGTCTCACAAAACACGAAGCCTATTGAGGAAAATATTCCATGAGTCTAATAGGGAGAAGAGGGAATAAAAGACTAAACTTGGGAAAGCTATTTCCCTCTGACTAAAGAGATTCTTCTAGAATAAAAAAGAAAAAGAGTCTTTATATCCCATGAGTGACAGGGCCTAGAGCTCTGTCTTTTAGTTGTGCCTTAAAGAAAGGGCAATATTTTAAGAAGAAATAGCTCTATGGCTCTGATGTTGATTATTCTTCCCTTTTCCCCAACCATGGTTTGAAGAGAACAGAACCACTAGACTTGCAAAAATCATATGAATTTGGACAATGGTTTTCTGACCAATGACTGATGACAAAAGAAGCCTCTTAAATGCTGAAGAGCTACATAACTCTCTCTATAGTTTTGTACTGCCCTGGGGGAAGAGTCTCAAAAGTGACTTTAGATGAAATTTCCACCTGTGTGATAGCCTAAAGTCTTGATGTCAAAATCATTTGTAATCAAATTAAGAAATATTTAATCTCTTGTTGACTAGGGTTTGTGGACTTTGTTGGAATTGTATCCATTACCCTTGAGTATTATTTCTAGCTATTCAGTACAGTTTATATTTAACTCACAAGCTACCTATAAGTCTTCTCCTCATATTTCAAGACCCAGTTCAAATGAATACACCTTTAAGTTCTCAGCAGATTTATTCATCTTTTCTCTTCATAGTGAAATAAATATACATATACAGACATACACACATATACATACATATATGTGTGTGTATATATATATATATATATATGTATGCCTCCATCATACCTTATCACTCACCAAGTTTATTATAGTTAAGCATTGTTCTTCCTTATTATAGATGAACATTAGAAGAGTGAGGTTTTGCCACACAGTCACGCCTTTGTATAACAACATTTCAGTTAACAGACCACCTATATGACAGTGGTTCCATAAAATTATTTCCCTTATTTTTACTGTGTCTTTTCTATCTTTAGATATGTTTAGATACACTAATACCATTGTGTTATAACTGTCTGCAGTGTTCAGTACAGTCACATGCTATACAGGTTTCTACAGTGTTCAATACAGTAACATGCTATATAGGTTTGTAGCCTAGGAGTAATAGGCTACACCATATAGCCTAGGTGTATAATAGGCTATACCATCTAGGTTTGTATACTGCACTCTATGATGTTCACACAAAGTCACTTAATTTATCAGAACATATCCCAGTGATTAAGCAACACCCGATTGTATTAAATTCTGTGTTCCTATGTACTAGTAGAGTGACTGGAGCCTGGTTTGTGTTCAACACATTTTTTCAATTGTATTATTATTTTTATTATTCTTTTTTTAGAAATTTAGTTTAATTAGTTCATTGTGCAAAAGCTATAAATTAAAAGCTACTTGACATAATAGAGTTGTTTCAACATACAAGATTTATTTTGATACTACATTACGACTATTAATTAAACTATAAATAATCATTTACATAGGAAGCCAAAGGCTTCTGACAAAAAATAAAATATTCAATAATGTAATCCTTAAGGGACCTTTGTCCTGCACTGAGGAAGCAGCTGAGGTCTTGGTAGTGATAAAAAAAATAGACTCAAAGTTTTCCATTTAGATGAGCAAAGCATAGCAAGAAGAAATCTGATCATGATTTGATTAACACATGAAACATAATTATCTTTGTTGCATATGAGTAATGGAAGTGGACACTTGGGAAGAGAAATTATATATATCATTGGAAATAAAAACATACTTGGGAAGTAGATTTTAAGTGAATTGCTGAAAGAAAGATTTAAGTAACATAGCAAGTCAAAAGACAATGGTATTGGTAAAATGTTAGTAATGTTACAGACCATAAAAATGTCATTATCTTAGCAAGTGCCATTTTCCAGAAAGGGAAGAAAGAGATAGTTGTTAGCAGCAAGGAAGTTTGGAAGCAGGAGTCCAGATAGGACTATAGTCTCGGGAAGGATGGATAATTTGTAGCATCTGCCCAAATCATTCTAGTCCTCCCCGCACCACCCCCACCACTCCATGCTCAATCTACTCTTTATCCAAAAGTCGGAGTGATATTTCTAAACGTAACTCCAGTCCTATCACCCTTGACTTCTTATTTAAAACCATTTAATGGACCCCTATTACTCAAAAGACAAAGTCTAATATTCTTAACATGGCACATTAGGCACTTCATGAATCGGCTGATGCCCATATCTCCAGAATCATTGCCATTTACTGTTTCATAATTCATATTTCACCCATATGAAACTACTGTGAGTTTCTTGATATAGATACACTTTGGTTTAAAATTGGCTTTAATAAAAATAAGAATTTGTTGGCTCAAAAATTTAAGAAACTTTCAGACATTCAATCCATGGAGAGGATAAGGATTTAGCTAGGCCTGACAAACACTAGGTACTAAAGATGTGACATGATCCG
Organism: Homo sapiens; assembly: GCF_000001405.40. NCBI lineage: Eukaryota > Metazoa > Chordata > Mammalia > Primates > Hominidae > Homo > Homo sapiens. The sequence goes on along the minus strand of NC_000023.11, from coordinate 144,021,456 downwards.
AGCTTTATTTCATCTCTCTTAACTTTGCTTTTGTCAGCTTACTAGATTCATGCTTTCATAACATAAAAAAGGTGGATTTAACGATGTTCCTCCAAAATTCATATTTTCCAGGAGCCTCAAAATGTAAACATATTTGGAAATAGGCTCTTCACTGATGTCATAAGTTAAGATAATGCCATACTGGATGAGAGAGGACCTTATATCCAATGACTGGTAATCTTATAACAAGAGGAGAGAATACACAGAGACACGGAGAGAAGAAGGTCATGTGAAGACAGAGACTGAGATTGGAGTTGATGCTACTGCAAGCCAAACAACAACAAGGATTGCTTTGAGCCACCGCAAGCTAAGGAGAGGCAAGGAAGGATTCTTCCCTAGAGTCCTTAGTAAAACACTGTTCTACTCACACCTTGATTTTGGACTTCTGGCATCCAGATCCATGAGAGAATACATTGGTTTAAGCCACCAGTTTGTGGTAATTTGTTATGGCAGCCCTAAGACACTAATAAAATGACCAGCCTATTTAATGCTGCAACAAAACCACCTAACCCAGATTCCACTTTCCCCTCCTTTTTTCTTTTCTTATAACTGATGACCTAATGATTTTCTACTATAGTTCATTGATCCCAAGATGCAATGCTGTTTTTTCACATGGTATCGTCTCTGAAATTGGAATGAATTTTGCAATCAATGGCCTGTCATATGTATTTATCAATGCCTTTTTTTTTGTTTGTTTTTAGTGGTACATAAAACCATGGTGTTCTTTACAATTAATAACATCTTAGAGGCAATAATATATGGTTAACTTATCTATTGTTTATGTTAATTATTTTCTGTTTCCCTCTACCTCATCCATCCAGATACTACATGAGGCAATGGGTCTTTGATTTGTTCACTGCTTTTTCTCAGCACCTAGACTGATGTTTGGCATGCTTCAGGGATTTAACATATTAATAGATAGTATATTATCAGCAAATATTTAGTGAACTTAACCAAAGTATATCTCCAGGCATTGAGTAACAGTCACTTGACCATCTCTCATTTTTTTAATGAGCCACTGGAAGAAGGCTTTTACTTCTTCCTTTCCAATTAGTCTGAAATTGCTATTATTTATTTTGTTTTGTTATCTAGGCATGTTAATAATTACTTGCAATTATTTCATATTTTGAAAGTTTAAACATTTCTCATAATTATCACTTTTGATAAAATAAAATCATCCTAACTCACAGGGATGTGAAGCTTATTATTTTAATTTTAAAGATGAGAAAACTGAGGTTCAGAGGTACTAAAGCATTTTGTCTAAAGTCATAGGTCACCAAGAATTTCCTAGTACTCTTCTTCCTAACCCAGTGCTCTGTTTTGGGTCTCCTAATGTAATCCAGTATGTAAATGCTACAATTTAACACATATAGGACTTCAGAAATCCTTGCAGATTTTCATAATTTTCTGGGAATTTTTAGAGTATAAAAGAGAAACCAGAGGAACAGATGGCAATGAATTATATATAGCAGCATGTTTTTAAATGGCATAAGTAATCTACATTTCAAATATATATTTGTGGAGGCAGATATGTTAATCAGATATAGATATAGTTATATGCATATGTAATATGAGTAACTGTATTATAAATATATCAGAGAGATAAACAGCTTGGTAAGGGCATCCCTGTATCCCTACCGAAGGTGCGTTCATTCACAAAAATCAAAATGTACATTGGGGTTTAGATCTATAGCCTTGATATAAATAGACATACTATTGTTGTTAAGAATAATTTTAATTGTTTTCAAATATACACTGTATAATGAAATATAGTAGACTTTACAGCACTGTATTTTAACAAAAAAATTGGATAGATATGAAAAGAAACTGGTATGTAAAACCAAAACATAGGGTGATTATCAAGCAAATCAGAATTGCTTTAGACTTTGGGACGTGTTGCATTCTGGGATTAACTAGAGTTTAGCTTAAAAGACACAGTGAGAGATCCTAGAAACTGCCTTGGGTTCACTCCCTGCCTGTACACAGCTTTTTAACTCTGCTGGATTATTTAGTTTCATGTCATTCTCAAACACAATATGTAAGACAGGTGAGTATCCAGTGTTGGAATGGGCTAGGATTTAGTTGACTGTGATATTTTGTTGCAAATGTCAAAAGCAATGGGGTTTCTTACAGATGTTTCACTGAGAAATACAGAAATAAGAGATGTGAAAACAAAGTTGATTAATACTATCCATAAGTTTGTTTTTAAGTTCTCAGTTTCACATTCAAGGGCGTCCACAATATAGATCTAGCCTAATCTTCTATTCCCATCATATATTACCTTCTACTCTACACTATGTTCTAGTCCAACTCAATTGTGTTTTTCTTCAATAATTTTCCACAAACAATACTTTTATTATATCCTGTAGTCACATTTCTTATGTAGAATCATATATGGCTTTCTTCTCCCTCTTCCTTTTCAAGCTAATGTAACTTAGTAATTAAGGCTCTGGACAGTGGAGTCAGACTAAATGAAGGTCAGATTATAACTCTCTCACCTGTTTTCTTTGTAATCTTAGACATGTGACAAAATTTCTCTGATCACTGAGATCTTCACCTGTAGGTTACAGTAATGTAATATGTACCTCATAGTCAAAAGCAAAGAAATAATGAATAGCATATGACATTAGGTTGTGATGAAAGAAATATAATATATAAATTAATAAATGTATGAATATATATATGTGTGTGTGTATTCAAATATATGTTTCTGTGTGTATTCTAAAGCAGGTTCCAATTTGTTAAAAGGCAGGATGACTTATCCAAGCTAGCTCAGGGCTCATTTAAGAGCACTTTGGCTATAGAAGGCATATGCCCCCACTCTTTTCATGTTTTTCCTAGGGAAATTAAATTACAATTATAGCAGTTTCCTCATGCTATCTTAACAAAGTATCACAAACTGCCTGACTTAAACAACAAAAAATATTTCAGTTCTGGAGTCTAGAAGTCTAAAATGGAGGTGTCATCAGGGTTGGTTCATTGGAAGGCTGTGAGGAAAGGATGCATTCCAAGCCTCTCTCCTTGACTTGTAGATGGCTGTCTTCTCCCTGTGTCTTCACATTGTCTTCCCTCTGTACATGTCTATCCCTGTCCAAATATCCTATTTTTTTTTTTTTGAGATGGTGTCTTGCTCTGTCGCCCAGGATGGAGTGCAGTGGCGCGATCTCGGCTCACCACAACCTCCGCCTCCCGGGTTCAAGCGACTGTCCTGACTCAGCCTCCTGAGTAGCTGGGAGTAGCTGAGACTACAGGCGCATACCACCACGCCCAGCTAATATTTTTGTATTTTTAGTAGAGATGGGGTTTCACCGTGTTGGCCAGGCTGGTATCGATCTCCTGACCTTGTGATCTACCTGCCTTGAATTCCCCAAGTGCTGTGATTACAGACGTGAGCCACCTCGCCCAATCCAAAATATCCCTTTTTATGAGAACACAGTCTTACCGTATTAGGGCCCACACTGAAGACCTTGTTTAACTAGATTACATTTGCAAAGACCCTATTTCCAAATAAGTTCACATTTACAGGTATTGGAAATTAGGAGTACAACATCTTTGGCAGGGAAATGATTCAACCCATGACAAGAATTAAGGCAGTGAAATAAGCCAGACCCAGAAATGCAAATGTCACATGATCTCACTTGCATGTGGGTGCTAAAAAAAAAAAAAAGTGATCTCATAAAGGTAGAGAGTAGAATGATAGATGCCAGGGATTGGGAAGGGGATGTGGGTGGGAGGGAGGAAAAGTAGAGGTTGGTCAATGGGTGCTAACATACAGTTAGAGAGAAGGAATAAGTTCCAGTGTCTTTAGCACAGTAGAATGACTTTAGTTAACAACAATTTATTATATATTTGAAAATAGCCAGAAGAGAAGACATGAGATGTACCTAACACACAGAAATGATAAATACTCGAGGTGATCAACACCCCCAATACCTTGATTTGATTATTAAGCAGTCTATACATGTAACAAAATATCACATGTACCCCATGCATATGTAAAATATTATGTATCAATAAAAATAAATTTATAAGGAATTAAGATAGTAAAAATGGACCTGGGAGCAAGAAAGGACACTGAAGTCCAGTGCAATAGCTCTGAAGCTAAAACTCAGAAAGTAGAAGTGCCAGCCTGAATGCTTGCTTTCCACACTGAATAGAGACATCTGGCTGACTGTAATTTGTGAAACTTGCTTCAGATTCTCTAAATTATTTTTTAAAATATATTTGAAGGAGTTTAGAAGGTGCTGAAAGTATACGCACAAGTTAAATTAAAACAATTTCTATGAAATTATATATAATTAGCCTTAATGTGGAAATTTTGAATTAGAAATTTCTCTAGAAAGTTCAAAGCCTTACTTTGAGGTTAAATTATGACTCAATATAATTCAAATTATCATTACTTTCATAGAAATAGTAATCATGCATATAGATAAAATTACTTTTAATTGACTATCCAATTGACTTAAATGAAAAGATCAAAGTTATGTATTTAATTTAGAAAGAAGCTCTTTGGGAAGCTACTTGTGAGGTTTCTATACCAATGTATTTAATAAGAAACTCAGAGATCAAGTTTCAGTGTTAATCATTCATCTTATTATTGGATCTGGCATACAAGTCTATAATCCAAATCAGGCTTTAGGACAAGTGCCCACTGTATACAGAATGTCTCCAAGAAAATATTATGCAGAATATTATAGTCCTGGGTGTGCTCACATGTCAACACCCTTCGTTAGGGCTAATATTAATTATTGTTGGCATAAAGCTTTGCCACTGACTCAGCTTATTTTCTAAAGGTATGTTTCTGTCCAGTTAGGTAAAAGTGGTCAGTTTTCTGGCTCCAAAATCTAGGATGTTTGGCTTTTCATCTTCTTTCTTACTATGCCATATTGCTCTGCTCCACCTTACCATCTGCCACCTGACTCCTCACCCTCAAAAAGTATATCTGCATAAGTTCAGAAAAAAGAAAAAGAAATGAAGTAAAAAGTGGTCCACTTTTTCCTTGCAAGGTCACATATTTGAATGCAGTATCTTGGCTGTTAAAAAGAAAAATAATACCTTTTTACATAATTAAAGCAAGCACAAGCCTCTATGCCCTGTTTCCATCTATTTCCTTTTTAACAAATGTCGGCAACTTGGCTGAATATCTGAGTACCTGAGTCATAATTCCCAGTGTTATATTGCTTTATTATCTATAGTCTCTCCAATCCTCAGATCAGATATACATGAGAAAGAAGCCCCGTGTTGTCTCCCTCCTGTAGCAGGGCCTCAGAATCCCCAGGGATGCTGGTCTTACCTGCTCCTTGGTTTAGGTCCTTTCCTTTATATTTAAACATCAAAATAATATTACCTGACTGCTTTCCCAGCTAAATTCTAACCTGATCTACTTTTTTTTTCTTCTTTTTTAAGAATCAAAAGCTAAAAGTAGATAAGGGTGAGAGGAAAAAGCAATATTCAAAAAACAATATGAAAATTCCTAAGAGGGCCTGGACCACATAGGAGCAACTATTTATTCTTTATTCAACATATAGTTTATTGAGCATTCACTATTTACCAAACACTTTGAGGGATCTCGGAAGGCGTAAAGCTTAGTCCATTCCCTCAAGGAACTGCTGACTAGAAGTGGAGCCCATGGGATATAAACAAGGATGACATAAAGTAGAATGCAGTAAGTGTTATAATTAGCATACAATGTTCTGTAGAAGGATAGAGAAAACAATTATTTGTTCTGACTATAGGAATATTTTCTCTTTTTTTCCCCCTAACTTTTATTTTAAGTTCAGTGGTACAGGTGCAGGAAGTGCAGGTTTGTTACATAGGTCAACATGTGCCTTGGTGGTTTGCTACACAGATCAACCCATCACCTAGATATTAAGCCCAGAATCCATTAGCTCTTCTTCCTGATGCTCTCCCTCCTCTCCCCCATTGACAAGACCCGGTGTCTGTTGTTCCCCCCACCCATATGTCAATGTGTTCTCATAATTCAGCTCCCCCTTATAAGTGAGAAAATGTGGTGTGTGTTTGTCTGTTCCCGCATAATAGTGTTACATAGTGTATATGTACCATATTTTTTTTTATCCAGTCTATCATCGATAGGCATTTGGATTGATTCTACATCTTTGCCATTGTGAATAGTGCTGCAATGAACATATATGTGCATGGATCTTTAGAATAGAATGATTTATATTCCTTTGGGTATATACCCAGTAATGGGACTTCTAGGTCAAATGGTATTTCTGTCTCTGGGCCCTTGAAGAATCACAACTCCGTCTTCCACAAAAGTTGAAATAATTTACACTCCCACCAACAGTGTAAAAGCACTTCTTTTTCTCCACAACCTCGCCAGTATCTGTTGTTCTTTGACTTTTTAATGATAGCCATTCTGACTGGCATGAGATGGTATCTCACTGTGGTTTTGAGTTGCGTTTCTCTAATGATCATTGATGTTGAGCTTTTTTTCATATGTTTGTAGGCTACATGTATGTCTTTTTTTGAGAAGTGTCTCTTCATGCAGCTCCTCCACTTTTAAATAAGGTTTGTTTTTCTTTTGTAAACTCTTTAAGTTCACTGCAGACTCTGGAGATTAGATCCTTGTCAGATGGATAGCTTGCAAACATTTTCTCCCGTTCTCTAGGTTGTCTGTTTGCCGTAATAATAATTCGTTTTGCTTTGCAGAAGCTCTTTACTTTAATTAGATCCTATTTGTCAATTTTTGCTTTTGTTGCAATTGCTTTTGGTGTTCTTGGCATGAAATATTTCCTTGTGCCTATGTCCTGAATGGTATTGCCTAGAATTTCTTTGGGGTTTTTATAGCTTTGGTTTTTACATGTAAATTTTTAATCAATCTTGAGTTAATTTTTGTATACGCTGTAAGAAAGGGACTTGCCTTGTCTCAGATGAGACTTTAAACTGTGGACTTTTGGGTTAATGCTGAAATGGGTTAAGACATTGAGGAACTGTTGGGAAGGCATGATTGGTTTTGAAATGTGAGAACATGAGATTTGGGAGGGGCCGGGGAGGAATTATATGGTTTGGCTCTGTGCCCCCACCCAAATCTCACCTTGAATTGTAATCCGCATAATCCCTGTGTGTCAAAGGGAGGACCAGGTGGAGGTAATTGTATCATGGGGGCAGTTTCCACCATGCTGTTCTCATGAGAATGAGCGAGTCTCATGAGATCTGACGATTTTATAAGCATCTAGTATTTCCCCTGTTTGCACTCACTCCATCCTGCTGCTCTGTGTAGAAGGTGCCTGCTTCTTCTTTGCCTTCCACTATGATTGTAAGTTTCCTGAGGCCTCCCCAGCAATGAAGAACTGTGAGTCAATTAAACCTCTTTTATAATTAACTCAGACTCAGGTTATTTCTTCATAGCAGCATGCGAACGGACTAATACACCTACCAACCAAAAAAAAAAAAAAGCCCGGGACTACATGGATTCACAGCTGAATTCTGCCAGATGTACAAAGAAGAGCTGGTACCATTTCAACTGAAACTATTCCAAACAATTGAAAAGGAAGGACTCCTCCCTAACTTATTATATGAGGCCAGCATCATCCTGATACCAAAACCTGGCAGAGATACAACAAAAACAGAAACCTTCAGTCAAGTATCTTCGAAAACATTGATGGCGAAATCCTCAATAAAATACTAGCAAACTGAATCCAGCAGCACATCAAAAAGCTTACCCACCATGATCAAGCTGATTTCATTCCTGGGTTTTAAGGCTGGTTCAACATATGCAAATCAATAAATGTGATTAATCACATAAACAGAACTAAAGACAAAAACCACATGATTATCTCAAGAGATGCAGAAAAGACTTGTGATAAAATTGAACATTCTTCATTTTAAACACTCTCAATAAACTAGGTACTAAAGGAACAAAACTCACAATAATAAGAGACATCTATGACAAACCCACAGCCAATACCATACTGAATGAGCAAAAGCTGGAAGCATTCCCCTTGAAAACCAGCACAAGACAAGGATGCCCTCTCTCACCACTCCTATTCAATATAGTATTGGTAGTTCTGGCCAGGGCAATCAGGCAAGAGAAAGATATAAAGTCAGCACAAAAGCTTCTTAAGCTGATAAGCAACTTCAGCAAAGTCTCTGGATACAAAGTCAATGTGCAAAAACTGCTAGCATTCTTACACACCAACCACAGGGAAGCAGAGAGCCAAATCATGAATTAACTCTCATTGCAAATTGCTACTGAAAGAATAAAATTCTTAGGAATACATCTAACAAGGGAAGTGAAGGACTTCTTCAAGGAGGACTACAAACCACTGCTCAAGGATATTTTTTCAGATGTGACATTTGACTTGTGTTCAGAAATATGGGTAATGTCTTAGTCCACTGGTGCTGTTATAACAAAATACCTGTGAGTAGGTAGTTTATAAACAGCAGAAACTTATTACAGTTCTAGTGACTAGGAAGTCAAAGGTCTAAGTGCCAGCAGATTTGGTGTCTGGTGAGTGCTGCTCTCTGCTCCAAGATGGTGCCTTATTGCATCCTCACATGGCTGAAGGCAAGAAGGCAAAAGGGACCTAGCTATTTTCCCCCAGGCCTTTTTTGTTGTTGTTGTTGAGACACAGTCTCACTCTGTCACCCAGGTGGGAGTGCAGTGGCATGATCTTGGCTCACTGCAACCTCTGCCTCCCGGGTTCAAGTGATTCTTCTACCTCGGCCTCCTGAGTAGCTGAGACTACAGGCGTGTGCCACCACACCTGGCTAATTTTTGCATTTTTAGTAAAGACAGGGTTTCATCATGTTGGCCAGGCTGGCCTCGAACTCCTGACCTCAAGTGATCCACCCACCTAAGCCTCCCAAAGTGCTGGGATTACATGTGTGAGCCACCGCACCTGCCCCCACTAGGCCTTTTATAAGAGCACTAATTCATTCATGAGAGTGAAGCCCTCATGACCCAGTCACCTTCTGAAGACCGGATAACTTCATATTGTTGCATTGGGAATTAACTTCCAACATAAACTTTGAAAGGCACGTAAATGTTCAAACCATAGCAGATAGGATTTCAATAATTGATTAAGAGCCTACCACGCTGAATGTTTTCATCCAAGGAATGGAGATGTGTACTTTTAAAGGCAAGTGATCTGCTAAATAATTGTGTATCTAAATACTGAACTGAAACTTTTCCCAATATTTTCCATTATTCTGAAAACTTTCTTAATTCTCTTGGGCCAAGTCAAAAACATTTCACATAGAGCTATTTCTATAGGCTAAAACCAGCCAAAACTATAGACAGAGATACTGTATCTTCATTGGTTAACATGAAAGGTAACTCATAACTTATAAGGGTTTTAAGAAGATCAAATGAGGGAATATATATATATATATATATGAAAGGGTTTGGCACCACAGACTCTGCTTACTGTACTCATTGAATTTCTAATTATATGTTTTGCTTTATTTTTGTCTCTTAATGGATTTTAATTCTCTGAAGAATGGTGTTTTTCTTGTTATCCCAGCATGCAGTGCAATATCTAATGTGATGCATGTGCTTAATAAGTATTTTTGATTGAAAAATATAAATAAAAGAAGTTATGGGCCTAGAATTTCTATATAGATATTATGTGGTTAGTATTAATGTTGTATATCGTATTTGACCCATTTCCTATTTGTGACCATAAAAGCAATTATAAAGCCTAAGCCTAATTGAAAATCAATCCAAACATCTTGTCTTTACTTAATGCCACTCTCCCTTTATATCAAATATTCCTTATTGGAAGTAAAATATGTAGCCTAAATTAAGGTGTTTCCCCAAACCTGGAGAAGTAAATATTAGGGATGGTAAAATTCTTTGGTATATTCTAGTACAACTTCAATATTTTATAACTGAGGAAACTGAAGATCAGAGACGGAGAGGATTTGCCAATCCTGACATCTTAATAACAAAGCCAGGGATAAACCATCTGATTCAAGTTCAATTCTCATTTCAGAACACCATGTTGAATTTTTGAGCATTCATCAAACTAAGCCATAATCTTTAATGTGCTATGACTGGTTTCCCTCACAGCTATATTTTGAAAGATACTGTTTAGATAATCATGTTCAATGAGTATCCCAACAATGATCTTCAGGGACATTCTTATGTTGCAATACCATTTCTTTGTCTCGTTCAGTTTATTTGATGATCCAATCAGTATCAATTATTATTAAGTGTATTCCATGTCAGTAAATAGCTTTCTCTATGAACTGGTATGTTAGGGACCGCCAACAAACAATGATCTAATATAACAATTTTATTAACCAGAAAGGTTAGAGTGACAAATACTAGTGTGGCAGCTATTTATTGCTAAAACTACCCTCCAGGAGTGCCAAAGGCATCTGAGCCTGCTGAGGGATATAGCTGAAACGGGGCAATATTCTTTTCCTTGAAAACCAATGGCAAAGTAGATAATTTTTTAAAAAACTAAAATGACAAGTCAAAAAAAAAGTAATGAATATAAAAGCATAGCTATCTGAACAAGAGTAACCTAAACGGTATCACCATCATTATCATCTATTAAAAATTTACCATGTATTATACACTGTTTGGGATGCTTTTCAGGTATCATCTAATTTATTCTTCAAAATAGTGTTACACTATATTTTCATACTAATTTTTCAAACAAGGAAACCAAAGCATTTGCAAGTTCCATAAATGTCCCAATTTCACACAGCTAATAAATAGCGGAGCTGTTATTTTAACCCAGGCCATTTGATGCTTGAACTCCATATTATGTTATTATAATGGGATAAAATGCAAGTAAGATAGATTCAGTTGAGAGAAATCCTTTAATGCCAGATTGAATTAAAACTTGGAATAAAACATAAAGAAGCCTCTGTATTCTTGCCTAGGGTAGGGGATGCTTAAATGAAAAAAAATGTATACATATAATTAATAGGACAAAAAAGTTCCAGGTAGAATGAGCAGAGCCATGAAGCAGAAAAAAACTAGTGTGAAGAGGGCTGAGGCTAGAGAAGTGGCAAGAGCATAAGACAGAGTACATGTTCCAACACACATCCTATAAATAACTGACATAACTTAATGTGCTATGATTAATGGAGTGTGGGAAGGAGAAAGTTGAGAGAAAAGCCAAAGATAACTCAAAAGTTCAATATTCAGAAATAAGAATGGTCAGCTGTAAAAGGGAGCATCTTGAATGAAGAGTAAAAATGAGAAATAGTTTTTATTTTGAGTTTCAATTCAAGGTGAGACTCATGTGATAGCAGTTTGTGCTACTGAGGTCTTGACCTGTCAAAGCCTGCTGCCATGATCTGTAGCCTTATCGTTATGATTTGTAGCCTTATTGTTTCTTAGTGAAAATCAAAATCAAGCCTTTTCCCGAGGCAGTGAAAGATTGTGTTTATATACTACTGATATGGTTTGGCTCTGTGTCCCCACCAAAATCTCATGTTGAAATATAATTCTCAATTTTGGAAGAGGGTCCTCATGGGAGGTGACTGGAACTCAGAGGTGGTTTCTAATGGTTTAGCATCATCACCCTAGTACTGTCTCATGATAGAGTTCTCAAGAGATGCAGTTGTTTAAAAGTGTGTAGCATTTCCCCCTCTTTCTTTTCCTTCTGTTCTGGCCATGTAAGATGTGCCTCCTTCTTCTTTACCTTCTACCATGATTGTAAGTTTCCTGAGGCCACCCCAGTCATGCTTCCTGTACAGCCTATGGAAACATGCGTCCATTAAACCTCTTTCATTTCTAAATTACCCAGTCTCAGGTAGTTCTTTACAGGAATGTGAGAACAGACTAATATATAAAATTGGTACTGGGAGTGGAACACTGCTATAAAGATAACCTGAAAGTGAGGAAGTTACTTTGGAACTGGGTAACAGGAAGAGGTTGGAACAGTTTGGAGGGCTCAGAAGAAGACAGGAAGATGAGAAAAAGTTTGGAACTTCCTAGAGACTTGGAGGGCTCAGTAGATAGAAAGATGTGGGAAAATCTCGAACTTCCTAAAGACTTGTTGAATGGCTTTAACCAAAATGCTGATAGTAATATGAAAAATGAAGTCCAGGCTGAGGTGGTCTCAGATGGAGATGAGAAACTTGTTGGGAACCGGAGTTAAGGTTACTCTTGCTATTCTTTAGCAAAGAGACTGGCAGTATTGTGCTCTTGCTTTAGAGATCTGTGGAAGCTTGAACTTGAGAGAGATTATTTAGGGTATCTGACAGAAGAAATCTCTAAGCAGCAAAGCATTCAAGATGTGTGACCTGGCTTCTTCTAACAGCATATGCTCATATGTGTGTGCAAAGAGAATATCTGAAAATGGAACACTTATACTGAAAAGGGAAGCAGAGGATACAATTTTAAAATTTTTTCAGCCTGACCATGTGGTAAAAAAGAAAAACCCCTTTTTTCTGGGAGGAATTCAAGAAGTCTGCAGAAATTTGCATAAGTAAAGAGAAGCCAAATGTTAATAGCCAAGACAATGGGGAAAATGCCTCCAGGACATTTCAGAGACCTTCGTGGCAGCCCCTCCCATCACAGCCCTGGAGGCCTAGGAGGAAAAAATGGTTTCATGGGCCAGGCCCAGGACCCTGCTGCTCTGTGCAGCCTTGGGACATAATGTCCTGTGTACCAGCCACTCCAGCTCCAGCCCTGGCTAAAAGGGGTCAAGGTACAACTTGGGCCATTGCTTCAGATGGTGCAAGCCCCAAGACTTGGTGGTTTCTATGTGGTGTTGGGCCTGTTGGTGTGCAGAAGGCAAGAGATGAAGCTTGGGAGCCTCCACTTACATTTCAGAAGATGTATGGAAACATCTGGATGCCCAGGCAGAAGTCTGTTGCAGGGGCAGAGCCCTCATGGAGGACTTCTACTAGGGCAGTGTGGAGGGAAAATGTGGGTTCACAGCCCTCAGACAAAGTCACCACCAGGGTACTGCCTAGTGGAGTTGCGAGAAGAGGCCCACCATTCTCCAGACCCCCGAATGGTAGATCCACCAACAGCTTGCACCCTGTGCCTGCAAAGGCCACAGACACTCAACACCAGCCTGTAAAACCAGCTATTGCAGAGCCCTGCAGCCCTGCAGCCCTGCAGAGCCATAGGGGTGGAGCTTCTCAAGGCCTTGGGAGCCCACCCCTTGCATTAGTGTGGTCTGGATGTAAGACATGGAGTCAAAGGCCATTATTTTGGAGCTTTAAGATTTAATGACTGCCTGCTGGGTTTTTTAATTGCATGGGCCTGGAACTCCTTTGTTTTGGCTAATTTATCCCTCTTGGAATGGGTGTATTTATCCAATGCCTGTACCTCCATTGTATCTTTAAAGTAACTAACTTGCTTTTGATTTTACAGGCTCATAGGCAGAAGAGACTTGCCTTGTCTCAGATGAGACTTTAGACTTGGACTTCTGAGTTAATGCTGGAATGAGTTAAGGCTTTGGGGGACTGTTGGGAAGGCATGATTGTATTTTAAAATGTGAGAAGGACCTGAGATTTTGAATGGGTCAGGACCAGAATGATGTGATTTGTCTCTGTCCCCTCCCAAATCTCATGTCAAATTGTAATCCCCAATTTTGGAGGAGGGGCCTGGTGGGAGGTGATTGGATTGTGAAGGTGGTTTCTAATGGTTTAGCATCATCACTCTAGTGCTGTCTCGTGATAAAATTCTCATGAAATCTGGTTGTTTAAAAGTGTGTAGCACCACCCTCCCTCCCTTTCTCTTCCTCCTGTTCCAGCCATGTAAGACAACCCTCTTTTCTTTTCACCTTCAACTATGATTTTAAGTTTCCTGAGTCCTCCCTAGCCCCGCTTCTTGTAGATTCTGTGGAACTGTGAGCCAATTAAATCTCTTTTCTTTATAAATTACCCAGTCTCAGGTAGTTATTTATAGCAATGCAAGAACAGACTAATACAACTACACTAGAGAATATTTCCCTGGGCCAGCTGGCTAGACCAGGTTTCCACAACTAGATACCACCCAAAGGGTAAGTCAAGAAGGGTGCCAGTAAATTGTCCTTCATCCTCAAACTACCCCCTTACCAAAATACTGGGCTTTCCAATTTAAAAGGATTTCCATTATTTAATAAATGTTTGAAATATATCTGCTTTATACTCATATGACTGGGGCCAACTCTCTGAACACCAAATATACACAGAGGCCTGTATACAGTAAAGGAAAGATCAGACATGATGTTTTCAAAAAAGTCAAAGGTCACAGATCCAGAGAGAGAGAATACTGTAAAGAAGTAATAGGAGGTTATGACCAGAAACACAGTAATAAATATGCCTGATATAGGGAGGCATGAGGTTGCAGAAGGAGGCCAAATGATTATATATGTAAGAGACATTTGAAGCAGAGTGACTCCATCTTGAACAGAGCTGAGTAAAATGAGGCTAAGACCTACTGAGCTACATTCCCAGGAAGTTAGTCATCCTTAGTCACAAGATGTTTATGGTTAAGGGAACAGACTAATAATGTTTACTGAACAGACTTCAGAGTTAACAGACCAGAAAATGTCCTGATGTCTTGATATCCTAAGGACAAAAGCATTCTTTGTTCAAGAAAAAGTTTTGCTTTAAAGATAATATAGTTGGTATGGTGGCACATGCCTGTAATCCCAGCACTTTGGGAGGCCAAGGTGGGCAGATCTTTTGATCACAAGAGTTTGAGACCAGGCTGGGCAACATGGCAAAATCCTATTTCTATAAAAATTACAAAAATTAGCTGGGCATGCTGCTATGTAGCTCTAGTCCCAGCTACTCGGGAGGCTGAAGTGGGAAGATCATCTGAGCCCGGGGAGGTTGAGGCTGCAGGAGCCCTGATGGCACTACTACACTCCAGCCTGGGCAACAGAGGAGGCCCTCTCTCCAAAAAATATATATAATAATATAGATTATTGTCAAAGTCAGTGGTTACACAAAGATGAACCATCTTTTGTCACAAGCCCTTGAAGTAGAGCACACCTGCCCCATGGTTATTTTTTGCTTTATCTCATATAAAAACAAGCAGTGCACCTATGGTGGATGCATTCACCCTCGTGCTTTCAGGAATGCTCTGTTCTGTCAATAGAGTAGCCATTCTTTTGTTTATTTACTTCTCTAATAGACTTGCATTCACTTTACTTTGCATGCTCACTACAAATTCTTCCTTGTATGAGATCCAAGAACCCTTTCACTTGATCAGGATTCCTTTCTGATAACTGGTAATATGTGATAGAAAAATCATGAAGTAAGAAGAAAGTAGGATCAAAAGTAAGTCACAAGCAGTTCAAAGCCAAAGCTTGATTAAGAATGCCAGTGCTTTGGATGATTACTGATTACTTTTGTATTGTGATGCCTGCATGGTGAAATGACTTGGATTTAATGACCTTGGAATTATGCAGAACTCCACAGAATAGCATGATTTTTCCAGATGGTCTCAGTTACACGCATGAGAATACAAACCAAGAAGATTCAATAAAGCTTATTTGTAGTGTAATATTTTTTTCAGGCTCTCATGTTTCTTTAAAAACTTTAAGCAATTTTATCTCAGGTATGAATTGGAAAAAATTAAATAAATGATAACACACACACACACACACACACACACACACACACACACACACACATTTGTAACTACAAAGAAGTTAAAGACCCCATGAAGGTAAACGCTGACTAAAATATTCAGTCAGAGTAGATGTGACTTAGGCCCAAGCAGTTAGAGAATTCCCTGCAGTAAAGTGCAATATCATTGACTTTCATGGCAGAAGACAAAGCACACAGAGCATATTTTATATTACCAGTGCCAAGTACAGTACCTGGAATACAGTAGGAACTCTCTAAATATTTGTTGAACAAATGAGAGAAAGACATTGTTCAATGAAATGCAGCATTCATTGTAGTCAAAGAAAAGTCTGGCATCCATCTGATTATTCTTCTTCTGCCCATTCCACAAATATAAACAGAACACTTGCTCTGTGGTAGGAAAAATACTACATACATGATCGTTATACCTTCTCCCTATGGAACATATATTCTACTGCAAGAGACAGAAAAATAAGTAGACAAAATGAAATAATTTTAATTTTGGTAAGTACTAGAAGGAACTAAATAGCTTTTTAAAAATAGTTTTTAAATAGAGAATAGACAGCCTATTTAGTGAGGAAGGTTAGAAGAAAGCCTCTCTGAGAAAGTGACATTTACTCTGAAACCTGAAAATGAGAATGAACCAGCCATATGAGGAGACACTGTTAAATAATTCCAAGCAGTGAGCACAAAACCCCAGAGTAGCTGGAAAGAGAATGAGACGATAAATTATCAGAAAGAGGCTCTTTTGCAAGTTGCTTGTTTTCTATCTCTTCAACCCTGCATTCTTGGGATTCTAAAATTTTACTCACACGTACCTAGGTATTCTTTGCGAATGTTTGTGCTTTGGTGTGAACTTTAAAAAGCTTAATAACTAATAGTCTTTTAAACACAATTTTTTTCAGCTCTGAAATTTTTTTCTCCTTCTCATTCTTTCAATTGTGTATTTTGAAAACTCTGCTTTCACATACTTTAGAACTTCTTCATGTGTCTCCTCTGTCTAGTAATTCTTTTCTTATATTTTAAATCCTTGTTTTTTGACACTGAGTTCAGAATGATATTAATCTAGGAGAATGACATCAGCAGGATGGCAGATTAGAAGTGTTTAGCCCTTAAACCCCTAACAGAAACACAAATTTAAACAAATACTCAAGGACTAGAATACCTTTATGTGAGCCTGGGAGTCCAGTGGAGACGTTCTAGCATCAATGGAGCAAAAAATTCAAGAAGAAGGCAAGTAAAACAGTTTCACTTTACCTGTATAACCCCTCCTCCAAAAGAGCATAGCTCAGAGCCAAGAAAGAGCCCTTCAGCCTGTAATTTCTACCATGGAGAAAAGTGAGAGACAAATGAGCACCTGGCTTCCCCAGCCTTGCAAGATACTGCCCAGGAAACTCACTTCCATCTCATTCCACCCACCACAGTGAGGAAATTAGCAAAATTGAATCATTTTGGAGCAGTCAGGTATAGAGAAAGGGGAGGGTGCTCACAGCATCTTGTGTCCACATCTCAATAAACAGATGCAGATGCTACTGGCTAGCTCACACAGTTTACCAAGAGTCCCACTAATAAGCCTTATGGAATGTCTCACCTGCAGATCTCTCAACTACCTGACATACACTGCTAGCTGATATAACAATTATAAGTAAATGTACACCAAACATTGGGGCATCTAAATTTGTAAACAAATATTAATAGATTTGAAGGGAGAGATAGACTATAATAGAATAATAGTAAGAGACTTGAACACTTCACTTTCAGCAATGGACAGATCATGCAGACAGAAAATCAGTAAGGAAACAATGGACTTAAATAACACTTTAGACAAAATGGACTTAACAGACATACGCAGGACATTACATCCAACAGAAACAGAATACGCATTCTACTCAAGTGCACAAGGAACCTTCTTCAGGACTGATCATGTGTCAAGCCCCCAAAATGGTCTGAACAAACTTAGGACAAATGAAATGATATTGAATACAATTTCTGGTCACAATGGTATAAAATTTGAAATCAGTAACAGGAAGAATTTTAGAAAAATGATAAAGACATAGAATTAAACAACATGATCCTGAACAAACAATGAGTCATGGGATGAATTAAGAGGAAAATTAAAAAATATCTTAAGACGGATAAAAATGTATGCACAACATAACAAAATTTATGGGATGCAGCAGACATCATCTTAACATGGATGTTTATGACAATAAATACCTACATCAAAAAAAAAAAAAGAAAGATCTCAAAGAACCTAACACTATATCTCAAGGTATAGAAAAAGAAGAACAAACTAAGCCCAAATTCAGAAGAAAGAAAGAATCATCAGAGCTAAAATAAGTAAAATAGAGACTAGAAAAAACAGTCAAAAGGATTAATGAAACTAAGATTTGGTTTTTTGAGAAGAGGAACAAAATTGACAGACCTTTAGGTAGATTAAGAAAAAAAAACAGTAAAAAATCGAATAAATTTATAAATGAAGAGACATCATGACTGTGTAAACCCCAAAAAATCTGAGACAGGTCTCAGTTAATTTAGAAAGTTATTTGGCCAAGGTGGAGGACATGCACCCATGACCCAGCTTCAGGAGGTCCTGATGCTGGCGACCTACAAAATGAGAGAAAATATTTGAAAACCATGTATCTGATGAGAGGTTAATATCCAAAATATATAAGAAACCCCTACAATTAAATAGCAAAATAACTAATAACCTGATCAAAAGGTGGGCAATGGAATTTAATGAGCATTTATTTAAATGAAACATACAGATAGCCAACAGACATATGAAAAGGTGCTCAATATCACGAATCATCCAGGAAATGCAATAAAAACCACAATGAGATATTATGTCTCACCTGTCAGGATGGCTATTTAAAAAACAACAACAAAATATAACAGTGTTAGTTTGGATATGGAGAAAAAAAAATTCCCTTACACACTGTTGGTGGGAATGTAATTTGGTACAGCCTTGACAGTAAACAGCATGGAGGTTCCTCAAAACAGTACAAAATAGTTTACTATCTAATTTGATCCCTTATATTAGACAAGATGGACTCTAAAATTAAGGAAACAAAGGTATCTATGGGTTGAGGGTTCAGGACACAAGAAAAAAAACACACTTTGGTTAAACTCCCTAATAGTAGCTATCAGTCAAATTTTCAGACCTCTCTTAACTCTGATTTACATTCCAGACCCCTGCAACTGATTGGACAGAGGGCCAGTCTTACAAACATTCTTTCTTGATAAGCAATTACAGACTTTAAGACACTTTCAGTCAGCTTATAGAGGCTGTGCACAAACTGTCTTTGTGTCCTATAGTTCACCTTTTGACATAAAGAACCAACTTCTACCTCATTTTAATGATAAAACCCTATTTCAAAATGAACATAGGATGTATGTTATGTAAATGTTTGCCCTTTGTGCATACGATTAGCTCCCCTCATAATTATGTATAGCTTTTCCCCAAAACCTGTTTAATTGTATGACCTAATTGTGTGATACAGGCCCTGTGAGGCATAAAACCAAACCTGTTTTTCTCTCTTCTAAAAGAGAGCACATTTGTCACATGCCAGAGGCTGTTTCTTTCTAGTTTATAAACTGATATCACCAACGAAGCTCTTCTTTCTACTATTTAGCCATCCTGGTGGTGTTTTTTGACAACACCAGAAATCCCACTTATACATATTTATCCAAAGGAATTGAAAGCAGGATATTGAAGAGACACCTGAACTCCAGAACTCGCTGAAGCATTGTTCACAATAACCAAGATATGGAAATAACCTAAATTTTTATCAATGGACAAATGAATATGGAAAATGTGATAAATACACACAATGGTATATAATTTGGCCTCACAAAAGAAAATAAATCCTGCCATTTGTTACAACACAGATGAACCTGAAGTATATTGTACTAAGTGAAATAAGTCAAACATGTAAAGATAAATACTGTATGATTCCACTCATATGTGAGAGCTGAAATAGACAAACTCATAAAAGTAGAATGGTTGTTACCTAGAGCAGGCTAAAGGGGGAAATATGGATGGCAAAGCATATAAAGCTTCACTTACACAAGATAAATAAGTTCTGGAAATAGACTATACACCCCAGTGCCTACAACTACAAATACTTTAATACATACTTAAAATTTGCTAAGAGAGTAGATTTTATGTTAACATATTATGTTGTAATATGATATGCTACAGTCTGAATGTTTGTGTTCCACCAAAATTTATATGCTGATACCTAATTCTGAGTGCAATATTATTAAGAGTTAGAGCCTTTAGAAAGTGTTTAGAACATGAAGGCAAAGCCCTCATGAATGGAATTAGTGTCCTTATAAAAGAGGCAAGAGGGAGCTTTTTCACCTCTTCTGTCATGTTCTACAGGAAGTCATCATCTGTGACAAACTGGCCTTCACCAGACATTGAATCTGCTGGCACCTTGATCCTGTACTTTCCCACCTTCAGAACTGTGAGAAATAAATTTCCATTGTTTATAAATTACCAAGACTAAGGTATTTTGATATAGAAGCCCAAACAAAGACAGAAATTCATACCAGGAGTGGTTGCTGCTATATAAAATACCTTAAAAAAGTGGAACGGGCTTTGAAATTGGATAATCGGAATACCTTATAAACATGGAACGGGCTTTGAAATTGGAGAATCAGTAGAAGAGTTTTAAAGAGCACGCTGGACAAAAGCCTGTATTGCCCTGAACAAACCATAAAGGGCAATTTCAATGAGGCCTAAGAAGAAGAGGAGGTCTGCAGAGATAGCCTCAATCTTCTTAGAGATTACCTAAGATGTTAGGAATCTAACGTTGGTAGAAATATCAATGGTAAAGGATATTCTGATGAGGACACAGTTGGAAATGAATGTCATGTTATTGGAAACTGGTGGAAAGCTATTCTTTTTATAAAGTGGAAAATAACTTGGCGAATTATGTTCATGTCCTAGTGTCTTGCGAAAGGTAGAGCTCCTGGACAATGAAATAGAATATTTGGCAGAAAAAATCATCAAAATGTTAAGGGTATGACCTGGCTTCTCTTGACTCCTAACAGTGTAATCTGAGAAAGAATTAAAATTAAAGTTGGAATTTGTAATCACAAGGAAATCAGAACTCAAAGATCTGGAAAATTCTCTTTCTTGCCATGTTGTAAAGAATGAATATGTGTGCTTGGGAGAGAACACCAAGGTTATCGCCAAGTGGACAGTTCATGAGATTAGTATGGATGAGTAGACGCCAGGCGTTATTCATCAAGAACATGGAAGAATGATCTCAAAGGCATTTCAGACATATTTAGGGCTGCCCTGCCCATTATGGTCTCAGAATGCCAGGGCTTTTGATGCAAAACAATTTCAAGGCTCTTCTCCCTGTATTCCGTTGCAGCACTACTTGGCTGCCCCATCTGTGGCACAAGCCAGACCAGGTGCAGCTTAGGCCACCCTTCTAAAGGGCACAAGTGGTAAAGTTTGATAGCATCCATGCAGTACCACGTTTGCAGGCTCACAGAGTGCAAGGAGCTGTGGGACAATGGCTACCTTCATCTAGATTTCAAAAGATGCCCTAGTGCCCAGGCAGAGGATTGCCATAGGCAAGGGGCCACTGCAGAAATCCCACACAAGGGCAATGCTTAGTAGAGCCATTGGGTGAAGCCACCTCTGAGATCCCAGAACTTGCAAGAGCTTGCAAGTCCAGCCTGGGAAAGGTGCAGTCACATGACTCCAACCTGTGAAAGCTTCAACATGGGCCGTACCTAGCAAATTCATGGAGGTAGGGCCACCTAGAACCTTGGGGCCCAATCTCTGGCCCAGTGTATCTGGAAGGTGGGGCATTGTAAAAATAAAGATTATTCTTAAAGCTTAATATTCAATGTTGTTTGCCCTGATGGGTGTTGGAATTACTTGGGACCAGCTCTTTCTTTCTTCCTACTTCTTTCTTTGGGAATGGGAATGGGAATGTTTGTCCTGTTCTTGCCACACCATTGTAGTTTGGAAGCACAAAACTTGTTTGATTTCTCAGGGTCATAGCTGGAGAGCAATTTGCTTCAAGACCAAGTGTACCTTGAGTCTCAACCATATGTGATTTAGAGGATATTTAGATGAGATGCTGGACTACAATTCTGAATTGATGCTGAAATGAGATAAGACTCCTGGGGATATTGGGATGCAATAAATGTATTTTGTGTGTGAGAAGTGCATGAATTTTGTGGGGCCAAGGATGAGATACTATGGTGAGAAAAATTACGCTTGCCAAAAATTCATATGGTGGTACCTAATCCCCAGTGCAATTTTATTAGGAGGTTGGGGATCTGGGAGGTGATTAGGTCAAGAGGGTAGAGACCTCTTGAATGGAATTAGTAACCCTATAAAAGAGACACAAGAGAGCTTCCTTTGCCCCTTCCACCATGCGAAGACACATGGAGAAGGCACAATCTATAGGAACAGACACCATACATCAAATTTGCTGGCATCTTGATCTTGTACTTCCTAGCTCCAGAAATGTGAGCAATAAATGACTATGCTTTATAAATTACCAAGTTTAAGGTATTTTGCTTTAGCAGCACAAACAGACTACGACATGGTGTTTTTACTGAAAAAAAAAAAAGTACAAGACAGGTACAGTCTGTGGGAGGAGGTAGATGTGTTCATGGCTTTGATGACTGTGATGGTTTCACAAGTGTATACTTATCCCTAAACTCACAGAATTGTATACATTAAATCTGTATAGCTTTTTACATGTCACTTATACCTTAGTAAAGTAGTTTTTAAGTCACTCATTTTATATATATTATGTAGAACATCTTAAATAAAAAATATGATCAAATTACATTCTGAAACCTAATACACAAAAAAGAAATAATATTAATCTTAGGAGTCTATCACTAACTACATCTTCAGCTGTGATCAATTTTGATATTTATTTTATCTAAAGACTTATTTTTAGTTTTGACAATTGCATTTTAAATTTTTAAGAAATTATTTACTTTTTCATATCAATTTGGTTTTTTAATGTAATAGTCACTGAATCTCCCCAAGAATATTAATTTCACCTATTTTATACATTGTATAATTCTCTTTTCATAATGGCAGAACTTCGATCAGTGCCCCTGATTGTGAACTTTGCATGGAAGAAGAAATGGCTGGATGCGATACTGATTCATGGGCTGTAGCCAATGGTTTGGCTGGATGGTCAGGGACTTGGAAAAAGCATTATTGGAAAATTGGTGACAAAAAAATTTTGGGAAGAAGTATGTGGATGGACCTTGCTGAGTGGTCAAAAATTGTGAAGATATTTGTATTCCCATGTGAGTGCTCACCAATGGGTGACCTCAGCAGAGGAGGATTTTAACAATCAAGTGGATAGGATGACCCATTCTGTGGACACCATTCAGCCTCTTTTCCGAGCCACGCCTGTCATCACCCAATGGGCCCGTGAAAAAAGTGGCCATGGTGGCAGGGATGGCTACTCATGGGCTCAGCAACATGGACTTCCACTCACCAAGGCTGACCTGGCTATGGTCACTGCTGAGTGCCCAATTCACCAGCAGCAGAGACCAATACTGACTCCTCGATATGGCATCATTCCTCGGGGTGATCAGCCAGCTACTTAGTGGCACGTTGATTATCCTCTTTCATTATGGAAAGGGCAAAGGTTTGTTCTCACTGGAATAGACACTTACTCCGGATATGGGTTTGCCTATCCTGGATACAATGCTTCTGCCAGGACTACCATCTGTGGAATCATGGAATGCCTTATCCACCATCATGGTAGTCCACTCAGCAATTCTTCTGACTGAGGCACTCACCTTATGGCTAAAGGAGTGCGGCAGTGGACTTATGCTCATGGAATTCACTGGTCTTACCATGTTCCCTATCATCCTGAAGCATCTGGATTGATAGAACGGTGGAATGGCCTTTTGAAGTCACAATTACAATGCCAACTAGGTGACAATACTTTGCAGGGCTGGGGCAAAGTTATCCAGAAGGCCATGTATGCTCTGGATTAGTGTCCAATATATTGTACTGTTTTTCCCATAGCCAGGATTAAGGGGCCAGGAATCAAGGGGTGGAAGTGGAAGTGGCACTACTCACCATCACCCCTAGTAATCCACTAGCAAAATTTTTGCTTCCTGTTCTTGCGACATTATGTTCTGCTTGCCTAGAGGTCTTAGTTCCAAAGGGAAGAACGCTGCCACCAGGAGACACAACAATTCCACTAAACTGGAAGTTAAGACTGCCACCTGGACACATTGGGCTCCTCCTACCTTTAAGTCAACAGGCTAAGGGAGTTACAGTGTTGGCTGGGGTGATTGACCTGGACTATCAAGATGAATTCAGTCTACTCCTCCACAACAGAGGTAAGGAAGAGTATGCATGGAATACAGGAGATCCATTAGGGCGTCTCTTAGTATTACCATGCCCTGTGTAAGGTCAATGAGAAACTACAACAGCCCAATCCAGGCAGGAATACAAATGGCCCAGACCCTTCAGGAATGAAGGTTTGGTTCACTCCACCAGGAAAAACAAACAAACAAACAAACAACAACAAAAAACACCTGACCTGCTTAGGTGCTTACTGAAGGCAAACGGGATACCGAATGGGTAGTAGAAGAAGGTAGTCATCAATACCAGCTACAATCACGGGACCAGTTGCAGAAACAAGGACTAATTGTCATGAGTATTTCTTCCTTCTTTTGTTAAAAACATGTTTGTGCAAGCATACACTTATACTAAGAAAATATCTTCGTCTTATTTCCTTTTTTTCTTTAGCATGTATCATAGGATTTACTGACTTCATATCAGCATTTAATTATTATTAACTTTATGTAATACCATTTGGGTTGGAGATTGGTGCATTTCCGGTTGTATGAATGATAGCTGTATTATGTTAGGTATAATTATGACCTTATTATTGTCTTTATTTGAAGATTATGTATGATCTCAGGAGATGTGTGTGGCTTCAAGTTGACAAGGGGTGGACTTGTGATGGTTAATATTGAGTGTCAACTTGATTGGATTGAAGGATGCAAAGTATTGATCCTGGGTGTGTCCGTGAGGGTGTTGCCAAAGGAGATTAACATTCGAGTTAGTGGGCTGGGAAAGGCAGATCCACCCTTAATTTACGTGGGAACCATCTAATCAGCTGTCAGCAGATATAAAGCAGGCTGAAAAACATGAAAAGGCTAGACTGGCCTAGCCTTCCAGCCTACATCTTTCTCCCGTGCTGGATGCTTCCTTCCCTCAAACATTGGGCTCCAGGTTTTTCAGTTTTGGGACTTGGACTGGCTTTTCCTCCTCAGCTTACAGACGGCCTACTGTGGGACCTTGTGATCATCTGAGTTAATACTTAATAAACTCCCCTTTATTTATACATATATCCTATTAGTTCTGTCCTTCTAGAGAACCCTAATACAGCCCAGTAATGGGATTGCTGGATTGAATAGTAGTTGAGTTTTAAGTTCTTTGAGAATTCTCCAAACTGCTCTCTACAGTGGCTAAGCTAATTTGCAATCCAATCAGCAGTGTTTAAGTCTTCCTTTTTTACTGCAACCTCTCCATTATTTGTTATTTTTTTACTTTTATAATAGCTATTCTAGCCTGTGTCAGATGGTATCTAACTGTGATTTTGATTTGCATTTCTCTAATGGTTAGCGTTGCTGAGAATTTTTTCATGTGCTTGTTTGCTACGTTTGTCTTTTTTTGATAAGTTTCTGTTCATGTCCTTTTCCTACTTCATAATGAGGTTGGTTTCTGCTTGTGGATTTCTTTAAGTTACTTATGTATTCTGAATATCAGACCTTTACTGGATGCATAGTTTGTTAGTATTTCCTCCCATTCCATAGGTTATCTGTTTATTCTGTGGATAGGTTCTTTTGGCATGCAGAAGGTCTTTATTTTAATTAGGTCCCACTTGTCAATTTTTGTTTTTGTTGCAATTGCTTTTAGAGTCTTCCTCATGAAATTTTTGCCAGAGCCAATGCTCAGGATGGTATTTCCTAGGTTTTCTTCCAGGGTTTTATAGTTTTAGGTTTTACATTTAAATATTTAATCCATCTTGAGTTGATTTTTGCATATGGTGAAAGGAAGGGGTCCAGGTTGAATCTTCTGCATATGGGCAGCCATTTATCTCAGAATGATTTATTAAATAGGGAGTCCTTTCCTCATTGTTGACCTTGTCAAAGATGATATGGTTGTTAAGTGTGTGGCTTATTTCTGTGTTCTCTATTCTGTTCGATGGTCTCTATGTCTGTTTTGGTACCAGGACCATGCTGTTTTGGTTACTGTAGCATTGTATAGTTTGAAGTCAGGAAATGTAATATCTCTGGCTTTGTTCTTTATGCTTAGGATTGCTTTGGGTATTTAGGCTCTTTTTTGGTCCCATATGAATTTTAGAATTTTTTTTCTGATTCTGTGAAAAAAATGTCACTGTTAGTTTGCCAGGACTAGCATTGCATATGTAAATTGCTTTGGGTAGTATGGCCATTTTAAAAATATTGGTTCTTCTTATCCATGAGCATGGAATGTTCTTCCCATTTGTTTGTGTTATTTCTGATTTCTTTCAGCAATGTTTTATAATTCTCATTGTAGAGATCATTTACTTCTCTGATTAGCTATATTCCTATGTATTTCATTCTTTCTGTGGCTATTGTGAATGGTATTGCATTCTTCATTTGGCCCTCAGCTTGGATATTACTGGTGTATAGAAATGAGAATCGCTTGAACCTGGGAGGTGGAGGTTGCAGTGAGCCAAGATCAGGCCTCTGCACTCCAGCCTGGGCGACAGAGTAAGACTCTGTCTCAAAAAAAAAAAAAAAAAAGAAATGCTACTAATTTTTGTACATTGATTTTTTTCTTCTAATCCTTTGCTAAATATGTTTATCAGATCTGGGAGTCTTTGAGGAGAGATTATGGGACTGTCTAGGTATAGAATCATATCATCTGCAAAGAGAGATAGTTTACCTTCCTCTGTTTTTTTTTGGATGCCTTTTATTTCTTTCTCTTGCCTAATTGCTATGGCTAGAACTTCACACACTATCATTCTTGCTGTTTACAAAAAAAAAAAAAAAAAGTCAGGAACATTCTTACCTCAAGACCTCTGTTTGCACTTCTTTTTGTTTTGCCTAATGTTGTTCTTAGAGATATATTTTTGGCTTGGACATATTTTTCTGTAGCTCCTCACTCAAATAAAATCAACATATTAATAGCATCTTTCTTGGCCACTATCTATAATTGCAATCTCCAGGCCTCCTGCCACCCTTTTTATTCTTTCATTTTTATTTCTCCTTAACACTTACTTCTATTTAATATGGTTTATTTAACTTATTTAATTTAGTACTGTCTGTTTCGTTTCACTGTAATATAAGCTTCTTGGCAATATGGAATTCTCATTCTCTCTCTCTCTCTCTCTCTCTCTCTCTTTCTCTCTCACTCCACTAAAAAAGTGACTCATACATAGACCTTGAAGGAGTACTCAGCACATAATAGGTGACCTATAAATATTTGGCAAATGAATCAAATGATTCAGCAGTAATATTAACAAGTCTAAAGAATGATCAAAACCATTAGTCTATATTTCTTTACTAACACTATGCCCTAACCAGCTGAGTTAACAAAATAATAACTATGATCTTACATTCTGAAGATACTAAAGTATCATGGCTGGTAAAGCCTTTGGGGATCTCCCTGAGTAATCAATTTATATTACAGATGAGGGCATTTAAACGTAGTTTTATGGCTATATAGTAGCAGAGCCAGTGTTAAACTTTGTGTCTCCTGATTTCTAGTCTAGCTTTTTAGCTAACTTTGTACATTGCATTTTGATTTATAGCCAAATATGCCAGTCACGATGTGAAAAATTGTCTTTATCTCTGAATTTTTGCAGCTTTACAAACCGTTCTTAGTAACCACTTGTGAACAGGATCAAATATGATAAAAAATTATGTTCTTTTTAATATTTAAAGGAAATACTGATCCAGTTCTGTCATAAGCTTCAACTATACAACATCATTATTTGAACAGTGAAGAATAAAATCTATCAGTTTACAAATAACTCGGTTTAATGTGTTTAATGCCAACATAAGAGACATTGTTTTTTCATTTAATTTATGCTGTATAACATTAAATTATACTTGTAGTCTCCATTTTCTTACAACATAATGATAATTGACAAAAATATTGCTTTTAGCTGCTGTTTGTGAGGAAAATATTTGGTGCTGTCTCTATAAGATCAAAAACATTTAGACTATGTTGATATTTACATTAATAGCTTAGTAAGTATTGATTACAAAACAAAACACAAGATTTTAAAAAGCTATTCCTGTTTCAATAGTAGTTTATATAAATACACAGTAGTACCCCCTTATACGCAGGGAATAAGTTCCGAGACCTCCAGTAGGTTTCTGAAATGGCAGACAAACTTAACCCTATATATACTGTACTATGTTTGTTCTTTGCATATATGTATGATAAAGTTTAATTTATAAATTAGGCACAGGAAGAGATTAACAACAATAAGTGATCATAAAATAGAACAATTATAATAATATGAGCTATGTGAATATGGCCTCTCTCTCACTATCTTACTGCACTGTACTCACCTCTTTTCAGACCATGGTTGACCATGGGTAACTGAAACTACAAAAAGCAAAACTGTGGATACAGGGCTACTACTGTGTTTATTTATCACAAAAGATGTAAAATTACTTGAAACAGTAACACATATCTGTGATATATTTATTCCATTTACAAATAAGTTTTAATGATTATTTGATATATAATTATATAAAATATTATACATTATGTAATTATGTTATATGATATATATTTTTATATAATATATAAACAACTTTATAATTCTAAAAAGTTCTTTTGGTCCAAAGGTTTTGTAAGTGAGGTGTGTGTGTGTGTGTGTGTGTGTGTGTGTAATTATATAAAATATTCATATAATAATATATAATAATGACTGGTAGTATTGTAGGCTGAATGCTTGTGTCCCCCTAAAATGTTTACATTGAAGTCTTAACCTCCAGTGTTATGGTATTTGGAGATGAGTTATTTGGGATGTAACTAGGTTTAGATGACATGAGAGTGGAGGTCCCATGTTAAGATAAGTACCTTTTTTATCAAGAGGAAGAGGCGGAGTGTGGTGGCTTATGCCTGTAATCCCAGCACTTTGGGAGACCAAGGCAGGTGGATTATGAGGTCAGGAGTTCGAGACCAGTGTGGCCAACATAGTGAAACCCCTGTCTCTACTAAAAATACAAAAAATTAGCCAGGCATGGTGGCGGGTGCCTGTAATCCCAGCTACTTGGGAGGCTGAGGCAGGAGAATCGCTTGAACCTGGGAGGTGGAGGTTGCAGTGAGCAGAGATCGTGCCACTGCACTCCAGCCTAGGCGAAAGAGTGAGACTTCCCCTCAAAATAAAAAAAGAACAAAAAGAAGAGGAAGAGACATTAATGAAGAGCCTGATACTATGTGCTTTACTTGCATTTTCCCATTCAATACATATAAACATTTATGAGGTAGATACTACAAGTTTTCTCATTTTAGAGATGAGAAAAGTAAAGAATAAAAAGGTAAAATAACTGGCTCAATGTCAGAATTAGGAAATAAATTTGAGTCTGCTGAATTTTAGAGTGCAGTCTCTGTACCATCATGTTATACTTTTAATGCAAGAAAACCAAAGTAGAACAATATTTAAAAATCTAGAATATAAATAATATTATGCCAAATGGGAATATTAATGATTAGACCAGTACTTTCTAGAACATTAATATTGGCTTGATGGAAACTTTCTCCGAGTTGTACTGCATTCTGAAACCCTCCCTATCCAATCATTTCTTCCTTCCCTCTCTCTCTCACAAATGTCAGATCAGTATGATTGTCTGAAGGTGCTACCCACCATTTCTAGGTCTTTCCACTTTTTTTTAATCTTACAAGCTTTTTTCTCAACAAATCTCAAGTATGTCTAACCTAATCTTTATGTCTTTTTCTCAGAGGACACAAACACACACTGTAGTAAGTCCCTGATAAGTACTAATTTTCTCCATTACAGCCAACTTTTGGTTATTTGCCAACCAAATGACTCCATTTCTCCATTATCTGTCTCTATTCATCATTCCTTCTTTCTCAAGCAAATATGTTTGTATCTCATTGTAGAGCAGCTCTGTCTGCTCACATCCCCACATACCTACCAAAAGACATGTCTTAATGTGTAAGTTTCTAAGTAGGATTATCAAATCACTTACCTAATAGAAGAAGAGCTCTTTTGGAAGGAGTCATGACCATACAAGTTGCTAATAAAAGTAAGATTGTACCCATTATATTGCATACATAAAATATTTAGGAATAGACATAACAAGATATGACAGAAGCTGTATTTATAAAATTGCAAATACTTGCAGAGGAACATAAAGGAAGTCCTGAAAAAATGACAAGAAAAACTGTATTACTAAGTAAGAAGACTTAATTTCATAAACTTTCCAGTTATTTCTCACATTAAGCTACAAAATCTAAATATCACAAGTGTTGTTGCTGTAGCTTTTTTGGTTTGTTGTTTTGTTTGTTTGTTTTTGAGACTGAGTCTTGCTCTGTCGCCCAGGCTGGAGTGCAATGGTAAGATCTCTGCTCACCAATGGCAACAAAAGCCAAAACTGACAAATGGGATCTAATTAAACTAAAGAGCTTCTGCACAGCAAAAGAAACTACCATCAGAGTGAACAGGCAACCTACAGAATGGGAGAAAATTTTCGCAACCTACTCATCTGACAAAGGGCTAATATCCAGAATCTACAATGAACTCAAACAAATTTACAAGAAAAAAAACAAACAACCCCATCAAAAAGTGGGCGAAGGACATGAACAGACACTTCTCAAAAGAAGACATTTATGCAGCCAAAAAACACATGAAAAAATGCTCATCATCACTGGCCATCAGAGAAATGCAAATCAAAACCACAATGAGATACCATCTCACACCAGTTAGAATGGCAATCAGTAAAAAGTCAGGAAACAACAGGTGCTGGAGAGGATGTGGAGAAATAGGAACACTTTGACACTGTTGGTGGGACTGTAAACTAGTTCAACCATTGTGGAAGTCAGTGTGGCGATTCCTCAGGGATCTAGAACTAGAAATACCATTTGACCCAGCCATCCCATTACTGGGTATATACCCAAAGGCCTATAAATCATGCTGCTATAAAGACACATGCACACGTATGTTTATTGCGGCATTATTCACAATAGCAAAGACTTGGAACCAACCCAAATGTCCAACAATGATAGACTGGATCAAGAAAATGTGGCACATATACACCATGGAATACTATGCAGCCATAAAAAAATGATGAGTTCATGTCCTTTGTAGGGACATGGATGAAATTGGAAATCATCATTCTCAGTAAACTATCACAAGAACAAAAAACCAAACACCACATATTCTCACTCACAGGTGGGAATTGAACAATGAGATCACATGGACACAGGAAGGGGAATATCACACTCTGGGGACTGTTGTGGGGTGGGGGGAGGGGGGAGGGATAGCATCGGGAGATATACCTAATGCTAGATGACGAGTTAGTGGGTGCAGCACACCAGCATGGCACATGTATACATATGTAACTAACCTGCACAATGTGCACATGTACCCTAAAACTTAAAGTATAATAAAAAAAAAAAGAAAAGAAAAAGATCTCTGCTCACTGCAACCTCTGCCTCCCAGGTTCAAGAGATTCTCCTGCTTCAGCCTCCCGAGTAGCTAGGACTACAGGCATGTGCCACCATGCCTGGCTAATTTTTTGTATTTTAAATAGAGACAACGTTTCACCGTATTAGCCAGGATGGTCTCAACCTCCTGACCTCGTGATCCACCTGCCTTAGCCTCCCAAAGTGCTGGGATTACAGGCATGAGGCACCGCACCTGGACATTGCTGTAGCTTTTGAAAAATTTTTTGTCATTATTGTTGTTGACAATATAATTATATTGATCATATGGAAAAATGGACAACCAGTAATGAACAGGTAATTCTAGCCAAAGAAGAGCAATGAGAGAATACTTTCCTTAAGAGAAACTACTCTG
Source organism: Homo sapiens (assembly GCF_000001405.40). Taxonomy (NCBI): domain Eukaryota; kingdom Metazoa; phylum Chordata; class Mammalia; order Primates; family Hominidae; genus Homo; species Homo sapiens. The sequence goes on along the minus strand of NC_000023.11, from coordinate 143,989,816 downwards.
TTCTTCAGGATGATTCATTATAGACTGGACTCAAGATAGCTTTCAGTAAGGTCTCGCCTCCCTCCAGGCATTTATTCATAGAAGGTTGTAGAGCAAAGCAATTCATGTAGCTTCTAACCGGTGATTAAGATCCAAAGCTGAGGGTAGAATCTTCAAACAACCTCCATTTCATAGAAAGCCAGGTATTCATGGGGACATGACACTCTGTTTGAGTTGAATTATGTCCTCCCCAAATTTATATATTGAAGCCGTAAACATCAGTACCTGAGAATGTGATCTTATGTGGGAATACGGTCTTTGAGTATATAATTTGTTAAGATAATGCAGGAGGCTATGATTGATGTCTTTATGAAACGGGAAATTTGTACACAGACATGCACACAGAGAAAAAGTCACATAAACATGAAGACAGCAATTGGGTTGATCCATATTACAGGACAAGTAGTATCATAGATTGACAGAAAACCACAGGAAGCTAGGAGGGAGGGCTGGAACAGAGTCTCCCTCAGAGCCTCTAGAAGGAACCAGCTCTGCTGACACCTTGGTCTCAGATATCTAGCCTCCAGAAGTGTGGGAAAATGATTTTTGTTGTTTAAGCCACCCAGTCTGTGGTACTCTGTTACAGAAGCACTAGTAAACTAATACATACCCTTTGCAGAGCTTATTAAGAATCAGCTAGACAGGCTCTCCAATTCCCAACGTATATAAACAGAAAAGTAGGTAAAAAGATGCAAAATACTGGAGAGCAAGCATCAATGGCCTTATGGAAATTTACCCTCTTAGAGAAGGGAAAGAGGTACTTTCTCACTCAGAAGATAAACGAAGAGGCTCCAAGAAATTCATTCTTAGAGACTGGTGGTATATTTAACTGAAGAAGACAGGCAACTGATTACCTTGCTAAATTCATTATTAAATGGTAATCCACAGACCAGCACCATCATCATCACCTGATAAAGTGCTAGGCACGCACATTATTGGGTTTCACCCCAGACCTACTGAATCAGAAACTCTAAAAATAGGGCCTAACTATCTATGTTTGAACGAACTGTCTTGGTGATTCTGATGCACATTCACATTTGTGGGCCACTGACTTATGCGTGGGCTTGCTGGTTTCCCCCGTGCCTATTTCAGCAGAAACAAATGAACATTTCAGAGAAATGGTTGAACAGAGAGGGGGCAGCAACAACAAAGCAGGCACTCTCAGTGTTGGGCATAACAGAGATGCATTCTTTTATCATGATGTCGTAGATGCCATAGAAGAATTTGAACCATCCTGTTGTTACTGTAGCCAGAAGGGCTGGCTATGGAAAGAAGGAAACTCTAATGGCAACACGCTAGAGGGTATGCCCTTGAGTATAAAGGATAAGTAGGAGTTAAAAAGGTCTGGCTAGAGTGAGCTCATCATAAATATTGGCTTAAGTCTGAACTTAGAACTCTGGGTATAGAATTACTTAAAATATCTTCTCTCCCAGAACATGGATTAACTTAACCCCAGGACTTGCTCAGGTGCTGAGCTGACAAGTGAATGCTTAGTGGTCCTCACTATGGAAATTGGTCAGTGAAAGAGGCTGCGAGTTTGGCAGATCCCTACAGATGGTAGGTTGTTGCTATCACCTGTGTATGAGAAAGTTTTTTTTTTTTTATTATGGTAACGTGCATTTAGAAAGATTTAGAGATGTGCTGGTTTCACAGTGTGATCACAATTTTGTTACAACTTGCCTCACTCTTACTAACATAGATTTCTCTTTTCTGTTTTTTACAGGATGTAACATCAATTCAAATTATTGTTTTATTTTCATTTGGAGGCCAGAGAAACATGTTATGATCTGAACATTCAGAAGCCATACACAGACACGTGATATTTGTCAATTTAGACTGAAAAGTAAAATGCAAGATTTAGAAAGTAGTTCTTGAATTGTTATAAGTTCATGAGATGAAAAAACTAGTAAGTTAGCCTACAAACCAAACTGTAGATAAAGAAGAAGTCTCTAAAATGGTAGGGTTTTGCATTAGCCACCATTCACACAAGCAATAAAAAATAGGCCACCAGCTATATAGAAAAAATATTTTCATGGGCTTAGAAATATAAAGGAGTAAAGAAATTACTTAAACCATGCCTATATCTAGTGTAAGAGTTTCTTTTACAATTTTACTGTAGATGATCAAATATCCATTGATGGTGTGCCTCTGGTGATGAGAAGCTCACTGAGAAAGACTGTACCATTTTAAACATTGCTGATTGCTCTGGAAGTTTGCCCTTATATTGAAATGGACTTTGTTTCTCCATAACTTTCACTGGTTGGCATATTGGTGAAGAACTGGGAGAAAAAAATACTAATTAAATTGAATTGAAATTGGTCTTAGGCCAACCCTCTAAGGCTACACCAATTGGCATTACCTAGGTTTAGGCATTAGTTGTAATGAATTTTATATTGAAATACATATTTGTTCATGTCTAAAGTGGAACAAAATAAATTACATAGGGGACTGTACCTAGAAGTTTAAATAGAATAGAGATGTAAAAGATCTTGACTGGGCATGGTGGCTTATGCCTGTAATCTCAGCACTTTGGGACGCTGAGGTGGGTGGATCCCTTGAGCTCAGGAGTTGGAGACCAGCCTGGCCAACATAGAAAAACCCCATCTCTACAAAAAAAATACAAAAAATTAGCTGGATGTGGTGGTGCCCGCCTGTGGTCCCTGGTACTTCAGATGCCAAGGTGAAAGTATCACTTGAGCCTGGGAGGCAGAGGTTGCAGTGAGCCTAGATCATGCCACTGCATTCCAGCCTGGGTGACAGAGCAAGACCCCATATCAAAAAAAAAAAAAAGTAAGTGCTATATAAGTTGTAATAAATTATTGCCAAGGCACAGGCACTACCTGCCCTTAACATAAAGATTTTACCATGTAAAACAGAAAAGGATGATGTTGCTGTATAAGTGAAGATGGAATGTCTTGAGTGCCATATTTCTCTACAGATATTCATGTTTCATATCTTTTTTTATCTCTACCCAGCTATGTCACAAAAGGAATCAAAGCAATTTATGTAGACAGTGGCACATGTGGTAGTTGATATCATGTGCTAGAAATTCAAGGTGGGCAATTGGTAGTGTTAGATGAGTATTCTGTGAATGAAGACATTGCTGTACCTGAAATAATTTAACACTGGTTGAATGGACAAATTAAGGAAAGAGAATTGAAAGTTATGAAGGGACATGGCTGATCAATTTCATCACTCTGTGCCATGAACATTTGTCTCTAAAGAATCAACATATCTTCCTAGTGTGAGAAATACTATGATCCAAATTATTTTCTAAACAAGTATAACCCATTAACACATGAACTTGAATTAGTTTATAAATATTATAACACTGGGAGGAACAGTTTGTTTTTCCTGGAGAAGGAAGGATTGCCAAAAATGTCTATAACTTCTAGAGAAACAGACATACTAGCTAGGGGAAGAGGGCATATCAAAGACAGTCACAGGGTAATATTTTCCATACTAGGTTTCTACTTAAATTTTCACAGTTGCACATTTATGTTTACATAACTTCATACCTTTCTATAAAGGTCTTAATTGACATTTATTTAATGTACCAACCACTAGCATAGCTCCTGTCAGGCACTGATAGTTTCCAAGAGTCTTCCCTTATTGAAAGTAAAAATATTTTCACATAAAATTGGGTAGGAAGTGAAAGAGGAAAACCAATTTGAACCAAATCCTGAAGGTCCAGTAACATGCCCAGCGGTATAAGATGTAGTAATAGATGAATGAGGTTCTGACCAATGAAGGTCACATTGTCATCTCCCATGGAAAAAGGAAGGGATGGAGGAAAAGGAGGGAGTACGTGGTAGTTCTTTCCCCAAAGAAATTATCATGCTTGATAAGAGGGGGTAAAAATTCCTTTTCCTCAGTATAGTTGTCTGAGTATAAAGATGTCAAAAATTTCTGTGACATATACGAGATACCAGATGTTATATTATCCTTCAGATATAATTAAAGTGTTTTTCATGCTGGTGCATGATATTAAATACTATATTTTATACTAAGTGTTACATATGAGCAAAATATTTGGAATTTAATTGCCAACATTTTTGAGGAGGCAAAGCAAGATGGCAGAATAGAAGGCTCCACCAGTCATCCCTCACAGCAAGAATACTAATTTAACAACTACCTACATGTAAAAACACCATCATAAGAACCAAAAATCAGGTGAGCCCTCATAGTAACTGGTTTTAACATCATATCGCTGGGAGAGACACTAAAGAGATAGAAAAATCAGTCTTAAACCACTGGCTCCACTCCACCAACTCTCTCCTACCTCCCCCATCGAAACCCCAGCCCACCCCACTCTATCTCAGCAGCCACAGCATGGTGTGGAGAGCATGTCTGGGAGTTGGGGGAGGGAGAGTCCAGCAACTGTGACATATTGCACTCAGTGCTGTCCTGGAAAAGCAGGAAGGAAAACTAGACCAAAACTCAGCTGACAACCACCTATTGTCGTTGCATTTAAACCAGCCCTACGCAGAGGGGAATCACTAATCCCAGCCATCTGAACTTGAGTTCCCTCTAACCTAGCATCAAGGGGCTGAAATGCCCTGGGGCTCTAAATAAACTCAAAAGGCGTTGTATGCTGCAAAAACTGCAACTCTTAGGCAAGTCCTAGTACTGAACTAGGCCCAGAGACAGTGGACTGAAGGGGCACATAACCTACTGAGACGCGAGCTAGGGCAGCTAAGGGAGTGCTGGCATTACCCTTTTCCTAAATCCAGGCTACATAGCTCATGACTCCAAAACAGACCCCTTCCTTGTGCTTGAGGAGAGGAGAGTGAAGAGTAAGGAGGACTTTGTCTTGCATCTCGGATACTCTCTCAGCCACAGCAGGATAGGGTAATAGTCAGAGTTGTGAGGCCCCCATTCTAGGCCCTGGTTCCTGGAAGATATTCCTAAACACTCTGGGACAGAAGGGAACCCACTGCCTTGAAGGGATGGACCCAATCCTGGCAGTATTCATCACCCACTAAATGAAGAGCCCCGGGGCCCTTAATAACCAGCAATGATACCCAGGTACTACTTTGACGGTCCTTAATGCTTCACCTATAAAGACACAGATAGACTGAAAGTAAAGCAATGGAAAAAGATATTACATGCAAATGAAAACCAAAAAAGCAGGTGTGACTAGATTTGCATCAGACAAAATAGACTTCAAGACAAAAACTGTAAGAAGAGACAAAAAGGTCACTATATAATAATGAAGTTGTCAATTTAACAAGAGAATATAACAATTTTAAATATATATTGCCAACACTAGAAGACCCAGATATGAAAAGCAAATATATTGGAGACAAAGAGAAATACCTCAGTACAGTAATAGTTGGGGTCTTCAACACCCCACTTTCAGCATTGAACAGATATTCCAGACAGAAAATCAACAAAGAAACATCAGACTTAATCTACACTATAGACTAAATGGATTGAATAGATATTTACAGAATATGTCATTCAACAACTGCAGAATACACATTCTTTTCCTCAGCACACGGATTATTTTCAAAGATAGACCATATGGGTAGGTCACAAAACAAGTCTCATAACATTCAAAGAAATCAAAATAATATCTATCACCTTCTCTGACCACAATAGAATAAAACTAGAAAACCACAAACCAGAGGAATTTTAGAACCTATAAAAACAAATGAAAATGAAACCATATGTTCCTAAATGACTTGTGGGTCAATGAAGAAATTAGGAAAACAATTGACAAACTTCTTGAAACAAATGATAATGGAAATACAACATACCAAAATTTATAGAATACACCAAAATCAGTACTAAGGGGGAAGTTTATAGCTATAAGTGCCTACATCAGAAAACACGAAAAACTTCAAGTAAACAATCAAGTGATGCATTTTAAAAAACAAGAAGAGCAAGAGAAAAACAAACCATAATAAGCAGGACCAAAAGAAATAAAGATCAGAGCAGTAATAAATAAAATTGAAATGAAGAAAACAATTTAAAAGATCAATAAAACAAAGTTAGTTTTTCAAAATTTGAACAAAATTGACAAATCTTTAGCGAGGCTAAATTTAAAAAGACAAGATCCAAATAAATAAATCAGAAATGAAAAAAAAAGACATTACAACTGATACTGCAGTTCAAAGCAGCATTAATTGCTACTATGAGCAACTATATTCCAATGAATTGGAAAATCCAGAAGACATGGACAAATTCCTAGACACATAAAGCCTAGCAAGATTGAGTCAGGAAGAAATGCAAAATCTAAATAGACCAATAACAAGCAATGAGATTGAAGCCGTAACAAAAAATTCCTCACTAAAGGAAACCCTGAGAACCAATGGTTTCACTACTGAATTCTAACAAACATTTGAAGTAGAACTAATACCAATCCTACTCAAACTATTGTGAAAAACAGAGGAGGAGGGAATACTTCCAAACTGATTCCACAAGGCCAGTGTTATCCTAATACCAAAACCAGACAAAGACACATCAAAGAAAAGAAAACCACAGGCCAACACCTCTGATGACTATTGATGCCAAAATCCTCAACAAGATTCTAGCAAACCAATTCAAAAATACTTTAGAAAGATTATTAATCATGACCAAATGGTATTTATCCCTGGGATGCAAGGATTGTTCAACATACACAAGTCAGTCAATGTGACACACCATATCAACAGAATGAAGGACAAAATACATATGATCATTTCAATTGATGCTGAAGAGCAATTGATAAAATTAAACATGCTTTCATGATTCAAAAAATCATCAAGAAAATGGGTATAGAAGAAACATACCTCAACATAATAAAAGTTATATATGACAGACACACATCTGGTATCATACCGAATGGGGAAGAATTGAAAGCCTTTTTTTTTAACATCTGAAATATGACACATAGACCAAAGGAACAGAACAGAGAACCCAGAAAGAAATTCACACACCTACGGTGAACTCATTTTTGACAAAGGTGGCAAGAACATACCCTGGAGAAAAACTCTTTTCAATAAACCATGCTAGGAAAACTGGAAATCTATATGCAGAAGAATGAAACTAGAACCTGATCTCACACCATATGGAAAAATAAAATTTAAATGAATTAAAACTTAAATCTAAGTCCTCAAACAATCAAACTACTAGAATAAAACCTTGTGGAGAATCTCCAGAACTTTGGTCTGTACAAAAATTTATTGAGCAATACCCCATGAGCACAGGCAACCAAAGCAGAAATAGACAAATGTGATCATATCAAGTTATAAAGCTTTTGTGCAGCAAAGGGTACAATCAACAAAGTGAAGAGACAACCCACAGAATGAGAGAAAATATTTGCAAACTACCCATCTGCCAACAGATGAATAACTGGAATATATTAGGAGTGCAAACATGTCTATAGGAAAAAGTCCAATAATCTGATCAAAAAATGGGCAAAAGATTTTAATAGACATTTCTCAAAAGAAGACATACAAATGGCAAGCAGGCTTATGAAAAGGTATCAACATAATTGATCATCAGAGAAATGCAAATAAAAGCTAGAGAGATACCATCTCACCCCAGTTAAAATGGCTTCTATCCGAAAGTCAAGCAATAACAAATGCGGCAAGGATGTGGAGAAAAGGGAACACTCGTACACTGTGGGAATGTAAATTAGTACAACCGCTATGGAGAACAGTTTGGAGGTTCCTCAAAATACTAAAAATAGAGCTACCGTATAATCCAGCAATCCCACTGCTGGTTATATACCCAAAAGAAAAACAAGGAGCATACATATAAAAAAATCTGTGCTCACATGTTTATTGCAGCACTGCTCCCAGTAGCCAAGATTTGGAAGCAACCTAAGTGTCCATCGACAGATGAATAAACAAAACGTGTCATAGGTACACGATGGAGTACTATTCAGTCATAAAAAATAATGAGAGCCTGTCATTTGCAATAACAAGAGTGGAACTGAAGGTCATTATGTTAAGTGAAATAAGCCAGGCACAGAAAAACAAGCATAGCATGTTCTTACTTATTTGTTGGATATAAAAATAAAAACAATTGAACTCATGGATGTAGAGAGTAGAAGGATGGTTACCATAGTCTGGGAAGTATACTGGGGTGATTGGGGGGTAGGTAGGAATTGTTATTGGATCCAAAAAGTAGAAAGCATGATAAGACCTACTATTTGATAGCACAATGGGGTGACTATAGTCAATGATAAATTTTATCTTTTAAAATAACTAAAAGATTACAATGGGTTTGTTTGTAACACAAAAGATAAATGCTTGTGGGTTGGATACCCCATTCTCCATTATATGATTATTTCACATTGCCTGCTTGCATCAAAACATTTTATGTGTCTTATAAATATATGCCCCTACTATGTACCCACAAAAATTAAAGATTTCACAATTTAGAAAATTTAGAAAAATGAGCATTTAAAAAAGATTGTATTTTTCTGTGGCATTACTATTTACCCAGCCATATAACTGAAGAATAATTTATTTGCAGGAAGAGGGCAAGAAGTCACCATGACACCCATTTAGGCCATATCCTCATTTTACAAAGAGTAAATCGAATTATGGGATGTCCCCCACCCAACTCAGCAGACTAGGCAGGCACTAGTTCAGGTTAGCCATTTGGCTTTCAAGGACTCATTGGGGCTGGAAATCCTAACCAAGGTGGTCTAATTCAAAAACAAGCAGTAAAGATATTCTGAGAAAAGTCCTTGAGGAAAAGTTCAGAATACTCAAAGTGATCTAATTACAACAGTGTGCTTAGAGGTATAAAAGCAGAATTATTAAAGAGAAAGCATGCCCAGAACAGAAATAGATGTAGTCTACTGTGGTTTGATAAAATCACAAAGAAGAGACTAGAATCCTGATGTGATGCAGATTAAATGACACAACAATGGATTTTATAATGTTTTCTTTCATCACCTTTTAAAAAAAGATATAGCTTAGCATATGAAAATTGTCCCTGGATCTGCTCACTGATACAGCTGATAGCTTTAGCACCTGCCACATTTTGCACGTGCAGGATTGGACTTTTCATTATGTGCAGGGCTGCAGACTCTTTCTACAGACTTAACCCTTTTTCATGAGAATGTTTCAGAGACTTACTTGGAAATCTGATTCATCCTCATATTAGCTACACTTAGAAACGAAATTTTCGGTGGCTTCCTCAGCATTTATGAGAGAAATTTAATATTGCACATTTGAAAATATATTTGAAATTTTGCTGAGAAGCAGAAGATAAATTCACACCAGGAAAAGTGGTATTTTGGTAGAAAATATCTATGCTGATGATAAGTGTCAATGACAATTTGTTGTTGTGACATAAAATTTAAATGGACTGGGTATTTAGAGATATGTATTCAATCAACATTTCCTCTTTTTCATGAGGAGAAATGCCTTTTGGTATATAGTTATTATCTTGTTTCTTTTGAACTTGAGAAATATTATGCGGGTCTGATTGGCCTGTTCTTCCAATGGTAAGTGCTAAAACTGTCTTATCCAAGCCTTAATTTGAAAATATGCCATTAGAAACTGTAAATACAATGAAGACAAAACTCCACTATTTTTGGCATTTTCTTCAGCTACGTATCTGTTGAAGTATTGAGAGCAGCACTGCGCTAGTATTATTGCTTTGCCTCCTGAATCTGATTACTATTATGATTTTTAAAAATTACATTAAATTACATTTAGGCAGATAAGAGTCATCTATTTGACTGTTGATCCTAGTATCACATAGTGCTAGAAGGGGCTTATTAGTTGCTAATACTTTTTAATAATAAAGAAGAAAAAAAGGTAAGTAATTGTGAGGAGGCAAATAGTTGTGGGATTCTGACTTCCTACCTTTGTGTCCTTGTTGAGGATAAGCATCATGGCTTCATCAGCTGCTATATTAATGGCTGATGGATGGTAATCACCAAACACATTTCTACTAGAGAAATGAATGATCAAATGAAATTCAACGCTCTTCTTTCCCTCTGCATCTTTTTTGTTTTGTTTTAGGAAGTACTAGTTCATTCTGACTTTTAGGACATCCCCAGCCCATCTTATATTACTTGTTTCAAAGAGAGATCAATAGGCATTTGAGGAGTCTATTGAAGATGAAAGAAAAAAAGAAAACTAGGCTGAATTTAGTAGCATCACCTATGGTGTGTTATTGGTATGCAGTACAAATAATACAATGGTTTTACCATTGCTAAGGCAACAAGGTCTAAAAAATATTTGATGCAGTTGATTTTGTTGGTTTGGAGCTATACTTATAAATTATAGAGATCAGATGTAGGCTTTTGTATCTCAGCCCACCTGACTATTGCATGTAGTAGCCACCTCTCAAAATATTTTTATCTATCTGGGTAAATTTGGAAACTCATAAAGTAAATGGCATCTCTCCTAAGAAACCTGTACAATTATATATGATGTCTCCTTGTTACTGATGAGTTAGTTATTCTTTTGCATATCAGTGATTTCCAAATATTTAGTTTCAAGTCCACAGAATTTATGTACATTAATTCTGGAGTCTAGTTCTTCAATTTTCAGATAAACTGCCTTGTTCAGCAAGGTTGTAAATTGTTTTTAGCAATGGCAACATATTTTAAGGATGTATTTGAAACCTTCAGATATTACAGATTGAGTACATCAAATCCAAAAATTTGAAACCCGAAATGCTCCAAAATTTAATAGTTTTTGAGTACCAACATAACACTCAACAGAAATGCTCATTGGAACATTTTGGATTTGGGATCTTGGATTTCCAGATTTGGAATACACAACCAGTAAATATAATGCAAATATTCACAAATCCAGAAAAATAATAAAAATTCTGAATCAATTCTCATTTCAAACATTTCATATAAGGGATACTCAACCTTTATCAGTATCCGTATCCATTTCAAGGTCTTTAATTGTCCCTAAATTTCCCACTTTTTGTAAAATGTCTTCAAAACCAAGGAACAGACTCCTTAGAGCAAATCTAGTTCCTTCCATTGCTTTGAGACTAGGTGTTTCAACACCATTAAACAATTCTAATGTATGACAGGTGTGATCCTCACTACCGAAAGACCGTCTCTTTTTATCTTGACTTCCTTCATAATTCAGGGCCTGTCCATTACAGTCTCGAAATTCTCAACTGGTTTTAATAACAATTTGCCCAAAGGCATGAAATTGTCATCCACTGCACACACCATCTCTGCAGGTAGCCCCAAGTTTTCTGCCAGGCCTTCTATAAACAGTGGCCGTCCCCCTGGGGGATCCAGGTATCCCTAATTTCCTCACTGGGGATGGTTGTAATTGTCTGTGGCTGTGGCTGAGGTGAGAGTCGGTCCTCTTGTTGCTGGGGTCAGCTCTGGGGTAAATTTTAAAGTGAGGTCTTCTAGAGCTACTACTTACTATTGCCTCAGTGCTTAATGTTTGACACCGGTCAGTTAATTGGGAAGAGGATAGTGTGAAATTCACACTTGGAAAGACACCCACATGTTTATCTGTTAATTCTGGTTTTGGACCTTTCAATTACACTGTCTTTAGTTGCCAAAGGATGTAAGCTTCTTCTTTCCTGAAATGTCACAGAGCATAGTCACTATGCCCTAAAAATGAAATCAGAACTGAAAATGAAAGAATGGTCAGGATCAGCAATTAATGCGGCAAAAGTTAAAATTACCATGAAAACCTTCACAGACTTCCCTCCATTAATCTCTAGAAGTGAGAGGGGTTTGATTCCTAAATGGCACTCGACTACTTTTTCGTATAATTTCTAACTTGCTAACTCTGAGTCAGGTCATTAAAGGTATTCTGTTAGTTTGTTTCTTTGAATAATTCTCCAGTAGTTTTGCAAACATGCTCTAGTGTCAACAGACTCCCATATGTTTTTAATTACTAATGATTGACACAGTGTTGCCTATTGTTAGTAGTAGAATTTCATTCCAGGGTTTGTTATCACTACTGGCAATATCCAACCATCAACAAATTTATTTTCCACCTACTTCTCACCTGCACCCTAGCAACTAAGTGTAACTGGAGAAAAATACCAACATATAGGTTGATCTCACCTCAAAATTCATGTCCAGGACTCCCAAGAGGGCCTTCTCTTTCTCTCCAGAAACCTTGCTGATTTTTTCCTGGTGCTGTGATATTTACATTCTTTTATCTCAACCATTACATTGTATCTCATCAATTCTTAATCTTATCTTTGGATTTGGGATGTAAGTAAGGCATATTCTTACTTCTACCACAATTAACAACCAGGGATGTATTATCTGGGCCTAGAAAGTATTTAAACCTGATTATCTTGTATTCTGTGTGAAACATACGGAAAAGACAAAGGAAGGCCAAAGCCAAGGACTGACTGATTAAACTAGTAAACATACAATCATACATTTTTAGATTCAGAGAGTTTATTGCACATATAACTAAATAAAGAATAGTCAAAGATGCCAACTCCCCATGGTCTGTATCTCACATACTAAGAAGGATGACACTGAAACAAAGAGGCTAGATAACTGCATTGTGTTGTGGGCTACATTATTATGGAGGGAAGAAAGCTCATACCTCAACATAACCTAAAGAGTAATGAGAAACTGTCACATGATGGCCTCCCAAGGAAGAGAAGCAGGCAAATGAAAGGTGGTCTTGAGGCTGCTTCTCACAGGTTTCCTACCCTCTTGTGTTTTGGGAATATCATAAGGTATTCTACCAAGACTAAGATGATCTTCAGTTCAACCATGTGCCTATATGGCTATGCAGATATATACAAGGTTTGCCTGAGTACCTTGGTGGAACCTTTCCCATAAATTCTGTAGTGCTGCTTGAATTCATCAGAGATCACTCCACTGTTAATACAGATCTTTATTTACAGTTTCCTTGAAGTTCTTGAAACACTCTCCTTCACTCTAGCATTCACTCCTCTTTCTCAGCCCACTGTGTTCCTACCCAAGTGTCAGTTATGTATTAAGGGCTCAATCATCCCTTTGAAGTCCTTCTTGTTAAGCTTGAGGTGAGGGGCAAGCCCCTAATTTTCATACCTTGATAAACAGGACTCATTGCAGATCCATGTCTTTCTCCAACAATCATTTTCTCAAAACCTCCCAATCTCCAACTCATAACCCAATTTATAGTCTCCAGGTGTTTAGATTTGGATGCATAGTCCTTCACACTTGCTTGGCATCTAGGTCCAAAAGCTAGATTTGATTTTTGCTATTTGTCAACCTTGGCTCTTTGGCTAAAGTTCATTTTTAATATTATCTTAAACATAGTTATCTTAGAAAAACCATAATTGCCAAATAATTCATACCACTGATCACTTATTCAATAAGCCATTCTAACTTAATAGTATCCTGTAAGTCCCCTTGAGGTATACTTTTCAAATTAGTAGAATGCTAGAGATGTATTTATTTATCTTTCACCTTTACTCAAAATAAATTAATAATACACAATCAGCAGGTCCAGCAAAAAGAAAAATTAGGATTCCCTAGTAGGCAGACTAGGGCAAATACAACTCAGTGAGAAGGTGAAGGCTGGAGGATATATTAGAAATCAAATGTAAGTGAGCTATATCAAACTACAGTGGCTTCCACAGGGTTTGGTATTCCATTCCAGTTGAGGTACATACCATTCTGTCCTTCCTGGTTGACCATCACTTCATTGTGAGTCATCATCATAACTGATCAGGTTGTCATTTCTCTCAGGTTGATTTGAGTTGGCCAAAGTAGGACAAGAGGCTACGTTAGTGAATTTTTAAGAGGCCTAGTGTACTGCTAGCGTGGCATATCTATTCAGCTAATACTACTTACTGCTCCATTCATTCACTAAACACATTATCAAGTACTTTACTGTCCTCCTGATACAAGTTTGAATTTTATTTGACTTTTTTTTTTCATTGTACCTCTACTGGATAAGCATTTGGAATATGGGATTCTGAGATTAAAGTGATGCCACTAAATAGTAGCTCTTTATAGTATGGTGCAAATCTCAGCCAGGGAAATATTTGTAGACTGTTCTGTAGGAGATTGAGAATATTGTACCTCTGTTTATTGATTCATCCTCAATTCAGTGCACACATTTATCAGGCATGGAAACAGAAAACTATTTCTAACTACTATTTTTTCTCCTTCTGCACTGTAGGTTTTAGAAAATTTTCAAAATAAATGCTTTTAAAAACTAGTTTACAGGAACTGGTTGCAATCTTATAAACTTATCATTTTGAGAACTTAGAATGGCTCAAATCTTCAGCCCACTTACGATGTTTTGACATTCCTCGAGTCCCCAACTTTGGAATATTAAAATTGTGATTTTTTGACAAGTCTTTTTACATACAATCAGACTCCTCCTCATCAAAATGAGCTTAATGTGCATGCTTCTATTTGTAATTTTAAGCACACTAATCTTAGTTCAGCATCATTAGCTTTGGTGGCCTACAATTTTAAATTTTAAATTCTAAACACCAGGTCCAATGTATATGGATTAAAAAGTCTTCTCCCAGGCACCCATTTTCTAGTTGCTGCTTGGTGATACAGAGTAATAAACATCCTCAGCAATTTCCAGTATGATTGAAATCACTTCATTAGTGAGTATGCCCTCAAGTATCCCACCTGCCCAGGGGTTTTAAACCAGCTTGTAGTGCCTCTTAAATTTTAGCATCATCCTGTTCACAGATATTTCCCATACCCACAGTGAGCCATGTGCTTTCCTCTACATATCAATCTTTCCACATTGTTATTACTACTCTCCCGAGCATCAAATGACCCTGTTTCATATGTGAATAATACTAGCTTTGTAATAAACCCAAACAACATAAATGTCACCAGCCTTGGTACATGGGTTAGCAAATTACAGCTCAGGATCAAATGCAGGCAGCTACCTGTTTTTGCAAAATAAAGTTTTATTGGAAAACAGCAGTGCTCATTTTTTGAAAACATATTGTCTGTGGCTTTTTTAAATGACAATGTCAGAGCCGAATAGTTTTGAGAGAACTGTATGCCCTGAAAAGGATAAGATACTTGGTATCTGGACCTTTAGAAAAAGAAGTTTGCCAAACTCTACTCAAAACCAGAATTAATCTCAATAAGCTAAGCATTCAAATTCCAATAATGCCATATCTTAATAATTGGCTTCAAATTTCCGCTTCAAAATGTTTCCATGCATTCAGTGCACTGGGCAGTTGAATAAGTCCATCAGCTTGTGCTGGTTACCACTTGTTATGACTGCTTACATGCTGAAAATCTGACATCACAAAGAGTTACAACACGTAGTGATATGCTTCCTTGATTCATTGTCCCAGCTAGATAAACATCAACTTTCCAGCATACACACAGACAGTTTTACAAATGTGATTTTCTGATTAAAGTATTGGCAGGAACTTGCAGGTTCATTATAGCAGTATTAGAGTCCATTCATCTCAAAGGAGCAATGATATTTACTGACAGGGAACATCTTGCACCCAGCAGAGTGGTAACTACTGTGCCTAGTGGAGAAACAGGTTGCTCACAAAGGATGGATCGATTTCACATCATATCCACTGAGCCTTAGGAAGGTCTGGGTAAACTAGAACACTGGTTCTGAATTCCGAGTGCACATTAGAATCTCTTGAAGAGCTTTTAAAAAATACTGATGCCTAGGTTGTGTCCCAGAAGGATTAAATCAGTATCTCTGGGGATGGGCCTAGGTATTGTTTTTGTAAAACATTAATACCAATTCTTAACTTATTTTAGGGAGTAATTAATACAAGTCCAAACCATCAAATGCCATTTCCCACTTGTTACTATTCCTGACAAATGCTAACGAAAACCTGATTTCAAAAGAAAAAAAAATAAACTGACATAATTTTACCTTACAGGTATTTTGTTTGTTTGAGCCACTCCAGAAGCATCTTACTAGTTTTCTGTCTCTCATTCCCAGACCATGCAAGATACAAGCAAAAAACATTTTCTTAAAGTTTCAATTTAGATGAAATTAACCCTTCTGGGGATGCTCAAATGCTTTATAAATTCTTATAAATATCCCCATACCAAAAACTTCAAAACTTACCTAACATTGGCTGAGTGCTTCCTATGCATTCACTGTGACACTAGACACTTTACATAGATTATCTCATTTGTTAGGTCACAAAACAAGTATCAAAACATTCAAAAAATTAAAATAATATCAAGCATCTTCCCTGACAACAATGGAATAAAATGAAAATTAATAGCAAGAGGAATTTTGGAAACTATAAGAAATATATGGAAATAAAAAACTATACTCCCAAATGACCATGGGTCAATAAAGAGATTTGAAACACTTCTCAAAACAAATTATGATGGAAACATAACATAGCAAAACCTATGGGATACAGCAAAACCAGTACTAAAAGGGAAGTTTATAGTTATAATTGTCTTTATCAAAAAACAAACAAGAAAAACTTCAAAAAAAACAATCTAATGATCCATCTTAAGGAACTAGAAAACCAAACCCAAAATTAGTAGAAGAAAATAAATAATAAAGATCAGAGCAGAAATAGACTTGAAATTGAAAAAATACAAGAGATCAATAAAACAGCTTTTTTTATAAGTTAAACAAAATTGACAAACCTGTATCCAGACCAATTAAGAAAAAAAGAGAGAAGATCCAAATAAATGAAATCAGTAATGAAAAATGATACTGCAGAATTTCAAAGGATCGTTAGTGGCTACAATGAGCAACTATATGCTAGTGAACTGAAAAATATAGGGAAAATAAATAAATTCCTAGACACATACAACCTACCAAGATTGAATCGCGAAGAAATGCAAAACCTGAACAGACCAATAACAACTAATAAGATCAAAGCCATAATAAAAAGTCTCCCAGTAAATAAAGCCTGGCTTAATTCTACTAGCACTTAAAGAACGAATATCAACCCTACTCAAACTATTCCAAAAAACAGAGGATGAAGGACTACTTCCAAACCCGTCCTATGAGGCCAGTATAACACTGATACCAAAACCAAAGACACATCACAAAATAAAAAAAAGAAAAGAAAAAGAAAAATCACTACTGGCCAACATCTCTGATGAATATTGATGCAAATATTCTCAATGCAATACTAGCAAACCAATTTCAACAATGCATTAGAAAGATCATTTATCATGACCAATGGGAAGTTATTACTGTGATGCGAGGATAGTTCAACATACACAAATCAATCCATGTGATGCATCATATAAAAACAATTAAGGATAAAAATGATATAATTGTATCAATTGATGCTGTAAAAGCATTAGATAATATTCAAAATCCCTTCATGAGAAAAACACTCAAAAAACTGGGTAGTGAAGGAACATACCTCAACAGAGTAAAAGTCATATATGACAAACCCACAGCCACTATCGTACTGAATAGGGGAAACTGAAAGTCTGCTCTCTAAGATCTGGAACACATCAAAGATCCCCACTTTTACAACTGTTATTCAACATAGTACTGGAAGTCCTAGCTAGAGCAATCAGACAAGAGAAAAATATAAAGGACATACAAATTTAAGTCAAATTATTCTTGCTTGCAGATGAAATATTTTTATATTTGGAAAAACCTAAATAATACACCAAAAAAGATTGCAAATCATAAACAAATTCAGTAAAGTTGCAAGATACAAAATCAACACACAAAATCCAGTAGCATTTATATATGTCAACAGTGATCAATGTGAAAAAAAAATTAAGAAGTAATCCCTTTTACAATTGTGACACATAAAATTACATAAAATTAAATACCTAGAAAATAGCCAAATAATTGAAAGGGCCTTATAATGAAATCTGTAAAACACTGATGAAATAAATTGAAGAGGAGACCAAAAAATAGAAAAACATTCTCTGTTCACGGATTGGAAAAGTCAATATTGTTAAAATGTCCAAGCTGCCCAAAGCAATCTACAGAGTCAATGCAATCCCTATCAAAACAACAATGATATTATCCACATAAATAGAAAAAACAACACTAAAATTTATATAGAACCAAAAAAAAAAAAAAAGACGCAGAATAGCAAAAACTATTCTAAGCAAACAGAACAAAACTGGAGGAGTCATATTATCTGAATTCAAATTATACTACAGAGCTATAGGAACCAAACAGCATGGTACTGGCCGGGCATGGTGGCACACTCCTATAAACCTCACAGTTTGGAAGGCTGAGGTGGATGGATCTCTTGAGCTCAGGATTTCAAGACCAGGCTGGGCAACATGGCACAACCCTGCCTTTATACAAAATACAAAAAAAAAGTTAGCCCTGCATAGTGGTGTGTGCCTGTAGTTCCGGCTACTCGAAAGGCTGAGGTGGGAAGATGCATGGGCCCTGGAGGTTGAGACTGTCATAAAAACAGATACACAGACCACTGGGACAGAATGAAGAACCCAGAAACAAATCCACACATTTACAGACAGTGAACTCATTTTTGATAATGGTACCGAGAACATACACTGAGAAAAAGACAAACTCTTCAACAAATGGTGATGTGAATACTAGATATCCATATGCAGAAGAATGAAACTAGACCCCTATCTCTCATCATAAAAAAAATCAAAACAGATTAAATACTTAAATCTAAGACAACAAACTATAAAATAACTACAATAAAACTTTTGGGAAAATCTCCAGGACATTGGTCTGGGCAAACATTCCTTAAGCAATACTCCACAAGAACAGGCAACCAAAGCAGAAATAAGAACACATCAAGTTAAAAAGCTTCCACATAGCAAAGGAAACAATCAACAACATAAAGATACAACCTCATATAAATCAGAGAAATTGTTTGCAAACTACCCCCCTGACAAGACAAGGGATGAATAACCAAAATATAAAAGAAACTCAAACAGCTCTATTTAAAAATGCCTAATAATTTGATCATAAAATGGGCAAAAGATTTGAGTAGTTATTTCTCAAATGAAGACATACCCCAATGGCAAACAGGCATAGGAAAAGGTGTCAATATCATTGATCATCAGAGAAATGCAAATCCAAACTACAATGAGATATTATCTCATCCCAGTTAAAACAGCTTATATTCGAAAGAGAGGCAATAACAAATGCTGGTGAGGATGTGGAGGAAAGGGAACCCTCCAAACTGTTGGCGGGAATGTAAATTAGCACAGCTACTATGGAGAACAATTTGAGGTTCCTCAAAAAAATTAAAAACGTAGCAACCATATAATCCAGCAATACCACTGCTCAGTATATACAAAAAAGAAAGGAAATCAGTATATGAAAAAAGGCATCTGCACTCTTATGTTTTGTGTAGCACTGTTTACAATAGCTAAATTTGGAAGCAATCATAGAGTCCATCAACAGACGAATGGATAAAGAAAATGTGGTACATATACATAACGGAGTACTATTCAGTGAGAAAAAAATGAGATCCAGTCATTTGCAACATCATGAATGGAACTAAAGAACATTATGTTAAGTGAAATAAGCCAAGCACAGAAAGATGAACATCACATATTCTCACTTACTTGTAGGATCTAAAAATCAAAACAATTGAACTCATGGACATAGAGAGTAGAAGGATGGTTACCAGAGGCTGGAAAGTGTGGTGAAATGCTGGTGTGGAGGCAGGGATGGTTAACGGTGTGACAGTTAATAGTAGGTGTAAAGTTGATGAAATTGAAGGATGCCGAGATAGCTGGTAAAGCATTGCTCCTGGGTGTGTCTGTGAGGATGTTGCCAGTGGAGATTAACATTTGAGTCAGTGAACTGGGAGAGGCAGACCCACCCTCAATCTGGGTGGGCACTATCCAATCAGCTGCCAGCATGGATTGAACAAAGCAGGCCGAAGAAGGCCGGATACTCTGGCTTGCTAAGTCTTCTGGTTTACATCTTTATCCCTTGATGGATGCTTCTATCCGTTTCTCCTCCCCTTGGGCATCGGACTCCAGTGTCTTTGGCCTTTGGACTCTTGGACTTACACCAGTGATTTGCTGGGGTCTCTCAGGCCTTCGGCCACAGAATGAAGGCTGCACTGTTGGCTTCCTTACTTTTGTGGCTTTTTGACTCAAAATAAGCCACTACTGGCTTCTTTCTTCCTCAGCTTGAAGACAGCCTATCGTGGGACTTCGCCTTGTAATTGTGTGAGCCAATTCTCCTTAATAAACTCCCTTTCATATAAACATATATCCTATTAGTTCTGTCCCTCTGAAGAACTCTGACTAATGCAAATTGTTACAAAAAAAATAGAATGAAAAAGACCTACTGTTTGATAGCATAACAGGATGACTACAGTAAGTAATAATTGTAAATTTTTAAATAATGTAAGGAGTGTAATTTGATTATTTGTCATTCAAAGGATAATGCTTGAGGGGATAGATACCCCATTTCCCATGACATGCTTCTTTCTTATTGCATGCATGTATCAAAATATCTCACGTACCCCATAAATATATACACTTACTGTATATCCACAAAAAATAATTTAAAATAAAGACCACCAAAATATAAAAAGAAATTAAATCCTCTTGATGGAGATTCAGAATGCAAATACACACTCCCAAGTCTCTGAAGGAAATGCACACATGGACACACAAACACAAACACACATGCATGTTCCATGTGCAGTTATTTTAACTCAGGATTTCCAAAACTTATTTGACCACGGAAGAACCTTTTTCTAGCTATACTAAAACTCTGCAGATCTAGTGTTCAATGAATTAACATTGAGAAATGTTGACTTAAGTCATTTGACCATTTCAGTGATTCAATTGTAAATTGAACAACTCACAAGGATTACTATCTAAATTATCTGAAAGTGTTACATTTTGTAATTTTTTCTGTGAAAATAAATCTGTTTTACTTACTTCCGCTCCCCACCTAGACACACACACACACACACACACACACACACACACACACACACACAGCATAGTTTTTCTCCTTCTCTGGCTGGATGGAATATGATGAACTCAACCCATGCCCTGCCTTGCCTTTCAGCTCTTCCTGTGACTTCCTCAGACAGAGAAGTTGTCTGTGGTAGCATGAAAATGTGGCAATTATATCTCCTGTTCCAGGTTGCATAATTGACAGATGGCCTCAGCAGCTGAATCCTAATTCCACCACTCCATTCACACTGACATCACACCTCCCATGGGCTGCTCTCAATGACTGACTATCACAGGAATACTAAGGCAGCCCATTCCTACAACTTATACAACTTATTTTATGTTGGGTCACTCAATAAGTTCCTCATTGGTCTCACCAAAATATTTTTATAATTGCTCTGTGGCCTGAAACTGGATCTATCCAAATCTCCTTCCTTTTCTCTCTTCTTCAAAGGGATTTGACCTACATCAGAGTCTGATGGCTCCTTCCAAAGTTTCTACATTTCCATCTACTTTTTTTCCATAGGCATTTCCACACTATATCACCTCACGTGTCTGATCACATCTTGCCCTCTGCTTCTCAGAGAAGCTGAACTAACAGTGTCCTTCCTCCCATCAATACCCCAGCATATTTTGCATATAGCTATACTTTTGCAATTATCTGTTTATAAAGCTATGACTTTCACTGAAAACTATAAGCTATAGCTCACTTATATAAGTAACCCCCCAATATCTATGAGTATTTTAAAATAAAATGTTAGAGGGAAGAATAAGATGGAGAGAGAGAGAGAGAGAGAGAGAGAGAGAGAGAGAGAGAGAATGAATAAAGAAATAATGGCCAAATAATGAAATTAGCAAATTGACTTGATCTCTTGGGATTAGTTTCCCCATCTTCCCCATCTGTAAAATGCGAATAATAATATCTGTCCTGCTTACCCTACAGAGTTATGTGCATATGAAATAAAGCAACTTAATGCAACTTATGTAGTTACCAAAGAACATGGTCCTTTCCAAAGCTGCTCGTCATTCATTTATTTCCCAAATATTTTTTGAGCTCCTGCTCTGTGTTATACTTGGCTTGAGGTACTAGGAATAAAGAAATCTCAAGGAGCTCAGAGTCAAGTGGGGAATACAGATAGAGACAGAAAAAATATGTTTATGTGGAATAGTGATTGGGTGATGTTTAGGTATGTTCTAGGTACAGCAATCTAACTTGTGTGAGGGGGATAATAACTGGCTTTCTGAGGAAGGTGGCATGTGACTCTTGAGAAGAATCAATAACAGTCAGTGAGATGAAATATGCAATAAGGTGAAATATGTGGGATGAACATTCCGGCAGAGGGAAATACACAAGCAAAGCAGCGGGGAATCAAGAAAAAGCATAGCACATTAGGAAGTTTCAAGAAGATCTGTCAAGCTAGAATATAGAAAAGCAGATGTTTGTGGGAAGAGCAATATATACACATTCTAAATCTCTTCTTAGAATAGAAATGAAAAATAGTTAACAATATATAGATGACAAATATTCAGCAAATATTTAGATGTAAGTTCAACATTGTCTGTCAAACAAGCTTGATAATTATTGAATAGTAGATATGTTACCTGGTTTCTACTATTATTTTTTCTTGTATGTCTTTAATTTTATTTTATCCTGGAGATGAAAAAAGTATTAAACTCAAATGTGAATGGAAGGTGATAAGAGTTCTGGAATTTTGAAAAATAATCAGTCTCTAGCAAGTGACAAGATATATTTGAAAAGACAATTTGACAGAAAATTGTTATTTTATAGTTCACATATATCTTATTTCAAATCACAAATTGTTTTGACCAAGTAATACTTCATTGAGAGTATTAGGATAGTGGGAATGGGAGGTTGATAGAGGAAACATCTCATGCCCACTGTCCTACCATTCAGAATTCACTAAGAAATAAGATTAAAGTTAACATAAATGATTTTTTTGTTTTCCCTCCATGTTGTTAATGTGCATGTTTTGTTTTCATTATAAAAATTATTATATGGGAAAATTATAATTTTGTTTGTGGACCTGCCTCACAATGAAATAGCAAAATGTCAAGAAATCCTAGTTGTCAAAGCT
This sequence comes from Homo sapiens, assembly GCF_000001405.40. NCBI lineage: Eukaryota > Metazoa > Chordata > Mammalia > Primates > Hominidae > Homo > Homo sapiens. The sequence continues at coordinate 143,966,902 of NC_000023.11, read as the reverse complement.
TAGAATTGGTAATGCCACAGAACTCAAAATGGCTTAGAATGAACAGTGTGTTCATAACAAGCAGATGAGTATAAGTTTGACAAGAATGTCAAGTTTCCATATTGCAAAGAGCATAACGGTACAGCTTTCCATTAAGAAGGTGATTTTTGTGTTTCATTTTTGAGTCTAGTACATTTTTATTTTTAAATTCTAATCGAAACATTGACCCCTTTATATTTACCTTTGGTTGAAAGAATAAAATAAAATTTGTCTGTATGTTATTTGATATTTATAGCAAACATGGATTTTATAGATAATTAGTAACTGAGGTGAGAATTCCAGCCATAACAAGGTTAGATTTTCCCCTCATCTTAAAACCACCTCACCACAAGGAGAAAGCTTCATCTCTGGTAAAATAAAGGAAGCACTATTTTGGCATAGCACCATACCTCAAAATATATTTAAAAGGGCTACGAAGTATAGGAAAATTTACACTAGAATGAAAGAGAATGCCAGGAAAGAACACATATAGCTGCTGCTATTGTTGGGCAGAGCCAGCTGACCATTATCTTCTTCAGAGTAGCCAGCCCACTCCCAAAAGGCACACATTTGCAAGGATCTCTTTCACATCTAATGATACCTATCTAATGGTAGATATGGAAAGTAAACAAAGATGATTTATAATTGGTGTCTCTGGGGAAGAAAACAGATTTAAAAATTTCAAAGGCATAACTCAGAAAAGACTTTCCTAATTAATACAAGCTTCAACTCTTGTATTAATTACAAGAGTTAATTATCTAGAGCTTACTCTAGATCAAGTGGGCTCATGATGTGCCAAGAATATTGTTACATTACAATAATAACCATCATACTGGCAAACAATAAAATGAACAATGACACCGAGTGTTTGGTAGAGAGTGAGTAAAGGATACTTTCATTCTCTACTAATTAAAATATAAAATTGCAATATTCCTGGAGAGCTGTTAGAAACTAAATATCAAGAGTACTTTTTATTAGCTTGTATTTGTATATTTACTGTTGTCTGACTCAGTATTTAAAACCTAAAATGGAAAAGGTGATGAAATCGCCAGGAAATGAAGCCAGTCAGCTGAATCTACCTTATACCATGATCAAAACCTCAAGGTAATCAAATAGGGTAAAATTAAAAAAAATCTAAAGGTCAGCAACCTCAAACTCTGAAGGTAGATAAGCCCACAAAGATGAAAAAGTATCAGCACAAGAATGCTGAAAACTCAAAAAGCTAGAGTGCCTTCTTTGCTCCAAATGACTAAATCACCTCTCCAGCAAAGAAGGGTTTGGAACTGGGCTGAGGCTGAGATAGCTGAAATGACAGAAATAGAATTCAAAATATTGATAGGAATGAAGTTTACTGAGCTGCAGGAGTACCTTAAATGCCAATGCAAGGAAGCTAAAAATCCTGATAAAATATTTTAGGAGATGGCAGAAAAAAATAGCCAGTATAGAGAATAATGTAACCAAGTTGATATAGCCGAAAATCACAGTACAAGAATTTCATAATGCAATCACAAGTAGTAATAGCAGAGTAGACTAAGCAGGGGAACGAATCTCAGAGCTTGAAGACTGCCTTTAGATAATAATACAGGCAGATAATAATAGAATATAAAGAATAAAAAAGAATGAGCAAAACTTCTGAGAAATATGAGATTATGTAAAGAGATTGAATCTATGACTGATTGGTGTTCCTGAAAGAGGTTAGGAGAATGGCACCAACTTGAAAAACATATTTCAGGATATAATCCATGAGACCTTCCCCAACCTCACTAAAGAGGCCAACGTTCAAATTCAGGAAATGCAGAGAACCCCAGTATGATACTTTGCAAGAAGATCATCCCCAAGGCACATATTTACCAGATTCTAAGGCAGGAGAATAGGGTCTGGAGGCAGGGAAACTACGGCCAATTCACACTGACTTCTTAGAACTGAATCAAAAGGAAAACCCCACCTCTCCACACCGAAGTAACAAAAGAATCACAGGCTAATATCTTTGCACTGCATCTTGTACCGCATCACAGATAAAAAATGAAAAGTACCTCTGATTTGTTCCCTCCAGCAACCAGTCTTCATGTGCATAGGGTGTAACTTTGTAACTTCACTTCAGCATCTGATTCCTCGCCTCCTGCAAACAATTAGACTGGTCGTGGGCCAAGTCCTCATGTGCAACTTTGTAACTTCACTTAAGCCTCTGATTGGTCACCTCCTGCAACCAATCAGACTGATCACAAGCAAGTCATTATTTATACAAGGTGTAACCAAGTAACTAATGGGAGACCTCTAGAGCGTATTTAAACCTGAGAAAATTCTGTAACCAGCGCACTTGGGCTGCTTGCTGGAGCCCACTCTCACTCTGCTGAGTGTACTTTCATTTCAATAAATCTGTGCTTTCATTGCTTCATTTTCTGTTGCTTTGTTTGTGCATTTTGTCCAATTATTTGTTCAAAATGCCAAGAACCTAGATGACTCCTAGTCAAGACCTTCCACCAGTAACAATTCTCTAAAGTTGAAATGATAGAAAAAATATTAAAGGCAGCTAGAAAGAAAGGTAAGGTTACCTACAAAGGGAAGCCCATCAGTCTAACAACAGATCTCTCAGCTGAAACCCTACGCACCAGAAGAGATTGGAGGTCAATATTCAACACTCAAAAAAAAAATTCAAATCTAGAATTTCATATCTGGTCAAACTAAGCTTTATAAGTGAAGGAGAAATGAGATCTTTTCAGACAAGCAAATGCTAAAGAAATTTGTTACCATCAGACCTTCCGTACAAGAGCTTCTAAAAGAAGCACTAAATATGGAAAGTAGGGACTGTTACAAGCCACTACAAAAACACACTGAGGTACTCAGACCAGTGAAACTATAAATTAACCACATAAATAAGTCTGCAAAATAACCAGCTAACATCATGATAACAGGATGAAATCCATACACATCAATACTAAGCTTAAATGTAAATGGCTAAATGCCACACACACACACACACACACACACACACACACACACACACACAGAGTGGCAAGCTCAATAAAGAACCAAGACCAATTGGTATGTTATCTTTAAGAGACCATCTCACATGCAATGATACATGCATGATCAAAATAAAGAGATGGAGAAAAATTCACCAAGAAAGTGGAAAACAGAAGAAAATCAGGGTTGCAATCCTAGTTTCTAACAAAACAGACTTTAAATCAACAAAGATCAAAAAAGACAAACAAAGAAGGACATTACATAATGGTAAAGGGTTCAATTCGACAAAAGGATCTAACTATCCTAAATATATATGCACCCAAAACAGGAACAACTAGATTCATAAAACAAGTTCTTAGAGACCTTCAAAGAGACTTAGACTTCCACACTATAATAGTGGGAGACTTTTATATACCACTAACAATATTAGACTGATAATTGAGACAGAAAAGTAACAAAGATATTCAGGACCTGAACTCGGCAGTGGGTCTAAAGAACCTGATATCTATCGCAGAAATTCAGAAATTTCCACCCAAAAACCACAGAATATACATTCATTTCATTTCCACATAGCACATGCTCCAAAATTGATCACATAATCAGAAGTAAAACACACCTCAGCAAATGCAAAACAACTGAGATCATGACAACCACTCATACAGATGGCAGTGCAATCGAATTAGAAATCAATACTAAGAAATTCACTCAAAACCATACAATTACACGGCAATTGAACAGCTGTACCTAAATGAGTTTTGGGTAAATAATGAAACTAAGGCAGATATGAAGAATTTTGTTGAAACTAATGAGAACAAAGACAGAACATACCAGAATCTCTGGGACACAGCTAAGGCAGTGTTAAGAGGGAAATTTATAGCACTAAATGCCCACATCAGAAAGTTAGAAAAATCTTAATTTAACAATCTAACATTACAACTAAAAGAACTAGAGAATCAAAGGCAAACAAATCCCAGGGCTGGCAGAAAATAAGCAACAACCAAAATCACAGCTGAGCTGAAGAAGACAGAGCCACGATAAACTTTTCAAAAGATCCATGAATCCGGCACCTGGATTTTTGAAAAAAAAGTAATAAGCTAGATAGACTGCTAGCTAGATTAATAAAGAAGAAAAGAGAGAAGATTCAAATAATCACAATCAGAAATGACAAGGGGGATATTACCACTGACTGCACAGAAATACAAACCACGATCAGATAATATTATGAACACCTCTTTGCACATAAACTAGAAAATCTAGAACAAATGGATACATTTCTGGGCACATACACCTTCCCAAGACTGAACTGGGAAGAAACTGAATCTTTGAATTGAGCAATAGCAAGGTGGGAAATGGAAGGAGTAATAAATAGCTTAGCAACAAAATAAAAGGCCAGGACCAGGCAGATTCACAGCTGAATTCTACCAGATGTACAAAGAAGAGCTGGTACCATTTCTACTGAAACTCTTCCAAAAACTTGAGGAGAAGGGGCTCCTTCCCTAACTCATTCTATGAGACCAGCATCATCCTGACATGAAAACCTGACAGAGATAGAAGAAAATAAAAGAAATTTCAGGCCAACATTCTTGATGAGCATTAATGCAATTATCCTCAAAAAATACTGGCAAACCAAATCTAGAAGCACATCAAAAAGCTTATCCATCAAGATCAAGTAGACTTTATCCCTGGGATGCAAAGTTGGATCAACATACACAAATTATTAAATGTAATTCAATACATAAAATTAACTAAAGACAAAAACCACATGATTATCTCAATAGATACAAAACAGGCTTCATATAAAATTCAACATCTGTTTCTGTTAAAAATTATCAATAAATTAGTTACTGAAGGAACATACCTCAAAATAATAAGAACCATCTATGCAAATCACATAGCCAACATCATACCGAATGGACAAATGCTGGAAGCATTCCCCTTGAAAATCGGGACATGACAAGGATGCCCTCTCTCACCACTAGTACTCAACATAGTATTCAATGTCCTGACCAGGGTAATCAGGCAAGAGGAAGAAATAAAGGGCATGTAAATTGGTAAAGAGCAAGTAAAATTTTCTCTATTTGCAGATGACATGCTTCTATATCTAGAAAACCCCACAGACTTAGCCCAAAAGCTTCTTAAGCTGATAAACAACTTCATCAAAGTCACAGAACACAAAATTAATGTGTAAAAATCACTACCGTTCCCATACACCAACAACAGTCAAGCCAAGAGCCAAATAAGAAATGTACTCCCATTCACAATTGCCACAAAAACAATAAGATAACTAGGAAAACAGCTAACTAGGGAAGTGAAAGATGTCTGCAAGGAGAACTACAAACCACTGCGCAAATAAATCAGAGATGACAGAAACAAATGGAAAAAACATTCTATGCTCATGGATAGGAAGAATTAATATTGTTAAAATGACCATACTGCCATAAGCAATTTATAGATTCAATGCTATGCCTATTACAGTACCATTGACATTCTTCATAGAGCCAGAAAAAGACCATTTTAAAATTCACATGGAATCAAAATGAGCTTCAATGGCCAAGGAAGTAAGCATAATAAAAAACAAAAACAAACAAACAAACAAACAAAAACAAAGCTGGAGGCATCACGCTACCTGACTTCAAACGGTACAACAGGGCTACAATAACCAAAACAACATGGTACTGGTACAAAAACAGACACATAGACCAATGGAACAGAATAGCAAACCCATAAGACTGCACACCTAAAAATATCTGATCTTAGACAAACCTGACAAAAACATGCAATGGGAAAAGGATTCCCTATTTAATAAATGTTGCTGAGATAACCAACTAGCCATATGCAGAAGATTGAAAGTGAACCTCTTCCTAACACCATATGCTAAAATTAAATCAAGGTGGATTAAAGATTTAAATGTAAAACCCAAAACTATAAAAATCCTGGCAGACATCCTAGGCAATACCACTTAGGACAAAGACACGGGCAAAAATTTCATGACACAGATGCTAAAAGCAATTGCAACAAAAGCAGAAATTGACAAATGGGATCTAATTAAACTAAACAAGTTCTGTACAGCAAAAGAAACTATTATCAGAGAGAACAGGCATCCTGCATAACAGGAGAAAACTTTTCCAAGCTATCCATCTGAAAAAGGTCTAATATCCAGAGTCTGCAAGTAACTTAAACAAATTTACAAGAAAATAAGACAACAACCCCATTAAAAAGTGGGCAAAGGACATGAAAAGACACTTCTTGATATGGTTTGGGTGTGTCCTCACCCAAAACTCAACTTGATTTGTATCTCCCAGAATTCCCACGTGTTGTGCAAGGGATTCAGGGAGAGGTAATTGAATCAAGGGGGCCAGTCTTTCCTGCGCTATTCTCGTGATAGTGAGTAAGTCTCATGAGATCTGGTGGGTTTATCAGGGGTTTCTGCTTTCGCCTCTTCCTCATTTTTCTCTTGCCACCAACATGTAAGTAGTGCCTTTTGCCTCCCATCATGATTCTGAGGCCTCCCCAGCCACGTGGAACTGTAAGTCCAATTAGACCTCTTTTTGTTCCTAGTTTCTGGTATGTCTTTATCAGCAGCATGAAAATGAACTAATACAGTGAATTGGTACCAGTAGAGTGGGGTGTTGCTGAAAATATACCCAAAAATGTGGAAGAGACTTTGAAACTGGGTAACAGGCAGGGGTTGGAACAGTTTGGAGGGCTCAAAAGAAGACAGGAAAATATGGGAAAGTTTGGAACTTCCTAGAGACTTGTTGAATGGCTGTGACAAAAATGTTTTGTGATATGAACAAAAAGGTCCAGGCTGAGGTGGTCTCAGATGGAAATGAGAAACTTGTTGGGAACTGGAGCAAAGGTGACTCTTGTTGTGTTTCAGCAAAGAGACTAGCGGCATTTTGCCCCTGCTGTAGAGATTTGTGGAACTTTGAACTTGAGAGAGATGACTTATGGTATCTGGTAGGAGAAATTTCTAAGCAGCAAAGCATTCAAAAGGTGACTTGGGTACTGCTAAAAGCATTCCATTTTAAAAAGCAAACAGAGCATAAAAGTTCAGAAAATTCACAGCCTGACGATGTAGCAGAAAATAAAAACCCATTTTTCTGAGGAGGAACTCAATCTGGCTGCAGAAATTTGCATAAATAGCAAGGAGCCTAAAATTAATCCTCAAGATCGTGGGGAAAATGTCTCCAGGCCATGTCAGGGACCTTCACAGCAACCCCTCCCATCACAGTCCCAGAGGCCAGGAGGAAAAAGTTGTTTGATGGGGTGGGCCCAGGGTCCCCGTGCTGTGTGCAGCCTAGGGACTTGGTGCCTTATGTCCCAGCTGCTTCAGCTGTGGCTGAAAGGGGCCAATGTAGAGCTTGGGTTGTGGCTTCAGAGGGTGGAAGCCCCAGGCCTTGCACGTTCCATGTGGTGTTGAGCCTGCGGGTGCACAGAAGAATTGAGGTTTGGGAGCCTCCGCCTAGATTTCAGAAGATGTTTGGAAATGCCTGGAAGCCCAGGCAGAAGTTTGCTGCAAGGGCAGAGTCCTCATGGAAAACCTCTGCTAAGGCAGTGAGGAAGGAAAATGTGGGGTCAGAGCCCCCACACAGAGTTCCTACTGGGGCACGGCCTAGTGCAGTTGTGAGAAAAGGGCCACCATCCTCCAGACCCCAGAATGGTAGCTCCACCCACAGCTTGCCCCATGAACCTGGAAAAGCCACAGACACTCAATGCCAGCCCATGAAAGCAGCCAGAAGGGAGGCTGTACCCTGCAAAGCCACAGAGGCAGAGCTGCCCAAGACCATGAGAGCCCACATCTTGCATCAGCGTGACCTGGATGTCAAATGTGGAGTCAAAGAAAATCATTTTGGAGCTTTAAAATTTGACTGCCCTCCTGGATTTGAAACTTGCATGGGCCCTCTAACCCCTTTGTTTTGGCCAATTTCTCCAATTTGGAACCTGTATTTACCCAATACCTGTACCCTCATTGTATCTAGGAAGTAACTCACCTGCCGTTGATTTTACAGGCTCAAGGCAGCAGAGACTTGCCTTGTCTCAGATCAGACTTTAAACTGTGGATTTTTGGATTAATGCTGAAATGAGGACTTTGGGGAACTGTTAGGAAGGCATGATTGGTTTTAAAATGTGAGGTCATGAGATTTGGAGGGACCAGGGGCAGAATGATATGGTTTGGCTCATACCTCCCCCAAATCTCAGCTTGAATTTTATCTCCCAGAATTCCCCCATGTTGTGGAAGGGACCCAGGAGGAGGTAATTGAGTCATAAGGGTCAGTCTTTCCCGTGCTTTTCTCAGGATAATGAATAAGTCTCATGAGATCTGATGGTTTTATCTGGAGTTTCTGCGTTTGCTTCTTTCTCATTTTTCTCTTGCCACTGCCATGTAAGAAGTGCCTTTCACTTCCCATCATAATAGTGAAGCCTCCCCAGCAATGCGGAACTGTAAGTTCTAAACCTCTTTTATGTTCCCAGTTTCAGGTATGTCTTTATCAGCAGTGTGAAAACAAACTAATACGCTCCTCAAAAGAAGACACACATGTGGCCAACAAACAAGTGAAAATAAGCTCAACATCACTGACCATTAGAGAAATGAAAATCAAAACCACAATGAGATACCATCTCATGCCAGTGAGAATGGCTATTATTAAAAAGTAAAAAAAAAAAAATACAGATGTTGGTGAGGTTGTGGAGAAAAGGGAACCCTTATACACTATTGGTGAGAGTGTAAATTAGTCAACCATTGTGGAAAGCAGAGTGGTAATTGCTCAAAACCTAAACACAGAAATACCATTCTAGCTAGGAATCCCATTACTGGATATATACCTACAGGAATATTTTTGTTCTATTATAAAGATACATGCATGTGTATGTTCAATGCAGCATTATTCACAGTTGTAAGGACGTAGAAACAGCCTAAATGCCCATCAATAGTTTACTAGATAAAAAAAAATGTGGTACAAATACACCATGAAGTACTATGCAGCCATAAAAGATAATGAGATAATGTCCTTTGGAGGAATATGGATGGAGCTGGAGGTCATTATCCTTCGTAAAATAATGCAGGGACAGAAAACCAAATACCCCATGCTCTCACTTATAAGTGGGAGCTAAATGATGAGAGCACATGGACATATAGAAGGGAACAACACACAGTAGGGCCAATTTGAGGGTAGAGGTTGGGAGGAGGAAACAGATCAAGAAAAATAACTAATGGGTACTAGGCTTAATAACTGGGTGATGAAATGGTCTATACAACAAACCCCCACGACACAAGTTTACCTATATAACAAACCTGCACATGTACCCTTGAATTTAAATAAAAGTTAAAGAAAAATTAACTATAAAAATTAAAAAAAAATGGTGAAGGTGACAGCAGTAGGTTAGAGTGAACATCTCCAAAGTTTTGCATCATGATCAAATGCTTTCGTTGTATGTTGCTCTTTTTATTGAAGAGCCATTCCAAATATTGTGAGATGCATTGCTGCAAGAAGCTGTTTAACTTCTCTCAATAGCATTTCAAACATAGTTAGTTTTAACTTACTAACTTGTTTTGAATTGATACTAATTACTTAATAGAATATTCATGATGAGGCATAGTTACAAATGTGTTCACCACAACATCATTCTTAAAAATTAAAAACAAAATCCTCTAAAACTCTGAATATGGGCTGAAGTTTTTCCTTGATGTATATATGAGTATATATGGAATACATTTACATAGAATGTGTGTGTTAAATATTGGGATGTTTATGCACTAGTATTATTATTATTATGTTGGAGATGGAGTTTCGCTCTTGTTGCCCAGGCTGGAGTGCAATGGTGCGATCTCAGTTCACTGCAACTTCCACCTCCTGGGTTCAAGTGATTCTCCTGCCTCAGCCTCCAAGTAGCTGGGATTAGAGGCATGTGCCATCACGCCCAGCTAATTTTGTATTTTTATTAGAGACAAGGTAGCACCATGTTGGTCAGGCTGGTCTTGAACACCAGACCTCAGGTGATCTGCCCGCCTCAGCCTTCCAAAGTGCTGGGATTACAGGCATGAGCCATCGCACCTGGCTGAATTATTATTTTAATAAATGGTTATCTTTGGTACTGAGATTTACTAAAATTTATGTTTCAGTTTTCTGTCTTCTTATCTTTTTTTTAATTTTTATTTTTTACATGGGCACATACTAATAAAAGTGGGAAAATTTTCAGGTTAGGGAAATGTAGTCTACTAGACCTTAAACTAGTCTCCAGGGTGTGACCAATACAAGCCCCAGATGTATAAACTGAAAAAAGACTTTAGGGAAATGGTAAGCAAGTTACTTTGCTAATCTGAAAAATATAGGGTTAGGATCCAGACAGATCCAGACCCTGATACTCGATTTCTTTATATAAGGCTTACACTTTGTTTAGCATAACTCAAATTGTAACGCCCGGTACTGAACTACTAGACTCATAATAATTTTAAGGCAATTATATATTTCATATTTTTTAAAATCAATCTCAATGAATCTATCTACCTATCTATATATCTGTAAGGTAAAACACAGCATAGTATTGGGCATATTATTATGTATGTATGCATATGTATATAGAAATATATATTTAAATTTCTTTCTAGAAACAGTTCAATAAATGGAAGGCTTTTAAATGCATGAGTTTCTAGCAAAATTATGTAAACTTATAAGTTGTTGCATCTTTTAATCACAGAAGAATTTGATTCCTTAAGTACAACTCAAGAATATATGACTTTGGTGAATTAAAATGGAAAAACTACTCGGGTAAATCATTCCCGTCGTAAGTCTAAGAAATACTTTCATAAATCAATCCAAAGCTTCAGATCATGCAGAAAGGTACTTGTCTATTATTTTCATTATTCCGGAATCTGACACAGCCAGGCCCCAGGCCCCTCCCAAATCTCATGTTCCTTACACATTTCAAAACCAATTATGCCATCTCAACAGTCCCTCAAAGTCTTAATTAATTCCAGCATTAACCCAAAAGTATAAATCCAAAGTCTCATCTGGGATAAGGAAAGTCCCTTCCACCTATGAGCCTGTAAAATCAAAAGCAAGTTAGTTATTTTCTGGATACGATGGGGGTAGAGGCATTGGGTAGATACACCCACTCCAAATGGAAGAAATTGGTCCAAAAAATGGACACCAAGCAAGTCCAAAATCCAGTGGGGCAGTCAAACCTTAAAGCTTCAAAGTGATCTTTTTTGACTCCATGTCCCACATCAAGGTTCTGCGGATGCAAAAGGTGGGCTCCCATGCCCTTGGGAAGCTCCAACCCTGTGGCTTTGCAGGGTACAGCCCCCCTCCCAGCTGCTTTCATAGGCTGGCATTGAGTGTCTTCAGCTTTTCCAGGTGCATGGTAAAAGCTGTCGGTGGATCTACTGATACCATTCTGGGGTCTGGAGAATGGTGGCCCTCTTCTCACAGCTCCACTAGGCAGTGCCCCAGTGGGGACTCTGTGTGGGGGCTCCAACCCAACATTTCTCTTCTGCATTGCCCTAGCAGAGGTTCTCCATGAGGGCTTCACCCCTGCAGCAAACTTCTGCCTAGATATTCTGGCATTTCCATACATCCCCTGAAATCTAGGCAGAAGTTACAAAACCTCAGTTCTTGACTGCTGTGTACTCACAGGCCCAACACCACATGTAAGCCACCAAGGCTTGGGGCTTGCACCCACTGAAGCAATAGCCTGTGCTGTACGTTGGTCCCTTTTAGCCATGGCTGGGATGCAGGGCACCAAATCTCTAAATTGCACAAAGCAGAAAGGCCCTAGGCCCAGCCCAGGAAACAATTTATTCCTCCTAGGCCTCTGGGCCTGTTATGGAAGGGGCTGCCGTGAAGACCTCTGACATGCCCTGGAGACATTTTCTCCATTGTCTTGGCGATTAACATTTGGCTAGTTACTTACGCAAATTTCTGCAGCTGGTTTGAATTTCTCCTCAGAAAATGGGTTTTTCTTTTATATCACATCATCAGACTGCAAGTTTTCTAAACTTTTATGCCCTGCTTCCCTTTTAAACATAAGTTCCCATTCCAAGTCATCTCTTTGTGAATATATAAAACTGAATGCTTTTAAGAGCACCCAAGTCACATCTTGAATGCTTTCCTGCTTAGAAATTTATTCTGCCATATACCCTAAATCATCTCTCTCAAGTTCAAAGTTCCACAGTTCTCTAGGGTGGGGACAAAAAGCTTCCAGTCTCTTTACTAAAGGATAGCAAGAGTCACCTTTATTCCAGTTCCCAACAAGTTCTTCATCTCTAACTAAACCAACCTTAGCCTGGACTTCATTGTCCATATAAATATCAGTATCTTCATCAAACCCATTCAACAAGTCTCTAGGAAGTTTCAAACTTTTCCACATTTTTCTGTCTTCTTCTTAGCCCTCCAAACTGTTCCAAACTCTGTCTGTTACCCAGTTCCAAAGTTGCTTCCATATTTTTGGGTATCTTTTCAGCAGCACCTCACTACTTCAGTACCAATTTATTGTATTAATCCATTATGACACTGCTGAAAAAGACATACCTGAGACTGGGTAATTTATAAAGAAAAGAGGTTTAATTGACTCACAGTTCAGCATGGCTGGGGAATGCCTAAGGAAACTTACAATCATGGCAGAAGGCAACGGGGAAGAAAGGCACCTTGTTCACAAGGCAGCAGGAAAGAGAAGTGCCGAGCAAACAGGAGGAGAACCAATTATAAAACCATCAGATATCATGAGAACTCACTCATTATCACAAAAACAACATGGTGGAAACCACCTCCATGATTCAATTACCTCCACCTGTTCTTTCCCTTTACATGTGAAGGTTATGGGGATTATGAGGATTACAATTCAGGATGAGATTTGGGTGGGGACACCCAAATCATATCAATAGCAATACACAAAGTCAAAAGCTACATATATAGTGGAAAAAAGCACTGTGCTGAGTATCAGCAAATGGTGATGGTGGTAATAAGAAATACTTGTATAATACATTATATTTACTAGGAATGTTCACAAAAAGCACTTCATGTAATCCTCGCAAAAGAGCATAATAAAATAGGCACCTTATTATCCTCATTTTGCAAATGAAGAAAACTGAGACTCAAGAGTTTAAAATGACTTGCCCAAGTCATACACAGCTGGTGGTAGAAGTGGGATTAAAACTTACATGTTATAATGTGATGGACTGGCTTTAAGAGCTGGCTTTATCACTTATTAGCTGTGCAAAATTCAATAAATTTCATCCTTTCTTTGGGACTTAGTTTCCTCATATGTAAATGGTTCAGGCTAGATGGTCTCCACTTTTATCCAGTCAGTATATTTGTGTTCCATAATCTCTTTGGAGGAAAAGATTTAATGGTTTAAAAACAATTAAGACTGCTTCCTTAGAATAAATAACATTGGAAATCTCCTGCTGATTTGATTACATTTGCTTATAGCAAAAATGTTAATACTGTGTTCAATTCCAAGCCATTTCGGCCATATTGCAATTTTGTAGATACTATATATAACTTACTGTAAAATTCATTGCAAAATAAAATATCTCATGCAAGCACACATACATATACATATACACACAAGCACAGGTATCTCAGATGGAGATTCCACTTGCATAGCTAAAGAATTTGCTAGATAATGTGAGAGAGGTCCGAGATGACTGCTAGTTGACATTGGAAAGCTGCTAGAATTGTACTTGTCTGACTTGACACAATGGAAAAACTGTAGTCAAAAACCAACACAGAAGTTTGGTTGTGAGGTGTCTCAGCTATGAAGATGTGCACATTAAAGACTCTTTGACATTAGAGTTAATAATGGGTTTGAAAGAGTGATTTTGGCCACTTAAGTCGATGATAATGGAAGCCTCATTGACCTCCACTGAGACTGTAACAGCATATTGGAGAGCAATGAAGGCACTCAAACAACAGCTCTTCGATGTCTTTATACTTTTGATATTACTTTCTCTCTTCATCTTTAAACTATAACATTTACAATTTTTAATGAGGTAATCAGCTAGGCCAGCAAAATAAAACATTAACACCATGAGATGTGTACTTAACATATAAGAGGTGTGTTATAGAACATTTTCCTTGTCCTTCCTTTTTATGGCATCTGTATGTTTTTCAAAGGTTTTGAGCTCATTTGTAATGCATCTTTTCCCATACTAGCCCAAGATGACAAATTACATCTTGACACTAACTCCTTCTCTTTCAGTGTGTTCTTAGATGTTTTCCAACAGCTTTCAGTTTTTGGATAATTAGTTCTAACTCAATTAAATTCTTTGACGAAAGGAGATGATTTGAAACTTACATTTGTATTAGTTAGGACGCAATAAGTAAAAGAAAAGGTATTGGTGCATTTGACAAATTGTCTTCACATATAGTTAGCTGTGCAAATACCTCACACCTCAATTCACCATTTTGAAAAAATGTATCACTTTGCATTAGATATTGTACTAGGTGTTGGAAAGACAGAGAGAGAAAACAGGCATTTTATGATAAGCTCTCTAAAAGCCCTGGGTCTAATGCAGCACTCTGTATATATAGGGTGCATAATAAATATGTGTTAAAGGGTATTAAGTTGGGGTACTTACCATGGAAAGATAATTGCGTTGGAGATAAAGTTGAAAACATGAACTTCAGTTTCACCATCTATAAAATGATGAAATAGAAATATATTATCCTTAATCTTTCCCTTTAAGGGAAGTAGACTCATGAAGGAGTTGCATTTTTTTGCTGTCTATTTCCCCTTAATTATAAATCAAAAGCAAACTATTCCTTTCCTTGAACAGTAATCAAAGGTGAAGAGAGTAAGGTGAGCATGATTTCGTATTCCCGATGGTCTTTCTTCTTGTCTCTGAGATCCTGATTTTAATTGTTTTGAATAAATATGTAGAGGTGAGATTGCTGAATCATAGGGTAGTTTCATTTATAATTTCTTGAGGAACATTCATATTGTTTTCCATCATTGCTGTGCCAAATTAAATTCCCATTAACAGTGTGCAAGGTTTCCAACTTTTCCACACCCTTGGCAACACTTGTCATCCTTTATTTTTTTGACAATGATCCTAATGACTAGGAGGTAATATCATTGTGGCTTTTATTTCCATTTCCTAGATAGTTAGTGATATTAAGCACCTTTTCATGTATCTCTCGGCCATTTGTACGTCTTCTTTGGAGAAATATTTATTTAAATCTTTTGCTAATTTTTAATACCATTATTTATTTTATTTATTTTTCCTATGGAGTTAAAGAAGATATATATTTTAGATATCAATCCTTTATCAGATATAAGGTTTGAAAATATTTTTTTCCCATTCTGTGCTGCCTTTTTTCTTTTTCTTTTTTAAGACAGAGTCTCACTCTGTCACCCAGGCTGGAGTGCAGTGGTGTGATCTTGGCTCACTGCAACCTCTGCCTCCTGGGTTCAAGCAAATCTCCTGCCTCAGCCTCCCGGGCAGCTGGGATTACAGGCACCTGCCACCAGGTCCGGCTAATTGTTGGATTATAGTCAAGACAGGGTTTCACGATGTTGGTCAGGCTGGTCTTGAACTCCTAACCTCAAATGATCCACTCGCCTCGGCCTCCTAAAGTGTGGGGATTACAAGTGTGAGCTACCGTGCCCGGACTGTGCTGCCTTTTTCACTCTGTTGTTTGTTAACTTTGTGGTGCGGAAGCTTTTTAGCTTGATGTAGTCCCAATTGTCTGTTTTTGCTTCTGTTGCCTGTGCTTCTTGTGATGTATCCATAAAATCATTGCCAAGACTAATGCCTTGAACTTTTCCCCTACGTTTTCTTCAAGAAGTTTTACAGTTTTAGGTGTTATACATAAACTTTTTATCGATTATGGGTTGATTTTTATGTATGGCATAAGATAGGTGTCCTATTACATTCTTTTGCATGTGAACATTTAGTTTTTCTGTACTATTGGTTGAAGAGAATATTCTTTCCACATTGTGTCTTCCTGGTGCCCTTTTCAAAGATTAATATGCCATATATGCTTGGGTTTATTTCTGGGCTCTTTACTTTGTACCATTAGTTGCTATGTCTGTCAGAAAGTTATTTCTCCTATACTCACTAAGGACCTCAGTTATATCTTTATTATAGCATTTATCACATTGTGGTGAGTATCTCAGAGTATTTTGGATGTAAAAAAAATACATGGTACACAGTGGGTGCTCACTAGATAAGTGAAGAATTTGCATGATAATGACAACTACATGTAGGCTCTCTACTAGTCCTAGATTTGACATGAATCACATCTAGACTTAGGGCCAGGGAAGAGAAGAATACTCTATGAAATGAGGCATCATCATATATTATGGCCAGAAAAATAGTAAAATCAGGGCGGATAGATGGCACACAAATTCTAAATCCTTTCCCTAACAAGATCAAGAATGTGGTTAGGAAGCCAGTAGCTGGCTTTGATTAATTTTAGATTTAGATTGCATTTGACAAACAACATTGAGTTATCCAAGACTAGATGTTTGCAAAGCAATCAACATTGCTATCTGAACTCACTGATCAGTTAATGTATTCTATAACCAGTTTTGACTATTTTATTAAAATATAAGTTGGTAAATACAATACTAAATGAAAAGAAACAGGATTTTGCAAATATGTAGCAAAAAAGCTACTAGTCATCCATTCTGCTAACAACATTAATAAGGGTTTACTTTATTGAGTGTTTATGTACTGAATATTGGTAGTTGAAGCCCCACCATCTATTCACTATTTGTTATAGAGAAGCTGACTCCAGTGTGAGCTAGTGGAGTTCAGCATTTGAGATGTGGATGTGAGGTCCAGACCTACTAGAGCCGGTTTTCTACCAGGAGGAAAGCCAGTCTGAGGAAGAATATGGCCCAGGTAGGAGAGCAAAGCTGAGATAATCACAGAGGAATTGGACTACTGATGACATGAGGAAGCTGTGGATCACATTGTGACTGAAGCATTTCCAGACTCTGGACCTCTCAGTTAAGGAGCCAGACAATTTTCCTTATTTTTGAAATATGCTTCATTTGGGTTTTATAATACTTTCTACTGAAGGGCATCTAATTCAAAGTTTACTCTGTGCAAGTTCTTATGCTGAACTTTTACGTGGGCTACCTTATTTACTCCTCATCTAAATCTCTGTAAGGGAGGCATGACAGACATTGCAACAGTTGTTTCTACTGATACCAGATATATACTATCAGAATCCTTTTCAACACAGGGCTCTTGGTTGCTTTTACCAATCACCTGTAGGTTATATGGTTTGGCTGTGTCCCCACCCAAATCTCATCCTGAATTTTAGTTCCCATAATTCCCACTTGTCATAGGAGGGAACCAGTGGGAGGTAATTGAATCATGGGGGCGATTACCCTCATGACATTTTCATGATAGTGAGTTATCATGAGATCTGATGGTTTTATAAGGGGCTTTTTTCCCTTTTGCTTATTCTTCTCCTTCCTGCTGCCATGTGAAGAAGGACTTGTTAGCTTTCCCTTCTGCCATGATTGTAAGTTTCCTGAGGCTTCTCCCGCCATGCTGAACTGTGAGTCAATTAAATCTCTTTCCTTTATAAATCACCCAGTCTCAGGTGTATATATATTAGCAGCATGAGAACATACTAATACAGTAGGGGACACAAACAATGAAATTTAATGCAACACTCTACACATATAAGGTGCTTCATAAATATATTTTGGCATGTATTAAGTTGGAGTCATTACTATAGAAAGATCACTGGAGTAGCACCTTCAAAGACTTCCTTCCTCTCTCCAGTGCCTGAGGTCCCAGGAGCCCAATAGAATGTAACTTCAGTATCTTCTCATAGACACAAGGATTTCCCCTTGCTCTTTTTTGCATTATCTCCTTCAAGATTTTGCTCTCCTAGGTATTCCTCAGTATGTATTTTTCTACTATTCTTCTTCTCTAGTTGGTCCCTTTAAGTTGATTTCTTGTTTAGCCTGTCTATCCACAATTTAATTCAGCTTCTATTTGTTCATGTTTTCCTTCTTTGTACTAAATAATCTTTAATGCTATATAAATGAGCATCTTAGCAAATTCCTTACTGAGCCCTATTGTCAGCTTTGTCAGGAGAAGAATCATTTATACCTAGGATATGAGGTAGCAAATTGACCCAGGAGAACATTTTTACAACATGTTAAGTCCAGGACTTGTTAAGCTGTTTTATTGCCATACAGATGAAAGCTATGTTTTGTTTTGTTTTGTTTTGTTTTTTGAGACAAATTCTTGCTCTGTTACCCAGGTTGGAGTGCAGCGGCACGATCTTGGCTCACTGCAATCTCCACCTCCTGGGTTCAAGCAGTTCTCCTGCCTCAGCTTCCCAAGTAGCTGGGATTACAGGCATCTGCCACCATGCCTGGCTAATTGTTTTGTATTTTTAGTAGAGATGGGGTTTTACCATGTTATCCACGCTGGTTTTGAACTTCGGACTTCAAGTGATCCATCCGCCTCGGCCTCCCAAAGTGCTGGGATTACAGGCATGAGCCAACACGCCCGGCCTGAAGCTATGTTTTACGCATTAAGATTGCTTTTTTGTTCATCACTAAACCCATCTGAGTTTTCAATGACAAAATCTGGTCAAAGAAAATCACAGTTCACCTCTCTGATAGAGTAAATGCAAATTCAAGTTTCCTAGGGTTATACTAAGGGTTGAAATAATCACAGTTGATACATTGGCTATTGTTTCTTATCACCAGCTGGAATTAGAATATCATCCTATAAAGTGAAATATGTTACATTTTTTATTATCATTATGTTGTAATATGTTAGCATCCAATTGGATGTTTATTATTACTAACAATTTATTAACAATGACCCTATGACAGAAAATAAGACATAAAAGAAAGAGCATGGAACAAACTTAGATATATCTTCAAAATAAATGACAAGATTATTATTTTTCTATTGTGGAATATAAAACGGTGCCAATGCTTTTGCATTTCTTATTGTCATTGAGTATGGAATAGAACCTGGCAGAGGCAGATGCCAATTGCTTATTAAAATGAAATGGTACACTACTGTGGAAGAAAGCTACCACCTGTGCTTCCTTCCAGTAGGTATAATTATCCCTTAATGATCCATGGAAGGATTATGCAATACTTGTATTTCATACCAACCAAGCAGCTCTTTTCTGTCACACAAATTTTGACAAATAATAAAAAAGAAAGAAAATATATTCTTCCTCAACATAATGTTAAGATAATTAAATTACATTTAATTTCCTGGACATGTTTCTGTGGAAATACCTATAGGCTATGTAAGAGAGCAGATGCAGAAACCTTTAATACAATGGTATCTGGGCAAACCAATGATTATTATTTGTATAACATAATTACTTCCACTATTAATACTACCACTGTTTGTATTTGTCAAAATTTTGGCTTCCCTAAATCTGATCAACCTTTATGTGTTTGGGAGACTCCTATGCCATGAGGTAGATCTCACCTGACATCCATCCACTCAATCATAAATATGTATTTAGTATCTATGACAATCCAGGTATTGTTCTAGGCATTTGGGGTACATAAGCAAACAAAATATCCTATTCTCCATGTAAGCCCCACCCCTGCAGCAAACTTTTACCTGGGCATGCAGTCATTTTCATACATCTTGTGAAATCTAGGGGAAGGTTCCCAAACCTCAATTCTTGACTTCTGTGCACCTGCAGGCTTAACACCACTTGGAAGCTGCCAAGGATTGGGGCTTCCACCCTCTGAAGTCATAGCCCAAGCTCTACATTGGCCTTTTTTAGTCATGGCTGGAGCAGCTGAAACACAGGGCATCAAGTTCCTAGGCTGCACACAGCATGTGGACCCTAGGCCTGGCCCAAGAAACCACTTTTTCCTCCTGGGCCTCCAGGCCTGTGATGGGGGATGCTGTCATGAAGGTCTCTGACATGGCCTAGAGATATTTTTCCCCATGGTCTTGGGGATTAACATTAGGCAACTTGCTATTTATGCAAATTTCTGCAGCTGGCTTGACTTTCTCCCAGAAAATGGGATTTTCTTTTCTATCACATTGTCAGGCTGCAAATTTTCTGAACTTTTATGCTCTTTTTCCCTTTTAAAACTGAATGCCTTTAACAGTACCCAAGTCTCATCTCGAATGCTTTGCTGCTTAGAAATTTCTTCTGCCAGATACTGTAAATCATCTTTCTCAACTTCAAACTTCCATAAATCTCTAGGGCAGGGGTAAAATGCTGCCAATCTCTTTGCTAAAACATAACAAGACTCACCTTTGCTTCAGTTCCCAACAAGTTCCTCATCTCCACCTGATACCACCTCAGCCCGGATTTTATTGTCCATATCACTATCAGCATTTTGGGCAAAGCCATTCAACAAGTCTCTAGGAAGTTCACCCTCCAAACTGTTTCACCCTCTTCCTGTTACCCAGTTCCAAAGTTGCTTCCACATTGTTGGGTATCTTTTCAGCAATGCCCCACTCTACTGGTACCAGTTTACTGTATTAGTCCACTTTCACACTGCTGATAAAGACATATACAAGACTGGGAACAAAAAAAATGAACTTACAGCTCCACAAGGCTGGGGAGGCCTCAGAATCATGGTGGGAAGTGAAAGGCACTTCTTACATGGTGGCAGAAAGAGAAAGTGAGGAGGAAGCAAAAGTGAAAGCTCCCAATAAACCCATCAGATGTTGTGAGACATACTCACTATCATGAGAATAACATGGGAAAGATGGACCCATATGATTCAATTGTGTCCCCCTGGGTACCTCCCACAACATGCAGGGATTCTGGGAGATACAATTCAAGTTGAGATTCGGGTGGGGACACAGCCAAACCATACCGTACATACATTTAAGAAATATTAATAAAGACAAAGACAATTGTTTACCCAATTTTTGGTGAATCAGTGAGTGAAAATTGTTGTAGTGGTTTAAATAAAATAATATATGTTTGCTAAGCAAACATTATAAGGGGCATCTTCTGCCACCACTCAGTTAAGAAACAAGCAATTAAAAATATTACAGGTGGCTCACGCCTGTAATCCCAGCACTTTGGGAGGCCGAGGCAGGTGGATCACGAGGTCAGGAGATTGAGACTATCCTGGCTAACAAAGTGAACCCCCGTCTCTACTAAAAATACAAAAAATTAGCCAGGCATGGTGATGGGTGCCTGTAATCCCACATACTCGCTACTTGGGAGGCTGAGGCAGGAGAATGGCGTGAACCTGGGAGGCGGAGCTTGCAGTGAGCCGAGATCACGCCACTGCACTCCAGCCTAGGTGGCAGAGCGAGACTCCATCTCAAAAAAAAAAAAAAAAAAAAAAAAAAAAAAATTACAGGCCCACTGATTGTTGCCTTACTGCATCATTTATTATCATGCATTTGTATGATTATTGTGGACTTTCCAAATATTTATTTTACCATAATGTATTCATGTAGCCATTCATTTTCCACCCTGCCCATTCTGTTTCAGGGTCATGGGTGGCCAGAGCCTGTCCAGGCAGCTCAGGGTGCATGGCAGGAACAAGTCCTGGCCTGGGTGCCATTCCATTGCAGAGTGCACTCACACGTACCCTGACACTCACTCACTCAGAAAATGTATACATGCCAGTTCACCTGGTGTGCACAGCTTTGGAATGTGGGAGAGGCATGAAGTACCCAGAGAAAACTCACACAGACATAATAAGAATGTGCAAACTCCATACAGACAGTGGCCCTGGCCGGAAATTGATTTTATTTTCTCATCAAGGGTTTTTAAAAAGACATTGAATGAAACAAGATTATTTGAAGACCTGCTCTACTACATAGTGGTCAAATATAATCGATCCTTTATGAAAGGAAACATTTTCCTAGTGTCACCTTATGAATTATCACTAAATGTTAATTCGTTACAGTCTATTGTTAAAAAGCAAACAAGGAATTTGATAATTTTTCAAATGGCTGTTTGGATTATGCAAGTGCAGGGGTACGGGACAGAATGGTGACGTGCTGAGTGAAGGATTAAAGAGGTATACTCCAGGGAATTCTCTTCGGAATTGTTGCCTTTAGGCCTGATTACTTGGTTCTAATTGAACTATTGTATGTAGTGTGCTAATATGTTTTCAAAATTGTATACTCTACTTAAAACTATTTTATGTTTTCTAAAGCCTTTTTTTTCTGCACAATACAACCTTCAGGGTATATGTTTGTTGGCTAATAAAATATCAAAGGCATGCATGTATTGGCAGACAAGCCCATACCCTGGAGTGTGTTATTGCTTGCATAATTAGCCATCAATTATCACCAGTTGCATTTGCAGCTGTTCCATTTGCAGATCTTTGGAATTTCAAGGTAGCCCAATTAGCATGTTGTGAACTTTCTCCCACTTGCGACAAAGTGGGAAAATAGTCCCTTCTTTGAAGAATCTCTACTTAAGGAGAGTCTGCACAACCATCTGAGAAGGAGCTATTTCAGTCAAACCACTTTAAAGACACTGTGAAAATATTAATATGTCACCAAACAACAGTTATTTAGTTTGCAATCATATATTTTGGAGTTCAAAAAAACTTGAGATAATTTCATTTTACTAATAAAGAAGATAAGCCCTGGAAAGCGAAAGTGACTTTTCCAAAGTCTCACACCACGTTAGTGGCTCAGCCAATGCCAGAGCCCAAGTATTTCCAGTTCAGATGTGTTTTTATTCTGGCATGTGGTTAAAATGCACCTTTGAGACTGAATTCAAGATCTGGCTTGTTTTGGATATTCAGACGTATGGGATTCAATGCCACATTTCAAACAAATCCCTTCCCATTTCAGCTACACAAATTGCTGATTAAACTAGGCTTAGAATAAAAGTTCTCGCAGGTGAATGTTTTTGTGCTGTCTGCAGTTATTTTGAAAGCTTTGGGAGGCATGACATTATGGCAATACTGTAATTAGTAAAATGCAGCTTCTCTTGGGTCTTTTACCTCAAGATGGTCTTCCAAGTCTTTTATTTTTGTCTGTGATTGGAAGCAGTTTGTAAACCCTGCTTATATCTGAGGGCTTCTAACTCTAGTTTACCACATAATGACTATAGTTTGCCAGGTCCATTGGTAGATCTGGTTACCGGGTTGTCCAAAAGCCACAAATGTTAGTATCATTTTAGTATAAATTGTATTGGAAGAGAAAGCTAAGGATAAATTATGCTTCCAAACTTTGTATTTTAGGGCTTATAAAAATTAGTCTTCTGGATCTTTAAATTATAGATTTCAGTCCCCATTCAACTGTATGAGTCTTTAATAGCTAACCTATTTTGGCTTTTTTATACACAAACTTAGAAATAGTTCGCCCTCTGAAGGGTAAATCTATATGCGACACACTTGGTGAAAAGCTATGATTGATGTCATAGTTAATAATTTAACAGATATTCTTTCACCTTTGCCTGCAGAAATTTCAGCTAGTCATTACACTCGGTTCTAGTCATTATCTCATAGAGTATGCACAACAATTCATTCAATGAGACTTCAACTCGGTAGTTAAAAATCTTAGTAATTGGATGGTTAAACTGATGATGTAATGACTGTAGAATTATACTAAAAAGCGAAGAAACCAACCTTTTATCCAATCTACCGTGTATGAGCTGGGTTTCCTGAATCAATGAGTAGTGATGTTGAGAATATGGGTTTTCGAGTAAGACTAACCTATCACTTACTTTTAGGTTATGACCTTGTACCAGCTATTAAATCATTTTAAACCTTAGTGTCTTTATCTGTAAAATGGAAAATTGTGTCTAGCTTGAAAAGTTTACTGTAAGGATTACATAATTTATATAAATATCTCAGCACTTTTGAATTTTTGCTATTACACTCAGGAGCCAGTAAGACATTCACAGAACTGGATTCTGAGGGTGCTGGGTCAGAGGAGTGGAACCAAATATTAGCTAAAAGAGAGTTTGTTAATTTGAGAACACCCTTCCATGTTACTGAATTTATCATTCATGCAAGGATCCTGGAATACTGTGAGGGAAGGCTGCTGAGAAGCCTCATAGACAATTAATTTTAAAATGTCACCCTACAAGAAGGCTGAAATTCCAGAATTGCCATGCAGCCACACAAGGAGAGATTAAAAGCCTCAAAGAAGAAGACATTCTGGATATACTATGAAAGGTGGAAAAACATACCAGATGATCATGATTCAGTGGGGACCCAGGGATATGACATTTATCAAAGAAATAAGAACAGCAGCTGTGAAGGGGTAACCAGCACCACACTGAAGTTTAGTGAGGGTATAAAATGTAGGCCAAAGCTGATAATAGGAAGGGCTATTGCAAAACTGGGCTCATTGATAAGAACAGGATAACAGGATTCTAAAAAAAATAAATCAAAGTCACAATCTGGTATTTATCAGAATTGCATCTCTCTTGATGCAATTCTCATATTGGGTGGCAAGGTCTCAGTGGCATTAAAGGAATTGTGACATGCAGAAAGTTAAGGAAATGGTCAATAGAGTATAGTATCCCTAAAGGCAAAACTGATGGACAGCAACACAGGTATCAGTTCTCAATAGATACAATAAATTAAAATTTAATCACAGATAGATGATTATGAGCCTATGGGTCTTTGCTCCTGTCTCTTGCCAAGTTTTCTGAGTAAAATTGTTATTAGACGCCTAGAACCCATGGCCTAAAAAAGAGTCCAGATCCACAGAATAAGGACTGTGCAGTGCCATTTTAAGTATCCATGAAAACAATTATCTCATTACTTCTGCAAAGGGAAAATGACTCCTTTATCCTGATATAATTGGCTACATTCATTTCTTAGGAGTTTGCAAATGTCAATTTGATCTACTTTTAAAAAAACGGTGCTATCTTTGTAAAATGAACAATACACAATGTTTAAGACAGAAAATTGAACATATACTGAAAACTCCAACTCTTACCTACGATGCCTAGCAATGATCAAATATACACAAAAATAAATGTGTACTTGAAAATACACACATATCCTTAATTCCAGATACAGAAAAAATATATGTTTAATGATTAGAAAGCACTGTGTATAATATTTTACATTTGAGTATCTAGATAAAGTAAAAATTGTATACGAAAATAAAATTTCATGAAATAACCTCAGGAAGAAATAACACATCTGAATTGACATACAAACATAGACAAAGTTTAAAAAGGCAGTCAAATGTTCTTACCTCTCACTCATCAAAATATACAAAAGGCCCAGATGTCTTATTTTTTGTTTGTTTGTTTGAGATGGAGTCTCGCTCTACTGCCCAGGCTGGAGTGCAGTGGCGTGATCTCAGCTCACTGCAATCTCTGCCTCCTGGGTTCAAGCCATTCTCTGCCTCAGCCTCCCAAGTAGCTGGGATTACAGGCACCCACCACCACACCCAGCTAATTTTTGTATTTTTAGTAGAGACGGGGTTTCACCATCTTGGCCAGGCTGTTCTTGAACTCCTGACCCCGTGATCCACCTGCCTCAGCCTCCCAAAGTTCTGGGATTACAGGCGTGAGCCACCACACCCGCCCCTCCCCCTCCCCCCCCCTTTTTTTTTAAATAGACTGGGTCTCACTCTGTCGCCCAGGCTGGCAGTGGCACGATCTCAACTCTCTGCAACCTTTGCTTCCCAGGCTCAAGCAATTTTCCAGCCTGAGCCTCCTGATTAGCTGGACCTATAGGTGCGAGACAGATTTCTACCAATCATTAAAACAACAACAACAACAAAATCATTTTCTACAAACCATTTCAGAGCATAAGAACAATATGTGAGACTA
Source organism: Homo sapiens (assembly GCF_000001405.40). NCBI lineage: Eukaryota > Metazoa > Chordata > Mammalia > Primates > Hominidae > Homo > Homo sapiens. Next base: position 143,941,217 of record NC_000023.11, on the reverse strand, counting down.
CTCAACTCATGTTTTGAGACTAGTATAATCTTGGTATTAGACCTATAAAAAGAACAGCACATGAACAGGTAGCTATAGGCCAAACTCATTAGCTTAAAAGGAAAAGCAAATCCAAAATAAGGCATAACAAGCTGAATTCAGCAATGTATTAAAAAATACATTGCAACTGAAAAATCTTGACATCTGTATATTTGGAAGGAAGACTTTCTTTTTTTTTTTTTTTTTTTTTTTTTTTTTTTTTTGAGGCAGAGTCTCACTCTGTCATCCTGCTAGATAGAGTGCAGTGGCCCAATCATGGCTCACTGCAACCATTGCCTCATGGACTCAAGCAGTCTGCCTGCCTTCGCCTCCCATAGTGCTGGGATTATAGACATGAGCCACCACACTCAGTGAAACACTTTATTTCTTATAAAAGTTTATTAACGAAAGGTTTGTCATCCCACAGGCTGGGAAGTGCAGCATCTAGTAAAGCCTGAAAGGCACGCATTTCAAGAAAGGGGAAGGTGGAACAGGGATTTATGCTGAACAGGTTGGCCAATTATACATATTCAACAGGTTATAGAAGGAGCTATGAATATTCATAAAGGTGAATGTGTCCCATGTTCACCTTGGGGTGGAGACTTAATATTTAAATACATTGCAGTTAAGTTCTATACATCCAAAAGTGGAGCAGCGACACAAAGGCAATCAAGTGTGCAGCATCTCCAAACTGGCCAGAACCGGTCTGTGGTCCATAGTTTCTTACCTGAAGAAAATTACTGAACTCAATCGCTTATCCAATCAAAGCTGTAGTTATGGCTTGTGAAACAGGGAGTCAGTCAGTCAGCATGTGACCGTAAATGATGTGCAATTATTTTAATACTGCTTATCTCAAGGCCAGTGTTTGTGTAGCTGTCACAGAAAAAGAAAACCTTGTGTCAGTCGGAAGACAGTTTATTCTTCAAGTGTAGAAATGCATGACTTAACTCTTACCTGGCATGCTTTTATGCCTAATTTATAATTTAATATCTAATTGCCACAAACAGTTCATTCTGTCAGTCTTCTGATCTCCATCATTATTGCTGATCAGTTGTTGTGTCTAAACCGCAAGAAGGAAGGGTTATAATGAGGTGTGTCTGAGCTTCCATTCCATCAGAGCCTGAAACTCACTTTTTAAGGTTTTTTTGGGGACACCTCGGCCAAGAGAAGGTCCTTTAAGTCAGTTGGGGGACTTAGAGTTCTATTTTTAGGTCTCAACGTCATAACCAAGTAAGAAACATCTCATAATGCAAAGTGTTTTTTTAACTTTTATTTTAAGTTCAGGGCTACAGGGGCAGGTTTGTTACATAGGTAAACTTGTGTCATGGGGGTTTGTTGTACAGATTATTTCATCACCCAAGTTTTAAGCCTAGTAACTATTACTTATTTTTCCTGATCTTCTCCCTCCTCCCACCCCTACCCTCTGAGAGGCCCCAGTGTGTGTTGTTTCCTTCTATGTGTCCATGTGTTCTCATCATTTAGCTCCTAGAGAAAACACCAAATAATATTTTAATATTATAAAATGTAATTTTATTTACTTTATTAAAATTAAATCTATTCTATTAATCACTTACAGGAATAAATGTATTTGATCATTTCAAAAGATAGCCAAATAACAAGCACTTGATAATATGCAACCCCAATAAAAAATTTATAAAAAAAGAACTTTTAGCAAACTAGGCAAAGAAAGAAACTTACTTAGCAATGAAGGTGGGGTAAGTTAAACTGGACCATAAAACAAAGTAATGATCAAAATTATTTGAACATTTGATAAACTCGACCTCATATACACGTACACACACAAATACACATAGTGAAACAGAGACAAAGACAGAGTGATAACTCCACATGCTCAAAATAAAAAATGAAAATTCTTTTCAAGCACAGATGATATAGTTACAGAAAATTGATCATTCAGTAATAAACTAATGATGTCCAATTTAGAAGGATTTGGATCTACCAGAGTGCTTCCAGCGCTGGTGGCAGTGTAAACTGATAAAGCCACTTCTGGAAATTGCTTGCCAATAACTTGAAAAGATGAACATTCACCCATTCTGATTCCAAGCAATTTCATTTCTAGGTGTACTTTCAAGATAAAAGTTTATAGTTGTAGACTGTAAGATATGAGCAGGATGGTTTATAGCACAACTATTCTTAAGAGAAAAAAAGGGAAACATCCAAACTGCCCAATGACAGAAGAGTGGAGAAATAAGTGGCCATATTCAAACACAGCATTTTATACAGAAGATTCAATAAGTTAACGACAGTTACACATCATAATATAAATGAATCTTATTAACCTTATTGAGAGAATTAATTTTCAATTGGCTAGAGAGATATACAGCTATATCTTTCTGTCTATTTCCCATGCATAATCATCAACAGATTAAAAGTCTATAGAACTTAATATTTAACATTTGTATTCATAAAGATAAAAATGTAAAATCTAAGAAATAAGATAATGCAATACCTTTAAAGAGATAACTATAAAACTTTACCGAAAAACATAAATGAATACAGCAGGGAGTGAAGAGAAATACATTTGTTCCTGGATTTGGAATGCTGTTATGGTAAAGTTATAACCTCTCCTTGAGTTAATTATTTTTGAAATTTTTATTTTGATTTTTGTGGGTACATAACAGATGTATGTATCTATGTGGTACATGAGATGTTTTGATACAGGCATGCAATGTATAATAATCACATCATGTAAAATGGGATATCCATCCCTCAAGCATTTAATCTTTCTGTTACAATCTAATTACGCTCTTTATTTTAAAATGTACAGTTAAATTATTATTGACTATAGTCAACCTGTTGTGCAATCAGATAGTAGGCCTTATTCATTCTTACTATTTTTTATACCCATTAACCATCTCCACATCCCCCCACTGCACACTACCCTTCCCAGCTTATGGTCACCCTGTTTCTGCTCTCTATCTCCATGACTTTAATGGTTTTGATATTTACATCCAGCAAATAAGTCAGAACATGTGATGTTTGTCTTTCTGTGCCTGGTTTATTTTACTTAATATAATGACCTCCTATTCCATCCATGTTGTTGGAAATAACAGAATATCAGTCTTTTTTAATGGCTGAATAGTACTACATTGTGTATACGTACCACATTTTCTTTATCTAGTCATCTGTTGATGGGCATTTAGGTTGCTTTCCAACCTTAGCTATTGTAAACAGTGCTGTAACAAACACAGGAGTGCAGATATATCCTCAATGTACTGATTTCCTTTCTTCTGGGTATATGCCCCGCATTGGGATTGCTAGATCATACAGTAGCTGAATTTTTATCATTTTGAGGGACCTCCAGACTATTCTCCATAGTGGTTGTAGTAATTTACATTCCCAGCAACTGTGTACAAGGGCTCTATTTTCTCCACACCCTTGTCAGTGTTTGTTATTGCCCGACTTTTAGATGTAAGTCATTCTAAATGGGGTGAGATTATATCTCATTGTAGTTTTGATTTGCATTTCTCTGATGACCAGTGATGCTGAGCATCTTTTTATATGCCATTTTGCCATTTGTATGTTTTCTTTTGTGAATGTCTGTTCAGATATTTTGTCTATTTTTTAAATCAGATTATTATATGTTTCTTATAGAGTTGTTTGAGCTCCTTATATTTTCTGGTTATTAATCCCTTGCCAGGTGGGTAGTTTGCAGATATTCTCTCTCATTCTGTGGTTTGTCTCTTCAATTTGTTGATTGTTTCCATTGCTGTCCAGGAGCTTTTTAACTTAATGTGATCCCGTTTATTCATTTTTGCTTTGGTTGCCTGTGCCTGCGTGGTATTACTCAAGAAATTTTTGCCCAGACTAATGTTCTGGAGATTTTTGTCAATGTTTTCTTGCAGTAGTTTTCATAATTTGAGGCCTTAGACTTAAGTCTTTAATCCATTTTGATGTGAATTTTTTTTTTTTTTTTTTTTTTTTTTTGGAGACAGAGTCTTGCTCTGTCGCCCAGGCTGGAGTGCAGTGGCACGGTCTCAGCTCACTGCAACCTCCGCCTCCCAGGTTCACGCCATTCTCCTGCCTCAGCCTCCCGAGCAGCTGGGACTCCAGGTGCCCGCCACCACGCCTGGCTAGTTTTTTGTATTTTTAGTAGAGACGGGGTTTCACCATGTTGGCCAGGATGATCTCGATCTCCTGACCTCGTGATCCGCCTGCCTCGGCCTCCCAAACTGCTGGGATTATGGGCATGAGCCACTGCACCCAGCCTTGACGTGATTTTTGTATATGGTGAGAGAGAGGGGTCTAGTTTTATTCTTCTGCATATAGATATACAGTTTTCCTAGCACCATTTATTGAAGAAACTGTCTTTCCCACGGTGTATATTCTTGGCACCTTTGTCAAAAATGAGTTCACTGTAGGTGTGTGAATTTGTTTCCAGGTTTTCTACTCTGTTCCATTGGTCTATGTGTCTGTTTCTATGCCAGTACCATGCTATTTTGGTTACCATAGCTCTGTAGTATAATTTGAAATCAGGTAATGCAATTCCTCCAGTTTTGTTCATTTTTCTCAGGTTAGTTTTGTGTATTCTGGATCTTTCGTGGTTCCATATAAATTTTAGGAGAGTTTTTTTCTCTTTCTGTGAAGAATGTCATTGAAGTTTTGATAGGCATTGAATTGAATCTGTAGATTGCTTTAGATAGTATGGACATTTTAACAATATTGATTCTTCCAATCCATGTACAGGGAATATTTTCCATTTTTTAGTGTACTCTTTATTTTCTTTCATCCGTGTTTTATAGTTTTTATTATAGAGATCTAGTTAATTTCTAGGTATTTAATTTTATGTGTGGTTATTGTAAAAGGGATTACTATTTTATTTCTCTTTCAGATTGTTGGCATATAGAAATACTACTGATTTTTGTAGGTTGATTTTCTATCCTGAAACTACTAAATTTGTTATCATTTCTAATTTTTTTTTGGTGGAGTGTAGGTTTTTCCAAATATAAGATCATTATATTAGTCAGGGTTCTCTAGAGGGAGACAACTAATAGGATATATGTATATATGAAAGGGAGTTTATTAAGGAGAATTAACTCGCAGGATAACAAGTTGAAGTCCCACAATAGGCCGTCTGCAAGCTGAGGAGCAAAGAAACGAGTATTGGCTCAGTCCCCAAACCTCAAAAGTAGGGAAGCTGACAGTGCAGCCTTCAGTCTGTGGCCAAAGGCCCAAGAGTCCCTGGCAAACCACTGGTGTAAGTCCAAGAGTCCGAAAGCCGAAGAAAGTGGAGTCTGAGTTTCCAGGGCAGGAAGCATCCAGCAAGGGAGAAAGATAAAGGCTGGAAGACTCAGCTAATCTGCTCATTCCACCTTCTTCTGCTTGCTTTTTCTAGCTGTGCTGGCAGCCGACTGGAGAGTGCCCACACAGATTGAGGGTGTGTCTGCTTCTCCCAGTCCACTGACTCAAATGTTAATCTCTGGCAACACCCTCACAGACACACCCAGAAACAATACTTTGCATCCTTGAATCCAATCAAGTTAACACTTAATATTAGTCATCACAATTATATAATTTGCAAACAAGAATTGACTTCTTCTTTTCCAATTTTATGTCCTTTATATTCTTCTGTTGTCTGATTGCTATACTACAACTTCCAGTAGTATGTTGAATAATGGTGGTGACATTGGGCATCCTTGTTGTGTTCCAGATCTTAGTATGATACTAGTTGTGGGTCTGTCATAGATGACATTTATTAACTTGAAATATGTTTTCCCATACCCAATTTTTTGAGGATTTTTATTGTAAAAGGATGCTAAATTGTATCAAACATTTGTAAGCATCAATTGAAATTATCATATTGTTTTGTTTCATCCTTCTGTTGATATGATGCATTGCATTGGTTGATTTGCATATTTTGGGCCAACCTGTCATCCCAAAGATAAATCCCACTTGGTGAAGATAAATGACATTTTTAATGTGTTGTTAAATTTGATCTGCTAGTATGTTGCTGAGGATATTTTCATCAATAACCATGAGAGATATTGGCCTGTAGTTTCCTATTTTTAGTGTGTCTTTGTCTGGTTTTCACATCAGGTTAATACTTGCCTCCTAGAACGAATTGGGAAGTATTCACTTTTCCTTTATTTTTTGAAATAGTCTGAGTAGGATTTGGTAGAACTCAGAAGTGAAGCCTTCAGGTCCTGGGCTTTTTTTTACTGGGAGATTTTCTATAACAATTTTGCTCTTCTTATGTGTTGTTGGTCTGCTCAGGTTTTGGATTTTTCATGGTTCAATCTTGTTATATTGTATGTGTCCAGGAATGTGTCAATTTCTTCTGTGTTTTCCAGTTTATCGGCATATAGTTGCTAATAGTAATCCCTAATGATCCTTTGAAATTCTGCAGTGTCAGATTTAATGTCTCCTCCACTCCCTGGCAGCTGCGGCATGGTGCAGAGACGGTCTCTGGGCACTGGGGGAGGGAGAACACTGAAACTGTGAGGTATTGAATTTCAACTTCCTGCTGTCCTGTTAGAGCAGAAAAGAAAACTGGACCAAACTCAGCTGACACCCACCCACTGAGGGAACACTTAAATTAGCCCTAGCAAAAGGAGAACTGCCAACAGGGATATGAACTTGAATTCCCACAAATCTTGCCACTAAGGGCCACTATGTCTATAAGTAATCCTGAAAAGCAGTTTATCTCATGCATCCCAGAAATAGATAAACCTACTATGTAACCACAAAAACTGAAAATTTAAAAATAAAAAAAGAAAGAGATATTCTGCCATATGCCACAATGAGGATGAACCTTGAGGACATTATACAAAGTGAAATAAGCCAGACAAATGCTGTATGATTCCTCTTACATGAGGTATCGAAAGTAGTAAAAATAGAAACAGAGGAGCTTGGGCTGGGGGAAAAAGGGAGTTCTTTCTTGGGTATAAAGTTTCAGATTTGCAAGATGAAGAAATTCTGGAGATCGGTTGCACAATAAGGTCCATGTAGATAACACTAATCAATTATACACTTGAAAGTGATTCACATGGTAAATATTATGTGTTTTTTTTCCCACACCTAAAAATATATAGTTTTAAAAAGAGTTAGGCCAATTTTGAGAAAGACGAAGTGGAGGAGAGGAATACACCTTCCCAGGTCTCAAAACATATAATAAACTTAAAGTAAGTAAAACACTGTAGTAATTTTTTAAGAAGAGAAAAACAGACATGGGCAATTGAATTTCACAGAACATTAGATATAAAGTGATTCAGATGTATGTAGGGTTTTAGTTTAAGATAAAGTAGCATTTAACATTAGCAGAGAAAATTAGTAAGTAGTAAAATAGTTGAGGCAATTTGTTATCTATTTTAAAAAATATTTCTTTCTTTACATCATTGATTAATGTTAATTTCAGATGGATAAAATATTTAATACAAAAAGAAAGTTACGTTTTATTAAATAGAATTAGAATTTTGAGAAAATATGGAGAATATATTCATAATCTTGGATGCCGAAGCTTTCTTAAGCGGGACTCAAAAAGCAAAACCTGTGAAAATCAATACTGTTTAATTTCTTATGTCAAGATTAAGTGCATTCTATATGACAAAAACAGCATAAGCAAATTTTTAAAATCACAAGAAAATATTTTCAACACATATAAATATGAGAATTAACATTTACAATGCATAAATTTTACAAAAAAAGGATAAGAAAAATTTAAGTATTAAATAGAAAAAAATGACAAAGTATTTGAGTAGACAATTTTCCAAAGCTAATACAAATGAATAATTAAAACATGGTGAATCTTACTGGTAATCCAAGAAGTACACAGTGAAAAGCAAACAAGTAAGCAAACAAAAACAGTAAAATTCAATTTTTCATCTGTCAGAATGATTTTTTTAAGTACAAATGTTAAGTATTGACCAAGTAAAGAGAATTGGGTTCTCATCTAAAATAATGCTGCAAATTAGTATTGATATATTGGAAGACAATATAAGTGTAAATGTTGCATACTATGATACAGTCTTTTTACTTCTCAAATTCCTGTCTGGTGATGTTAAACTGGCATGTGGCATGTCCGTATTACACTATTTATTTATTCATTTGCTTGTTTATTTATGTATACACACACATACACACACACACACACACACACACACACACACATATATATGTGAATGTTTACCTGAGTTACAGGATCAGTTGTACCCCAAAACTCAGCATCACAAGGTATACCCATGTAACAAACCTGCATATGTACCCCCGAATCTAAAATAAAAGTTGAAATTTTAAAATAGTAATAAAATTAAAATTATTAAAACATATAGATGAATAATACATTAAGATTTTGAAATATTAGAATCATCATCTCTCACCTTATAAACAGACAATTCAAGATGGATCAAAGACTTAAATCTAAGACCTGAAACCATGGAAATTCTAGAAGATAACATTGGAAAAACTGTTCTGAACATTGGCCTAGGCAAATAATTCATGACTAAGACCACAAATGTAAATCCAAGAAAAACAAAAATAAATAAGTAGGACCTAATTAAACTAAAAAGGTACTGCACAGCAAAAGAAATAGGAGAGTAAACAGACAAGGCACAGAATGAGAGAACATATTTGCACACTATGCATCTGAGAAAGGACTAGCATCTATAATCTACAAGAAATTCAAATAAATCAGGAAGAAAAATAAAATAATTCTATCAAAGAGTGGGCAAAGGACATGAATAGACATTTCTGGAAAGAAGACACACAAATGGCCAAGAAATACATGAAAGGAAGCTCAACACCACTAATCATCAGGGAAATGCAAATTAAAACCACAATGAGATACTACTTTAGTCCTGCAAAAATAGCCATACTTAAAAAGTCAAAAAACAACAGATGTCGGCATAGATTTGGTGAAAAGGGATGCATTTTCACTGCTGGTGGGAATGTAAAGTAGTACAACCTCTATGGAAAACAGTATGGAGATTCCTTAAAGAGCTAATAGTAGATCTACCATTCATTCCAGGAATCCCACTGCTGAGTATTTACCCAAAGAAAAAGAAGTTGTTATATGAAAAAGACACAGGCACATGTATGTTTACAGTAGCACAAATCACAACTGTAAATATATGGAACCCACTTAAGCACCCATTGACCAAGGAGTGGATGAAAATTTTGTGATATATATACACCATGAACTACTACTCAGCCATAAAATGTAACAAAATAATGTATTTTGCAGCAACTTGCATGGGGCTGGAGGCCATTATTCTAAGTGAAGTAACTCGGGAATGGAAAACCAAATACCTAATGCAGTCATTTATAAGCAGGAGCTAAGCTGTGAGGATGCAAAGACATACAAAGAGGTATAATTACTTTGGAGATTCAGAAGGGGAAGGGTGGGAGGAAAGTGAGGGATAAAATCTACATATTGGGTACAACGTGATGTACCCAATAGGTGTAGGGTGTTGAGTGCACTAAAATCTCAGACTTAATGGGTGTACTAAAATCTTAGACTTTACCACTCTAGAACTCATCCATGCAACCAAACACTACTTGTACCCCAAAAGCTATTGAAATACTAAAAAATAATAAAAGGAAAAGGAAAAAGTAAAAACAAAAAACAAAAACAAAAACAAAAAATATGATAAAATTAAAATTTATCTTTATATGCATACATTTTTTAACCTGTTTAAAGTGAAAGTATCATAAAAGTTATATAAAGCAAAAAAATAATAGAAAGAATTCAAACACCCATTGCCATGTGAACTGATAGATAACCTCTAGTATAGTCCAGGCTATAAAATATGTTGCAGCAGTTAAAATATAAAACAAAGTAGATATTCCATGAAATGGAAAGTTCTCAATGACGTTGTAATTGACACTAGCAAACTGAATAATCACATAACGTGATGAGGAAAACAGAAAGTCAAATTGTCCCTGTTTGCAGATGACATATTGTATATCTAGAAAACCCCACCGTCTCAGCCCAAAATCTCCTTAAGCTGATAGGCAACTTCAGCCAAGTCTCAGGATACAAAATCAATGTGCAAAAATCACAAGCATTCTTATACACCAATAACAGACAAACAGAGAGCCAAATCATGAGTGAACTCCCATTCACAATTGCTTCAAAGAGAATAAAATAGCTAGGAATCCAACTTACAAGGGAAGTGAAGGACCTCTTCAAGGAGAACTACAAACCACTGCTCAATGAAATAAAAGAGGATAGAAACAAATGGAAGAACACGGCCATACTGCCCAAGGTAATTTATAGATTCAATACCATCCCCATCAAACTACCAATGACTTTCTTCACAGAATTGGAAAAAACTACTTTAAAGTTCATATGGAACTAAAAAAGAGCCCGCATTGCCCAGTCAATCCTAAGCCAAAAGAACAAAGCTGGAGGCATCACGCTACCTGACTTCAAACTATACTACAAGGCTACAGTAACCAAAACAGCATGGTACTGGAACCAAAACAGAGATATAGACCAATGGAATAGAACAGAGCCCTCAGAAATAATGCCACATATCTACAACGATCTGATCTTTGACAAACCTGACAAAAACAAGAAATGGGGAAACAATTCCCTATTTAATAAATGGTGCTGGGAAATTGGCTAGCCATATGTAGAAAGCTGAAACTGGATCCCTTCCTTACACCTTATACAAAAATTAATTCAAGATGGATTAAAGACTTAAATGTTAGATGTAAAACCATAAAAACCCTAGAAGAAAACCTAGGCAATACCATTCAGGACACAGGCATGGGCAAGGACTTCATGTCTAAAACACCAAAAGCAATGGCAACAAAAGCCAAAATTGACAAATGGGATCTAATTAAACTAAAGAGCTTCTGCACAGCAAAAGAAACTACCATCAGAGTGAACAGGCAACCTACAGAATGGGAGAAAATTTTTGCAACCTACTCATCTGACAAAGGGCTAATATCCAGAATCTACAAAGAGCTCAAACAAATTTACAAGAAAAAAACAAACAACCCCATCAAAAAGTGGGCAAAGGATATGAACAGACACTTCTCAAAAGAAGACATTTATGCAGCCAACAGACACATGAAAAAATGCTCATCATCACTGGCCATCAGAGAAATGCAAATCAAAACCACAATGAGATATCATCTCACACCAGTTAGAATGGCGATCATGCAAAAGTCAGGAAACAACAGGTGCTGGAGAGGATGTGGAGAAATAGGAACACTTTTACACTGCTGGTGGGACTGTAAACTAGTTCAATCATTGTGGAAGTCAGTGTAGCGATTCCTCAGGGATCTAGAACTAGAAATTCCACTCGACCCAGCCATCCCATTACTGGGTATATACCCAAAGGATTATAAATCATGCTGCTATAAAGACACATGCACATGTATGTTTATTGCAGCACTATTCACCATAGCAAAGACTTGGAACCAACCCAGATGTCCAACTATGATAGACTGGATTAAGAAAATGTGGCACATATACACCATGGAATACTATGCAGCCATAATAAATGATGAGTTCATGTCCTTTGTAGGGACATGGATGAAGCTGGAAACCATCATTCTCAACAAACCATCACAAGGACAAAAAAACCAAACACCGCATGTTCTCACTCATAGGTGGGAATTGAACAATGAGAACACATGGACACAGGAAGGGGAACATCACACACCCGGGCCTGTTGTGGGGTGGGGGGAGGGGGGAGGGATAGCATTAGGAGATATGCCTAATGTTAAATGACGAGTTAATGGGTGCAGCACACCAACATGGCACATGTATACATATGTAACTAAACTGCATGTCGTGCACATGTGCCCTAAAACTTAAAGTATAATAAAAAAAGAATAAAAAACAAATACATACATAAAACAATGCTATATTTTCTACTAGTTAATGCATGTAAATGCACAGTATAATTATCAGCAAGTTTATGTACACAACAAAAAGAGCAAATTTCTCTAGCAAATTTCTTTAGAGTAACAGGGTACCTTAGGAGGAATATTTAAGGTAATGTGGTGGGGGTAAAGTAGGACTTTTTTCTGTGAAATTTGAATATTTTATATTTTTCAATCCACTTGTGTAAATAAAAATTAATCTAAATTTAGGAAACAAATCAAATCATGTCCTTTATTTCAATGTTTACAGGCAGGCAGGGATAAAAGGATGAAAATGATCTCATGTCTGACATTTGAAAGAATGAACCTCTTAAGCCACATACCATGAAGCATTTTGGAAAATTATTCTTTTGGCTTTTTTCCCCTTTTTAGCTTTATTTTTTTATTTTTATTTTTTTTTATTTTTGAGACGGAGCCTTCCACTGTGGCCCAGGCTGGAGTGCGGTGGCGCGATCTCGGCTCACTGCAAGCTCCGCCTCCCGGGTTCCACACCATTCTCCTGCCTCAGCCTCCCGGGTAGCTGGGACTACAGGTGCCCACCACCACGCCCGGCTAATTTTTTGTACTTTTAGTAGAGACGGGGTTTCACCGAGTTAGCCAGGATGGTCTCGGTCTCCTGACCTTGTGATCCGCCTGCCTCGGCCTCCCAAAGTGCTGGGATTACAGGCATGAGCCACCCCGCGCCCGGACGGACCCTTTTTAGCTTTTACCATGATTATTATTTTGAGTAGCTTTTGAATGTAGGAGAGGGTTAGTAATTTTATCAGAAATTGGTCAATTGAATTGAGATTTTCAAATGCACATCATAACACTCATTGCTATAACTGAGGATAATTATTGTAATAGAGTTGAGGGTATGAGCTCTGTAGTCAATGAATTTAGAATCACTGGCTCTGTCTCTTATAAAACTGTGTGATCCCTATAAAATTATGTAACCTTTTTATTTGCCTCCTCTACAAAATGAGGATAATCTTATCAACTATTAAGTTATAAAGTGAGCATGTACTGATAGTGTTTGTGTAGGGCCTATCATAGTACTTTAATATTATTACTCTTATTATATCGCAGGTTCACTCTGTCTTGATTTTTTATTTCAAATGTCTGTATAAGGTATTAGCAATTTCAAATTATTATGTCCAGTAATCCAAGATGTATTTGTCAACATTACTGTTTTTTTCTAATTCGTTGCCTAAGTTATTTTTTATCAAAATTGTTTGAGTTGAATATTAAGCTAATTTACTTCTGTTCTTTCTTATTTAATAATACAAACATTGATGGTTGTAAATTTTTCTTTCTTTTGTTGGCCATATTTAAGCTTGCTATGTGGAATCATTTTATACATAGTTTTAACTTACAGATTCACTGCCTTTAAATATTATTTTATCTTAATTGTAGTTTGGGGAGAAGTTTTTTGTTGTTGTTTAGCTTTGTAAGTAATTGGGTTTAAATGTGTTTTAACGTTGATTTCTAACTTTGTTGCATTTTGATCATAGAGTATGATCTTCTTACTTCGTGATTTTAAAAACATATTGAGTTTACATTTTGATAATGGATGTAATCTATTTTAATTAGACCTAACGTTTAGAGTAGTTTTTAGGCTCACAAAACATTGAGGGAAAGGCACAGAGATTCCCCATATACCTCTTTCCCCACAGCCCCAGCCACCCCACTACCAATATCCTTAACCAGAATGGTACATTTGTTACAATCGTATACCTACATTGACACATTATTATCACTCAAATTCCAGAGTTTACGTCAGGGTTCACTCTTGGTTTTGTACAATCTATGGGCTTTGACAAATGTATGATGACATGTATCCATCATGATAGTATCATACGGAGCAGTTTCACTATCCTAAAAGCTGTCTGTACTCCTGCTATTTAGCCCTTCCTCATCCTAGCCCCTGGAAACCACTTACTCTTTTACGGTATCCGTAGTTTTCCCCTTTTGAGAACGTCATACAGTTGGAATTGTACAGTATATAGCCTTTTCAGATTGCTTCTTTCACTTGGTTACAAGCATATAAAGTTTCTCCATGTTTTCTCATGACTTGGTAGCTTCTATCTTTTTATTGCTGAATAATATTCTGTTGTCTGGATGTACCATAGTTTACCAATTCACTAACTAAAGATACCTTGGCTGCTTCCAAGTTTTAGTAATTGTTCATTAGGCTGCTATAATGCATTTGTGTGTAGTTTTTTTTTTAATGAAAAAAAGGTTTTAATTCATTTGGGTGAATACCAAAGAGCATGATTGCTGGATTGTATAGCAAGGCTATATTTAATTTGTAAGCAACTACCAAACTGTCTTCCAACATGACTGCACCATTTTCCAATTCCAATAATAAATGAGAGTTCTTGTTGCTCTACATCCTTTCCAGTATTTGGCACTGTCAGTGTTTTGAGTTCAGACCACTCTAATAAATAGGTAGTGGTATCTCATTGTTGTTTTAATTTATATTTCTCTAATAACACATGATATCGAGTATATTTTTATATGCTATTTGCCATCATCTGTACATCATCTTTTGTGAGGTGTCTGTTCAGGTCTTTTGCCCATTTTTAATCGAGTTGTTCATTATTTATTGGTGATTTTAAAAACTCCTTATATTTTGGATAACAGTTGACTATTTTATGTCTTTTACAAATATTTTTCCCTCAGTCTTTGGTTTGTCTTCTTCTTTTTACAGCATCTTTCACAAAGCAAAAGTTTTTAATTTAAATAGAGCCCAACATATCTATTATTTCTTTCATGAATCATTTCTTTGGTGTTGGCTCCATCACCATACCCAAGGTCATCTATATTTTTTCTTTGCTATCTTCTAGGAGTTTTATAGTTTTGCATTTAGCATTTAGGTCTGCAGTGCATTTTGCATCTCTCCTTATGAATGGTTTGAGGTTTACATGTAAATTGATTTTTTTTTTTTTGCATGGGGATGTCTAGCTTTTCTGATAACATTAAAAAAAAAAGACAATCTTTGCTCTCTTGTATTGCCTTTATGCTTTTCTCAAAGATCAGTTGACTATTTTTATGTGGTCCTATTTCTGGATTCTCTATTCTGCTTCACTGAATTATTTTTAGATGTTTATTCTAATACCAGACTATCTTGATTAATGCAGATTTTCACTGACTTTTGAAGATTAATAATGTCAGTTACTTGAATTTCTTATCCTTCAAAACTGAATTAATTAAATTTGTTATTTGCCTCTCCATATAAACTTTTGAATTAGCTCAACTATATCTACAGAAATAACTTACTTGGATTTTGTTTGGAATTGTGTTAAATTTATAGATCAAGTTGCAAGGAATTGGTATCTTGATGATATTTAGTTTTACTATCTATAAGCATGGAGTATCTCTCCCTTTATTTAGTTTTCTGTTGATTTCTTACATCAGAGTTTAGTAGTTTTCCTCATATAGATCTTGTACATATTTTAGATACATACCTAAATATTTTATTTTGAGGACTGGTAATGCAAATAGTAAAGTGTGTTTAAATGCAAATTCCAGTTGTGCATTGCTAGTATATAAGAAAGTGGTTGACTTTTCTTGTTAACCTTGTATCCTGCAACCTTTGCTATAATTGCTTATTATTAGGTGGGTGCAAAGGTTCTTGCGATTTTTGCCATTGGAAGTAACGCCAAAAGCTGAAATAATCTTTTCACCAACCTATAGTTCCAGGCGTTTCTGGTCTTGTTTTGTTTTACTTTGGGTTTTTTTGGTCAAATATTTCAGGTTTTCTGCACAATCCTGTTATCTGCAAACAAAGACGGTTTTGTTTCATTTTTCCTGACCAATATACTTTTATTTCCCTTTATTGTTTTACTGCATTGGGGAGGACTTCCAGTACAATGTTGAAAAAGAGTAGTGAAAGGGGAAATACTTACTCTATTCATGAACTTAGCAGGGAAACTTCTAGTTTCTTGTCATTAGGTAGATTTTTATCATTAAGTATGATGTTAGCTGTAGGCATTTTTGTAGATGTAAAGAAACACACATAATTTGCTGATAGTTTTTGTCATGAATGGGTATTGGATTTTGTCAAATGCTTTTTCTGTTGTCTATTGATTTGATCATGTACTCTTTCTTCTTTAGCTTGATGATATGATGGCATTACTTGACTTTCAAATATTGAACCAGCCTTGTATAGCTAGAATAAATCACACCTGAACATTGTGTATAATTATTTTATACATTGTTGGATTTGTTAATATTTTCTTGAGGATTTTTGCACCTATGTGCATGAGAAATATGTGTTGTAGTTTTTATTTCTTCTAATATATTTGTCTGGTTTTGGTATGAATGTAAAGACTGCCTCATTGAGTCAGAGAGTATCCTCTCTTATTCTATGTTCTGGAAGAAATTGTAGAGAACTGATATAATTTATTCCTTAAATTTGGTATAGTTCACCAATGAACCTATCTGGTCCAGTGATTTCCATTTTGAAAGATTGTTAATCATTGATTCAATTTCTTTAACACATATGTAGGTCTATTCAAATTTATTATTCCTTCTTGTGTGAGTTTTGGCAGATTGTGTCTTTCAAAGATTTGGTCCGATTCTTCTAGGTTATCAAATCTAGGTGGACATAGAGTTGTTCATAATATACCTTTATTATTATTTTTATATCTGATCTGAATGGTTTCTAGTAATATCCTCTCTTTCACTTCTGTAATTAGTAATTTGTGTTTTCTCTCTTTTTTATTAGTTAGCCTGGCTAGAGGCCTATTGATATTTATTGACTTTTTCAAAGAATTGGCTTCTGCTTTTGTTAATTTTTCTCTATTAATTTCCTGTTTTCAATTTATGTACTTCTTAATTTTTATTAGTTCTTTTATTCTGGCTACTATGAAATTAATCTGCTCTTATTTTTGTTGTTTCATAAGGTTGTTTATATTATTAATTTTAGATATTTCTTTTTTCTAATTATGCATTCAATGCTATAAATTTTCTTCTAAGCACTGCTTTCACAGCATCCCACAAATTTTGATAAGTTGTATTTTCATTTTTATTTTGTTCAATTTTTTTTCATTTCTTTTGATTTTTTTCTTTGACTCGTACTTTGTACATGTATGTCGTTTAATCTCCAAATATTTTGCAATTTTCTAACTATCTTTTCGTTATTGACTTCTAGTTTCATTCAATGTGGTCTGGGAGAAGATACTTTATGAATTTTAATCTATTACATTTGTTAAGATGCATTTTATGGCCCAGAATATGGTCAATATTGGTGAATGTTCCATGTGAACTTGGGAAGAAATGGTATTCTCTTGCCGGTAGATGAAGTAGTCAATAGATGTGAATAATACTCGATTGCTATAATTGAGTTTATTTGTGTTCTTACAGATTTTCTGCCTGCAGAATCTGTCTATTTCTGATAAAGGTTGTTGAAGTCTTCAACTGTAATAGTGGATTCATCTATTTCTCCTTGCCTTTCTCAGTTTTTGCCTCATGCATATTGATGCTCTGTTATTAAGTACATACACATTGACAATTTTTATGTTTTTGTGAACTGACCCCTGTATCATTATGAAAGTCCTTTTTTATCCTGATAACTTTGCCCAGAAATATTCTCTGTCTGAAATGAATATAGCCTCCACTGCTTTCTTTCGACTAGTGAATAGCATGGCATATTTTTCTCCTTCTATTATGTTTAATTAATATGTCTTAATATTTATACTGGGTTTTTTGTATAGACTGTATTATTGGGTCTTGTTTTTCCCTCCATTCTGACAATGTCTACCTTTTAATTGGTGTTTACACCGTTGCTATTTAAAGTGGTTATTGATACAGTTAGTGTTATGAACCGAATTGTATCCTCCCAAAATTTATATTTTGAATGAATGTTTGTATCTATGATCATGATGTTAACCTTCAATGTGACTGTATCTGGAGATGAGTTTTCTTAATAGGTAATTAAACTTAAACGAGGTCATGAGGGTAGAGCTCTTATCTGACAGGACCTTGGTCTTATAAGCCTAGGAAGAGAGAGAAATCTCTCTCTCTTTCTCTGCCATGTGAGGAAACAGTGAGAAGGCGGACATGTGCAAGCCAGGAAGAGAGTCTACAGTTGAATCCAACAAACCTGGTACCCTAAACTTAAAGTTTCTGCCATTTCTGGTGTCTAAGCTACCCAGCGTATGGTATTTTGTTGGGTCAGCCTAAGCTAAGGCGGTTTATTTAATATCTACCATGTATGTTATTGTGTTCTATTAATTGCCTTTGTTCGTTGTTCTTATTTTTGTTTTCCACTCTTTTTCTGCCTTTCGTGGTTTTGAATTTTTATAAAATTTAATTTCCCCTCTTTTCTTAGCACATCAGTTATACTCTTTAAAACAAAACAAACATTTTTTGGTTGCCTTACAGTTTGCCATATAAATTTACAACTAATTCATGTACTGTGAATGGATTATACATAAGCATACAAAACAGAATATATTGTTATTATTGTTTTGAACAAATTGTCTGTTATAGCAATTAAGAGATTTTAAAAAGTGTTTATTTTACCTTCACTTATTCTTTCACTGAAGTGCTTCTTTTATTTATATTCAAGGTTCTCATTGATATTATTTTCCTTCTCGCTGATAAATTTCTTTTAATATATCTTGCAATATCAACTAACTGGCAACAAATTTCCTCAATTTTTATCTGAGAAAGTCTTTAGTTCTCCTTTCCTTTTGAAGGATACATTCACAAGATATAGAATTCTAGGTTGGTGTTTTTCTTCTCTTAACATTTTAAGTATTTTACTCCACTCTATTCTTACTTGCATGGTTTCTGAGGAGACATCAGATATAATATTCGCCATTGCTTTTCTATAGGTAAGATGTCTTTTTTTTCTCTCTCTGAATACTTCCAATATGTTTTCCTCAGATTTAATTTCCTGTAGTTTGAATATGATATTCCCAGGTGTAGTTTTCGGTATTTATTGTACTAGGCATTCTCTGAGCTTCCTGGATCTATTATTTGGTGTCCGATTTTAATTTGGAAAAATTGCCAGCCATTGTTGCTTCAAATATTTCTTGTGTTCCTCGCTCTTCTTCTTCCCCATCTAGTGTTCCTATTACGCAGAAGTTTCACCATTTCAAGTTGTCTCATAGATCTTGAATATGATGTTGCGTTTTTTTTTATTTCAGTCTTTTATTCTCATTTATTTTTTATCATTTTGGACATTTGTATTGAAATAGCCTGAAGCTCAGAGATTATTTCCTCAACTGTATTGAGTCCACTAACCAAAGGCATTCTTAATTTCTGTTATGGTGGTTTTGATCTCTAGTATTTCCTTTTGATTCTTTATTAACATTTTCATCTTTCTGTTTACATTGCTAATCTCACCTCCATACTATGTATTTTATTCATTAGAACCCTTAGGATGTTAATCATAGTTGCTTTAAATACTCAGTCTAATAATTCCAACATCCCAGCTGTATCTGGGTCTGGTTCTGATGCTTGCTCTGTCTCTTCAAGCTGTGTTTTTTTCCTCTTTTGTATATCTTGTAATTTTTTTTTGATAGCCAGACGTGATGCACAGAGTAAAAGAAACTGATAAATAGGCGTTTAGTAATGTTGTGGTAAAATGTGGGAGGAGGGGAGCATACTATAATCCCCTGATTAGGTCTCAATCTTTTAGTGAGTTTGTGCTTCTGGATGGTAAAATTTTCAAGTGCTTCTCAGTTGTCCCCCTCACTTAGGTGAGACAAGATGTCTAGAGGGGGCTAGAGTTGCATATTCTACCCACAGATGAGTTCGGCTTTGAAAAAACCATGTAGTTTATGTTCTGGTAATATTGTTTATATTAAAGGCAGGCCTTGTTAAGAATAACAAAGTGGTCTGATGTATTTCAAAATGGTTGCATTTCTCCTCTTCCTGCCAGAAGCATGAGTGGACTTTTCTGGAATATTCCCTGTGAGAATCTGTATGAGCTCCTGGAAGTAAAACTCACAAGTGTGGGGATTGTCTTGTAACTAAGCCTCCATGAAGTCTTTTTGTTTGTTTGTTTGTTTGTTTGTTTTTTGAAATGGAGTCTAGCTGTGTCGCCCAGGCTGGAAGTAGTGCAGTGGCGCGATCTCGCCTCACTGCAAGTTCCGCCTCCCGGGTTCACGCCATTCTCCTGCCTCAGCCTCCCGAGTAGCTGGGACTACAGGCGCCCGCCACCACGCCCAGCTAATTTTTTGTATTTTTAGTAGAGACAGGGTTTCACCGAGTTAGCCAGGATGGTCTCGATCTCGTGACCTCGTGATCCGCCGGCCTCGGCCTCCCAAAGTGCTGGGATTACAGGCGTGAGCCACCACGGCCGGCCGAAGTTTTTAACTCTCAGTCTTGCCCACACCAAACCTTCAGAAATTTATCAATTACAGTTGAGTTTCTCTTATCCCAGTAATGATTCTCATGAAGTGTCCACTTCATGGGTTTCTCTTCCAGTAAGTTGTGATGCTCTGTATTTACTTGTCTGTCTCTCCAATTTGGGGACAGCAGTTTGCCCTGTAACCTCACTTTTCTGACCAATCTAAGTAAAGTTGTTATTGCAGCTTGTTCAGCTTTCTACTTGCTAGAGTGGAAATATGACTTCTAAGCTTCTTGTATGTTGGATTGGAAACCAGAATTTGATGTAATCCATTTTTATAAAGGACCTATGGATAACTGGATGTCACCTACTTTTCTCCCAGAATTTTTTCTTTTATAATTTTTGTACGAGTTCTCTCAATATTAATTGCACCCATAATTTTATTATAATTTTATATATAGATAAATGGAAAGAGAGTAAGTGCACTTGTGTTTTCCCTAATTTGGTGCTTGCCTTTTATTTTTTGTTTTTCTTGCTTGCAAAATTTTCAAATAATTGAGTTGGCCAATCTGTCACTGTGTTTTTCCTTATATCAGTAATTTTTGAGCAGTGGACATATTGAAGTAGGACTCCTAAATGAGCAAAGGAATATTCAATCTAATATGTGGTTTGAAAAAGTATGCCTAATAATAAAGTAATTATGCAGTTTGGAAATTTTTTTAAAAAACATTGCCTTCATAATACAAACTATTGAAGAACAATTCAATACAAACTTAGCTGGTAGAAATACAACAAAATATAAACAATGATTCTTAAGAGGGATATGTCACCTATTGAATACTAGGAGATTCTGTAAAGGGAAGAGATGATTGACACTGATTTATAAAGGGATAAAATGGCTGAAAAAATTTGTTTATGGACTCTTTATTTGATTATGTACTTAGAAAGTTAACCCTTACCCTGAGGTCAGATAACTATTATTTTCTAAGTATCAGAAAATGAGGTTGCAGAATCTAAGTTGCAAAATAAACATTTTCTTGAATAGATACGAAGTATTTTTACACAACTGATGAAAACATTGAACAATTGGGTCTCCAAAAGGGAATGAACTAAATTATCTTTTCTCTTTTCCTTGTAAACTGCAAAATGTTTAAGTTTTTTTCATTCAATATATTTCAAGCATCTCTAATAACCATTTGGCTTTTCCTTGCATTGAATATACATTTTAAAATTATAAGATTACTTTTTTATCGTCTTCTCCTTCTCCTTTTCCTCCTCCTCCTCCCCCTCCTCCTCCTCCTCCTTCTTCTTCCTCCTTCTCTCTTTCTCTCTCTCTCTCTGTGTGTGTGTGTGTGTGTGTGTGTGTGTGTGTGTGTGTGTGTGAACTTCAACAAATCCCCTTAAGTATCTCTGATATCTTGGCAGCATGTTATGGTTTTGTGGTATTTCATAGACAACATGTTTTCTTGTCATGCATTAAGGATGCCCATGAGTTCTAAAAATATTTTACTTCTAGACCTGCATTAAATGATTTTAAAAAGCATATGGGATATTTCAGGTGAAATTCTATTTCTTTGGTTCTGTATTGTTTTATCGGAGACCTAAAGTAGTGTTCTTTCTGTTTATTCAATGTGAAATAAGACGATATCTATACATATTCAATGCTAATCAATGGATAGCATGTGTGGTGTGTGCTTTCCCTTGGCTCTACTCACTTTCCCATGGATAGTTTTGCCAGATAATCTGAACTGAAATATTGTACTTTAAAGTTTATGGTCTCATATAAAAGCAAATAAGCAGAATAATGAATTTTAAAATGCTAGAGTAAGAACATTTGCATGCAATGCACAACAAAACATGTCTAACTGGAAAAAGCTTAGCTATTACAATCAGATTTAAAATTTACACCTGGCAAACTTTACACTTGGATTTTGGTAGAATACTCTTGGCACATCTGTAACCAAATGACAGATGGGTGTGCATAGGAGCTGGCCCAATTTACAGTAAATGTTCTAGTGTATCTTATTCGTTTTGGGATGTTTGTGGATAGCTAATTAATTAATTAATTTTTAAAATTATATTGACTTGAAAACTGAAAAAAAATTATTTTTACAGTGTACAAGATTATGTTTTGATATGTGTATACATTGTGAAATGACATAATCAAGCTAATTAACATATCCATTACTTCACATACTTATGTTTTTTGTAATGAGAACATTTAAAATCTACTCTCTTAGAATTTTGCAAGTATGCAATTTATTATTATTTGCTATAGTAACCAGGGTGTACAATAGGTCTCTAGAACTTATTTTTTTTGTGTAACTAAAACTATGTATCCTTTAATCAACATCTCCCCATTTTCCACCCACATCCCCAACCACTGGTAACCACCATGCTATTCTCTGCTTCTATAAGTTTGATTTTTTGAATTGAGTCAGAATAGTTATCTATGTCCATCATCTCTTTCAAACCCAAACAATCATATGCAACCCAATAGTCCTCCAACCTATGGTGACACCAGGGTTCTTTCTATCTCTATCCTGTCCATTGCAATTTTAGAGGTGCTCATTAACCCCTTTCAGAAGCAATAAATAGTTATTACTCTTCTCAACTTCCTACTTTATCTTTTGTGAATGGTGGTACTTCACTCTGTGGGGAAGAACTAAAAGATGCAAGAGGAAAGGCACAGCAATCTGACTATTGCCAAAAGTTACATCCATAGGCACTGGCTTCCAGTCATGACAATGTATCTGAAACCTTTCATCCAACTGCAAATAAGTACAAAATTTGATAAAATATATGGAAGAATTTAATTTGGCTGATATTGTTCATTGAATGAACCACAATTTTGCCACAATGAAAAACAAATTTGTAAAGCGTCTATCAGTTGATGTGAAAATGTGAAATAATGAATAGAATATATGCTGACACATAATGCAATGAAAATATCCTAGACTTTAGGGTATTTACTTGTAAAAAGAAAATAATATTTTTGGGTGCATATAATTTTATGAGAATTATATGAGCTAAAATATGTGATATGCCTACTTAGGCCTGGCCAATAATGGAATAATATAAATAATATTTGCTTCTCAAATTATGGACATATATATGTGTGAGTGTGTGTGAAACTTTAATGCATTTTATATGTAATATAAGCCCACACAAATATATATATGTATGTGTATATATATATATATATATATGTATATATACATATATATATATATATAATTAGTATGCATCTAGTAGCAAATAAACAAAATAAGAGGTTTACAATATATCTCATTAAACTTCCAGGTCATGCATAGAAAATTCCTATTGAGCCATAAGTTGCTTTATTCTATTGAAATGTTTCTAATTCAAAATTTTATTTCATAGGCATGCATATATTCAAGATCATTAAATTTGCAATATATTAATGAAGGACTTAGGGTACCCTGTACAAGCCAGTTAACATATGAGCACTTAACTGATGTTGAAATAATCTTGCTAAAAATATATCCTACCAACAAACATTGGGTTCTTGTATCATTTCCAATTTGGATAATAAATGAATATTTGACAGCAATTTTTATAACCAACTGCAAGATTTTTGTTTTGTTTAGGTGATCTAAATATCTGGACTATTCAGTGGATATCCCACCTTTTTTTTTTTTTTTTTTTGTCTAAAACAGTGTCTTGCCCTGTCGCCCAGGCTGGAGTACAATGGCGCGATCTCAGTTCACTGCAACCTCCACCTGCTGGGTTCAAGGGATTCTCCTGCCTCAGCCTCCCGAGTAGCTAGGATTACAAGTGTGCGCCACCACGCCTGGCTAATTTTTTGGGATATCCCATCTTAAAACAGCAAGTATTACTTAGACATTTGCTGCCATAGTAGTTTAAGAGTCTTGCTTTTTAAAAAATCTATCATGATACTCATGTTGGTGATATGTGTAGACCCTAACAAAGTGGAAGCTTCATATAAATAAACCATAATAAAAATGCATTGCAAATTTCTTTTTAAAATTGTAACAAGATTTATCACTTTTGTTAGATCTGACACAACTTACTTATTAGAGAGTAACAAGTGTGCACATCTGTATATTTGCATACTAAAAATAGATTTTCAAGAAACAAAAGGTTACTTAGAATATATAACCCCTTACTTGTTTAAATTATATGTTTCTGAGTGGAGTATTATGATCTTGTTTTCAGCTATATGTATGTGACTACCTAATTACAAAGCAGGCATTTTAAATATAAGTGTTTGTTTCAAAGCATTGTATCTCAGAATAAAAATGTATTAACAGCAGTGTTCAAGGGTGAAGAGAGGCAGGCATGTTCAGTGGATTGAACATGGACCTCAAGATATTCATCCTCTGTTCTCAGTAAGTTTTATTGCTACTATAATTAATGCAGTGCAGACCCAATGTAACTCTTCGGCTATGAAAATGCTGACAGCATGATCAATCCATGAAGAATCACGTCATATTATTTTTATTTTACCTTAGACTCATTATTAGCTTAATTGAAATTTACAAGGGTAGCAGAGAATGGGATTAGGGTGATGATGTCACATTGTTAATGTCTACCTTTATTATGTTTTTATCAGCTTTGTAAAATAGGAAAAAATCTTTAGTGCCGGGGCTTGCTGGTTGGGGAAGGAAGTGTAACCAAGAGTATGTATAGAGGGGTGAGGGTTTAACAAACTGACCTAGGTATAGGAATAGACTCTGAGAAGGATGGCCATATTGTATTGCATCCAAATAGGAGCTTGTTTCAGTAACCATTGTTGTTTCAGGTTTTCCTCAGCAAGCTCCTTGCTGGTGTGTAAGGAATGCAAGAAAGGATGAGGAACAGTGATGAGAGTGTGCAGGATCCAGCCCTCTAGAAGAAGGATAATAAGAACTAGGGTAGATGTTAGGCTCCAGCCAGCTGGGTGTGGGTGGCTTAGAACATTCTACTGTATGACTGGGAATTACAGGACTTGACCAATAAACCATAGAAAAGAACCCCAGCCGTTACAGAGAATCCATTGATATAGCGGTCATGCAGGAATACAAATACCTGCATACTCGATCAAGAGCAAAAGTTGAGATCTAAATCTCACTTGGTAGTTTGCTGTGGCTCTTTACACACAGACACACACACACACACACACACACGCCTGCTCTCAGCTCAGGGATTACACGTGACTGAGCCTGTTGGCGGAATGTATCAGTGCCTCCAGCTGTGAGTGGTTGGGGGAGGCAGAGCATGATAAAGAGAATAGTGTCTCATTATGTTTGTCTATACTAAACTGGTACATCTACACTCTGAAGAGATAAAGATATCTACCAATTCTAAGCCAATCCTTCTGTCACCTTGCATTTAGCTCCAGAAAATGTGGAAAGAAAAATAAACATATTGAGGCAAGTCTACACAAATATTAACATAAGCAATGACAATTGCATATGTAAAGCCAGATTCATATGCCACAATAAATAATCTATAGCATAATCAATTACATGGTGTTTACTTAACTGACATTTTGTGTATTTTCAATGGTGAAATATATTGCTACAACTTTTCTGAGGCCATAGGACACATAGTGGAGTCCTAACTAGTCACAGTAAGCTGGCTAATACCATTTTGATAGCACAAAACCTAGAATCTGAATCCCTTTATAAAGAGTTTATGCAAATGTACTGCTTATTCTGAGGCTATATGCTATTATAGTTGAACTTTTAAATAATAATTTTATTTAATGAGAATGTGTATGCTTCTAGCATTTTTCCATCTTTCTTACTTACTTATTCTATAAGGAAATAATAGTGTCATCACCACATACATTTTTAGTTCTCCTTAAACACATATGTTGGAAAACATGCTGGTGTTTTGGTAATATGGACAAAACTTTTTCCCTTATAAATGATACTTAATAAAAATTGGCTAAAACTTTTTATCCAGATCACAGTTAATGAAGCAAAGTGGATTGTATGCCTGTTTTCCTCCAATTGAAATAAAAATGAAAGCAAAAGATAATTCTACCCATACACTATCGGGCATGTGATTTTGGTCTGGTATGGGGGCTTTACTGTCTAATTTTTTTTCCTGTTTTGCATCATATCATATAATTTTATTTATACTCAGTGAAGATAATGCAAACTCTGGCCATAATTTAAGTTGAAGGTATTGCCTTTGAGAACTTGCAAATTAAGATCAATGGATAAAAAACTAAAAAATAAGCTTTGATTTTTGAACAGATAAACAATGTCATTTTTCTGCATGGTCCAAGGAAATCTTAATTAGAATTATAAGAGAAAAAATAGTTGTCATTTGTTGCAGAAAATGGGTGCTATCACTATGAGAAAAAAAGTTAGCACCTGCTGCTCAGAATAAATAGTGCATTGCAATTGGTACAGATCAGGCTTAGGGTTTAGTAAGTAATATTGATAAAGAGCATTAGGACATAATAACTAATTGATGAATAAAAGTCACAGGAAAATTTAACATCTCCTGCCCCTAAGTAAATGCCTTATCTTCTCTTCAGTGAGTTTCCAATAGTCTGACTTGTAGGCTGGGAGAACTGGGATGAATGCGTTTAGTAATTCTTCAAACAGCTTTGGATGAAGAACCTAATTAGGTAGCTCACTTGACTCAAAAGAAAATCTGCTTTTCCTAGCGAAAGCTGAATCTGCCCTGAATTTGAATGCCAAGATACTTGATAACAACTAACCTACGATATTTGCCTTTAATTTAGAAAATCAAATAGTGTTCTTTGCCAGTGATTTAATTTAATAATAATAATTTTTAGAAATGAAATAAGTCACTGGGAGGAGCTCATTTTCTATTCTGGTTGCATTAAAATATACTGAATGTTCTGCTATAATAAATTAACAAAAAGATATGACTATGTCCTAAGGAATCAAATAAAGTGTACCTGCTTCCCACATCTGCATAAATGCCAACAATCTGTCAACAAAATGAACAAAAATAATACATTTTTTATGGGAGTGGACACCCAATAAATGATTTCTGCAAGTGGTAACAATACTTTGATTCACGTTCATATAGCAATTCAGGTTATAATTTTCATTCCTATGGTGGTCACAACCATCTCAAATTCCCCATCAACTTTAATTTTTCAGAAGGAATAATCAATATGCATGGTATTTCTCTCATTTGCCTTGAATTACAAATGATGACTCCAGCACCAGTGTTCCAGGCTTTATCTTGCAAATGGGACAGTGACTAATACATGAAGCCATGGAATTCTTGCACTGACATAATTTCCATAGTAGGCAAAATGAGTTTTTCTTATATAAGGATGGTCTGATCATTTCTCAAATCCAGCATTTCTGAAAATGCATTAATCTGTGCACATTTTGGAAGAGCAGTTAGCAAGTGTTAGAAGAAAGAACATAGAGATAGCAAGGATTCTAAACCCGCTCCTGACATTATCTTGCACCGTGTGCTTTGGCCAAATCACTTTCTCTAAGCTGCTATAATTTTCTAACTGTTTTATTTGTAAAGAAAGCTAATTCAGCCACTTCATTATTCTCCAATGGACACGGCAGGCAGGAGAAAGGGAAGGACGGCAACATTCATTCAAAGGAGCATATCAGAAAATCCTGGATGATTTTTTTTTTCTCAAACCACACATGCTTCTACCCAAAGTTTACTTTCCTCAGATCTTTCAGTTATAATAAAACATATTATTTGTAGTAATATGTCACCTATATTAATAGTACTTAGACTATAACCTGGTTAAAACCCACCAGACTAAATGATCTCTAATAGCTTCTTCCAAGGCTAATATTTTATGGATGTAAATAAAACGATGGCTTAGTTGTATTACTGCTAAATATTTATATCCAAGCCACCTCTTCCTTCACAAAATTGTACTAGGAAAATGAAATGATATTAACATATAATATAGTACAGTGTTTACCTGGTACATACTGTGCATTCCATAAATAAAAGTTGCCTTCCTTCTATGCAAAGCAATAGATAAGAGTTTTGCTTACACATAGTATGCTCCATAATATGCTCAGTGATGGGAGGTTGAAGAAAACATAGCTTCTCCAGAGGGGCATAGTAAATTTGAAATTTTTCTATCTGGACTTTGAGTTAACTCCAGATTCTGTTGATTTCTGTTGACATTTAGCAGTTTTTACTGCATTGTTTAGAAAAAAGCAATAACTATTCTCATGCCTGTGATATACAGAAAAACAGCCATATTATTGCATTTAGGATGATTTTTTTTTTGTTTAGTGAAAATTTTTCACAAGTATATGTCCTACTTTATTTGTTATACAGGAAATATTTCTGTCATTATTTAAAGGGTAGTTACTTGCTCTTTACGCCACAAAACAGTAATATATAGTCTCTTCACAAATTGGAAGAGCAACTGATCAGTTGCATTTCATTTAAATTCTGTGGCTTCATTTTCATGCTCTAAGCATACAGACTACATACATTTGCTACACAGAAATACCTGTGTTTGGCACAATACATGATGACTTTTATAAGTAGATGTGTATCTACATTAGGAGAACTTGCAAAATGTAACACATTCAATATAGTTATTGTAGAATAATATCTATCCAAATATAGTGAACACATATTTATTTACATTAAAGCCAAGTCAAAATGACCATGTCTAAGACCTAGAGGAAGAAACAAATTGAGAGTGTATGTGAGAATAAAAAAGTGAAAGAGAAAAATATGAATTAAAAGTTGAGGCCGGGAATGGTGGGTCACGCCTGTAATCCCAGCACTTCGGGAGGCCAAAGGGGGAAGATCACTTGGGGTCAGGAGTTTCAGACCAGCCTAGCCAACATAGTGAAACCCCATCTCTACTAAAAATATAAAAATTAGCCGGGCACGGTAGCAGGCACCTGTAATCCCAGCTACTTGGGAAGCTGAGGCAGGAGAATCGCTTGACCCCGGGAGCTGGAGGTTGCAGTGAGCAGAGATCGCGCCACTAAACTCCAGTCTGGACAACAGAGTGAGACTCATCTCAAAAAGATAAAAAATAAAAACATAAAATAAATAAAAAATAAGTTGATATAGTTTGGATGTTTGTCCCCTCCAAATCTCATGTTGAAAAGTGGCCCCCAATGTTAGAAGTAGGCTTAGTGGCAGGTGTTTTGGTCATGGGTGCAGATCCATCATGAATGGCTTGGTGACCTCCCCATGGTAATGAGGGAGTTGTTACTTTATTAGTTCATGCAAGAGCTGTCTATTACATAAGAGTGTAGCACCCCCTTCTTTGCTGTTGCTCTCTCTCTCACCATGTGGCATGCCTGCCTTTACGTCACCTTCCACCATGAGTAGTACAGTCTCACCAGAAGCCAAGCAGATACAAGTTCCCTGCTTGTACGGCCTGCAGAATAGTGAGCCAAATAAACTTCTTTTCTTTATAAATTACTCAGCTTCAAGTATTTTGTTATAGCAACACAAAACAGACTAAAATTTGTGCAAAAGTCAGAAAATGTTAACAAATTATATATGCTCCTGAAGTATATCAATTGAATATAAATTGTATATAATGATAAGTTATTATGGCCTTAATATAAAACCACAGAGTCCTTTATTTTAATACAATCCAGTAATAACTAGCTAAGCTTTTCTTTGACAAAAACAAATGACAGTAGGGCCTTCAGTCCTTTGAAACCTCAGCTGGACTGGGCACTCAAAATGGTTCACTGATGTAACTGGTATTAGATGCTGACTGGAGGCTGGGACCCCAGTTGAGACTTTCCAATAGATTACCATGGTAGTTGCCGAGCAATCGGCCTTCCTATATGACCTCAATCTACCACCAAATAAGTATTCCAAGAGATCCTAGTAGAAACTTTAGAGCCTTTTCTATTCTAGCTCTGGGAGCCATATACCATTATTTCTCTTGCCCTGTGACGCTCAAAGCAGTCTAAAATCCAGTCACATCGGAGGGGTGACATGCTTTGGATTTTTCCTCCTGCCCACGTCTCATGTTGAATTGTAATCCCCAGTGTTGGAGGAGGGGCCTGGTGGGGGTGACTGGATCATGGGGGCAGATTTTCCTCTTGCTGTACTCACGATAGTGAGTGAGTTCTCATCATATTTGATTGTTTAAAAGTGTGTAGGACCTCCTCCTTCTCTCTCTTTCCCTTGCCCGGGCCATGTAAGACATGCCTCCTTCCTCTTCACCATCTGCCATTATTGTAAGCTTCCTGAGGCCTCCCAAGCCATGCTTCCTGTACAGCTTGTGGAACCGTGAGCCAATTAAACATTTTTACTTTATAAATTACCCAGTCTCAGGTAGTTCTTTATAACAACGTGAGAAAGGACTAGTAGAGAAAATGGGTACTGACAGTGGGGTGTTGTTATAAAGATACCTGCAAATGTGGAAACGACATTGGATCTGGGTAATGGGCGGAGGTTAAAATAGTCTGGAGGGCTCAGAAGACAGGAAAATGAGAGGAAGCTTGAAGCTTCCTAGATACTTGTTACATTGTTGGGACCAAAATGCTGATAGTGATATGGACAATGATGTCCAGACTGAGAAGGCCTCTCAGATGGAGATGAGGAGTTTATCGGGGACTGAATCATAAGTTATTTTTGTTATGCAGTAGCAAGGAGGTTAGAGGCAATGCACTTCTGCCCTAGAGATCCATGGAACGTTGAACCTGAGAGAGATGATTTAGGGTATCTGGTGGAACAAATGTCTATGCAGCAAAGCACTAAAGATATAGCCTGGCTGCTTGTAACGACATATGCTAATATATGTGAGCAAAATGATGGTCTGAATCTGGAACTTACATTTAAAAGGGAAGCAGAGCATGCAAGTTTGGAACATTTTTAACCAGGCTACGTAGTAGAAAAGAAAAACCCATTTTCAGGGGCAGAATTCAAGCCAGCCGCAGATATTTGCAAAAGTAAAGAGTAACCAAGTGCTAATAGCCAAGACAATGGGGTAAAGACCTCAAAGGCATTTCAGAGACCCTTGCAGCAGCCCCTTCCATAACAGGCCCAGATGCCTAGGAAGGAAGAATGGTTTACTTGGCCAGGCCCAGGGCCCTGCTGCCTTACACAACCTTGGAACACTGCCTTCTGCTTCCTAACTGCTCCAGCTCCAGCCATGGCTAAAAAGGCCCCACCCAAAATGTGAGAGTGTCAGTTAGTTCAACCATTGTGGAAGACAGTGTAGCAATTCCTCAAAGACCTAAAGACAGAAGTACTATTTTACTCAGCAATCCCATTACCGGGTATACACTTAAAAGAATATAAATCATTGGGAGATATACCTAATGCTAGATGACGAGTTAGTGGGTGCAGCGCACCAGCATCGCACATGTATACATATGTAACGAACCTGCACGTTGTGCACATGTACCCTAAAACTTAAAGTATAATTAAAAAAAAAAAAGAATATAAATCATTCTATTTTAAAGACACATGCACATGTAGGTTCACTGCAACACTATTCACAATAGCAAAGACATGGGATCAATCTCAATGCCCATCAATGATAGACTGGATAAAGAAAATGTGGTGCATGTCACCATGGAATACTATGCAGCCATAAAAAAGAATGAGATCATGTCCTTTGCAGAGATATAGATAGAGCTGGAGGCCATTATCCTTAGCGAACTAGTACAGGGGAAAAAAAAAAAAAACAAATACTGCATGTTCCCACTTATAAGTGGGAGCTAAATGATGCGAACACATGGACACATAGAGGGGAACAACAGACACTGGAGCCTATCCGAAGGTGAGGGTAGGAGGAGGGAGAGGATCAGGAAAAATAACTAATGGTATTAAGGTTAATAGCTGGGTGATGAAATAACCTGTACAACACACCCACGTGACACAAGTTTACCTACGTAACAAACCTGAACATATACCTCTGAGATTAAAATACAAGTTAAAAAAAAGAAATATGACATTAAGCATCCAATTTGAAAATGTATTTGGCATATACATACTCTTACACTAGGAAGAAGAAGATAAATTGCACCATATCGTCTCGAAGACACCTGTCATTTCTATTACACTGTGCTTCATAATTCATAAATAAAAGTGAAAATATTACAAAAGTAATATTTTGTAATACAGAAATAATCAGAAGCTACATCATGATAAGCCTTTTAAGTTGTTTTAAGAAATAACTATAACCCAGTGACAACTGATCAGGGGCCCTTGTGGGAGGTTAAAGGAGGGGAATGATATAATATGAATTGTATTTCCAAAAGAGCACTCTGACTGATGTGAGAATGAATTGGAGAAGGCCAAAACAGAAGAGAGAGGAATCTAATTTGGAGATAGATAGGCATCACTGCTAATACATTGGATGTGGCTCATTAAGAAAAGAGAGAAATCAAGAATGACCCTTAGGTGTTTGGCCTAAAATATAGGTGGATATTGGTGCATTAATGTATATATGGGAAACTAGCAGATGAGCAGTTTGGGGGAGAAAATCAAGCATTTTCCTTTGGACAAGTTTGAATATTTCACAGTAGGCAGTTAGATCTGAGAGTATTTGAGTGAGTGATGAAGACTTGAATCAATAAGGACTAGAGCCATGGTGAGGCGCACAACAAAATGACAAAGGATATGACACTAAGGGAGGAACTGTATCTATTTGATTCAGTCTTAATGCACATTAAAATGATCAAGAGGCTGGGAAGGTAAGGTTTTGTAGATAAATCAATCAGCAAACTAAAAGTTTGCTTGTGGTTTATCTTAATCTGGCTTCTTTAGAAAATAGAGTTTGAAGTCAGAAGTAAGTGCTGATGTTATTTTTGAGAAATTCAATCCAAGGACAGTAACAGTGGAGAAAAGGGGAAGCTAGGTAAAAAGGATGGGAATCAACTCAAGTTGATATGCTGGCCAAGCCAGTAGACTGTTGAGCACGTAAATTCTCTCAACCACATGGATCTCCAGCTAGGCAGTAGAGCAATTCTTAGAAGAGTCTGTGGGAGGAAGAAATGCATTTATCTGCATGATTCTTGGCTTTCCTCTCTTTATGACTGGTCAATGAGATAAACAGTATTTATGTATATGCCACATACATTTTCAAATTGGACGCTTAATGCCACATTTCCTTTTTTTAACTTGTATTTTAACTTCAGGCGTACATGTTCAGGTTTGTTACACAGGTAAACTTGTGTCATGGGGGCTTGTTGTACAGATTATCTCATCACCTTTACAGCCCCATACTTCTGGGTTAAGTCATCCTATATAGACTGCTTAGAAACCAACTGAAGCACTCTGCAACAAGGTGTATATACAAGTTGCAGGATAAATCAAAAACTCAAGGTGCACATTTAGTGGGTCTGGCTGTGTGCTAATACTCAAAGGGGATGCCTGGCTCTTACAGGTAATTTACAGATTGGCCCTGGGTGAGAAACCATGCAGCCTAAGTAAGGTGGGTTAACATATGGGTGGTAGTTCAGGCAAAGCAAGCAGCTAAAGCTCATGGTCCTGTGGGAATCTCTGAAGATATATATGACATATTCAATATACAGCTGCTTTTGAAAATAAAGTGAATACAATTACACCCTAACTGTGCCCGACCCCCCTCCCAAAAAAAGAAAAAATTGTGAATTAGTTGTTAGCCTCAGTGTAATCTGTTAAATCGGTTAAGTGATCCATATTGATCTGGCCTTCAACAGGAGTGATCATGTTTTCCTTTAAAACAGATAGCGACAAAAGAAAAAAAAAACAGTATCTCATGATATAATAGAAAGTTCATTAGATTTAGTACAGGGTGTTTAAAGCAATGCATTCAATTTGAAGTTATCAGCTGTGTTTGTTTCCATTCCCTGTACTCCATTTATTGTCCTCTCTGTCCAAATCATAAGAAAATGGGAGGCCGAAATATGCGTGTTTAAATATAACAAGCACCAATTTTCCAACAAAGTACCTGTGCATACCATACTAAAAGGTAATGTGAAAGGGACATGACACAAAATATATATCAAAAATACTCTTCACCAAACGTGGTGGCTCACGTCTGTAATCCCAGCACTTTGGTAGGCCGAGGCGGGTGGATAACCTGAGATCAGGAGTTTGAGACCAGCCTGGCCAAAATGGCGAAACCCTTTCTCTAAAAAATAATACAAAAAATTGGCCAGGTGTGGTGGTGTGCACCTGTGGTACCAGCTACCAGGTAGGCTGAGGTGGGAGGATTGCTTGAGCATGAGAATTTGAGGCTACAGTGAGCCGAGATCACACTACTGCCCTCCAGCCTGGGCAATAGAGTGCGATCCTGTCTCAAAAACAAGCAAACAAAACACCACACAAAACTCTTCAAAAGACTTCTTTTTGTAAATAGAAAAAATTCATAGAAAAAGTCTCTATTTTTTAAAGCAAATAAAAACACTGTCTTTGGAAAAGTAATTCAAAGAAATAGGAGATCAGATAACAAGCAATTAGACAAAAAAAAGGGACAAATACTGCAGAATTAGACTACATAGAAACCATAAAGCCATTTCAAAAAATAAAAGTTACATCAAAGGCAGAAATAAAGCAGCCAAAAAAATAGTAAAAGTCAGTTAAATGGAGGGCAGATATAAGAAAATAACTTACCTAAATTAGACAGCCTCTATCAGCCATAAACTGTTTCAGTCTAATTCAACCCCAAATCCTATCAATTCTACTCAATGCTTTAAATTTGTCTACCTCTAACTCCATTCTCTTTCTAGTCTAAGACCAAAACACCGTCATTTCTTTTTTTACCATCATAGTTTTCCAACTTGTTCCCTAACTTCTGCCCTTGCCCCAACTCGATCTCTCTCCTTAACAACAGACAGAAGCAGTTTTAAAACTTCAAATATGCTCGTGTCTCTTCCTCATTTAAAGCCCTCCAATGGTTTTCCATTGCAATTTAAGATAGAATAAAATCTATAGCATGGCCTATAATTTCCCTGTATAACCTATTGTGCTGTTTCGTTTCCTTCTATGACAAAAATAATATGTTATATGTGTGTGGGTAATTACTTATGCAATTATTATTATTTATGAAATGGGAATGACACAGAAAAGGCTGCTTCCTAGGCATTAGAAGTAGAATACCATACGCAATGGCTCAAACAGGTAGCCAAAGATGAAAACTTAGAGGTATCTCTCCTGCCTAGCAAACTGGACTCTTAGCTGTTCTGACTGCCTTCTTTAAATAGACCATTTAGGCATTTAATGCCTGGAAACATAAAGTGACTCACACCATACTCCCTTATATACTACTACTTGCCACATGTGCTCTCTCGTGCTCTCTCTCTCTCTCTCTCGTCTGCCTGACTCTTCATTCCTGGCTCACATAACCTGGGAATGGAAGAATTCTCTCCCGACTCATTGCATCTTCCCTGTCCAGGATCTGTAAGTGAAAATCCTTGAACTTTTCCTATTGTGGTGGTGTATTGAATTTAAGCCTTCTATCTGAAGAGCCGATGGCTCCCCCAGGCAAGGGTTTCCAGGGTTTGGGAGAGAAGATAAGATCAGGCTCCCAGTGCTACAGCAATGGTCAGGTAGGCATAAACTGGACATGAGTCAGTCAGGAGCTACAGGAGCATCTGCCAGTATAAACAAGCTTTCCATGTGAAGACTGGACATTAGGCTATCCTCCAGGTAAAAGAAGTATCCTATGAAAGGCATCCTGTAACTACCCACATCCAACTCCCCTTCGTTTCCCTTTACGGCAGAGTTGCTAGCCGCTCTGGTATTGGAGCCCTAATTTAGCTGGGAGCTTTTCAAATAACATTATTATTTAATGTGTTGTATGCATACATTTTGTGTATTAATATCGTTTATTACTTACTACCTATAAGGTCCATAAAGGTCTGTTTTCTTACCACTATACCTACAGTGCTTTAACAGCTATACTTTTAAATTTAAAAAAATGAATGAAGAAATTACCAGAAACGTATAAGGCCTAAAATATGTCTACTTAAATTATGATAGTCACACAGTTACTAAATTTAAACACAAACACTATTTGTATCATAACAATAGGATTCAAAAGTTTATCTGGAATAAGATTCCATATCTAATAAACTTTTAAAAAATAAGAGTACTGGTGGAGTGAAGAAACTGAATCTACAAACAATTAAACCTATAACTAGTTATCATAATTTAAATGAAGTGTTACTGTTGTGAGCATAGACAGAAATATTAGTGGAAGAGGGAAATACATCTAGATGTTTCTCTCTGTATAGAAGTGTATGTGTGTGTGTGTTGATAAATACATACATAGAGAAAGATAGAATAAATGTCATAGAATAAATATCAAAATGAGTAAATATCAATGAGGACAAGATGAACCATCCAATTATTTAGAGACATCTGATAATCACTTAGGAAAAATTAAGCTGGACCCATTTTACTTCCTTATAACAGTAAAACTTCTAGTTGGATTTTAGATAGAAAAAAGTTAGTGAAATCATAAAATCACAAGGATAAAATGCAAAAGAAATATTTTTAAAGTCTTGGAGTGAGGAAGCACTTCCTCAGAAAGACAGAAGCCATAAAGAAAGCAATTGATAAAATGTAGTATCTAAACATTTAAAAATTTCATGTACCAAGAAATAGTATAAACGTTTCAAAAGACAATAACTGGAAAAAAATTCAACTCCTTAATAGGCTGAGGCCTGTTATTATTAACACATGTATAGTTCTTACAAGTTTGCAAGGGGAACACACAGATAAACTGGTAAAAAAAAAAAAAAAAGAGGCGGGGATAAAAATTGGGAACAAGATATCCAGAGAAAAAATAAAAATGATTAATAAACATGAAACGATAGTTAACTTCACTAAGAATTTATGGAATATATTATAGTTTGTCTATCAGATATTTTTTAAAAAGTGAAAAGGTGGTAAACTACCTTACTGTCAAGGATATGAAGAAACCTGCTCTATCATTCATTGTTGGTTCAATGTAAATTGGCATATCTTACCCAACAACAACACAGGAATATCTCTCAACACATAAATATTCATATGCCTCTGCTCAGCATTTCTAATTTTATAAATTTATCCTATAGAAAGACATGCACAAATATTTACACATGCATTTGTAAAAATTTGCAATATCATGTTACTAAAAATAACAAGTTGAAACTACTTAATTATCAATCAATAGGGTATTTGACATGTAAATTAGCAAATCTTCATGCACCGATTCAATGCAATACTATGCAACAATTAAAAGGGATGGTAGATATATAGGAGCTGAAATAAACAATATGTCCAATACATATTAAAAGAAAATAAACAAAGATCCAGGGCAAAGAGGAGTATATATTATATGCCATTTTTGTAGAAAAGGAAAAAATTATATAACATATGTTACATGTCATATGAAATATGCCAAATGCCGTAATACATAGTCCAATGAAAATGTGGCATTGTACATGCTCTGTATCATCTGGCATATATCAAATGTCATAATATCGATAACTTTGTAAGGATACACTAGAAATTTTGAACAGAGCTTATCTTTGAGAATTAAAATTAAGGATCAGGCTCAGAGAAGTTTCTTTTATTTTTAACTTCAAAAACTTATGTATATAATTTTTAATTTTTTTTCTAACAAATAATATTTCTGAAACTTTTTAATATTAGTTACAAATGTTACAGAAAGGATAATAGAAGTCCTGACAACTGTCCATTTGATTTACCAGCATTAGTCACCCTGTTTACAGTACTTTCAATGTTAATTTAATGCATACTTAAAGACCCAAATAATAAAAATATAATAATAAATTTTAATTATGTAAATATTTTTCAAGAATAGCTTTAGAATTTTGAAGTCAATGTAGTACTTGTATTTCTAGCACTTGTTCATGCTTACCACTCTCTATTTATTGGTTTGAATGTCCCTGCAGTTGGCTTCTTCAAAAGATTATTATTCTTGCGTTCTATCTTCATCTTTCTTTCAGTGGAAGTACAATTTAGATGATTTTCTACTGAAGAGTGAATGAGCAGTATGTTTTATGAACCCTAGTATATGTTAGAAGAGCGTTCTCCAACTAGTGTGCCATATCAGAAGAGTGTACCAAATATGAATGACAAGTGTACTGGTGAATAGATTTCCTAAAATTTTGGGGTGGCTAGTCATAGATTGGGGCACCCAGAACCTTTAGGCTAATTGTCCCTTATGAGCAGCCATATCTAGTTATCCTATTATGCAATTAAAACATCATTTTCTATGTGTGCCATGAGGTGAAAAAAAGGGTAAGGAGGTCAGTACGACTGAGTTAGAATATCATTATCATTGCTTTATTCCTACGTACATGACAAGTTAGCAGAGTAGGAATCTTAGGTTATAGATTTTTTTCCCAGGAATAATTGTACACATTTCTCCATTCTTTTCATGCATTTAGTTTTTTCTGAATAAAAAATTGAATTCGGGCTGATTTTCTGAATTCATCAGTAAACTTTTTTTCCTGCTTTGAATATTGTAGGATTTGTAAATTTAACATTTAAATGAATGTTTTTGCAAATATATCCCATAGTATGAGTCTCTTTCCTTAATTTTGTCTAAATATTGAGGAGTAGTTTCAATTTCTATATACTCATCTGCTGTCAGCTAGGGAATTTTTTTTCTATTTTATCTTTTTTTACTGCTTGAATTCCTATTGCTCTAGTTTCTGCTCTGAATACCTCTACTTCTTAGGTCCTCAAAATTACATAGTGTTGTTTCCCATTTTTATTATGGTAAAATACATATAAAATTTACCATCTCAACCATTTTCAAACACACAGATGAGTGGTAGAAAACACATTCAGTTGGGAGGCCAAGATGGGCGGATCACGAGGTCAGGAGATTGAGACCATCCTGGCTAACACGGTGAAACCCCATCTCTACTAAAAATACAAAAAATTAGCAGGGTGTGGTGGCAGGCACCTGTAGTCCCAGCTACTCGGGAGGCTGAGGCAGGAGAATGGCGTGAACCCGGGAGGCGGTGGAGCTTGCAGTAAGCCTAGATCGCGCCACTGCACTCCAGCCTGGGCGACAGAACGAGACTCCGTCTCAAAAAAAAAAAAAAAAAGAAAAAAAAGAAAACACATTCACAATGTTGTGCAAGCATCACCACCACCCATTTCTATGTATATAATTTTTAAGTTTTTTCTAACAAATAATATTATTAATAATATTTCCATCTTGGAAAACTGAAACTCTGTACCTATTAAACAATAATCCCCCATTCCTCCTTCCCCCTGCCCTCTGACAGTGACCATTCTGCTTTTTGTCTCTACAATTTTGACTACTCTAAGTACCTCATATATCATACGGTATTTCTCTTTTTTCCACTGGTGTATTCCACTCATGACAATGTCCTCAAGGTTTATTCATGTTGTAGTCTATGTCAGGATTGTATTCCTTTTTGAGGCTGAGTAATATTCGACTGCATGTATATACAGATCTTGCTTATCCATTCATCTGTCCATGGATACTTGGGTTGCTCCCACATTTTAGCTACTGTGAATAAAGCTGCTATGAACTTGG
This sequence comes from Homo sapiens, assembly GCF_000001405.40. NCBI lineage: Eukaryota > Metazoa > Chordata > Mammalia > Primates > Hominidae > Homo > Homo sapiens. Next base: position 143,901,597 of record NC_000023.11, on the reverse strand, counting down.
ATGTACAAGTATCTCTTCAAGACCCTGCTTTCAATTCATTTGGGCATATACCCAGAAATGGAATTGTTGGATTATATTGTAATTCTATTTTTAACTTTCTTAGGAACTGCCATACTCTTTTCCACAGTGGCTGCACTATTTTACATTCCTACCAGTAGTGCACATAGGTTCCAATTTCTCCAAATCCTTGCCAACACTTCTTACTTTGTTTCGAAAGTAGCCATGCTAACTGGTTGTGAGGGGGCATCCCATTGTAGTTTTGATTTTCATTTTTATAATGATTACTAATGATACGCATCTCTTTATGTGCTTATTGGTCATTTGTATAATTTCTTTTTTACATTTTATTTGTTCATTTATTTTTATTTATAATTATGGACACATACTAGTTCTACACATTTATTGGATACATGTGATATTTTGATGCAAGCATACCATGTGCAATGATTAAGTCAAAGAAATTGAGGTATTCACCACCCCAAGCATTTATCATTCACCATCCCAAGCATTTATCATTTATTTGTGTTAGAAACATTGCCATACCATTCTTATAGTTATGTGAAAACACAAAATAAATTACTGTCAACTACAGTCACCCTATTTTACTACTGAACACTAGATCTTATAACTTCTAACTATATTTTTGTATTCATTAACAATTGCTTCTTTATTGCCCCCTCCCCACTATCCTTCTTAGCCTCTGATAACTATGATTTTACTCTCCACCTCCAGGAATTCAATTTTTTCAGTTTCCACTTATTTGTGAAAAGTTCCATCCATGTTGTTTCAAATGAAATAATTTTGTTATTTTTTATGCCTGAATAATATTCCATTGTGTATATATACCATATTTTCTTTATTCATTTATCCATCGATTGACATTTGGGTTGAATCTGTATCTTAATTATTGTGAACAGTGCTGCAATAAACATGGGAGTGCAAATATCTTTTGGATATACTGATTTCTTTTCTATTGAATATATGCCTATCTGTGGGATTGCTGGATCATATGGTAGTTCTAGTTTTAGTTTTTTGAGAACCTCCATAATGGCTGTACTAATTTACTGTTTTCCATAGTGGTTATACTAATTTACATTCCTGCCAGCAATGTACAAGGGTTCCCCTTTCTCCACATTCTCATCAGCATTAGTTTTAGCCTGTAATATGAGTTAAGATAAATGAAATGGAGAATAGTAAAAGAATAGATAATAATCAACAAAACTAAGAGTTAGTTTTGTGAGAAGATCAACAATGTTGACAAACTTTCATCTAGATTAACTAAGAATAAAAGAGAGAAAATTCAAGTGTGAAAGAAAAATAAATCTTGGGACCCCAAACTCATTAAGCCAAAGGAAAAGTCAAGCTGAAAACTGGGTTATGCACACCTGCATTCCCTTTTGGTTCCTAAATAAGATGGCTACAGATTAAAAGCTACATACCTCCCTCATATTTTGCCCACAAGGAAATTCCTAGTGGACTCCAAGATGTTTATCTTAAAGTATGTCTGTAAAAATTCACCATGGCAAAGTAAATTAATAGCTTATCTTTACACGTTCATAGGACAGAACTCAAAGGAAAGATTTTAATTTATGTGTCATCCCCCTGCCTACCTGACACAAATGTATATCTGATTATTACCCCTGTCCTATTGTCTATGTTATCTTATGCAAAAATGCATTCACTGAACCAGACAAAGGCATGAATGACTATTTTCCCCCGCCCTCCTCTTACATGAAAATTGTGTATTTCTCAATATTTTCCCCTCTAAATTTGGAGCCCTCAAAATCAGCTTCAGAGAAAGGCATAGGCCTGTCTCCCCAGTGCTCGTCCTTAACTTTGACAAGTAAACCTCCTAAAATGATTGAAATTTTTCCCGGTCATTTTTTTTTAATGTTCTTAACAGCTTTATTTGTAGGAATCCCAAACTGGAGACAACTCAAATGCCTATTAATAGATAAACAAATAAACAAATTGTAGTGTATCTCTACAATGGAATACTCAACAATAACAAGGAATGATATCTGTAACTACATGGTTAAATCGTAAAACTATGCTGAGTGAAAGAAATCAGACACAAAATAGTACATTGTATGATTCCATTTATGTGGAACTCCAAAAAAGACAAATATAATCTAGAGTGACAGCAGATCAGTTATTTTTTAACTAATTAATTAATTAATTTTTGTATATGAATAGATTCTTTAGTGGTGATTTCTGAGATTTTGATGCACCCATCACCTGAGCAGTGTACACTGTACCCAATGTGTACTCTTATCCCTCACCCCCTTACACCCCTTCACCTGAGTCTCCAAACACCGTTGTATTAGTCTTATGCCTTTATGTCCTCATAGCTTAGATCCCACTTCTGACTGAGAACGTACAATGTTTGGCTTTCCATTCCTGAGTTACTTCACTTAGATTAACAGTCTCCAATTCTATCCAGGTTACTGCAAATGCCATTACTTCGGTCCTTTTTATGGGTAAGTAGCATCTCTGTCATTTTTCTTGATTGAAACAAGTAACTAAAATCAGAAATGAAAAGAGGAGAACATGATGACTGATGCCATAAAAATAAAAAATCTAACAAGAGAATATATGAGGAACTGTATGCCAATAAATCAGATAATCTAAAAAAAACCAGCAATTACTAGACACCCAAACTATCAAGACTGAACCATGAATAAATAGAAAATATGAACAAACCAATAATGAGTAAAGGGATGGAATCAGTAATCAAAAACCTCCCAGCAATATCCAGGACCAGATGGCTTCCCTGCAGAATTCTACTAAAGAAATAACACCATTCATCCTGATACCTGCAAAAAAAAAAAAAAAAAAAAAAAAGGGAGGGAAAACTTCTAAGTTTATTCTACGAGACCTGAATTATTCTGCTACCAAAGCCAGGCAATTAAACTACAAAAAAAGAAAGCTACATACCAATATTCCTAAAGAATATTAATGCAAAAATCTTCAAGGAAATACTAACAAACCAAATTCAACAGGACATGCAGCACATCAACATGGCACATGTATACATATGTAACAAACCTGCACATTGTGCACATGTACCCTAAAACTTAAAGTATAATAATAACAATAATAAAGGATTATATACCTTGACCAAGTGGAATTTATTCCTAGAATGTAAAGATGGTTCAATCTATGAAGATCAATTAGTGTAATACACTGTGTTAACAGAATAGAGGACACACATGGCCTTCTCAAGTGATGCAGAAAAGAAGCATTTGACAAGATATAACAAGCTTTTATAACAAAAATACTCAGCAAAGTAGAAATAGAAGGAAATTACCTCAACATAATAAAACCCACTTACTCAAAGTCTATGACTAGCATCATACTAAATAGTGAAATATAAAGAGCTTTTTCTGGAAGACCAATAACAAGGTAAGGATGCCCACTGTCAGCACTTCTATCTAACATGGTATTGGAAGTATTAGCCAGAGCAAGTGAACAAAATTGATTAATTAATTACTTAATTAATGACTCCAAGTTGGGAAGGGATAAGTCAAATTACTTTGTTCATAGAATACATGATCTTACTGGTAAAAAAACAACAACTTTACAAAACTATCTTAAAACTAATAAATGAATTCAGCAAACTTGTAGAAAACAAAATCAACACAAAAATCAGGTATTTCTATTCACTAACAGTGAACAATCTGAAAATACAACTGAGAAAACCATTATATTTATCATAGCATATAAAAAATAAAATACTTAGGAATAAACCTAACCAAAGAGATAAAAGACTTGTACACTAAAATCAATAAAACATTGCTGAAATAAATTAAAGAAGACACAAATAAATTGAAAGATATAAAATGCCTATGGATTGAAATACTTAATATTATTATGATGTCCATAATATTCAAAGTGATTGATAGTTTAAATTCAATCTCAAAATCCCAATGTCATTTTTTGCCAAAATTAAAAGATTAATCCTAAAATTAACATGAAATATCAATAAACTCCAATTATCCAAAACAGTTTTGAAAACAAAATAACAAAGTTGGAGCCCTTCAATCTCACCTGAAACCCCAATGTCATTTTTTTGGCCAAAATAGAAAGATGAATCTTAAAATTAACATAAAATATCAAGTAACTCCAAATATCCAAAACAATTTTGAAAAGAGAATAACAAATTTAGAGCCTTCATACTTCCGGATTCCAGATCATATTACACAGCTACAGTAATTAAAACTGTGGTACTGGCATAAAGAAATATAAATATTCCAATGGAATAGAATAGAGATCCCAGAAATAAATCCACACATTTGTGATCCACTGATGTTCAGCCAGGTTGCCAAGGCCACTCAATGGAGAAATTACAGTCTTTTTAACAAGTGATGTTAGAAAAGCTGGGTAACATATGCAAAAAAAAAGTAGGACTCATATTAATCCCATATAAATATGAACTCAAAACAGGTTAAAAACCTAAATGTAAGACTTAAGATTGTACCACTCCGAGAATACAGCACACGTGGAAACCTTTATGACAATGGATTTGGTAATTATTTCTTGGATATGACACTGAAAGCAGAGGCAACAAAAGCAAAACAGATAAATGGGACTGCATCAAACTTAGAAGCCCTTGTGAATCAAGGGATTCAATTAGCAGAGTGAAAAACAACTTATGAAATGGGAGAAAATATTTGCAAATCATATATCTGATAAAGAGTGAATACATAGTACATATAAAGAACTCCTACAGTTCAACAACAACAAAATAGTAGCCAGATTTTAAAATGGGCAAAGGACTTGAATAGACATTTCTCCAGAGATGATATATGAATGGCCAACAAGCATAAGAAAAGATGCTCAACATCACTAATCATGAGAGAAATATAAATCAAAACCAACAAGATGTATCACCTCATACCCTTTAGAATTGCTACTGTTAAAAAAAATAGAAAATGACAAGTGCTGGCAATGATGTCAAATAACGGCATCCCTTTTGTACTGTTAGTGGAATAGTTCTACTACTGTGGTAGCACTGTGGAAAATGTTGCAACCACCATAGAAAAATAAGTAAGGAAGTTCTTTGGAAAATTAAAAATAAAATTAACATATGATCCAGAAATCTCACTTCTGGGTATGTAACCCAAAGAATTGAAAGAAGGGTCTCAAGCAGATATTTGTATTCCAGCATTCAAAACAATACTATTCACAAGAGCAAAGAGATGTAAGCAACACAAATGTCCAGTCTTGTTATTCAAGAATGGATAAACAAAATGTTGTATTACATAAAATGGAGTGTTAGTCAACCTTAAAAATGTAGTAAGGTTGTCACATGCTACAACATGAATAGATCTTGAGAACATTATGTTAAGTGGAATAATCCAGTTACAAAAGACAAATACTACATTGTTGTACTAATATTGATGTATCTAATGTAGTCAAATTCATAGAAACAAAGCGGAATTGTGGTTACTAAGGGCTGGGGAAAAAGGGAAAAGGAGAGTTGTTTAATGTGTATAGAGTTTTAGATTTGCAATCTAACTTCTTGAGGTCTGTTTCACAGCAATGAGAATATACATAACACTACTGAGCTATAGACTTAAAGTGGATAAGAAGGTAAATTTTATGTTACATTTTTACAACCTAAATAAAGCACCTAAATAAAATGGTGAGATAATATTCTAGCTGTGTGATCTCTGTCCAGCAGAAAACAGATGCCACTCAAAAAGAGAATCTGAAAGTAAATTAAGACAAAGTTATTTATAAATGCATGGATAGAGTTAAAGTATGTGATTACCACAAAATGTTGTTGAAGTCCTTGGTTAAAAACAGTAGAAAATCCTCATTATGCCTTGGCCTGAAAGGGCAAGATGAGGGCGTAATCACCAGAATCCTGCAGGGGTTATGGATGTATGGAGAGAGCCACCTGAGAGGACCTGTGGCATTCAGTAGAGGAACACAGTCAATACCAAACTACACCCAGAATGGAGGAAATAATGGAATAAAGATCTTGACCTCTTACTCCTCCTGCCTCTAATCTCCATCTGGTGCCTCTTAGAAGCCAAACCTAATCTGAACCTTAGAGCAAGAGCTCCAGGTGATGCAGTTCATAGTAATCAGCCTTTGCAGTCACAGAGCAAGGTGGAGAAGGGTTAAGTGGGAACCTGGAGGGAAAGGCAGAATATTCAGCACACTCCAAACCTCCTTCTTCCTCTGTAAATGGGAATGAACGCAGTGCCTGACTCAATCACAGGGTTGCTTTAAAGATTAAATGAAAAAACCCATGAGAAGCTGATATGGTGTGGCTTTGTGTCCCTACTGAAATCTCATGTTGAATTGTGATCCCGAGTGTTGGAGGTGGAGCCTGATGGGAGGTGATTGGATTATGGGTGGTTTCTAATGGTTTAGCACCATCTCCCTAGTGCCGTCTCATGATAGAGTACTCACAAAACCCGGTTGTTTGAAAGTGTGTAGCACTTCCCCTTTCATTCTCTGTCTCTTCTACTCTGCCATGGTGAGACTTGCTTGCTTCCTCCTTTGCCGTCCACCATGATTGTAAGTTTCCTGATGCCTCCAAGCCATGCTTCCTGTACAGTCTGCTGAAATATGAGTCAATTAAATCCCTTTTCTTCATAAATTACCCTGTCTTAGATAGTCATTTATAGCAGTGGGAGAAGAGACTAATACAGAATCATTTAGCACAGTGCCTGGCATGTACCAAAGAACTGTTAGAGCAATATGCCATCTGCCTGTATAGCCAAGGCTCTACTATTCTAGCCATGAATGTTTATAAAATAAATTTCTCACGCTTTGGACTTCTATTCTTTCACAGATGTACAAGACTGGTCTAAGTGGCAGACAAACAACAGATCATAAGTAGTCCGCTATGTTCAATTCAGTGTGTTATCAGAATAACACCTTACATTTGGAATATGTTCTGAAGAGCAGAGAACTTTTGGCTTTTAAATAAAATATTTTAACACCTTTTCCTGAAATTCACTGTAATTTCTACATCCTCTATTTTCTATACTCTCAATTACTTGTTGGAGACCAGCCAGAGCCCTCAACAGCAGTCTGGGACATTTTAGGGGCAGATGATAGATAGAGACACTAGTGAGAGTTTGAATTGTAAGAAGATCAGGGAATAAAAGCTAGCTCTCAGCCTTAGGTAGTGAATTAAAAAGTGCCTGAGCCCCATCCCTAACCACAAACGAAAGAAGCAATAATTTACGAACCCCTGCCAAACACATATGAATTTATCATTCGGTTAGGAATACAATCTCAATTTGTAAAGAATTTCTCTAGAATTCATTTACCATTCACTTGCCAGTACTATTGATTATTCTAAATGTAGCTGCTCAAAATGTTTTTTTTTTAAAGGAAGTCTGCAATCTTCATATCATGTGCTTCAAAGTAACATTGCAAGCCTAAAGTTGAATCCATGGAATTCAGTAGCAAGTGATTGCATTTTTTTTCCCCACTGCCTTTGACATTTTGTGTAGCATCTCATTACGTATGAAGTAGGTATTTCTGTCTGCTGAACACTTAAATTCAACCAGTTGCCTTTATTCAGCAGTGGGGAGTAAGTCACTCCTCGTTACTGCAACTTTTTTTCTAACCATATGTTTTACAGATTCTCAATATAATTAACTTCACTACAGGCCCAGAAATTGAACTAATTAAAGATAGAAAACTGAGAATATAAATAGACTAAATAGATAAAAATATGAAAAAAAAAGGAATTCTTGAAAATGACGTGCTCATGAGAACCTAAAAAAAAAGAGAAAATGATGAATGAAACTTTTTTCATAAAACACAGCTTTTATTCACATCAAGGGAAATATCAGGAACTTCAGAGGAGTAATATTACATAAAGAGAAGTGTCAGTTCCTTGAAGTTTGACCTTAGGTGTCAGTCTTACTCAGTGCTGAAGATTTTTTTGGCTGCTTCAGTAGGCTTAATTAACATATATTTTGTATTACTATAGCATTTCTTTCACCCTCTTCCTTACTCTGGGAGAGACTTAATTGTTTATATTTTGCTTTCCTACTTGATTTTGAGACTCTAGATACCCTACTGTAGCCCCATCATGGGAGACCAAGCTTGCCACACAGTAGGTACACCCTAAATACTCTAAGAAAGAATGAATAATCGACAGAAGATTTGCAGGAAAAAGAACCATAGCAACTTTTTGAAATATGACATAAATAACCCATTGAGAACTTTAGAGATATTTCCATTGCCCAAACAGAGAAATCAGAAATGCCTGAATACTCATTCATTCTGTTTCATTTCCTCATGTGTTTAAGCACCAAAGTAGACATTTTTGCTGTCTTCTTAGGATAGTGGGTGACAAGTACCAAGTATTGTGAAGGTTATTGATGGACAGATCGTTATAGAACATTTAAAAGAAATGAAGACATTCAGAATAAATTGCTCATAAAAGAAAACAGTTGTTTCTTTTAAGATGGCTACTAGTATAATAAGGAGTACTATACCATTTTATTACCCCTTGTCATAGTTACCTTACCCTCAGCCAAATGTGAGGGTTCAGTAGACTCTCATTGATGTCGTATGACCAAAGCTGTGTTAGTTACAGTTATAACTTGACCCATGTCTCCTGGAATATGGGTAGACACAGAGACTGGTGTTCTATTATTTCTGGAAAAATCTAAAAGCCTTCTCCTGAGACCTCGAGCAGAAAGAACTTCACAGGCACCAGCTTCACTTTCACCAACAGTAGGAAAGAGTTCCTGTGTCTTAAGAACAAAGTGGACACTATAGGTACTAGAGAGGCTAGAAAAATATTGACAGGTCGCAGAGTAGTAACGTTACCTCTCATCAGAATAAATGTAGGTTGGAGAGTAGGGAATAATGATTGTAACTGAATGAATGATGATGAAGTTTTCATTTGGAGTAAATAAATAAATAAATACATACATAAATAAATACATAAATAAATGTAACCATAGAAATATGCATAGAAGTCTCTGATGATCTTATGTATTTTTGTGGTATCAGTTGCAGTGTCCCCTTTTTCACTTCTCATTTGTGCTTATTTGAATCTTCTCTCTTCTTGGTTAGTCTAGCTAGCAGTCTCTCAATTTAATTTACGTTTTCAAAACATTAACTTTCATTTCACTGACATTTTGTATTTTTTATTTGGCCCTCAATTTTATTTAGTTCTGGTCTGATCTTTGTTATTTCTTTTCTTCTGCTCTCTTGGGTTTGTTTTGTTCTTGCGTTTTGAGTTCCTTGAAGTATGACATTAGTTTTTAATTTTTGATCTTTCTATTTTATCAATGTAGGAATTTAAAGTTATAAACTTCCCTCTTAGCACTTCTTGGCTGTGCTTCTTTGTTTTGGTATGTTGTACCTCCATTTTTATTCATTTCAAATGAGTTATATTTTATTATTTTTTAATTTAAATGTTCATCTTAATTTTGTCATTGCCCACGAAATCATTCAGGAGTATGTTGTTTATTTTCCATGTATTCGTATAATTTCCAAGAGTTCTTCTTGGAATTGATTTCAAAATTTATTCTACTGTGGTCCAAGAAGATACTTTGTATGATTTTGATTGTTTGAAATTTATTAATACTTGTTTTGTGACCTAACATACAGTTTATCACCTTGGAGAACGTTCCATGAGCTGATGTGAAGAATGTATATCCTATGTTTGTTGTACAGAATGCTCTATAAATGTCTGTTAGCTCCATTTGATCTAAAGTCCAATTTGAATCCAGTGCTTCTGTTTGCTTTTTGTTTCTATTTCCATGAAATATCTCTTCATTTTTCTTTACTTTCATTCTATAAGTGTCTATCAATAAGGTGTGTCTCCTGCAAGTAGCATAGGGTCAGATCATGTTTTCTTTTAAAATCCATTCTGCCAATCTGTACCTTTTAAGTGGAGAATTTAATTCATTTATGTTCAAAGTTAATATTGATTTGTGAGATTTTGTTCCTGTCATTATGTTAATTATCTAGTTGTTTAGCTTCTTTTGTGTAAGTTTTTATAAGACCTGTGAGTTTTATACTTTTGTGTGTTTTTATGATGGTGACTGCTGACATCTTGTTTTTATGTTTGGAACTTCCTTGAACATTTCTTGCAGAATCAGTCTAGTGATGATGAATACCCTCAGTGTTTGCTTGTCTGGGAAACGCTTTATTTATATTTCATTTATGAAGCTTATTCTGGCAGTATACAAGACACTCATGAAAGAAACTTTAGATGACACAAACAAATGGAAAAACATCCTATGCTCATGGATTGGAAGAATTAATATAGTTAAAATGACCATACTTCCCAAAGCAATCTATAGATTCAATGCAATTTCTATCAAAATACCAACATCATTTTTCACAGAATTAGAAAAATAGTCATAAAATTAATATGGGACCAAAAAAGAACCTGAATAGCTAAAGCAATTTTAAGCAAAAAGAACGAAGCTGGAGGCATCATATTACCTGACTTTACATTATACTACAAGGAAATAGTAAACAAAACATTTCTGTACTGGTATACAGTTAGACACATAGATCAATGGAACATAATAGAGAACCTATAAATAAAGCCACATGCCTACAGCCAACTGATCAACAAAGTTGACAAAAACATACACTGGGGAAAGGATGCCCTTTTCAATAAATGGTGCTGGGAAAATCTAATAGCCACATCCCAAAGAATAAAACTGAACCTATATATCTCACCATATACAAAAATTAACTAAACATAGATTAAAACTTAAATGTAAGACCTGAAACCATAAAAATTCTAGAAAAAAATAGGAAAAACTCTTCTGGACATTGGTCTAGGCAAATAATTCATGACTAAGACCTGAAAGGTGAATAAAACAAAAACAAAAATAGAAAAATGGCACTTAACTAAACTAAGAAGTTTCTGCACAGAAAAATAAACAATCAACAGGGTGAATAGACAACCTACAAAATGGAAAAAAATATAATGTAAACTATATGTCCAACAAAGGACTAATATCCAGAACCTACAGGGAACTAAAAATAGCAGCAACAACAACAACAACAACAAAACAAATGACCCCATTAAAATGTAGGTAAAGAACATGAACGAACACTACTGGGGGAACCCACCCCCAATATTTCAATGTAGGTTCTATTTTCCATAAGTGTCAGCCCCTGAGAAATAAAGAGAGACAGTATAAAGAGAGGAATTTTACAGCTGGGCCGCCAGGGGTGACATCACATATTGGTAGGACTGTGATGCCCGCCTGAGTCTCAGACCAGCAAGTTTTTACTAAGGGTTTCAAAAGGGGAGGTGGTGTAAGAACAGGGAGTAGGCACCAAGATCACATGCTTCAAAGAACAAAAAGCAGAACTACTAAGGGTCTAACAAAGATCACATGCTTCTGAGGGAACAGAACAAAGGGCAAAAGCAGAACCACTGATAAGGGTCTATGTTCAGCAGTGCATGTATTGTCTTGATAAACATCTTAAACAACAGAAAACAGGGTTAAAGAGCAGAGAACCAGTCTGACCACAAATTTACCAGGGCGGAGTCTTCCCAACCCTAGTAAGCCTGAGGGTACTGCAGGAGACCAGGGCATATCTCAGTCCTTATCACAACTGCGCCAGATAGACATTCCAAGAGCGACCGTTTATAGACCTCCCCCGAGGAATGCATTCCTTTCCCAGGGTATTAATATTAATATTCCTTGCTAGGAAAATAATTTAGCAATATCTCTCCTACTTGCACGTCCATTTATAGGCTCTCTGCAGGAAGAAAAATATGGCTCTTTTTGCCCGACCTCGCAGGCAGTTGGACTTTATGGTTGTCTTCCCTTGTTCCATAAAAATCTCTGTTATTCTGTTCTTTTTCAAGGTGCACTGATTTCATATTGTTCAAACACACGTTTTACAATCAATTTGTACAGTTAACACATTATCACAGTGGTCCTGAGGTGACGTACATCCTCAGCTTACAAAGACAACAGGATTAAGAGATTAAAGACAGGCATAAGAAATTATATAAGTATTATTTGGGAACTGATAAATGTCCATATTAAGATGAAATCTTCACAATTTATGTTCCTGTGCCGCGACTCCAGCCTGTCCCTCCATTCGGGGTCCCTGACTTCCCGCAACAGAACACTTTGCAAAAGAAAACATGCAAATGGCCAACGAGCATATAAAAAAATGCTCAACATCTCTAATTAGCAGAAAAATGGGAAATTAAAATCATAAAGAGATGTCATTTACACCAGTCAGATTGGCTATAATTAAAAAGTCAAAAAATAACAGATGTTGAAGAGGATGCAAATAAAAGGAAAGACTCATACACTGTTGGTGGTGAAGTACATCCATTGAAAACAGTACGGAGATTTCTCTAAGAACTAAAAATAGAACTACCATTCCATCCAACAATCTCACTACTGGGCATCTACATAAGGGAAAAGAAATCATTATATGAAAAAGATACTGGCACTCATATGTTTACCACAACACTATTCACAATAGCAAAGATATGGAATCAAAATAAATGTCCATCAATGGATGATTGGAAAAAGAAAATTTTATATATACACACACAGACATATATATATATGTATATGTATATGTATATATACACATACATCATGGAATATTACTCAGCCATAAAAAATAATGCAATTGTGTCTTTTGCAGCAATATAAGTGGAATTAGAGGCCATTATTTTAAGTAAAATAATTCAGAAACAGTATGTCAAATGTTGCATTTTCTCACTTATAAATCAAAGCTCAATATTGTGTACATATGGACACAGAGAGAGGAATAATAGAGGCTTGGAAAGGTGAGAGGGTGGGAGAAACGTGAGGGATGAGAAATAACCTAATTAGTACAATGTGTACTGTTTGCATGATGGTTACATTAAAAGTACATACTTCACTACCATGCAATGTGTCCATGTATCAAAACCCCTAAATCTATAAACATTAAAATAAAAAATAAATACATATAATTACCTCTAAAAGGAGGATATTGTAATTAAACAAATGTGGCTGGAAAGACTATAAAATCCCCCATGAGATCAAGAAGACAGTAAAGGAAGATCTAGCAGAGTTGTTTTATGTATTAAATTGTGGTGATAAAGAATAAGCTTTCTTGTTTGGATCTCCACCAAGTCCTGCCTATTAAATAAATGGGTTGAATTTGGAAGATCATACCAACTGTGTTTCTATTTTTCTAATATTTTTCCTTTAATTTCTGGACCAAAGCCTGTGTTCCCCAAGAAGCATCTTTTGACGCCAGTCCTGAAAAATTTCCTCTGAACTCTTGTTGTGTCAGTTACCAATACCATTCACATGACTCTTTGCCTATGCTGACTGCTATGTTTTATTATTTACATGTAGTATCTATACTCTGTTTCCCCAACTGATTGGTGAGGCCCAGTGAAGGGGAAGGAAACCATCAGTTCTTCAGTTCCTACTCTGTACTAGTAGCTATATATTTAATACATTACTTTATCTACTTTTCACAGTAACTTCTTGCAGCTGGTATTATCTTTACTTTTTACAGGTAAAGAAACTGAAGTTTAGTGAACTTATATAATTTGCTCAAGGACAAATTCAGAATAGTTTGACACTAGAACTAGTGTCAAATTATTTTACCAGTATTTTAAAGTAAGAGTCTTTTTGCTTCTTTTACATAGTATATGCTTAGCCCTGCTTCTTGAACCATGTATATGTGTACTAATGTCTCTTAAGGATGATAAAGTATTCCTTATTATCAGTACGCTTTCGAAGTGCCTAAATATCTAAATATCTACACTTTTTCTAGAGTTTCAAATAACATTCATTACAAGGTAAATAATTTTCTGGTGAAAATACATTTTTATGTAATAAAATGCAATCATGTAAAAGATATTGAAGACCACAACAAAACTGCATGTCTGATTTTGTGATGAATTTTGCCTAGTTTCTGTTATTTTGATACATATGTGAGATATATATATATATATATATATATCCTATCTTACTTAAGTTCGCCATGTTATTTAAGTTCGGAAAAAGTATACAACTAAATCAAAGACCTTGCCTTTAGGTGTTTCCCTTATTTCCCTCAAATTTTGCATTAAAAAATATAAAATTGAATTTGCTTTAAATGTAGCCATAAGAACTTTTGTTATCCTTTGTGTTGATACGGATCACAGTCTTTCAGAATAACTGGTGAAAGCATGAGTTCGAGAAGTCCAGTTTTTATGTGATATCTACGGACTTCATGGGACAAATGGGAGGATACTTTTAACCTTCACGATCAATAGGAGTTTAGAAATAGGCTAAAAATCGATAGGAGTTTAGAAATAGGCTAGAAAAATAAAAACTTAATTAAAAATAAAAATGGCCAGGGGTGGTGGCTCATGCCTGTAATCCCAGCACTTTGGGAGGCTGAGGTGGGCAGATCACCTGAGGTCAAGAGTTCGGGACCAGTCCGGCCAACATGATGAAACCCTGTCTCTACTAAAAATACAAAAATTAGCCAGGCATGTTGGCGCATGCCTGTAATCCCAGCTACTCCAGGGGCTGAGGCAAGAGAATCGCTTTAACCTGGGAGGGGAATGTTGTAGCTAGACAAAATCGCGCCACTGCTCTACAGCCTGGGTGACAGAGTGAAACTCCGTCAAAAAAAAAGACAATTCACATGTAGTTTGGAAAACAAATCCCAGCCCTGACAGAGGAAATGGGATAGAGGAAGATGACACCTGCAAATTACTAAATTTTTACACAGAGCATAAAATATATATAAATCAGTAGCATTTTGTCATTTGGGGTAGATACAGGAAGTAGCCATCAATCTGAAGAAAACACAGTAAATTTTATCAATTTTCTAAAGCTTCAAACTTTTTGTATATTCTCAAGTAATAATCATATATAAGTTTCTTTTCTTTTTCTTCATTGAGTGTCAATCCACACCTATAGGCTAGAGCTAGATCATTACTCTGTTTTCTCACTGAATTATTTTGAGACCCACCTAATCTAAAAGTTTACATTTTCTTCCCCCTCCACACACCCCCAGGCAATCGATTCACAAGCAGCAGCCAGAATGACTCTGTTTTAAGTCAGTTCATATCATTCCTCAGCTCATAACATCCAATGGATTAATGACTTTCATGCAAAATAGAAGACCAAGTACTTTCCACGTGCTACAGAGCTCCACAGGATCTAAAATTCCATTAGCTTTGGAACCTCATCTTTGATTCCTCTCTCTTCTCGCTCACTTTTTTTATTTTTCCAACCGCATGAACCTTGTTCTTTCTGTATCATGGTAGAAATGCTCTCATCTCAGGAACTGCCTGACCCCTCTATCTGAAACGCTCTAACTCCAGATATCCTCATGGATATCTCCCTCAAACCCTTTTAACCTTTGTACAGTAATTTTCCATATCACTTAGGTCTGCCTTAATCAAACTATTTAAAATAGCGTGTGAGCACACACACACACACACACACACACACACACACCCTTCATCACCATCTATTCTTTTTACCTAACTTAATTATTCTCCACACCTCTTTGTCCTTTTAATATTTTATATAACGATCTTGCCTCTTATGTTTATTGTCTATCTCATTCCCACTAAAATATAAAACTTCATGAGGAAAGAGATCTTTGTCTATTTTTCGTTCAGTCTTCTAATACCTAGGCTAATATATGTCATATACTAGCAACTCAATAAATAATTACTTGATCAACTTTATTAGCTATTGTAAAATAAAATATAAAAAAATCTATTGCTGGGCTTTGGGATTCTAATGTATTAAAATGCATGGCTACATAAATAGATTAATTATACAGATTTTAGTGTTGAGAGAGGCATTATCCTGTAAAATGGTTAATTTACAGCGAGTGCAGAAGTACAGGAAGAATCAGGCTCAGTTATAATATTAATAAATTAACAAATGTTGACTTATAGTACAATAGAGAGGAGCTCTTAACTCAGGCAGATGAGGATTTGGATACCTAGACTACCACTAACTTTCTGAGAAATCTAAGGTATGTTCATGAGCTCTAAAGTGGCTCAGTTTCTTATCTGTACAATGACAATAATAATATAAGGATGTTGTAAAGCAATATAACACATGTATTCTTGGAGAATTTGTATTACTGACAAGAACTCTTTCTTATTAATAAGAGCTCTTTATATAGTAAGTATATTTTACCTTCTATATTTGTTGCATATAATTTTTTCCCTGCCTGTCATTGCTTTTAGCTTTTTCTAACAGATATTTTTATTACATTCAGGCTTTTCAACCTCAAACAATTTTCTCCATTTACCCAATTCATTTATCATTAAATCATTTTTATTCCTATATGTGCTTCACATTTCTTATAATTACCTAGTACTTTAAACTTTTTTTACAATAACAAAAAATATTTTAGTAAAACATAAGATTTACAGAAGTTTCCAGACAAGCCATACAAAATGGTCACAAGCTTATTTTGAAGGGGGGACTCTACACTTGACAGCAAAGTCACAATGTTATTAGTGAGGGCAGTGATGCTTGTTAAATGTTCCCATTTTGGTTCAAACAATCAAGCTTGTCCATCTACAGTGTCTAAATAAAGTTAGACTTGGATAGAGAGCATATTTCTAAAGAACTGGTTAGCTGCTTTTAACCAATCCAATTAGAGCACCAAAAAGGCGGGGAAAGGAGCCCATAAAATTAAAATAAAACTACTTACCCCCCTCAAAAAAATAAAGAAAAACACCCACACCCTTGCAGCTAACCTGACAACTACCTTCATTCACAGTGCTTTATACTTAAACCAGGATGGGGGAAATGAATAAAAGCAGGGAGGGACCACTGCTTTTAAACGTTTCACAACAATCCGGATGATACGTCTAGCCTCTGCTCATGCTTTATGACAGTGAATCAGGACAAGACATAGATTTGCTAATGTACATTTAATCACCAAATAACTGAAGATGTCTGGGTTTTTTTATTCTGTAATGTTTCTAAGACTATGTCCATTAAATGCAAGCAAAAAGGAAGAAGTCTTGGCAGAACAGGAGAAGTGATGCACACTTAATGATTGGATCAATTTAAATACTATTCATGGCATATAGCCTAGTCCATGCTCTAGCTGTTTCAATGGCTTGGGCTTCGTTGGTCTTCCACTGCTCCACTACATCATTTGCTAATGGATCATCTGGATTGGGAGCATTTAACAAGGCCTGGATCGATAGCAGAACTGTGCGGATCTGCAGGGCTGGGGACCACTTATCTTTCAAAATATCTCAACTTATTCTTTCCAACTTGTCTACATTTGGATGATAAATTTTGGTCATGAAACGTACTTTAGGGGCTGCCATTGGGTATTCTTCTGCAAGTAATAGTTCACGTTTAAAAGTCCCTCCCTCAAAGGGGGAATCCTTTGATTCCCCAGCAATGACCACATGAAAATAACGGGCGTTGCTTTCATCTGGTTCTGCTTTGATGCCAGGAACTGGCTCTGCCAGCAAACGCTGGGTTTCCTTGATGATCCTGTGGGGCAGCTCGGCCATCAGAACCTGAGTTCGGCCTCTGGTCTCATCCAGTACTTTATACTTTTATTTCTACTTAAAATGTAATATCATTTAATCATGTATTAAACAGCTATATACGAAATATATGTGCATGGGATTTTAAAACAATTTTTAATCTCACCATGTTAATGAACCATCTTGTAGTTTGAAACTAAGGTCAAGTTATTTTTCGGCCAGGCGCGGTGGCTCAAGCCTGTAATCCCAACACTTTGGGAAGCCGAGGCGGGTGGATCACGAGGTCAGGAGATCGAGACCATCCTGGCTAACATGGTGAAACCCCGTCTCTACTAAAAATACAAAAAAATAGCCGGGCGTGGTGGCGGGCGCCTGTAGTCCCAGCTACTCGGGAGGCTGAGGCAGGAGAATGGCGTGAACCCGGGAGGTGGAGCTTGCAGTGAGCCGAGATCGCACCACAGCACTCCAGCCTGGGCCACAGAGCGAGACTCCGTCTCAAAAAGAAAGGCATTTTTCTTAAATTTTCCAGATTGAACATCATATTATTTGAGTACATTTTTGTCTTTTTTGAGAATTTTTATTTTTCTCTATAATAAATATAACTTACAAAGTTAAATTTTAGAGATGATAGGAACTATATTCTTGTTTCTCTAGAATTTAATAAGAACATTTTATATTCTATCTTTAAGTTGTATTTGCTTCATAAGTAAATTTTAGATAGATATGATTCATCATATGAATCTAAGAATATTTATGTTTTTCATTAACTATATTATATGAGGGATAGACACAAATTCTTTTTACATATGCCTCACTGGACTCTACCAAGATGATCATATGGTTTTGCTTCCTTTTCTCTTGATGTGATGAACTACATAAGTAGAAGTTTCAAGAATAAAAAAACACCCTACTAGTTCACAATGGATTGCTCTTTAATTATAGCTCTGTGTTAGAATTAGTAGTATTTTATTCAGTGCAAGTATTTCTGTGTGTAGAAATAAGATTAAAACAATGAATAATATTTTGCATTTTGCTTCAAGGAGATGTTATGTTTACAAAATGAGTTAAGTTCAAAAAGAGCTCATAGCTTTTTGAGTCCTATAACACCATAAATGGGTGATAATTAGTTACTCCATAATACGTTCAAATAAATCACCTCCTATAAAACCTCTGGAGTGGGTACCATTTTTAAATGTGGCCCTTTTTCTCTTATTTTAATTTAAATCAATTAATAATAATTTAATTTTTCTATTTCTTGAAAACATTTGCATGAATTACCTTTTTCCTAGAAACATCATCAATTTCAAGACTTTTAACTTTATTAGTATAAAGTTTGATATAGCTAGTTATCATAATTTTACATTATTTGTGGTTATATTAACATTTATAAGTTTGTATGTATGTGCTTTATCTCTTTTGTCCACTTATCAGGTTTCCTAGAAATTGTTATTCTAATTGAAATTTTAACAAATAGTTACATAGTATTAAAAATTAATTCTATGATTTTATATTTTTTATCAATTTTATGTTTTATCTTTTAAAATTCATACTTTAATATTTTTCTCATTGCTATTTTATAATTATTACCTTTAATGTTTACATATTATAGCTCCATTTTTTGTTTTACTTTGTAGTGAAGTCAAATGAAGCTAATTATATTTTACTGAACACTGTGACTATTTATGGCTTGGCCAGTTACATTTTAGCAAACACCACTTCAACCCCATGATGAAGATCTGACACCTAATTTTCTCCTTGGATTTCTTTTTAGAATTATCTATAACTACAGTTATAATTTCTTCTTTGACCTAAAAAATAATTTTGTAAAACATTTTCTCTTTTATCTATTTGGGTATTTCATTTTAATTCACATCATTATTTTTAAATATAAGCACATTATGGTCCCAATGTGTGGCCTTTCTTAAACCTGAATTTTAGAATTTATTGAAATTTCTATATAGCGCAATTCACAGAAACTCACAAAATTGATATCTGTATGCCAGAAAGGAATTTTGCAATTAGATGGATAAATGGAAAAACAGATTTACACATAAAACATTCCATTAATTAAATAGAATTTAATTTTATTCAGTGGAACGTAGAATTGTTCAGTCACTAAATCTATATCATTTGTGTTTACCAATTTCATTTAGCAAACATATAGCAAGCTGTGTAATGCACTCCATGTATGATTGCATTTTGTCATTTTCTACTATGCATATAAATTTATATTTTATATTTTGATGAAATATTATTCAGTACATAAATAATTATTATCGTGATACCTGAGTTGTTTTGTCTGACTTTCAAATATAAGGTAAACATTTTATTCCCTTTCAATGCTTTTAGGCTTGTCCTCAACTTTGTAATAGCATTAAAATATCTGTTTTCATTTTGCTATGTTTTCCATGATGTTTCTGCCTAGATTTTGCTAAATTTTTTTTGAAATGTATGTTTTATGTGTTTCTCTTTGTATTAGTCTAGACAGGCTGTTTTTTTTTTTTTTTTTTTTGGAAACAACTAAAAAAACCTCAATTTCTGAACACAATACCTCATTTCTAGAACATTTCCTTCACCATAACATATACTCACAAGGTTTCATTGAGACGCAAGGGGAAAGAGTGCTGGGAAATGTGGGTTTTTAGTGTTGCAAGGTGAGGAACATTGTTTCTGCCATAGTCTGTCATTCTGTTCATCAAAGGTCCATTCACTCTCCTTCCTTTTTTTTTCAAAGCTGTTTGCTTAGGATGGCTTTATTAATTAAAGCTCTTTTTTTGGCTCCAAATTAATTTTATAGTAGATTTTTCTAATTCTGTGAAAAATAATGTTGGCATTTTGATTGAGATAGCATTGAATCTGTATATTGCTTTGGGCAGTAGGGCCATTTTAACTACATCCACCATGGAATTTTTCTTATTTATTTGTGTCATCCCTGATTTCTTTCAGCAGTGTTTTGTAGTTTTTTTTTTTTTTTGTAGAGATCTTTCACTCCTTGGTTAGATGAATTCCTGGGTATTTCATTTTCTTTGGGGCTATAGTAAATGGGATCATGTTCTTGATTTGACTCTCAGCTAGAATGTTACTCGTGTATAAAAATGCTACTGAATTTTTTACATGGATTTTGTATCCTGAACCTTTAACTAATCTATTAATCAGCCCTAGAAGCCCTTTGGTGTGGTCTTTAGGGTTTTCTATGTATGGAATTTTATTGTCAGCAACGAGATAGTTTAACTTCTTTTCCTATTTGAATGGCTTTTTTTTCTTTCTCTTTCCTGATTGCTGTGTGTGGATAGAATTTCCATTACCATGTTGAATGAAAGTGGTAAGAGTGGACACAT
Organism: Homo sapiens; assembly: GCF_000001405.40. Lineage (NCBI taxonomy): Eukaryota > Metazoa > Chordata > Mammalia > Primates > Hominidae > Homo > Homo sapiens. The sequence goes on along the minus strand of NC_000023.11, from coordinate 143,880,786 downwards.
TTGTCTTGTTCTAGTTCTCAAGTGCAAGGCTTTCAGCTTTTGCCCATTTAGTATGATGTTGCCAGTGGCTTTGTCACAAACATCTCTTGTTATTTTGATGTACTTCCTCCAATGCCTAATCTGTTGAGGATTTTTATCATGAAGGAATGTTGGATTTTATTGAAGGTTGTTTTTGCATCTACTGAGATGAGTGTATGAGATTTGTTTTTTATTCTGTTTATGTGGTGAATCATATTTACTGATTTGCATGTGGTGAACTAACTTTCCATCCCAGAAATAAATCTTACTTGGTCATGGTGAATTAACGTTTTGATGTGCTGCTGGATTCAGTTTGCTGAATGAAGCTGGAGGCATCACACTATCCAACCTCAAACCATACTATAAGGTTACAGTAATCAAAAAAGCATGGTACAAGTACAAAAACAGATGCATAAACCGGTGGAACAGAATAGAAAACACAGAAGTAAACCTACACAACTACAACCATCCGATTTTCCACAAAATCTACTGAAATAAGCATTGACAATAAGAGTGCCTATTCAATAAATAGTGCTGGGATAACTGGCTAGTCATATGCAGAATAATGAATTGGACCCCTACCTCTTACCATATATGAAAATTAACTCAAAATGGATTAAAGACTTAAATGTAAGAGCTCAAATTATAAAAATGCTAAAACAAAACCTAAGAAACACCTTCTTAACAAGTTTTGGCAAAGAATTTGTGGCTAAGTCCCCAAGAGCAATTACAACAAAAACGAAAAGTAATAAGTGGCACCTAATTCAACTAAAGAGCTTTTGCACAACAAAAGAAGTTACTGACAGTAAACAGACAGGCTACGGAATAGGAGGATATAATCACAAATTATGCATCTGATAAAGGTCTAATATCAAGAATCTACAGGGAACTTAAATCAACAAGGAAAGAACAAAAATATCCACTTAAAATGGCAGAGAATATGAACAGACACTTCTTAAAACAAGGTGTACAAGCAGCCAACAGCATATAAAAATGCTCAACATTGGCCAGATGCAGTGGCTCACGCCTGTAATGGCAGCACTTTGGGAGGCTGAGGCAGGTGTATCACAAGGTCAGGAGTTCAAGACCAGCCTGGCCAAAGTGGTGAAACCCCGTCTCTACTAAAAATACAAAAATTAGCTGGGCTTGCTTGCGGGCGCCTGTAATCCCAGCTACTCAGGAGGCTGAGGCAGAGAATTTCTTGAACCCGAGAGGTGGAGGTTGCCGTGAGCCGAGATTGTGCCACAGCACTCCAGCCTAGGCAACAGAGCAAGGCTCTGTCAAACAAACAAACAAAAAAAAAAAAAAAAGAAAGTTTTGCTGTTGTTGTTTTCGTAAGTGCCATTTGGCACTGTATGTAATTTCCCATTCACAAAAATTTCTCTCTCAGCCTTCTGTAGATCTGGTTCCTCTAGTGTTCAAAAATTATAGAAATGAAAATAAAAGGAAAAAAAAGAACTGAATTTGATCATTTGCTGTCAATCTGTTTTTCTCAACTGAACTGTTTGTAGGAATAAAAAATCAGTCTTACAAATGCAAGAATTTTCCCAAAATAAGTCTAAATTTTGTTTTGTATTATTTGCCCAATTCATGAGACACACTTGCATTAATCATATTTGGCTCTTTTTGACCACAGGAATATTTTCTTCAACACTTTTTTATTGTTAATTTCATTAATTTAATTTGTCATCTCAATATTTTCTCTGCTTTCTGGGCTTCATATTATGTTTAATTTGGATTTCTACAATCGTTTCTGTGTATCTTTTAGAGGCTATTTTATTATTTTAACCTGTTAATTCCTTTCTTCACAATCATGTTTGATGAATAAAATTTCCAGGCCTTGGGGTATACACATTTACAAACTAACATTTTTTTTCCAAATAGCTCTCTCAAGTTACGATACCAATTTTATATTTCCACAAGGAGTATATGAACCTTCCTGTTTCAACACATGCTCACCATTTCTTGGTAATATTAAGCTTACAATTTAAATTGTCCTATATGTACAGTGAAAAAAGGTAACTTGTACATTCAGTTGTCCTTTTTGCTGAGTTCAATTTTATGTAATTTACCCATTTTTAATATTTATATATTTTTGACTTAGGCATCAGAAAGATTGTTTCAATATACTTGATATTAACATTTTGTTTGCTAAATATGTTTAAGTATATTGTTGTCATTTAAATTTGTTTTTCAGTAACTTCAGTAACTTCTTTCATTTATTTGTGGGTTTTCTGTTCCTTATCTAAGAAATTTTATCATAGTTAGAAAAAATTACTGAATACTATTTCTTAATAATTTTGAAGATTTTCTTATTTCTCTCTTTTATTTGTCTGGGATCAATTTTTGCATATGATATTTGGTAAAGATCTAATATTGTAATTTTTTCAATTGGAAAACAATTTATCCCAACATAATATACTGAAAGTTTATTCTTTCCCCACTGATGTAGAAAGTTAATTCTATTATATATTCAATTGTTGTATATACCTTGATGAATTTCTGAGTTCTATCATCTAAAATATTGATTAATTTGCCTCTTTCTTCACCTACGTTACTTTAATTACAAGAGTTTAAAATGAAAGTACTTTATAAATACTTTTATATTTTTGAAGAATATTTTAGACCTTTATAATTCTACATATATAGCTTCATAATGAGGCTTTGATTCAAATTGCATTAAATTTATTGTAAAGTGAAATAATACCTTTTTCATGTTGTTTTCTCATCCATCAAACTGATACGTCTCTCTACGTATCTAAGGTTGCCCTTACTGTCACTCAGTGTTTTGTGATTTCCTTTGTCAAAATCATGAGTGTACTTTATTAGATTTACTCCTAAATAATGTGTGTATATGATATTATAATAAGACATTTTTTGTATCATAATTTCTAAGAGTCTTGTTAATCTATAGAAAAAATATCCATTTTTGTTGACCGAGCATGAACCCAGAAATTCTCCCAAATTATTTCTTGTAAAATTTTATTTACTTGCCGGGCGTGGTGGCTCACGCCTGTAATCCCAGCACTTTGGGAGGCCGAGGCGGGTGGATCACGAGGTCAGGAGATCAAGACCATCCTGGCTAACACGGTGAAACCCCGTCTCTACTAAAAATACAAAAAATTAGCTGGGCGTGGTGGCGGGCGCCTGTGGTCCCAGCTACTCAGGAGGCTGAGACAGGAGAATGGCGTGAACCCAGGAGGCGGAGCTTGCAGTGAGCTGAGATGGCGCCACTGCACTCAGCCTGGGCGACAGAGCGAGACTCTGTCTCAAAAAAAAAAAATTTATTTACTCATTTCTATTTTTATTTTTCAGCTTTATTTAGGGATAATAGATGAATGAAAATTGTACCTGTTTACAATGTACAAACTGATGATTTGATATATATACACATTGGAAAATGATTACCACAATCAAGCTAATTAACATACCCATCACCTCACATAGTTACCATCTTACCATCTTTGTGTCTATGTATGGTCTGAAAATTTAAGATTTATTCTCCTGGCAAATATCTAGTATACAACACAGTATTATTAACTATAGTCACCATACTGTACATTAAATCTCCAGAACTTATTCATCCTGCATAACTGAACCTTTGTACCCTTTGACCAAAAGCCCTCTATTTCTTCACTCCCTCAACCCCCAGCAAACATCATTCTACTCTCTGCTTCTATAAGTTTAACTTTTTTAGATCCCACACATAAGTCAGATCATTCAGTATTTGTCTTTCTGTGTCTGGCTTATTATATTTGCATAATATCCTCCAGTTTCATCCACATTGTTGCAAATGACAGCATTTCCTTTCTTAAGGCTGCATAATATTCTATTGTATGTGTATATATGTATTAGTCTGTTTTCATGCTGCTGATAAAGACATAACCGTGATTGGGCAATTTACAAAAGAAAGAGGTTTATAATGGACTTACAGTTCCACAAGGCTGTGGAAGCCTCATAATCATGGCGAGAGGCAAAGAGGAGCATGTCACTTCTTACATTGATAGCAGTAGGCAAAAAGAAAGAGCTTGAGAGAGCTTGTGCAGGAAAACTCCCCCTTACAATAACCATCAGATCTTGTGAGACTTACTATTATAAGAAAAGAACAGGAAAGATCTGCCCCCATAATTCAATCACCTCCCACCGGGTTCCTCCCACGACACATAGGAAATGTGGGAGTTACAACTCAAGATGCGATTTGGTTGGGGACACAGCCACCATATCATTCTGCCCCTATCCTTTCCCAAATCTCATGTCCTCACATTTCAAAACTGATCGTGCCTTCCCAACAGTATTTCAGAGTCTTAACTCATTTCAGCATTAACTCAAAAGTTCACAGTCCAACGTCTCATCTGAAACAAGGCAAGTCCCTTCTGCCTATGAGCCTATAAAATCAAAAGCAAGCTAGTTACTTCCTAGATACAATGGGAGTACAGGCATTGGATAAGTACAGCCATTCCAAATGGGAGACATCGTCCAAAACAAAGGGGCTACAGGTCCCATGCAAGTCTGAAATCCCGAGGGGCAGCCAAATCTTAAAGCTCCAAAATGATCTCCTTTGATTCCAATTCTCACATCCAGATCACACTGATGCAAGAGGTGGGTTTCCATGGTCTTTGGAAGCTCCGCCCCTGTGGCTTTGCAGGGTATGGCCTCCCTCCTGGCTGCTTTCACAGGCTGGCATTGAGTGTCTGCAGCTTTTCCAGGCCCACAGTGCAAGCTGTCAGTGGATCTACCATTCTGGGGTCTGGAGGACGGTGGCCTTCTTCTCACAGGTCCACTAGGTGGTGCCCCAGTAGGAAGTCTGCATGGGGGCTCCGACCCCACATTTCTTATCTACACTGCCCTAGCAGAGTTTCTCCATGAGGGCCCAAGCCTTGCCCCTGCAGCAAACTGTTGCCTGGGCATCCAGACCTTTCCATGCATCTTCTGAAATCTAAGTGGAGATTCCCAAACCTCAATTATTGACTTCTGTGAACCTGCAGGATCAACACCACATGAAAGCTGCCAAGGCTTGGGGCTTCCACCCTCTGAAGAAACAGCCTGAGCTGTACCTTGGTCCCTTTTAGTCATGACTGGAGTTTCTGTGATGCAGGGCACCAAGTCCCTAGACTGCACACAGCATGGGGACCCTGGGCCTCGCCCATAAACCATTTTCTCCTAGGCCTCCAGGCCTGTGATGGGAGGGGCTGCCATGAAGACCTCTGACTTGCCCTGGAAACATTTTCCCCATTGTCCTTGGGATTAACATTAGGCTCCCTGTTACTTATGCAAATTTCTGCAGCCTGCTTAAATTTCTCCTCAGAAAATTGGTTTTTCTTTTCTATCACATTGCCAGGCTGCAAATTTTCAGAACTTTTATGCTCTGCTTCCCTTATAAAACTGAATGCCTTTAACATCACCCAAGTTAGCTCTTGAATGCTTTGCTGCTTAGAAATTTCTTCTGCCAGATACCCTAAATCATCTCTTTCAAGTTCAAAGTTCCACAAATCTCTAGGGCAGGGGCAAAAAGCCACCACTCTCTTTGCTAAAACATAACAAGAGTCACCTTTACTGCAGTTCCCAACAAGTTCCTCATTTCCATCTGAGACCACTTTGCTCTGGACTTTATTGTCCATATCACTGTCAGGCTTTTGGTCAAAGCCATTTAACAAGTCTCTAGGAAGTTCCAAACTTTTCCACATTTTCTTGTCTTCTTCTGAGCCCTCCAAACTGTTCCAACCTCTGCCTGTTACCCAGTTCCACAGTCATTTCCATATTTTCAGGTATCTTTTCAGCAGCGCACCACTCTCCTGGTACCAATTTACTGTATTGGTCTGTTTCCAGGCTTCTGATAAAGACATACCCAGGATGGGGCAATTTACAAAAGAAAGAGGTTTATAGTGGACTTAGAGTTCCACGTGGCTGGGGAAGCCTCATAATCATTGCAGAAGGCAAGGAGAAGCAAGTCACATCTTACATGGATGGCAGCAGGAAAAAAAATAGAGAGCTTGTGCAGGAAAACTCCCCCTTATAATAACCATCAGATCTCATGAAACCTACTACCATTAGAACAGAGGAGGAAAGACCTGCACCCATAATTCAATCATCTCCCACTGGCTTCCTCTCATGATACATAAGAATTGTGGGAGTTACAATTCAAGATGGGATTTGGTTGGGGACACAGCCAAACCATATCAATATACCATATATTTTTCAATATACCCCATCTGTTGAGGGAAAGCTAAGTTGATTCCATATCTTGGATATAGTGAATAATGCTGGAATAAATATAGAAATGAAGATATATGTTCAATATACTAATGTCATTTCTTTTGGAGATATATATATATATATATATATATACACACACACACACACACACACATAGAAGTGGAATTGCTGGATATATGGCAGCTCTATTTTTAATTTTTTGACTAATCTCCATAATGCTTTCCATAATGGTTGTACCAACTTACATTTCCACCAACCGTGTACAACGTCTCACTTTATTTTACATCTTTATGTTATCCATCTTTTTGATAATAGCCATTTCAACTGGTATAAGATGGTATCTCTCTGTGGTTTTTATTTGTGTTTCTTTGATGATTAGTGATTTTGATTCTTTTTTTCATATACCTGTTGGCCATTTGTATTCCTTTTATGGAGAAATCGCTATCCAAACACTTTGCTTATTTTTTAATCAGGTTACTTGTTTTCTTTTTGCTGAGTTATCTGAGTTTCTTATATATATTGGATATTAACCACTTGTCAGATGCAAAGTTTGCAAATATTTTCTCCCATTCTTTAGGTTGTCTCTTCACTCCATTGATTGTTTCCTTTGCTGTGCAGAGCTTTTTAGTTTGATCTAGTCTCACTTGTTTATTTTTGCCTTTGTTGTCTGTGTTCTAGAGGTCATATCCAAAAAAAAATTGCTTTTTCCTGTTTTCTTCTAGTTGTTTCATAGTTTCATGTCTTATGTTTAAGTCTTTAATCCATTGAGCATCACTGGAGCTTTATTTTGTCCATTTGCTGTCATCATGTTTTTTTTATTGATCTTGATGCTTGTGGCCATGTGTCAATGTCTGCATGTCGATATTCTTACCTAATCCAGTGTTTGCAGCCTGGCTTTGTTTGGTAACTTTCTTCCGCAGCAGGTTTGTCCAGTGATTCAATGTAGGTTGACTGGTGATATCCTTAAATCCATTACGATTTCAGCAGTTGCAGTTCCCTGAGGTGCCCGAAAGCCTAGAATTGCTGGGTCCATAATATTTGGCTGCTGAGGCTGACACAGTGCTGAGTCACACCAGAAACCGTGGCTGCCAAGACCAGCACAGCACTGGAGTGTGCCCAAGACCCACAGCTGCTATAGTCTGCCCACCACCGAGGTTTATTCAGGGTCTGAGGCTGTTGCAGTCAGCTGGTGGTCATGTGGGTCAGATCTCAAGTTTGCCTTACCAGGGCCACAGGTTCCCATCTGGCCCTGGGACCACAGGATTTTGTCTCATGTTGGGGCAGGTCTAGAGGTTTTGTTCATGTATATTGGCCTGGTGCCAGGAGCAGAGGGGTCTAGCCCAGTGCTGGGCTTTACTGTAGTGGGCCCAGTACTGGATTCTAATGCAAAGTCCTATGCTTGCTTCCCTCCTTTTCCTCAAGTAGATGGTATTTCTCTACAAACTGAACTGCCTGAGGTTGGGGAACAGGTGATGCAAAACTTAAATGGTCCTTTCTGCCCTCTTCAATTTGTCTATTCTAATTATTATGCTAAAACCAGGTACCGTAATGTCTCATCTGGTTTTCTTAGCTCTTGTGAAAACTTCTTCATGCATGGATAGTTGTTCAAATTAATGTTTCTATGGCGGAAGGGGAGATAATCGCTGGAGATTCCTACTCCACCATCTTCCCCCACCCCTCTCTGCCTTTTGTAATTTGATACTCTTTTGATAGACATATACATGCTAAGAACTGTTACATCTTTTAGGAGAACGGATGCCTTATCATTATGCAATGTTGGTCTTTATCCCTGCCATTTTATTTGCTTTGAAATCTGTTTTGTCTAAATTTAACAATTATTCCAGTTTTCTTTCAATTAGTGTCAACATGGTATATATATTTTTTACCTCGTTAATTTTAATTCATCTTTGTCTTTATATCTAAAGCAGATTTCTTATAAAAAGCGTGTAGTTGAGCAATTGTTTAAAAAGCCACCATCACAATCACCATCTTTAACATGTGTATTTAGACCATTCCATTCACATTTAAAATAATTACTGATATAAGTTGAAATAATATTTACTATGCTTTAACTTTTTCCTATTCATTGTTCTTTTAATATGTATATTTAGACCAATCATATTACTCAATTCACATCAATGGTGAGTTGACATTACAATATCACCTATGCTTCTTTTTTAACATATTAGTAGTAGTTGCCTTAGAGTTTGCAGTATACATTTACAATTAATCTAAGCAGACTTTTAAATAATATTAAATAGATTCACATGTAGTGCATGTGCCTCATAATGTAGAAATTTCCACACTTCCGTCTTTTCACCTTTGAATAACATTACATGGATTTACCTGTAGTGCAGGTAGCTTACAACAGAGAAATCTCAATTCCACTCCACTATGCCTTATAAAACTCATTTTACTGATTAAGAGGTTATTATCAGACAGTATGTTGTTACCATTAATATTTGAATAGTTATATTACATTTAAAATAAATAATAATATTTAATTTCATTTATTTCTTCTCTGACACATTTTTTCTTTATGTTCTTAAAAGACCTGTATCATCTTTCTGCATGCTGAATACTTTTTTTTTTTTTTAACATTTAGTTCATGGCAAGTCTTCTGAAGAATAATCTCTCAGATTTTTTCTGTGCATTAGGTGCTCCAAGAAAACATTTATTTATTATTCACTATTGAAGGATAATTTCAGTGCATATATAAAATTCCATGTTAGGTTAATAGTTTTTTTTATCTTCTAATGCTTTAAATATTTCACTCCACTCTCTTCTTGCTTATGTGGGTTCTGACAAGGAGTCTGCTGTTATTCTTTTTTATTTTATTTTATTTTTATTTTTAAAACCTTTTCTTTTTTTTTTTCGAGACAGAGTCTTGCTCTGTTGCCCAGGTTGGAGTGCAATGGCGTGATCTCGGCTCACTGCAACCTCCACCTCCCAGGTTCAACCGATTCTCCTGCCTCAGCCTCCCAAGTAGCTGGGATTATAGACGCCCACCACTACACCCGGCTAATTTTTTTTTTTTTTTTTTTTGTATTTTTAGTAGAGACGGGGTTTCACCATGTTAGTCAGGCTGGTCTCAAACTCCTGACCTCAGGTGATCCGCCCGCCTGGGCCTCCGAAAGTGCTGGGATTACAGGCATGAGCCACCGTGCCCGGCCTGCTATTCTTAGGCCTTTTCCTCTATAGATAAGGTAATTTCTTTACCCCCACACCCACCACTGGCTTTTATCAAGATTTTGTCCTTGTATTTGGTTTTCTGCAGCTTGAGTATGATATGCCTGGTTATATTTTATTTGATACTTATTCTGTTTGGGATTCTATAAACTTCCTGAATCTGTGGTGTGGTGTTTGTCATTAATTTTGAAAAGTCCTTGGCCATTATTACTTCAAATATTTCTTCTTTTTTTTTCTTCTCCTTATGGTATTCCAATTTACACACATGTTACATGTTTTCAAATTACCCTACACATCTTAGATAGTTTACTGATTTGATCCTTTTTTTCTCTTGTTGCAGTTTGGTAAGTATTAATTGACACATCTTCAAACTCACTAATCCTTTCCTTGGCCATGTCCAGGTCATCAAAATAATTTTTCATTTCTGGTACAGTGCTTCTGATTCTTAGAATTGCCTTTAATTCCTTTCATTTTTTGATTTTCTACTTCTCTGCTGATATTACTCATTTGTTTTTGCATATTATCTCTTTTGTTCATTAGAGCCATCAGTATACGAGTCATAGTTATTTGACATCCCCTGTCTAAAATTCCAATGCGTGTGTCTGGTTCTGATGCTTGCTATGTCTTTTGGAACTGTATTTTTCCTTGCCTTTTACCATTTCTTGTCATTGTTGTTGCCACTGTTGAAAGCCAGATATAATATATCAGCTAATAGAGAACTGAGGCGTACAGGGATCTAGTGTGAGGTTTTATATTAACTTGAATAGGATTTGAGCAATGTTTGATGTTTGCTGTAACCACAGGTGTCAGAGCATTTAAATACCCCTAAAAACATTGTTTTGTTTTCTCTGCTACTTTTTGGTTTCTCCTAATAAATGCTTCACCAATAAAGTCTAGCTTAGCAGCAGTTTCAGCTATACTAAGGTGTGGGAGAGTACAAGCTCTCTTCACTATTATGATTAAATTTCACTCCTTTATTGGTCCTGAACACCAAGGCGATGGCCTTTATGAATTACTTCTGAAGTAATTCATAGCCTTTTATTTCTTCCCTTGCATGAGACAGAATGTCTAGAGATGGGTGGAGTTGGCTGGTTGCTCTCCTTCCATGTTGGATAAAGATCTAGTGAAGTTTTTTCTTCTGTAAAGTAGCTCTTTCTTATAGAGAACACTAGGTGTATTTCCAAGTGGTTACTTTTTCCCTTACTCTGACCAAAGCATGAGGAATTTTATTTTTATCTTCACAATGACAACATGATGAGTTTCTTCAAGTGAATGCCCATGAAACTGTATGACTTCCATAAGACTGGGCCTGCAGGAGATTATCCCTCTGGTGCTAGTCTACACTAAGCCTCCAGCAATTCATCAGTATCACCATTTAATTATTCCTACCAGTTTATTGCTCGAGTTGCTTCTGCTTCAAATAAATTGATCTCAACTGTGATCCTCTGTATTTATCTATGTCTCCAGATTTCAGTTTGGTGGTTTATCCTGTGGCCTCAATTTTATGACGGCTCTAAGAAAGGCATTGGTTTTCAGTTTGCTTAACTTTTTCACTGTTGTAAAAGTGAAAGTGAGAATGTCCAAGTGCTTTACATTTTGGAGCTGAAACCAGAAATACTAATAATCCTAATATTGGCTTATATAATTCAAAGCTATATTATTAGGTACATACTAGTTTATGACTGTCATCTTTTTGGCAGTGTCCCTCTGTATCCCTAATAATGCCTTTTGATTTTCTGTTCTGAATGCATTTTGATTTTCTGTTCTTTTTGAAATTAATAATGCCACACTTCCTTTCTTTGGTTATACTTTGCTTAGAATGTATTTTCTTCCAACCTTTTTAACCATTCTGTATGAATTTGCTTTAAATGTATCTCTTTTAAGAAGAATATAAATAAACTTTCCTCTCATCTGATAGTCACTGTCATGCAGTAGATGGTTTAAACTTTTGCATTTAATGTGATTATTGATGAATCCTAACTTGTTTCTAAATTTTATTTTATTTTTAATTATTATGGTTTTTTTTTCCTCTCTAGCCTTCTACTGAGTTTATGAGACTTTTTTTTACTTCTGCATTTTCCTCAGTACTGATTTTGAGGTTAGTCAGTCTATTTCTGAATGTGCAGAGGTTACCCTTATCTTTTCTGTTGTGGTTGTGGTGGTGATAAGGTTTTGTTTTATCCTTAGTTTTTATAATTCATACTTACATTAGAAAAGTCTAAAGCTTATTAGTACTGAAAATACACAGAACATAGAAATCTTTAAATCCAGTCATTCACTTTGGCTCCATCTTACTCATAGCTTTCATGATAATGTTGTCTAGCATTTTTTACATTTCTAGTTCCAGCTTCTTCTAAGAACATACATTTTCAAGCCCTTCTTTCTTTGTGAGCTCATAGCATATTGGTAGATCATTATTCATGAGATTTGGATAAGTCAAATAAAATCTCACAGTAGTATGTAGGAATTTGTTATCTGCCCAAGATCCTAATCCATAGCCTTGACCAAAAGAGGACCATGGCATTAATAAAATAATACTCGATAGTAAAACACTTTATTTTAGCAAACTACAGTGTAGCAGGGTTTCCTGCAGTCTTAGAGATTGTCTGCTGATAGGAGTTTGAATGTTGCCGGGCTTTCTGAGTGTATAATGAAGAATACGCTTTATCCTACTTCAATTAAAGAGTTCTCTGAAATCCAGAAAAGGGCGCATTTTACTTGAGGCGAAAAAAACAAAGAGGAAAAGACTGCTCAGGATCAACAATAAATTGAGTTTTAGGGGATTTTGATGTTGCTCTGACCTAGAAATTGAATAATATTTATTAGTTTCATTGACTGGGATTGTACTCTGGGTGTATTTTATGCATCAGTATATGTGTTCAGTTTGAACTTTCATATAGAATTTGTTTCTACTCTGTGCTCTACTGTGTATTAGCATTTTCACCTAAAGCAGAATATTCAAAGTTTTCTGAGGTTAGTTTCTTTTAAATGATGAAAGATGACAATACTTGCCCTTAATAATTTACAGAATTGCTGTGAAAGTAAAAAAAAAAAAAAAGGTAGTACAGGATAGTGCTTTCTGAATTATAAACTATTTTGCAAATGTAAAGGAAGGTTACTAAACAGAAAAATAACAAAAAATTGCATGTGATTTTGTCATGTTTCTGATAAGTCCTCCTCTCAGGAATGTAAGAAATATTATAAAATCAGAGGATATTGAAGATGTTTAATGTTCTTCAAACATAAGCTATTCGAAGCAGAATAATGATGAAAGATGAAAAATATCAATGCACCAGAGATGCTAGGTCATTTTTTATTTCTTTATAATTTACCTCTGGTGTAAAAAGCTGGGGATGGGTCTTATTTTATATAGACTGCAAATCTAGACAGATCAGAGATCTGAGGGAAATCTAAATTTAGAACAATTCTATTTTATGTTCAAAAAGTGAGCAAGGAAGATTTTCCCTATAATGTGGTGCCATTAAAGGAGGTACAAAGAAAACTGAGTGAAAAAAAAAGTGATCAAACAGTGGAACATACAGCAAGTATAAGTGGTATCTTTGACTACTCCAATCTAAGCCTCTGATTAGCTTCTTTTAGTTATGAGACTCTTCTTTAGTAATTAATCAGTTATAAAATTTTCTTTTAAGTGTGCATTCCTTATGCTAATTTCTTTTTGCCATTCACAATGGGGTCAAATGCACCGGTGTTTAATCTCGATTAGAGGAGGATTTGGAGATAGAAGACAAATAAATTTAGTAACTGCTATAGGCAGACAATGATAAAGCTCATTTCTGTTAGAAGAAAAAAAATTAGCTGAATTACGTCTAACAGAGTTTAATTGAGCAAGGAATGATTTGCAAATTGGTCAGCCTCTGGAGCCACAACAGGCTCAGTGATTCCAACACAGCTATATAGTGGAAGAAAATTTATGCATAGACAAAGCAAAGTGAGGTACCAAAGATGGAAGTAAGGTACAGAAAGAGTTGATTGGTTATGGCTAGGGGTTTGCCTTATTTGAACATTGTTTGAACAGCTGGCCACCTTTGATTGGCCACAATACAGTAATTGCCATGAGAGTAGGCCGCCCTTTGTTTACAACTTCATTTAGCTTGTAGTTGATGACGTACAGAGAAATTATTAGGCCGACCTTAATATATGTTAGCAGGCAGCTTTAGACTAAACTTCATTTTAAAATTCCCTCCTTTTGTTCATCCTCTCAATTTTGAGAGATTGACCAAAACTTTAACCATTGATGTTACTATCACCATCATAAAAGTACTTATTTGGTCTTGAAACCCACTGGGAAATAGCATACAGTGGGTTTTATAAGGTGAGGACAAGGACATGAGGTTATTTCTTTTGTAAGTATTAGAGTAGAGGATACCTCTTTATGATGGAATGTCCTGTTTATAGAAGAAAAACAAAACCTAGTCTGTTTTAGGATTTATGTGTTTCCTTAAAGTCTGAATTTGATTATGTCACATTTAGTATAAGTGACTCCATTTTGGTTTGGTCTGATCTGTGGGGCCTAGTGCATGAGCTCAGTCCATAACAATGTCCTCTCATAATATGTTTAAAAACTCCCCCTTTTGGTCACATTCTCACTTAGGTGAGAGCATGACCAAAACTTAGAGCCTTAGGCCCACTCTCAGTTACTATCATTTTGGGTTTCTGATCTTAACACATTATTCATACATTACAGTGCCCTCATAGTCACACATTTCTTTCAGCTCTTGTCATTCCACTTGAAGAGAGTGGAATCTCTTTCCACTCTCTTCAACTTTATGGTTCTAAAAATGACTTCATGCAAACATTTCAAGCTTTTGAGAGAATACACTGCACCAGGGAGATGAATATTATGACTATCATGAGGATAATACCAAGAGTTTGGAGTATGCTCCTTAGCCAGGGTCCCCATAAACTAAACCAACTAAAATCAGATAGATCAAAGAATAAGTTAGATAAGGAGTCTACTCACTTTAACTAAGGAGTCTCTTTGTTAATCCCTTACAACTGAATCTCTATAATACCCAATGTGATGCATTTCTCCATGGGCAATAAGATGTGCCAGGAGCTGCACAGATACTTCCCTGTTTAGCCAGTAAGTAATCTAGAGCAATTCTATTATTTAGCATCACATTCATAAGAGAATGTTTTCTTTAAGGTAGCATCTTCTCTAGAACCTATCACGAGGGGTAAATTTCTAATCATTGCCTCATTTACTCCAAACAATGGATAAAATAATCTAAAAAATGAAGCCCTTCTAGAAGAGTGAAGACCTTCTGGCAATGTTTTCTTTGATGCATAATGTAGGTTAAGAAGAGTGGAGCAACATTCTGTTTCTGACTGATTATGAGGCAATGTATGTAACATTAAACTTGCTCACATACATTGGACCTTCAACTTTCATCTGTCAAGGCATAAAGTTATTCATGTATAAGGCTGGCTCGAAAATCCTTCACAAATAAAAGTAAACCCTGTGAGTGCACACAGAAAACCTGTTTTTCTTTTTCTATTGTTCAAAGAGGCATAAGCAAGGGAAAAAAATGAAAGATAAGAGTCTCATGATAGTAGAGAAGTCTCAATCTCTAATCTTGAGAAAAAGCTGTCCCCATCAAGGATGCCATCTTCTTCT
Source organism: Homo sapiens (assembly GCF_000001405.40). Lineage (NCBI taxonomy): Eukaryota > Metazoa > Chordata > Mammalia > Primates > Hominidae > Homo > Homo sapiens. The sequence continues at coordinate 143,865,728 of NC_000023.11, read as the reverse complement.
GGGGAGAAACCTCACTGGTTAGCTTCACCTTAAGGATTCCAATGGGTGTACAGTTCCAAGAGTGTGGAAGGACTCTTCTGAGTTGTGAGATTATAAACCCAAGGTTTGAGGTCCCAAAGTTTTGCTACAGAGTAGATGGCAGGACAGTCTTTCTCTGATGTTTCCAGAAATCCAATCATTGGGTTCTAGATTGTGAAGGGGTTGATTGTCCTTAGTCAGTGAACCATGAAAAGTTTTCTTTATCTGGTGAAAATAAACTGTGACATAATGATCTACTATTCTAACATCAGCTCTCTTGCATAGGAAAGCTTTTATACAACCAGAAAACATGCATTAAAAATTGACAGTTAGATGAAACCCCTCTATAAACATTTAAACGGCCCATCGGGTAGTGAAATGTACCTGAAGTTTTGATTGTCTTCCTAGGAATATGGGTTTGAAAAACCAAAGTTGGTCATAAACTATTTCAGCAATGTAGAAGTCACAACACACACACACACACACACACACACACACACACACACACACACATATATATATATTTAATTTGGATCATTTTGTGGTTTCCAAGACGAGCATTAGAATGCAGAACTCTTAATAAGGAAATCTTTAAGGAGTGAGTAAAAACAAGGCAGCTGTCGTGGTTCTCCAAGAGTTTATGCTTAACACTGGACTTATGTCTTTTTGAATACCAGTTGTTTCTCCAATTTAGGTGAATAGCACTGATAACTAATAGGTTATCATAGGAAATTTGATTTATACCACGGAATTAATTCAAATTGTGTATCTAAAGAACTTCAGTACTGGATGATTTAGCATGAAAATCTGGCAAAGTATTTTCTTGGTATTCAATTTTTGTCTTGCTTGCATTAGCAGTTTTATAAACCAGTCAGTCACTTTACTAAAGTTCCAAGAATTCTTATCCAGTTCAAATTATATGATTCTAAAGTTATTACAAACCTTTATTCAAGAATGCGTCTCAGAATCCTTTACATTCTTTCATGAACCTCCTTAAAGATACTATATTCTAGGATTTTTTGTGCTTGTGAAGTTTTCATAAACTGCATCAGATTTAAGCAATTAACTGTGAAAATAACTTTCAACAGTCATAGTTAAGGACAAAATTGACAAGGAAATTTGATTATTTCTATGGCCTACAATAACTTAACATAATAAACATAATTATGATCAATAACATGTACTCAGACAAATTAGAACTTTAGAAATCCCATACAATTTTGTAACATATGTTAATAACATTTATCTTGAAGAAGGTTAATCATCATTTCTTATTTGACAATGCTTCTTATGTAACTTAACACGTAAAATAATTTTGTTAATGTCTCTTTTGGATGCTTCAGGGGTGCTCCATAGCATCCCAAAGTTGGAAGTCAAAAATACTTAATTTTGAAGCTGAAATTAGATTTTGGGAAACCTGTCAGATATGTCAAAGGTTTAAAACACTTGACCAAAATAGGATCACAGGTCACCATAAAACAACAGTCATTCATTTAACCAAGGTGATAAATATAAGATTTTTGAAAACAATAACCTTCTACTCTTTGATAAAAAAGACTCAGTTTTCAAAACAATCAAAAGACCTAAGACAGCATGAAACAATCTGTCTTTTCTTTTGTCTCTTTTTTCCTTTTTACAGTTTACTTAAAAGGTGAACAAAAATATTTTACTGTCTTATTAAACTACACACAATTTTTGTTCAAAAGAGTAAACAAAATTTTAGTTTTTATCAGTGTATTATCAATACTAAAGTTAATTTTAATAAAACCTTAGAAATAAATTTATCAAATCTGTCATCTTTTAAGCACAAAAAGTTTCCATAAATATTTTGCTTTACTTTTTCCCCAATTTTCTGTATTCATCTTGGTGTAGCTATTTTTTTACTCCTTCTATTTGACACCTTTAAGTGACTTCAAACCAGATAAAATTTATTTTTTATTTTGTTTTACTTTTTTTGAGACAGAGTTTTGCTCTCATTGCCCAGGCTGGAGCACAATGGCGCGACCTTGGCTAACTGCAACCTCTGCCTCCTGGGTTCAAAGGATTCTCCTGCCTCAGCCTCCGGAGTAACTGGAATTACAGGCACCCGCCACCACGCCCAGCTAATTTTTTGTATTTTTAGTAGACACGGGGTTTCACCATGTTGGCCAGGCTGGTCTCAAACTCCTGACCTCAGGTGATCCACCCACCTCGGCCTCCCAAAGCAAACCAGACAACATTTTTAACACACACTTTTATGTCTTCATAATTTTCCTCATCAAATGCATATCTTGCTTTTGTTTATACACTCTGTATACAGAGATGTTTCTCTCATATGTAGTATTTTTTAACTCTTAGTAACCCCAATTTCAAGGGTTTCTTAGAAATACTAATTACTTTCTAATTATAGAAAGTAATTTTGAACTGTTTTTTATCACAACTTGTAGCTAAAAACCATTTTATAATTTTTAGAAAGATAGTTCTTCAAAATGTTTATTAACAGGTCTAAATATATTTAGCTTATCTATATTATATAAAAATAACATGTCAAGGTATATAGACTTAAACTCATATTTAATATTTCAGTATCTTAACTTACAGATAACTCAGACATTTTATGATTATCTATTATTTAATTTAACATAACATGACTCGAAAATTTTAAATTACTGAAAAGAATTTTGAAACTATGACACAGGTTGCCTCACTAATGCCTTCCCCCAGTCATTCTAGGTCCCAAGTAGTCACATGACACCCAGCAGAACTATGAACAGAAGACAGAGCTGTGAAGACTGTACCTGAAAGATCCAACTCCTCCGAAAATAGCCAGGAGGCAAAACAGGAAAAGCAGAGGTAGAAGGGACCATGTTGGGCTTAATTTTGGCTTGTAGCTTCTGGTCTCGGCACTTAGAACAAATCTCCAGACGTCATCATGGCCACCTATCCAGACCCGTGAATCCAGAGACTCTAAACCAAAGACATATGCTCACGGTCAAATCAAGCAAGCATCTAACGATATTTACCTGATAATTTGTAAGTCATTTCTGTTTTACCAACAATTTAAAAACTAGCTTTATTTACCAAATATCACAAACACATATAGATATACAAACACACAGTGGCAGATCTTATAGTTCTCATAAAGGATTTCAATTTGCTGGCTTTTAAATAGTTTTTCTTTTTTTTTTCATTTGGTCTATCAGTCTTCTAATTACCTGTTTCATTACCCTAAGCAATTGTTAACAAGGCAACAAATTTGCATTTCTAAAGAGACAACTCTTAGTTGGAACAAAACAAAATTATATTTTATAATCATAGGACTTAGATTTTAGGCTTAAGTATTCTACTTGCTCAAACCAAGGGAGAAAAAGCTGCTCAAGTAAAAATGTACTCAAGACAAGATGGCCAGAAAAACATGTTAAACAAAGTATGACACATATAAATTTAAAAGAATGGTAAGGGTTGCTAGTGTACATCGGCAGACATCTTTAAAAACAGAGATTTCCTTTATAGTTGTAATTTTGTGTAAAACTGTGTTCAAATAGGGCAAATGCCAAGCTGTAACTAATCCAACTGTTTCTGTACCTCATTTCTGTTTTTTTAATGTCACTTTGATTTTTCTATGCATAAATCTTCTTCCACCATGTGGCTGCACTGGAGTCTCTGAGCCTACTCTGCAAAAGACACAAACAAATAGAAAAACATTCAATGCTCATGGATAGGAAGAATCAATATTATTAAAATGGCTGAACTGCCCAAAGCAATTTACAGATTCAATGCTATACCTATCAAACTACCAATGACACTCTTGACAGAACTGGAAAAAACTATTTTAAAATTTATATGGAGATGAAAAGGAGCCTGAATAGCCAAGGCAATCTTAAGCAAAAAGAGTAAAGCTGGAGGAATCATGTTACCTGACTTTAAGCTATCCTACAGTGCCACAGTAACCAAAACAGCATGGTACTGGTACAAAAACAGTCATATAGACCAAGGGAACTGAATAGAGGGCCCAGAAAAAAGGTCATACATCTATAACCATCTGATCTTTGACAAAGCTGACAAAAACAATCAATGGGGAAAAGAGTCCCTGTTTAATAAATGGTACTGGGATAATTGACTAGCCATATGCTGAAGATTGAAGCGGGACCCCTTCCTTATATCATATACAAAAATTAACTCAAGACAGATTAAAGACTTAAATGTAAAACCCAAAAGACTAAAAACCCTGGAAGACAACCTAGGCAATACTATCTGGACATAGGAATGGGCAAAGATTTCATGACAAGGACACCAAAAGCAAAGGCAATAAAAGCAAAAATTGACCAATGGGATCTAATTAAACTTAAGAGCTTCTTCACAGCAAAATAAACAAAAAAATTATCCACATAGTAAACAGACAACCTACAGAATGGGAGAAAATATTTTCAAACTATGCATATGACAAAGGTCAAATATCCAGCATCTATAAGGAACTAAAACAAATTTACAAGAGACAAACAACCCCATTAAAAAGTGGGCAAAGTACATGAACAGACATTTCTCAAAAGAAAACATATGCGGCCAACAAGCATATGAAGAAAAGCTCAATATCGCTGATCATTAGACAAATGCAAATCAAAACCATAATCAGATACCATCTCACACCAGTTAGAAAGGCTAATTATTAAAAAGTCAAAAAATAACAGATGCTGGTGAGGTTGTGGCGAAAAGTGAAACTTTATACACTTCAGGTGGGAGTTTAAATTAGTTCTACCATTGTGGAAAGCAGTATGGCGATCCTCAAAGAGTTAAAAGCAGAACTACCATTCAACCCCAAAACCCCATTACTGGGTATATACCCAGCGGAATATAAAGCATTCTATTGAAAAGACATATGCATATGAAGGTTCACTGTAGCACTGTTCACAATAGCAAAGACATGAAATCAACTTAAATGTCCATCAATAACAAACCAGATAAAGAAAATGTGACACATATATACCATGGAATACTATGCAGCCATAAAAAGTAACAAGATCATGTATTTTGCAGGAACATGGATGGAGCTGGAGGCTATCATCCTTAGCAAACTAACACAGGAACACAAAATCAAATACCACATGTTCTCACTCCTAAGTGGGAGCTACATGATAAGAAATTATGCACACAAAAAAGAAAACAACAGATACTGGGGTCGACTTGAGTGGGGAAAGTGGGAGGACAGAGAAGGGCAGAAAACATAACTATCGGGTACTTAGCTGAAAACCTGGATGATGTAATAATATGTACAACAAACCCCCGTGACATGTGTTTGTGTAACAAACTTTCACATCTACCTCCAAACCTAAAATTTTAAAAATTCTTAAAGTCAGGAAGTAAGCATCTTTTCAATGAATTATATAAAGTCTATATTCTTCATTTATTGAAATAAAACATTTCTTGATATGTAAGGAGAAACTTACGTCTGAGTTGACATTTCATATAGTATGGCTTTTAGGTACTCTGGAGGGATATTTGAAATAGTGTGCACTGTTAATATTTCTATAGGGCCAAATAGTAGAAGTTATATAAGATTATTCAATTTAAAATCATAGTGGATTTGATTCACCTGTTAAAACATTTCTAAATTTAATAAGGAGAAAGCTCAAAGAATACATTTAGAAAATTTAGTAACCAACTTTAGCTAACATGCTTTGAGGTTGCATCTTGTTACATAAAGCACAGACAATTGTACACACAATATCTGGTGCATCCAGTGGGACCTATGTACATGAACTCTTCATTTTTAAAAGCCTGAAGGATTATCTTAATTGCATTCAGGCACTAACTTTTTTGAAGAAGAAGCAGTCTACCTTACAGTTACCATGGACACTTACTTTTAACATTAAAGTAATACCTCCCATATCTTTCCCTGTTCGTTCCTTCTGAATGGATATTAGAAGAGAAACTACATTACCTCCTGTCTTGTAGGCCTCTCTATTCAGCACACGGCAGATCTCTTAGCATATATTGACCATACTGCTGGGGACAGTGCTCCATGGAAGATGGACCTAATACTACCATTTCAACGGATATTTCAGACATTTATCTAGTGCCTACTCCAGACCAGGTAATTTAAAATGCAATTGGCATAAAGAGCCAAATATGGACAGACTCCTGCCATGAGAAAACTATCAATTTGAGGGGAGAGGCAGCCTTCACAAACAAGAATTGTGATTATATAATTATGTAATACTAGAGGCAGGTACGCTGGAACATAGAAGCTCATAGAAATGCACTGTTCCTTGGGGTGTCTGGAAAATGTTATGGGGTGGTTGCATTTGAGCTGTTTCTTAAATGATATGTAAGAACTTGCCACACTGAGGAATTTTAAAAAACGGAGGAAGGAAGTCAAATCAGGAAGATCATATTGTACAAGGGCACATGTACCCCAAAACTGTCCTAGAAATTGTCTAGAGATGCCCAATATTCCTGTCTTGCGGATGTGATATGTGCAGATTGGAAAGGGGATGTGGCCTGCCCCATCTCACAGAGTGAAACCAGTTGCTTTCAATTAAGTGTTCTGGCCAGTACACACTATTTCTCTTTATGCAAATAAAAATGTCATGACATTCAGAATTTATAAAACAGTCCATCCCCAACCTCATCCCCTTTGACTTGCATAGATCCTTGCATTTTTATTTTTATTTTTTTCTTCAACTTTTATTTTAAGTTCCGGGGCACATGTGCAGAATGTGTAGGTTTATTACATAGGTAAACATGTCATGGTGGTTTGATGCACAGATCAACCCATCACCTAGGTATTAAGCCCAGCATCCATTAGCTATTCTTCCTGATGCTCTCTCTCACCTCGCCCACCCTGACAGGCCCCAGTGTGTGTTGTTCCCCTCCATGTATCAATGAGTTCTCATCATTCAGCTCCCACTTATAAGTAAGAACATGTAGTGCTTGGTTTTCTGATCCTGTGTTAGTCTGCTGAGGATAACTGCTTCTAGCATCATTAATGTCCCTGCAAAAGACATGATCTCGTTCCTTTTTATGGCTGCAAAATTTTCTTTATTCGGTCTGTCATTGGTGGGCATATGGATTGATTCCATGTCTTTGCTATTGTAAGCAGTGCTGCAATGAACATACCTGTATATATCTTTGTAATAGAATGATTTATACTCATTTGAATATACACCCAGTAATGGGATTGCTGGGTCAAATGGTATTTCTGGTTCTAGGCATTTGAGGAATCTCCACACTGTCTTCAATGGTTGAACTAATTTACATGCCCACCAACAGTGTAAAAGCATTTCTTTCCCTCTGCAACCTTGCCAACACCTGCTGTTTTTTGACATATATATATAGATAGAGAGATAGATGATAGATAGATAGATAGATAGATAGATAGATAGATAGATAGATAGATATGGATACAGATATAGATATAGATATAGATATATAAAGTTCTGGGATACATGTGCAGGTTTGTTACATAGGTAAATGTGTGCCATGGTGATTTGCTGCACCTATCAACCATCACCTAGATATTAAGTGCAGCATTCATTAACTATTTTTCCTGATGCTCTCCCTTCCACCACCCCCTCCCCAACAGGCTCCAGTGTGTGTTCTTCCCCTCCTTGTGACTATGTGTTCAACTCCCACTTATAAGTGAGAACATACAGTGTTTGATTTGCTGTTCCTGCATTAATTTGCTGAAGATCATGGCGTCCATGTCCCTGCAAAGGACATTATCTCATTCCCTTTTATGGTTGCATAGTATTCCATGGTGTATATGTACCACATTTTCTTTATTCGGTCTGTCATTGATAGGAATTTGGGTTGTTTCCATGTCTTTGCTATTGTAAACAGTGCTGCAATAAACATACACATGAATGTATATTTATAATAGAATCATTTATATTTCTTTGGGTATATACCAGTAATGTGATTGCTAGATCAAATGGTATTTCTGGTTCTAGATCTTTGAGGAATCGCCACACCATTTTTCACAATGGTTGAACTAATTTACATTCCCATCAACAGTGTAAAAGCATTCATATTTCTCTGCAGCCTCTCCAGCATCTGTTGTTTCTTGACAGAATAAGTGCCATTCTGAAAGGCATGAGATGATATCTCATTGTGGTTTTGATTTGCATTTTTCTAACGATTAGTGATGTTGAGCTTTTTTCATACATTTGTTGGCTACATGAATGTCTTCTTTTGAGAAGTGTCTGTTTATGTCCTTTGCCCACTTTTCAATGTGGTTATTTGGTTTTTTCTTGTAAATTTGTTTACATTCCTTGTTGACTCTGGATATTAGACCTTTGTCAGATGAATAGATTGCAAAAATTTTCTTTCATTCTGTAGGTTCTCTGTTCACTCTGATGCTAGTTTCTACCAGAGGTGCAAAGAAGAGCTGGTAGCATTTTTACTGAAACTATCTCAAACAATTGAAAAGGAGGGACTCTTCTCTAACTCATTTTATGAGGTCAGCATTATCCTAATACCACAACCTGGCAGAGATACAAAAAAGAAAAAAAGAAAACTTCAGACCCATATTCTTGATGAACACTGATGCAAAAATCTTTAGTAAAATACTTGCAAACCAAATCCAGCAGCATGTCAAAAAGCTTATCCATCATGATGAAGTCGTCTTCACCCCTGGGATACAAAGCTGGTTCAACATACACAAATCAATAAATGCAACTCATCACGTAAACAGAACTAAAGAAAAAAACACATTATTATCTCAATTGATGCAGAAAAGGCCTTTGATAAAATTCAACATCTTTTTCTGCTGAAAGTTCTCAATAAGCTAGGTATTGAAGAAACATACTTTAAAATAATAAGACCCATCTATGACAGACCCACAGCCAATATTATTGTGAATGGGCAAAAGCTGGAAGCATTCCCCTTGAAAACCGGCACAAGACAAGAATGCCCTCTCTCATCACTCCTATTTAATACAGTATTGGAAGTTCTGGCCCGGGCAATCAGGCAAGAGAAGGAAAGAAAGTGTATTCAAATAGGAAGAGAGGAAGTCAAATTATCTTTGTTTGCAGATGACATAATCCTATATCTAGAAAACCCCATTGTCTCAGCTCCAAAGCTTCTTAAGCTGATAAGCAACTTCAGGAAAGTCTCAGGATACAAAATCAGTGTTCCAAAAAAGCTAGAATTCCTGTACACCAAAAACAGGCAAACAGAGAGCGAAATCACGAATGAACTCCCATTCACAATTGCTACAAACAGAATAAAATATCCAGGAATATAGCTAACAAGGGAAGAGAAGGACCTCTTCAAGGAGAACTAGAAATCACTGTCCAAGAAATCAGAGAGGACACAAACAAATAGAAAAATATTCCAAGCTCATGAATAAGAAGAATCCATATCATGAAAATGCCCTAACTGCCCAAAGTAATTTATAGATTGAATGTGGTTCCCATTAAACTACCATTAACATTCTACACAGAATTAGAAGAACCTGTTTTTAAATTCATATGGAACCAAAATAGAGCCCAAAGAGCCAAGACAATCCTTGCATTTTAAATCCAGATTGAATGAATAGCCTCATATTCTGATGTAGCAGTAGTTTACCTGTGTGGAACAGTGGGAACCATACAGATACGCACAGAAGGAAGTGTTCTTCCCAAACAATTTCCTCAAGTTTGGGCCTTTCATTCTCAGAGCCTTCCAGATAGCTAACTCCTTAAAGTTATGCCTCTGACTTAAATATCTGCTCATTTAGTACATTTAGCTGCCTTTAGAAATTTGTGATGTTTAAAAACATAGCAAGAGAGAAAGCAGGCAAAAGCATGCTAGTAGGAATACAACCAGATATGTTCAACTATTGCCATTTATGTTGCTATACTAATGAAACACCACGTTAAAATCAACAACAATAACAAAAATTCAATTGAGTGAAAGAAAAATTTTACCTAAAGGCAGAAAAGCGGGCATACAGTATACCCCAGTATATCCCAATACACATTTCTTTTTTTGTTTTGGAGATGGAGTCTCCCTCTGTCACCCAGGCTGGAGTGCAGTGACACAATCTCGGCTCACTGCAACCTTTGCCTGCCAGGTTCAAGCAAGTCTCCTGCCTCGGCCTCCCAAATAGCTGGGACTACAGGTGCACAGCACCACACCCAGCTAATTTTTGTATTTTAATAGAAACGGGGTTTCACCATGTTGACCAGGCTGGTCTTGAACTCCTGACCTCAGGTGACCCACCCGCCTCGGCCTTCCCAAGTGGTGAGATTACAGGCATGAGCCACTGTGCCTGGCCACACAGTTCTTGAATAAATCAATCTTGATGCTAAGTGCAATGGTTTAGCGACTAGAAAAAATGAGTATTAGTTCAGTTCTGTCATTTGCCAGCAGGGATACCCTAGATATCCTCTCAAAATCTCAATTTTTTCACCCATAAACTAATAGAAATAACTATGCATGGTGAGTGCATAGAAAGTAAAATAGAGTAATGCAAGTCAAAATATTTGGAGAAAATAGGAAATGAGATTAGAAGATATTAAATTTAGACTTATGTTTAAATGCTGTACTAACAATTTTGAGTGCCAGTTTTCTTATATGTGATATATATTTATTTTATTTCCACTTTAATATTGCTATATTAAATGCTGCTGAGGTTTTCCAAGTTCTCTGGCTATTATCAACAGTTATATTTTATTAATGAAATATAGTTATGCAAAATAGAAGCTTGCAGAGTTTCAAAAGAAAATAGATAAATACAACGTTATAAATTCATCTAAAAATATATTAAGGGGGCTTACTTTGACCACATGATACTGCATGGTTGGCTACCATTGATGTTACCTCTTTCTTTTACTAAACTGAAAAATAAATAAAGTTATAAGAGAAAAATTGTCTCTTTATGAAATGGAAAGATAATTTTGCATTTATGCAGTTATACAAATTGCAAAGCACTTTCATATTCACTATTACATTGATCTCCCAAATAACCTTCTATACTGGAAGAAAACATACAACTCTAAGTATCTTGTTACTGTTACCTCTCCTTTGTAGATGAGAACAATGTTGCTGAGATTTACAAAGGTAATAAGAGGTAGAGCTTGGTCTAGGACCCAGGCCTCTTGTTGTCTTGCCTTATGCTTTTTCTCCTATACCACAACATTCTTTCAATCATACAGCTTGAACTAATAGCCAGTATTACATCAAAATGAGGACTGTGTTTCTATGCCAATATCTCAGCTGCAGTATGATCTAGAATTTGGGGATTCAGCAATGCTTCATGAAGAAAGCTGACCACCAAGCACAGAAAAATTTATTTATGGGGTTTTATGTAATGCAGGTTTCAAATATGAGAGAACATTTGTTTTAGGATTTATTTTAATAGTTTAAACAAATATCTAAAGTAATTTTCAAAAAGTGATAGTTTAAAACAGGCTATACTGTTTTTATTCTATTCACCATTAGTCCTATAAATATGAAATTAAATGCATGTTTTTAGCCGGTATTAAAGGATTCTTACAGTGAGTCACACAAAGATGATTAGCTATTTCCTGGTGACTCATTTGTTTCTGTGGCTTCTTCCCTCCTTAAATCAAGTCAGGTTTTAACAACAGTCTCCACGAGCAAGTCTTTTGCTTTTAATAATAAATTGATATAAAATTATACATATAGAAAATAAGTAAGTGAGGTACAATCTGTAAGAGAGTGGATTTACTGGATTTTGTTAATTCTCTAAGTTTCAAAAACAAATACTTTTATTGGTCTAACAGAGTTCAGTTCAATTGTATATAAAATTCTCATCTGAAGTGATAGATCCAACAGGAAGTGAGAAGTACTATGTTCATTACTTATTTAAACTGTCGTTTTACAACTTTCAAGATAATATATACTATATATGTATATTTAATTGTCAGTTAGGGATTTGTATCCATTTTCTAAAACTACTGTAGATAATTGCCACAAATTGGGTGGCTAAAAACAACTGAAATTTATTTTCTCACAGTTCTGAGCTCTGTGAGCTAGAAATTCAAAATCAGGTTATTGGCAGGGCCACACTTCCACTGAGGGCTGTAAGTAGGAGTGATTTTTTTTTTTTTTTTTTTTTTTTTTTTTTTTGCTTCCTCTAGTTTCTGGTTGTTCCCGGGCATTCCTTGCCTTCTGGCTTCTGACAGCAAAACTCTAATCTCTGCCTCTGTGGTCATGGTATTCTCCCCTTGTGTCTGTGTCTCTTCTCCTCTTTGTATAAGAACAGCAGTCATATGGGATTATGATACCACCCTACTCCAGTATGACCTCATTTTAATGAACTATGTCTGCAGGAACCTTAGTTCCAAATAACATCACATTCTGAAGAATTAACATGTCAACATATCTTTTTTTTGTGGGGTCGGGGGCTGTGTATGAGGACACAATTCACCGTGTAACAGGGCTTCAATCGCATGGTCGAAAATTAAACTATCCATTAATAATACCTCTTCCACCCTTGTGCCTCATTTGCCCAATTCCCATCACATTACCAAATGTAATTACTGTTTCTTATGTAGAAATCAGTGATTTATTCAATTTTTTAGAAATTATATTCTAATTTCTTTGTTTTATATATATATGTATATTTGAGTTTAATTATGTATAAGCAAGAAAATACAAATGTATCTCCTTACATTCTTTCTTTTAAACAATGGGCAACACACTGTAACTTTGTTCTTTACTTACATTTTTACTTGAAACCATTTTTGGAGACTTTTGCAAATCAACAATGGAAGAAATAGCTAATGCTTATATAGCGTTTACTATATATGAAATGAGCTGATATATCTAAGGTTGATGAAAATCCTAAACAGTAAGTTCTAGTATTATCTGCATTTTATATATGATGAAAATGAGCCTTAGGAACTTACCCAGGATTACACAGTTAATAAGCAATAGAGTTGTGAGAGGAAGCCAGGAAGACTTGTTCTGATATCAGCGGCCTAAAACATTGCATTAAACTGTCTCTCTAAAGAATGTCTTTGTTCTTTCTTAAAACAGGATTGTACTCCAATATATAAATGTAGCATGACTTATTCATCTTGTGATCAATTCACACTGAGATATTTTTATCATTGTTTCAACAAATACTTTTGCAATAAATAACATTATGTAACATTTCATTTTACGCATACACAGGACCATTAATGGGTTTAATTCATGAAGTGGAATTCTAGGGACAAAAAAATCTATGTATTTGAAATTTTGATAGACAGTGTCAAATTTCATTCCAATTTGTATTCCTACCAGTAACAAATGAAAGTGATTGTTTATATAAGGCTTCGCCAGTAAGTTTATTACCAAGACTTTCAATTATAGCCAATCTGATAGTTTCAAAAGAGAAATTTCAAGTAGTTTTAAGTAATATTTCTTTTATTACAAGTGAGGATAGTTACCTTCTCCAGTTGCAGGTACTCTTTATATATAAGAAGATTCATTTTTTCCTGATGATAAAAGTAACATTTTTGTTCTGTGTCATTTTTTTGTACTTTATTCACAGTGCTTTCATTTGTTGTTGTTGCTTTGTATTTTGATCTTAGCCTTACAAGTTTTACTTGTATTTCATAAAATCAAATTTATTAATCATTTCTATTATATTTTTTACTCTTTTAACTGACAAATGATCATTGTGTATATTTCCGGGGACCAATATGATGTTTCCCTCTATGTATAAGATGAAATCAAGCGAATTAACATATCCATCATCCCACCAACTTATATTTTGGTGATAAGAATGTTTTAAAAATCTATTCATTTAGCAACTTTGAAATATACTATATATTATCATTAGCTGTAGTCACCATGTAGTGCAATAGGTCTCTAAAACTTATTCTTGCAGTCTAACTGAAATTCTATGCAGCCATAAGAAATGATGAGTTCATGTCCTTTGTAGGGACATGGATGAAACTGGAAATCATCATTCTCAGTAAACTATCGCAAGGACAAAAAACCAAACACCGCATGTTCTCACTCATAGGTGGGAATTGAACAATGAGAACACATGGACACAGGAAGGGGAACATCACACTCTAGGGCCTGTTGTGGGGTGGGGGGAGCGGAGAGGGATAGCATTAGGAGATATACCTAATGCTAAATGATGAGTTAATGGGTGCAGCACACCAACATGGCACATGTATACATATGTAACTAACCTGCACATTGTGCACATGTACCCTAAAACTTAAAGTATAATAATAATAAAATAAAAAAAGAAACAAAATAAAGTTTCCTGATATCAATTAATAGATTAAAATACAGGTAAACACTTGTTTACAGTCTTTGTTTAACAAACCTTGCATTTAAGTCTAGGTGGCATCAACACATAGGAAATAGGTGTATGAAGATATGACTTTGAGATTAAAGTTAGTCCAAAAATGTAAATAAATGTGGAACATGTCCTTGTGGAGGCAGGTGGAAGAAAGGCATCTTTCATTCAATGGATTTATACAAGTTATCTATTATTTACTTCTGCTTATCTAGTAAAGCTATCTTCATATTTAAATTACTGCTTCATTTGAAACATATGCTGATATATGATTTAAGGTACAAATCCAACTTCTGTTGTTTACCAAATGGTTACTCAAGTTTTTCTAACACTGTATATAAAACAAGTTTATGTTCTTGCACTGACTTGAAGTGACATCTGTATAATACTAAACTCTTATATGCATTGAGGTCCATTCCTGGATGTCAAATTCTCTTCATCTTTTGACTATTCATGTATCTGTAACAAACATTCCATTTAAAATTTAATTGTATCTTTTATTTAATGTTTAATTGACTAATCATTATATACATCGTATATTTATGGCATACAATATGATATTTTGCTATATGTTTACATTCTTGAATAATTAAATCAAACTATATTTACAAATCCATCATTTTACATACTTATTTTCTGTGGTGAAAACATTTAAAATCTACTATTTCGGCAATTTTAAAACATGCAGTAATTATTGTTGTGCAGTAGATCACTAAATCCTTCTAACTAACTGAAATTTTGTACCCTTTGATTAACATCTTCCCTTTCTCCATCTACCCCATTCCCCTAGCCCCGGTAACCACCATTTTACTCTGTTTCTGTAAGTTTGACTTTTTTTAAGATTCCACATGTAAATGTGAGCATGCAGTATTTGTTGTTTTGCGTGTGCCTGCCTTATTTCTCTTAGCATAATGCCCTCCACATTTATGCATGTTATTGCAAGTAACAGAATTTTATTTTTTAAGACTGAACAGTGTTATATTATGTATATATATATACCACGTTTTCTTTATCCATTAATCCATTGACCCACATTTAGGTTGTTTCCATATCTTGGCTATTTTAAATAATTCTGCAATGAACATCAGAGTGCGGATGTCTTTTGTACATATTGATTTAAATTCCTCTGGATATACACAGGTTGAGTATGCTTTATCTAAACTGCTTGGGACCAGAAGTGTTTGGAGTTTTAATTTTTTTCAATTATTAGCATATTTGCATATATATAATGAGATATATAGGGAATGGGACCCAAATTGAAATACAAATATGTTTGCTTCATATACTCTTTATATACATAGGCTGAATGTAATTTTATATAATATTTTAATGATTTTATGCATGAAACAAACATTTGTATACATTGAATCATCAGAAAGAAATGATGTCACTATCTCAGCCACCCACGTGGAAAATCTGTGGTTGTTTGTCATCACCGTCATTCCTCACTCTAAATTTATATGCTACTGATAAGCAATCATTTTCTCACATTTATTCACACATCAATACTTAACAGTAAAAATTATGACATGCCGTTAATACAGTGAAAAATAATATGCTCAGTGTAACAAAATAACACAGTAGCATCATCATAATACTTGTATTAACTGTTAAACAACAAACTACAGCAGCATTTTAGTTTCTACCCACGATGCTGTGTTTTGATTAAAAGGTTACAGTACATTGTATTTTTTTTTTAGATGAGAAGAAACACCAGAAGCAGTTGAAGGACCAGGAAATGGGTCCTTGAGGGATGAGGAGGCATTCTGCTGGATGGCTTTTAAAATGTTTCCTCCAGATTCATTTGTCTCATTAACAACAGTTTTTGTCTTAGAAGTCTCTCTTTGATTTTATAAACAGACATAATTTCTTGTTCTATTATGAATGCACACATTCTAGTCCTCAATAAGACTAGTACACATTTTCACCATGTTACTGATAGGCTCTTCTTTTTGCAGTGTTAACAATATCATCTTCATTTTGATTATTATCAAAATCACTTTGATAAAGAGCCATTTTGGCTATTTCACCATTAGTCAACTAATGAACTACTGGAACCTCTTTAGTGATATTAAAAATTTCTTTGATAGTCACTTCTTCCATATTACTGATGGACTCTGAGGGTATATTTTTTGCATATGTAAGGAGGTCAGACATTATTTTGTTCTCACTTTACATACATAATTATTCAGTCACTTCCTTGTTTACCATCATCACTGAAAACAGTTGCAGGCCAGAGGCTGTGCCAGGTATGCACAACTGTATCTTTAGTCACTGTGTTCCAAGTGTTAGCAAAAACATATAGGACAACCTTCACGCCAAACTCCTTCTGAAAACCTTCCACACCCATGCCTCTGTTCACTGCTGCTAGCATACTGTTCAAAAAGTGTCTTATATTTACTCTTCATTGATGCAAGGATACCCTGGTAACAGGGCTGAAGTAAGAAGTCACATTTGGGGAAAAGTACATTGCACAAACAGTATTTTTGATGACAATTTTAGCTGGAGGATGAGTAAAACAGTTATAAAGAAACAACACAATCTTGCAGTCATTTTCCAATCAGCTTCCCTGTAGTGAGCATCAGCTGCTGGTATAAAATTGCTTGAGAAAAAATCAGAAAACATGTCCCTGGTGACACGTGCCCTTTTGTTAACATAATAATGGACTAGTACTAAATTCACTCCTTAAAACCAGTGAGAATGCAAGCTTTTGCCTATCACAGCAAGTTTAGACTTATGCATGCCTGCTGCATTAGCAAATCCTAACAGAGTTATTCTGTGCTTTGCATCCTTAATTCCTGTCTCTTCGCCTGTACTCTGTGACTTTCTGGGGCAATAATTCCAAAACATGATATTTTATCATCATTGTAGACTTGTTCTGACATGAGATTTTCATCAGCAAGGACTTTGGTAAACTTGTCACTGAATTTCCCTGCTGCTTTATGACAGCAGATGCTTTCTCACCACAAATTTCAACAATTTAATGTTGTGGCTTTTTCTAAATCTCTGAAACTAGCTTGCTGAATATTCTAGTTCTTTTCAATTTTCCATTCCTTGTGATAGATCTTTCTTCGTTTTATGGTCAGTATACCTTTAAGTGGCATGTGTTCAGTGCAGTGCTCATGGATCCACTCTTTCAAAATACAATAAAGATCTTCATTTGATTTTTAAGTTTATGCATTTTTTTAAATTCATTAACTTCTGCTCATCATGTGCAGCCTAAAACATCAAAAGTTTAGCATTCTTTTTCTTCAGGTCATATATGCTGTTCATTCCAATATCATACTCTTCTGTAAGACATTTCACACTTACACTGCTATCTTGTTTCTCCAACAACTTGACTTTCTATGTCAAAGATAAACATAAATGGTGCCTCTTCTATTTAATTATTAAATAAATTATATTTATTAGTAATTTATATATAAATTTATTTCATTATTTATAAATACATTGTATTTATTAAACATAAATGCTTTCCTCTTATCACCGTTACTCATAAAAGTATCTGCAGGCCTTCTTGATATTTTACACTGTATCTTTACAACCACACAACAGAGAATGAACCAAAAATAATACTAATATGTAAAGCCTGTAGGTATTGGCCCCATGTGGGGCATCATGGGAAACCTCTTGTTGATGCATCTAGCCTACACACATATAATTTTATTGCATTTTGTGGGCATGTTTGTAGGAATCTGGGCATGCACAGAAAAGACATACTACAGCTGAGAGAAGCTGGAAAAATCTTTTTTCCCTGGGGGGTACTAAATAAACTGTGTCTTGTGTACCTGTTTTGACTGTAACCTGTCACTTGAGGTCAGATGTGAAATTTTTCACTTGTGACTTCATCTCAGAACTCCAATTTGGGAGCATTTTAGAAACTGAATTTCTTTTTTTTATTATTGTACTTTAAGTTCTAGGGTACACGTGCACAATGTGCAGGTTTGTTACATATATATACATGTGCCGTGTTGGTTTGCTGCAACCATTAACTCATAATTTACATTAGGTATTTCTCCTAATGCTATCCCTCCCCTATCCCCCCACACCATGACGGGCCCCAGTGTGTGATGTTCCCTTCCCTGTGTCCAAGTGTTCTCATTGTTCAATTCCCACCTATGAGTGAGAACATGCGGTGTTTGGTTTTCTGTCCTTACGATAGTTTGCTCAGAATGATGGTTTCCAGCTTCATCCATGTCGCTACAAAGGACATGAACTCATCCTTTTTTATGGCTGTATAGTATTCCATGGCGTATTTGTGCCACATTTTCTTAATCCAGTCTATCCTTGATGGACATTTAAAACCACAGCCAGTATCATACTGAATGGATATTGAATTTCTGGATTAGAGATGTTCAAAATGTATATCCAGAAGTGGGATTTCTGGATTATATGGTAATTCTATTTTTAGTTTTCTGAGGAAACTTCAGACTCCTTTCTATAATGGGTCTCATTTATTACAGTTTTATATATTTCAAATCCTCATATAATTATTCCCTTTTTAGTACTCTTTCAGAATGTTTTATATATACTTCTTTATTTTTCTCTACAGGCATGACGATCAGATTCTCTAACTTCCCACAAAACACTGTTAGTGTTTTTATTGGGTTTGTGTTAAATTTATAGGCTAGTTTATGGAGGATTAATAACATGTTTTTGGTCATTTATATTTAGGATAGTATATACTGCTTATCTTCTTTTTTGTCCTTCATGAGTGCTTTTACAGTTTTCTCTTTATATAAAACTTGCCTACTAGTATTAACACATCTTACATATTTAGTCTGTTTAATTGCTATTGTTAAGCTGTGACTTCTTCCATCACACTCTCTATTCCATTTCAATAATAACCATATTGGTGGTTATGCATTCATATGAAAGTTATTAATTTCTGTGTATTATTTTGCACCTCACTGATTCACTGCTTTTCATTACTTTTTTCATTTGATCTACCGGGATTTTCTATAAATACAATCTTATCACTTGCAAATAGGGATAGTTTCACATCCCTCTATGCAATTTATATCTAATTTCTTTCAGAGGTCTAATTGCTTTAGCTAGTATTTCCAAGTTAACATCAAATAATAAGAATAATTGTGAACATTCTCATCTACTTTTTTACTTTAACATGAATGGATCTATTATTTACTTATTAAGCATAATGCTGCTTTTGGGGTGAGAATTTTACTAGCTTAAGAAAATATCCATGCATTCTTATTTTATGAACTATTTTTATAAATCGAGAAATTGTTGAATTTTGCAATATGCTTTTCAGCATCTATAGAGTCAATCAAAAATGGTTCTTAGGTCTGCTATGATAATGAGTTAAATTATCAGGTATCCTATTACTGTACTTTCTTTGTATTCCTGAAACAAATCTTACTCAATATGGATTTGCTCTTTTAATGTGCTGTTGAATTACTAATATTTTAGGTTGAGTTTTGCATCTATTTTTCTAAATGAGATTGGTTTAAAGTTTTATTTTTTGTGCTGTTGTTTGAAATTTTCTATGAGTCTGAAGTAGCTTCATGAAAAATAAATAGCTTTAGGCTCTATTTATTTCCATGCCCTGAAGTTATTTATTTATTTTTTTCCAGAGATTTTCTTATTATTATAGGGAATGTCCTTGCATGTCTACACTCTATTATTATTTTTTTTTAATTTTTATTATACTTTAAGTTCTAGGGTACACGTGCACAATGTGCAGGTTTGTTACATAGGTATACATGTGCCATGTTGGTTTGCTGCACCCATCAACTCGTCATTTACATTAGGTATTTCTCCTAATGCTATTCCTCCCCCGTCTCTGAAGTAAATTTTTTTTTTAAGGTTAGATAGAATCTTCCAGAGAAACCATTACCTGAGTCTTTTTTTGTTTCTGTTTATGTGAGGTGGGGTGATCTTTTGGATAATTTTCTCAAATTATTCTGTGGAAACTAGTCTGTTGAGATATTCTATGTATTTTACGGTCGTTTTTGGTAAAGTACATTTTTCTAGAAAATTATCTATTTCATCCAATTTTTCACATTTATTACCATAGAGGTGAAAATATTAGTTTCTTATAGTTGCAATTTTATCAGTTTATTTATTTCCCAATTTTCATTTCTTTTTCTCACATATTTGTGGTTTTTGCTAATTAAGTTATTTAAAGAGTTGCTTATTTAATGAGAGGGCGGCACAGGATGGTACAGTAGAACTCTCCAGGGATTATCCTCCAACAACGACATCAATTTGAACAACTATCCACACACAAAAAATCACCACAAGAACTCAGGAACTTAGGTGAAAGATTACAGTACCTCATTTCAGTATAATAATAATAAAAGATGCATTAAACAGGGTATGAAGAACAATTTTACATTACCCATGTAATTTCTTACCTAATTTAATAAAATTTAAGAAAAAAAATAATGTATTTAAACTGTACTTGAGACCAAATGGACCTAACAGACATGTACAGAACATTCTATGCAACAGCTACCGAATACACTTTTTTCTCAACTCCACATTAAACATTCTTTCAGGTAGATTATGTAAGGCTGTAAAACAAATATGAACAAATCTAAGAAGATTTAAATCATATCAAATAACTTCTAACCACAGTTCTATCAAACTAGAAATCAAAAATAGAAGAAATCTTGAACATTTTGCAGATACATGAAAATTAAACATGCTCTTGAACAAGCAAGTGGTCAACAGAAATAATTAAAAGAGAAATTAAAATTTTTGAGACAAATGGAAATAGAAACAAAACATACCAAAACCTTTAGAATATAGCAAAAGAAGTTTAAAGAGACTACTTTATACCAATAAACATTTACATTAAAAAAGGTTTCAAATAAAAAACCTAATATTACACTTCAGTTAACTAAAAATACAAGAGCAAAGAGAAACCCAAATTAGTAGAATGAAAGAAATTATAAAGATTGAGTCAGAAATAAACAAAATAAAGAGTAAAAAAGTCAACAAAACAAAGAGCTGGATTTTTTAAAAGGTAAACATAATTGACAAACTTTTAGCTAGACTAGCTAAAATAAAAAGAGGAAGGAGCCAAATAAAACCAGAGATGGAAAAGCTGATACTACAACTGTTACAGCAGAAATACTAAGAATTATTAGAGACGATTTTGAACAAATATATACCAACAAAATGGAAAGCCTAGAAGAAATAGATAAGTTCTTGGAAACAACCTACCAAATTTGAATCATGAAGAAATAGAAAAACCTTAACAAGAGTGAATCAGTGATAAAATATCTCCCATAAAAGCAAAGCCCAGGACCTAATGGCATCACTGCTGATTTTTCCTATACATTTAAATAAAAATTATTATTCATTCTTTTCAAACTATTTCAAAAAAATTGGACAGAATGGAATTCTTCCAATCTCATTCTATGGGGCCAGCTGGACAGGATGGAATTCTTCCAAACTCATTCTATGGGGCCAGCATTACCCTGATACCAAAACCAGACAAGGACAAAGCACTAAAAGAAAACGGGAGTGTAGGGTAATATCCCTGATGAACATAGATGCAAAAATCCTCAAAAAGCACTAGCAAACCAAATTCAACATTACATTATAAAGGTTATTAACGATGATGAAGTGATATTCATCCCAGGGTTGCAAGGATGGTACAATGCACAGAAATGAATAAAGATAATACACCACATTAAAAGAATGAAAGACAAAAAGTATATGACCACTTCAATAAATGCAGAAGTGTTTGAAAAAATAGACATTCTTTTATAATAAAAATTCTCAACAAATGTAGTATTGCAAGAATGTATTTCAACACAATAAAAGCTATGTATGACAAATCCACAGATAACATACTAAATGGAAAAATGTTAACAGTTATTCCTCTAATATCTGAAATAACACAAGAATGCCCACTTTCACCACTTTTATTCAAATTAGTACTGTAAGTCTTAGGCAGATCGACTAAGAAAGAGAAGTAAATAAAAGGCATCCAAATTGGAAAAAAAGAAAGTCAAATTTTTTCTATTTACAGAAACATGACATTTTTAAAAAATAAAAACTTCATAGAAACACTGTTAGAATTTAAAAAAATGCAGTGAAGTTTTGAGATATAAAATCAACATTAAAAATCATAATATTTCTATATTCCAATAGCAAACTATCTGAAGAAAAGAAATCCAATATACAATAACTAAATAAAATAAAATTAGGAAAAAATTTAATCAAAAGGGGGAGATTTATGCAATTAATGCTATAAAATATTCATGAAATAAATTATAAGGACACAAATAAATGGAAACACATCCTGTGTTCATGGATGTGAATAATTAACATTGTTAAAACATTCATACTACCAAAGCAATCCATAGATTCAATGGAATCTGTCAAAATACTTATGACATTCTTCACAGAAACAAAAAAAAAACTTAAATTTTATATTAAACCGTAAAGACCCTGAAATGCCAAAGAAATACTGAACAAAAAAGAGCAAAGCTGGAGGCATCACACTACCTGACTTCAAAATATATTACAAAGCTATTGTAAACAACACAGCATGGTAGTGGCATATAAATAAGCACCTTGCCTAATGAAACAAATTAAATAGTAGAGAAATCAATCCATAGACTTAGAGTCAACTGATTTTAAACAAAGGATCCAAGAACACACATTGGTGAAAGGATAGTTTCTTCAATAACTGGTGTTGGGTAAAACGGATATCAGCATGCAGAAAAATGAAACTAGACTTGTATCTCTCACCCTATAAAAAATGATCTCAAAATGGATCAAATTCATATATGTAAGACCCAATATGATAAAACTACTAGAAGACCACATAGACAAAATAGTTTAGGACATTGGAATAAACACAAGGTTTTTTGGATAAGACTTCAAAAGCACAGAAAACGAAAGCAAAAATAGACAAATAGGATTATGTCAAACTAAAATGCTTCTCCACAGCAAAGAAACCAATAATAAAACAATCAACAGGGTAAAGAGACAAACTGTATAATGCAATAAATATTTGAAAACTGTAATAGTTAACAGCCCATTCTCACACTGCTATAAAGAAATATCTGAGATTTGGTAATTTATAAAGAAAAGAGGTTTAATTGGCTCATGGTTCCACAGGCTGTTTAGGAAGCATGAATGGGGAGGCCTCAGGAAACTTTGAATCATGGCAGAAGGCAAAGGGGAAGCAAGCATGTCTTACATGGTCAGAACAGGAGGAAGACAGCGAAACAGGAGATGCTACACACTTTTAAACAACCAGATCTCGTGAGAACTCACTCACTATCATGAGAACAGCAAGGGAGAAATCTGATCCCACGATCCAATCACCTTCAACCAGGCCCCTCCTTCAATATTGGGGATTACAATTTGATATGAGATTGGGATGGGGACAAGAATCCAAACCACATCAAAAACTACGCACCTGACATGAAGTTAATTACTACAATATTTTAGGAACTCAAACAAATCAATAGCGAAAATAAAAGTAATCTGATTTTAAAATGTGCAAAATACCTGAATGGACATTTCTCAAAAGAAAACATACAAGTGGCTAAGAGGTATGTGAAAAAATGTTCAATATCACCAATCATCAGAGAAATTACAATCAAAACAACAATAGAATATCAGCTTATCCCCATTAGAATAGCTATTATGAAGAAGATAAAACATCAAAAATGCTAGCAAGGATGTGAAGGAGAACACATACACTGTTGGTGGGGGCGTACATAAGTACAGCCATAATTGGAAACTGTATGGAGGTTCCTCAACAAATAAAAAATGGAACTAACATATGATCCAGAAATTATACTATTTGGTGTATATCAAAGGAAATAAAATTAGTATGTCAAAGAGATATCTGTTCTACCATCTTTATTATGGCATTATTTCCAATAGTCAGGAAATGTAATCAACCTAGATGTTCAATAAAGATAAATGGATACAGAAAATATGGACAGGCTAAGCAAGATGGCAGAACAGAAGGCTCCAGCAATAATCCCCAACAGAAGGATACCAATTTAACAACTATCTACACAGAAAAAAAAAAAAAAAAACAGAAGAACCAAAAATTAGGTGAGCCCTCATAGTACCTGGTTTTATTCTCGTATTGCTGACAGAGGTACTGAAGAGAGAATAAACAATACTGATTTGCCAACAATGCCCCTCCCCCACACCCCAGCTGCAGTGACCTGGTGCAGAGAGTGTCTCTGGGCATTGAGGGAGGGAGAATACAGCAGCGGTTAGGCATTGAACTCAATGCTGTCCTGTTAAAGCAGAAAGAAAAACAGGACCAAACTCAGCTGACATCAGCCCACAGAGGTAGCATTTAAACCAGCCTTAGCCAGAGGAGAATCTTCTATGCCCACAGTCCAAACTTGAGTGTCTGCAAACCTCACCACTGAGGACTGCAGTGATCTGTGTCTATAAATGAACTTAGAAGTGAGTGTAGGCCATAAAAACTGCAACACTTAGTTGAGTCCCAGTGCTGAACTAGGCCTAGAGACAGTGGATTGGGTGGAGTGGGGGGGGAAACTTATTCAGACACCAGCTGGGGCAGCCAACAGAGTGATTACATCACGTCTTCCGTAACCACACAACTCACAGATCCAAGGCAGATCCCTTCCTTCTGTTTGAGGAGAGAAATAAGTGGGGAGGACTTTGTCTTGCATCCAGGACACCAGTTTGGCGACAGCGTGATAGGGCACCAGTTAGAGTTGTGTCTGGCACTTAAACCCTCTCACTTGCTCTCCTGCCACCTTGTGAAAAAGGTGCCTGCTTCTCCGTCATGATTGTAAGTTTTCCAGGCCTTGCCAGCCATGCAGAACTGTGCGTCAATGAAACCTCCTTTGTTTGTAAATTACCCAGGCTCAGGTAGTATTTTCATAGCAGCGTGAAAACGCACTAATACAAATACTTAACTGAGAACCTAGTTTAGGTCTGTTGGTATATAGTGAGAAAACATAAAAACTACTAAAGGGATAAAATAAAAACTAGAATTAGATCTTTTTCCTGGATGTATAGCTCTATTTTTATCGTTTGGATTACCTTTGGCAATCTCACTTTACCTTAGTATGCTAGGCATTCCTAACAAGAGCATCATGTATAGCTGCGTACAAAAGAGATACTAACTTAAGCATAGATATGGCATGATTTAAGTTGTAACTAAATTAATTGTGAAACACATGAGAGGGAATCTAAATATTGCTATTCCTGGATCAAACAGGCAATGCATATCCTTTATATACTTAACCATGTTTTTTGATCTATATCTTAGAATCTGTAAAATATATTAATACTTCTACCTTAACAATAATGCATTATTTTGTGTAGTCATATAACACTAGATGAGTGCCAGCTGTGAACACAATACAAAAAATAACAAAATCTCTCACCTGGCTTTCTAGAATATTCAAAATCACCCTCTATTTTTCTCTCTTGAACTTTCCACCAGGTTCTTTTTATTGCTCCAGTAAAGTTGAAGGTTTTATAGAGTTTTAGTTTTCAGTATCCAGATCCTTTCCCTCCTTAGTGGAATTTACACCTAAGTATTTAATTTTTTGGTTGCTACTATAAATCACATTGTTTGCTTAATTTTCTTTTCAGATTGTTACTAATACATAGAAGTTCCACTAATTTTTAATGCTGATTTTGTATCCTGCACCTATACTCAATTTATTTATCATTTCTACAAGTTTTTTGGTAGAGTCTTTAGGACTATTGACTGCTTCTCCTATGCCCCATTCCTTTGACCTCCAGCTCACCCAACACAGCTTACAAAAACATTATAAGAGGGAGAAGCATAGTACATTGCAGTTAATGCAATGCACTTTGGAACCACTGTTTAGTTTTGTGATTTGGGGCAAGAAATATAGCCCCCTATATGCTTCACTTTCCCCACCTCACTGAGTTATCAGGATAATTAAATCAAATTAATAACTCATTTGTAAAGCACTTAGAACAATTTCAGGCACATAACAGGTATTATGCAGAAAGTTTTTAAATCAACAAATAAGTCTTTCCAGGCTTAGCATAGACATTACCCCCTCTAAGACTCTTTTTATAATTTTGCTCTCAGAAAACCAGGTTACATGCCCCTTCCCTTTAAATTCCTCCTCCGTGTGCTCTGGCTTCTCATTGTATTCATCACACTATAATATAGTTGTCAATTGTTCTTAGGCTTTTGTTCTTCAGCTGATCAATGCAAGTTTCCTTATGGCAGGAACTTTATCTTTTTTCCATCTGTCAGATCCCCAGTGCCTAGAATAGTACCAAGTGCAGACACATGTAACTAAAAACAATTCTTGAATGAATTCTCTAAATTCTTCATATGCTAAGATTCTCACTCCTTTTATATGCCCATCTGTTATAGTACTTCACATTATAGATACTCAGTAATAATGACATTAATAGTAATTAGAGTAATCAATGTATATCTGTCACAAGCTATCTTAGTCTGTTTTGTGCCGATACAATACCTGAGACTGGGTAATTTATAAATAAAAACATATTTTTCTCACAGTTCTGGAGGCTAGGAATTTCAAGATCAAGTCATCAGCATCTGATGAAGGTCTTCTTGCCATATCGTCACATGGTGGAAGTGAAAATTTCTCTATTTGTTGATGACATAATCTTACTTAAGAAAACCCTAAAGACTCTACCAAAAAACTGTTAGAAATGATAAGTAAATTGAGTATAGGTGCAGGATACAAAATCAGCCTTAAAAATTAGTGGCACTTCTATGTATTAGTAACAAACACTCTGAAAAGAAAATTAAGTAAGCAATATGATTTATAGTAGCAACCAAAAAATTAAATACTTAGGTGTAAATTCCACTAAGGAGGTAAAGGATCTGGGTACTGAAAACTGTAAAACACTGATAAAATATATTTAAAAGACACAAATGGAAATAATTCCCATGTTCATTATTACTATGAAAATGTCCATATTACTTGAAGCAATCGAAAGTCTCATTGCAATCCTTATGAAAGGGTCAATGCCATTTTTAACATAAATGAAAAATAAATGTTACGGGATCTTTTGGTATCACTTTTCTGGCTGGACATCTCTGTGGCCAGGGGCATCTTTGCCCAAGTTCTTGTCCTGCATCCAGGAAGAATGAGATATGCACAGAAGTGGATAGTGAGCAAGACGAAAAGGAGCTTTATTGAGTGTTACAACAGCCCAGAGGGGACCTGCAGTGGGTAGCTCCACTCTAAAGCTGGTTGTCCTGATGTCTGCTGCTCTCAGCAGAGAGGAGGCCCTGGAGAGGCTGGCTCCCCTTACAGGCAGGTCATCCCAATATCTGCAGCTCTCAGGGGAGAGGAGGCCCTGGAGAGGGTACCTCCTCTCTGCAGGTGGTTGTCCTGATGTCTGCAGCTCTCAGCAGAGAGGAGGCCCTGGAGAGGGCAGCTTCTCTCTGCAGCTGGTTGTGTTGATGTCTACTCTGCTCTGGCTGGGTCAGGGCTTTTTATGGTCTTCAGAGAGAGAAAGTACATGCTAATTGTTCCACGGACAACCACGGGTGGGCCCAGAAAAAAGCATCACCAGTCCACCTCCGGTCCACAGGATTGGCAGACCAGTTCCCAGGCACAGGCCTTCCCTGGCCTGAAGGTGGGGCTTCACTGGGGGCGCACCCTCAAAAACTGCCCAGGAGTCTGTCTCTCACTGCCATTCTGGTGCCCAGGCTGCTTGTGCCAAGTGGCACCTGCAGGCCAGCACTGTGCTGCCCTCAACTCCCCCCCCCACCTTTGGCTTTCCTCCTATGCTTGTCAGTGCCCAAAATCCAGAGGGGGCGAAGGTGGCAGGGGGCTAGTGTGTCAGCGCTGCCCTGAGCATGCACCCACCCAGGTAGGCTGCAGCAGTACTCAGCTCAGCCCAACCTTGCTCCAAGATTAGAGCAGGCTCTGGGAGAGGGGAGAGGCCAGGCAGCAGAAGAAGGCAACTCTGAGTCTGGGGGGTGGGGGCACAGAGACCTTTGCATTTCCCCAAGAGCACAGAGGTGTCTGGGTCTGCAGCCTGGCTTGGGCAGCTGCAGCTGCATCCAAGGACCTCTTGCCTAGCCAGTTCCAAAAGGGTGGGGCTCCCGCTTGTCCACAGCTCCCACTGGCTCTGTGGAGCATGCATTTCCAGCCACACCTCTGATATCGGAGCAGACACCGACAGTGGGGAGAAGCCAGATTGTGGGAGAAGGCACTTCTGAGCATGCTGGGGGCAGGGGAACCTCCCAGGCACCCAATAGCACAGAGACACTCAGGTCTGGAGCTGTGGTAGGGCTCCAGCCTTCTCTGTGGAATAGGAGGCCTGAGCCTGGGGGCATGGGGTTCCTGCCTGCTCCATGGAGTGTACAGTCCTGGCCACAACTGCCTACTGCAGTGGCATCTTGGCAATGGCCACTCCAGATGGGCCACTGCTGCCATCAAAAATACTCCAATTGCTATGGAACCACAAGAGACTACATAGCCAAAACAGTCTTGAGCAAAGAGAACAACGCTGAAGGCATCACACTCCTTGATTTAAAAATATATTACAAAGCTACAGTAATCAAAGCAGCAGGGTACTGGCACAAACACAAAACACAGACAAATGGAACAAAATAGGAAACCTAGAAATAAACTAAACCATATATAGTCAACCGATTTTGAAAAAGGTACCAAGAACATACAATGGGGAAAGGAGAATCTCGTCAATAAATGGTATTGAGAAAACTGGATATCCACATGCAGCAGAATGAAATTTGACCCTTTTCTTACACCATATAAAAAATTGAATCAAAATGAATTGAAGATGTATTTTTTTAACTTTTATTTTACATTCAGGAGTGTACGTGCAGGATGTGCAATTTTGTTACATAGGTACACATATGTCATAAGGGATAGTTGTACAGATTATTTTATCACCCAGGTATTAAGTCTGCTATCCATTAGTTATTTTTCTCTCACCTTCCCCCCTCCGATAGACCCCAGTGTGCATTGTTCTCCTCTATGTATTGATGTGCTCTCATCGTTTAGCTCCCACTTATAAGTGATAACATGCTGTATTTGGTTTACTGTTCCTGCTTTAGTTTGCTAAGGATAATGGCCTCCAGCTCTATCCATATCCCTGCAAGGGACATGTTCAAAGACATAAATACAGAAATACCATTTGATTCAGCAATCCTGTTACTGTGTGTGTATACACCCAAAGGAATAGAAATTACTCTATTATAAAGACACACACATGTATGTTTACTGCAGCACTATTTACAATAACAAAGACATGGAATCAACCTAAATGCTCATCAATGATAGACTGGATAAATAAAATGTAGTACATATACACAATGCAATACTATGCAGCCATAAAAAATGAACACTTAAATAGAACACCTGAAACTGTAAACCTAATTCTAAAAAATCATGAGGAAATAGCTCCATGACATTGCTGTAGTAATGACTGTTTGGATATAATCCTGAACACATGGACAACGAAAACAAAAGTTAGACCAGTGGAATGGCATCAAACTGAAATGCCTCTGCACGGCAAAAAAGAAAACTCACAAAGTGAAAAGACAACCCACAGAATGAGAGAAATGTTTGCAAATCATATATCTGATAATCTGTTAATACCCAAATTATATATGGAACTCAAAGAACTCAATAGCAAGAAGCAAATAACTTCATTAAAAAGTGGGCAAAAAACCTGATGGTCTGTTTGTGCTCTTTCACACTTTTTGATGTAGGCTTTTAGGGCTATCAACTTTCCTCTTAGCACCACCTTTGCTGTATTCCAGAGGTTTTGATAGGTTCTGTCACTATTATTGTTCAGTTCAAAGAATTTTTAAATTTTCATCTTGATTTCATTGTTGACACAATCATCATTCAGGAGCAGGTTATTTAATTTCCATGTATTTGCATGGTTTTGAAGGTTCCTTTTAGAGTTAATTTCCAATTCTTTCCACTGTGGTCAGGGAGAGTACGTGATATAATTTCAATTTTCATAAATTGATTGAGACTTGTTTTGTGGCCTATCATATGGTCTACCTTGGAGAATGTTCCATACATTGATGAACAGAATGTGTATTCTGTGGTTGTTTCATAGAATTTTCTGTAAATATCTGTTAAGTCCATTTGTTCCAGGGTATAGTTTAAATCCATTGTTTATGTGTTGACTTTCTGTTATTATAACCTTTCTAGTGTTGCCAGTGGAGTATTGAATTCCCCCACTATTATTGTGTTTCTGTCTATCTCATTTCTTAGGTCTTGTAGTAATTGCTTTATAAATTAGGGAGCTCCACCACTGGTGCATATATTTAAGATTTTGATACTTTCATGTTGAACAAGGCTGTTTATCTTTATATAATGTCCCTCTTTGTCTTTTTTAACTGCTGTTGCTTTAAAGTTTTTTTTTTTTTTTTTGGTCTGACATAAGAATAGCTATTCCTACTCACTTTTGGTGTCCATTTGCAAGCAATGTATTTTTCCACCTCTTTAGCTTATGTTTATGTAAGTCCTTATATGTTAGGTGAGTCCCTTGAAGGCAGCAGACGGTTGGTTAATTCTTATCCATTCTGTGATTCTGTGTCTTTCAAGTGGAGCATTTAAGCCATTTACATTCATCATTTGTAGTGAGATGTGAGGTGCTCTTCTCCTCATCATGCTATTTGTTGGCTAAATACCTTTTTAAAAAATTATTATTGTGTTGTTGTTTTATAGGTCCTATGAGATTTATGCTTTAAGAAGGTTCTATTTTGATGGGTTTCCAGGATTTCTTTCAAGATTTAGAGCCCCTTTTAGCAGTTCTTGCAGTGCTGGCTTGGTAGCAGCAAATTCCATCAGCATTTGCTTGTATGAAAAAGACTGTATCTTTCTTTTTTTTTTTTTTTTTTTTTTTCTTTGAGACTGAGTCTCGCACTATCGCCCAGGCTGGAGTGCAGTGGTGCAGTCTCAACTCACTGCAACCTCTGCCTCCAGGGTTCAAGCAATTCTCCTACCTCAGCCTCCCGAGTAGCTGAGATTACCGGCACCCACCACCACGCCTGGCTAATTTTTCTTTTTTTTTTTTTTTTTTTTTTTTTTATAGTAGAGATGGGGTTTCACCATGCTGGTCAGGCTGGTCTTGAACTACTGAACTTATGATCCGCCCACCTCAGCCTCCCAAAGTGCTGGAATTACAGGCGTGAGCCACCATGCCTGGTCATCTTTCATTCATTTATAAAGCTTAGTTTCACGGAATACAAAATTCTTGGCTTATAGTTGTTTTGTTTAAAAAGGCTGACGATAGGACACCCATTCCTTCTAGCTTGCAGGGTTTCTGTTGAGAAATCCTCTGTTACTCTGATAGGTTTTCCTTTATAGATTACTTTGTGCTTTTGCCTCATAGCTCTTAATAATCTTTCCTTAATCTTGACTGACTTTAAATAACCTGATGACTATGTGTCAAAGCGATGATCTTTTTGCGATATATTTCCCAGTTGTTTTTTGAGCTCCTTGTATTTAGATGTCTAGATCTCTAGCAAGGCCAGAGAAGTCTTCCTCGATTATTTCTCCAAATAAGTTTTTCAAACTTTTACATTTCTCTTCTTCCTCAGAATGCCAATTTTTCTTAGGGTTTGTCATTTAACATAATCCCAAACATCTTGGAGGCTTTGTCATTTTTTTTAAATTCTTTTTTCTTTGTCTTTGTCAGATTGGGTTATTTCAAAAACCTTATCTTCAAGCTCTGAAGTTCTTTTTTCTGCTTGTTTGATTCTATTGCTGAGAGTTTCCAGTGCATTTTGCATTTGTATAAGTTTAGATTTTCTATTGCTTAGTAGGTTGGCTATGGTTAACAATAGTGTATTGTATATTTCAAAATAGCTAGAAGAAAGAACGTTAAATGTTTTAGTAACAAATAAATGATATGCATTTGAGGTGGTAAATGTGCTAAATACTCTGATTTGATTACTACACACTGTATATATGTATCAAACCATCACACTGTACTCCATATATATGTACAATTATTATGTGCTAATTAATAACAAATAAAAACCTAAAAAAGATTTGCTTGTTTTCGTTTTTAGTCAAATAATCACAATTTAGAATTATTTATATGTTCTGTTATTTATTCTATTCATTTCTGCTTTTGTATTTATTAATACTTTCCTTCTGCTTTTTTTATTTTTTCTTATCTTAGCCAGATGTCTATTTCAATTATCTGTTTTTTTACTGATATACACATTTAAGGTTATTGATTTTTCTCTGATTACTCCATTAGCTGTCCTCTACAGGCCCTAATACTGTTATTATAATTAATTTGTATGAATTTTTAAATTTTTTTATTGCCTATTTTACCCAAGAATTTACTTTTTAATTGTTTTTCTAAATTTGGGATGTAAGACTCTTTGTGTATTCTGTAATCAAATAATTTTATCTATCTTTATTTCTACTTTTTGAAGAGACAATATGTAGCATTATACACTCTAATTTTATGACTATTCAAAGGACACTTTTGAAGAATACATAATTAAATATGTAATAATCATGCAGAGCCTCTGTTTGCAATTTGTCTTAGGCCTGAAAATTTTAGGCAGGGTGCTGTCTGCTTTTATTCTAACACTTTTCATTATTTGGTACTATCTTTCTTCATCTTTATTACATTATATTATATATTATATTATATATTATTATAATATATAGTTATATATTATTTCAGGAGATTGTAAGCTCCATGAGGGTAAGAATCATGTTTTCCTTATTCATAACTACACCTTTACCACCCAAAAGTGTGCTGGGAACATAGTAAAAGTTGTATAAATATTTGTTAAGTGAATGTATATTTCTAGAACAGGAAATTCTAGGTCATAGGCAAGCTCTACAGGCTAAGAGAACTTTGAAAGCCAGAAAATAGAAACTTCATTAGGTATTTCAGATGTAAATTAAAGACTCTGATATTGGCTTTTGAACATATTGTGGGGAGTGACAGCTATTTTTCAATAAAAACCTTCTCTCTGTTTCATAAAGTCAGTAATTTTACCTGAGTAAAATATTAAGTGTCCTACTCTCAGTCTTGATTATTTATGGCCAGGTCACTAGATTACCTCAAAAGAAAAATTAGTGGAAACAATCTGTGTAATTTCTGACTCACTTACTTAAAAGGAATTTTGTCGCCCTGAACTTCCTCTTTTTGTCTGTCCTGTGAACCAAATTAGAGATGTGACTATGAGGCAGCCTTGAGCTTGCAGAAGAGTTGTCTTAGTTTTTCCTGTTTAGCCTTTAAAAGTGTTTGCATATTTTTACATTGACACATAAAATTTTTCATACTTGTATAAAGTGAGAAAGACATATTTAAAATACTGAAATTTTAAAACGAACAGTTTACATCAGTCACGTAATTATGTCAAGTGGAATTTAAATACATTAAATCACTTATTTTATGCTGACCCTGAAAGATACAGAGAGCCTGGAGTCACCCATTATTGCTGTTGCTGCCAGAGCCAATGGTTACAAGCACTACACTACCAAGACTGGTGGAGCATCAGCTGCCATAATGTCCCCTGGAACTTTAATGTCAAGCAGAACCTGGAATACTAGGTTGTCCATCCTGCTTCTGACATTCTCAAAGGCATTATAAGAAACCCAAGAAAAGAAAGAAAAATGTCTTTCTTTCTTCTGCCTTTCATTCTCCCTCTGTGCCTCCAATAGACACATCCTGAATAAAAGCTAACTGGCAAGAATGTCAGGAAATTAGTTTGCAAGTGTCCAACACCCTGCAATACAAAAAGAGGCATGAAAGGATGGAAATAAAGCAAATAGAAATGCCTAACACAGTCCACGAACCTGGCTGCTTAGAATCCATTCTTACCATCTTCTCTCACTTAAAATTCTATGTAACAAAAAATAACAAGAACATTGTGCTTCTATAACAGTTCTTTATGAAAACAAAGATTGTCTCACACTCTCCCACCAAAAATGAAGACTCAAAACCTCAGAATCCAACACTGTAAGATGTTAATTCTTCTAATTCAGTATTTATCCCACAGGTATATTATTTCATCTAAATTTTAAATTATAAAATTAACCACTACAAGTATATCCTAAACAAAATAATAGGGGAGATGGAGAAAGAAAATATTTCTATAAGTATGAAAACTCATGTGCAGACCTACTTTGTTTCTTGTTTCTATAACAGCCATGAGACCATAGCTGATCACCAGAATGGTTGGTTAAAAGTAAAGAGAACATAGATTCATAATGAGCCGTCCTACCCTTTTTATTAAATTTTACTGTTGCATATAGAAGTACTAAGAAATATGAGTAACTGGAATTAATCACCTCACCCAGGAGTTTAACTCCTCCTTCATCTGTCAATTGAGTGTCATAAGGACCAAAAATGTCCAGGTGGAAGTCTTACTATCCAAATGAATAAAACCATTGTTGTGCCTACTGGTAGAAATATTCACTTCATGCAAACTGAAACATTTGAATCAGCAGAGCTTAAAACTGCCAGAACATAAACCAAAAATTATGTTATTAGGTTGTTAGCTGTCTTGGTGAGAGGAATCACACCTACTTCCAACCTTCATCCACAGCCCTTCATTCATTGTTACTTCATTAGTAACAAAATAGTTTCTCTGCTCTTTCCAATATATTCACTAAATTCTAGTCACCATGTTGATTTGAATATATAAACAAGGTCTTGCTTATAAGAAAAAGCATGGATATCTTTAAACTTTTTTCTCTTTGAATGTTTGTTACCACTTAATTCATAACAGAATTGTATCCTAATTACATATATTTTATGTTTAAAAGTCATACTCATTGGAAATGTCTTAGTATCCTATAACTCTAAACTTTAACTTTTAAAAATCACACATGTACTAAGTTGTCATTGTAATTCTTAGTATAGCATTGATCAAAACAACAAAATTAAACTACAAATTTGATACATTACAATTAAACATGGAAAGAAAATGCATGTTATTGAGATGAATAGAGCATTTTTTAAGTAATTCATTTATTTGTGAAAAAATCCCTTATTAAATGAATGTCATTTTTTGAGCTTTGAATAAAACAGGGTTCTGCAACTATTCATTTGTGCCATTTTATTTGCTTCTATAGACACATTCTGAGAAAAGTTGTGACACAATTATTTAAAAACATTCTCTGAGTAATATAAAAACAATTTGTCAGCTGAAAACTCCAATGCATCTCTTTCAGTTTTGCTTTAAAAAAGAAACGAAAATCACCTTGCTTAGTCAGTCTTTTCACTCATTCAATTTCTCAACACTATCACCAGTATTTCAAATCATTCCCTCATTTGGTACTCTGGTAGTTTTTAATAACTTTGGGAGAATACATCATAGTAATAAAAAGTGGTGAGAGGTGTGACACCTTCTTTTTTTAAAATTGGATAGAGAATCGAGAAGTAAGAGGTGTCAGAAAAAGTGCCATGAAGGAAATTACATTGATGTAATGGTGGCATCCAGGTTTACTGCCAAGTAAGTTATCCCAGAAGTCATGGAACACAAAGGCCCACATAACAAATTAAAT
The DNA here is from genome assembly GCF_000001405.40 of Homo sapiens. Taxonomy (NCBI): domain Eukaryota; kingdom Metazoa; phylum Chordata; class Mammalia; order Primates; family Hominidae; genus Homo; species Homo sapiens. Next base: position 143,829,989 of record NC_000023.11, on the reverse strand, counting down.
GCAGGCGTATCTTGGACATACTTCAGGTTTCATATCAGACCACATAAATAAAGTAAATATCACAATAAAACAAGTCACCATTGTTTTTTGTTTCTTCAGTGCATATGAAGTTTACACTATACTGTATTAAGTGGGCAATAGCATTGTCTAAACCATGTACATATCTTAATTAAAAATACTTTATTGCTGATAAAACACTAACAATCATCTGAGACTCCAGTGAGCCATTATCTTGCTGCTGAGGGGAGATCTGGCTTTGATGTTGATGTATGCTGCCTGATGAGGGTGATGGTTGCTGAAGGTTGGGGTGATTGTGGCAATTTCTTAAAATAACATGACGATGTTTGTCACATTGATGGACTTTGCCTTGAATGATTTACAGAAAGATTTTTCTGTAACATGCAATGCTGTTTTATAGCATTTTACCCACAGTAAAACTTCTTTAAAATTGGAGTCAACCCTCTCAAACCCTGCCACTGCTTTATCAACTAAGTTTATGTAGTATTCAAAATACTTTGTTGTCTTTTTAACAATGTTCACAGCATCTTCACCAGTAGATTCCATTTTAGGAAACCATGTTCTTCACTCATTCTTAAGAGGTACTCTTCATGCTTTCAAGATTTATTATAAGATTTCTGCCATTCAGCCATATATTCAGGATCCACTTGTAATTCTAGTTCTCTTGCTATTTCTACCACATCTGCAGTTGCTTCTGCCACTGAAATATTGAGCCCATAAAAGTCATCCATGAGGGTTAGAATTAACTTCATTAAACTTCTGTTAATGTTGATATTCTGACCTCCAACGGATCACAAATATTTTTAATGGCATTTAGAATAATGAATCTTTTCCAGGAAGTTTTTAATTTACGTTTCCCAGAGGAATTTTTAGATATGGCACCTATAGCCTTACAAATGTCTTTCTTAAATAATGAGACTTGCAAGTAGAAATTATTCCTTGATACATGGGCTAAAGAAGGGATGTTTTGTTAGCAGGCATGAAAACAACATTAATTTCCTTATACAGTTCCACAAGAGCTGTTGGGTTACCAAGTGAATAATTAATACGCAGTAATATTTTTAAATTAATCTTTTGTTCTGAGCAGCGTATCACAACAATGGGCTTAAAATATTCAGTCAACCATGCTGTAAGGAGATGTCATCCAGGCTTTGTGGTCCCATGTATATAGCACAGACAGAATAGATTTAGCATTAATTCTCAAGAGCCCTAGAATTTTCAGAACAGTAAATGAGCATTGGTTTCAACTTAAAGTCACCAACTGCATTAGCCCCTAACAAGAGAGTGAGCCTGTCCTTTTAAGCTTTGAAGCCAGGCATCAACTTCTCCTTTCTAGCTGTAAAAATTCTAGATGGCATCTTCTTTTCATAGAAGGCTGCTTCATCTATATGGAACATCTGTTGTTTATTGTAGCCACCTTCATCGTTATCTTAGTGAGAGCTGGAAAATTTGCTGAAGCTTCTACACTTGCTTCTTCACATTGTGCTTTGATGTCAGGGAGACATCTTTACTTAAAAGTCATACTGGCTTCAAATTTTTCTTCTGCAGCTTTCTTGGCTCTCTTTGCTTTCATAGAATTGAAGGGAGTTAGGGGCCTTGCTCTGAATTAGGCTTTGGCTTAAGGGAATGTTGAGGCTAGTTTTTGATCTTCTATTCAGACCACTCAAACTTTCTCCCCATCAGCAAAAAAGGTTGTTTTGCTTTCTTATAATTCATGTATTCACTTGAGTAGCACTTATAATTTTCTTCAAGAACTTTTCCTTTTTATTCACAGCTTGGCTAATAACATGTTGCAAGGGGTCTATCGTGGCTTTCAACATGCCTTCCTCACTAAGGTTAATGATTCCTAGCTTTTGATTTAAAGTGAGAGATGTGATTCTTCCTTTCACTGAAACACTTAGATGCCATTATAGGGCTCTCAGTTGGCCTAATTTCAACATTGTTTTGTCTCAGGCCTGAGGAGATGAAGAGAGATAGGGGCACAGCCTGTGGGTTGAGCAGTCAGAACACACACCACATTCACTGATTAAGTTTACCATTTTATATGGGCATAGTTTGTGGTACATCAAAACAATTACTAGAATAATTGCTTTGAATCACTGATCAAAGGTCATCAGAATATATAATAAAAAATTGTAAATATAAGAATTACCAAAATATTACACAGAAATATGAAGTCAGCACATTCTGTTGGGAAAAAGGCACTGATTGATTGCTGGATGCAAGATTGACACAAATGTTCAATTTGTAAAAAACACATTATCTGTGAAAGACAAGAAAGTGAAGCACAATAAAAGGAGGCATGCCTGTATTCTGAATTTTGACTATGTCTTATAAATTACTTGCTTATCCAATGTCAATACTTAACATATGTATATGAGTTGTTCTGATATACTAACTACTATTGACTATCCGTAACACTTCTCATGAATCATATTTATTTATTTTTTGTTTTTATTCACCCCATTTGTGAGGAAGGAATTCCCTCCCTAGGGTTATTGAGACAGCCGAACACACAACATCTGATACTAAATAAATGATATCCACAGCAATTTATTGGTCACATATACTCAAAGCCTGGAAGAGGAAGGCATCACAGGCCACATGGGGTTGGGGTTTGCATTCAAGAACAAAGTAAACAACCAGGGACTATGGGAAGCAGGCTTCCTAGGATCAAGAGGGTACACTGCTCCCTATTTCCAGTAGAAAAAAACGATTGGCTTGTTTAAATAATTCTGAGGCCATGAGAGAACTGAAACCCCATACTTAGAGATAAGTGGATACTCCACCTGGTCCACTTAGTAAGAGGATGTTTTGGCTAGAAGAACTTAATTGAAACAAAGTATGTAGTTTCAACTGGAAACATGTAACTCCATTCAGTAACTAAAACATGTTTTTAATATTCCAAAGATTTTGGATTACTACTATCAAAGATGTACAGACTTAATAGTACAATAACTGTAGATGCACATTTTTACTTCATCATCTCTCAAGATGTTGATTGCTTTTGTCTACTCTTGTTTAGGAAGTTTGTGGCCATGTAAAATAGGTGTTTTTTAACAACAAAAATATGTTTTTAGCTCTACTTTTAAGAAATTAAAATTTTGTCCAAAATTGATAGATAATGAGATGATAATAAAGGAGCCACTATGTCTTTATATAAATATATTGTTAAGCCAATATAATTGCCGTGAATTTTAATAGGGCCAACTTACTGTGGTCTTACAGATTTTTTGTTGCCTCACATTTTCTTTCTTATGAAAGTTAAAAAGTTTGGAAGAATGCACTCTTTTGATGAGGATAAAGATGGAGTAACTTGAGTTAGAAAAAGAACGAAATGTCATTTGTAATTGATGGCAATTAGAAACACCTGATTAAATTCAGAGACGTGTTGATCATTTTGTCCCTTCAATTATTTCAGTGTTTGCTTATTATTAAACAGGACTGGAAAACAAAGTAATTACTGACATAATTGTGATTTTTATTTTATGGAACTTGCAAGTTTAAACATTTATGACAAGATGAAACTAAAGACAGAAAATCTCAAGGAAGAAATAGTTGTCAGGCATTTTGCAAGTTTGTGTGCCGAATTCTATTTTTTACTGATATTCCTTGAATTATTAGCAAAAAAGGTAAGCAATATCCAAAGGCAGAATGGCTCTAAATAGCCTTTTCTGGGGAATTCAGTAGCTCTTAGGTCCTTTATATAGACATCTCCTTACTGAGTGCAAACTGTGAAAGAATCAAAGGTAGTATTGTCACTCTGCAATATATAAGATTTTTTATACACATGAACATACCTTCCTACAGTAGTCGATATATGAAAAGTTTATTTCCTCCAATCTTCACCAATAATAAATATAGTCTTCAAAGGTGTTTTTGTGGTCATTTTCCCACTGAAAAAGTACAATTTATACTGTTACAATTTGTACTTCTGTTATTACTATTGAATGATAGCGTATTTCATGTATGGTTTTTTCTGATTCTTTTCTCAATGAATTAGATGAATACTACTGTACTGTAACTTATTAGAACTCTCTTATTTTAATATTTTGTAGAGAAATTTTCTACTGTTTAACTTTTTATTTATTCCTGGCTATGTTTAGGAATGTTTTTCCAGATAATCTTCAGAATATTTTTGTTAGTTCTCAAGCGCTATTGAAATTGTTAATGGAATTTCTTACCTATACATTAATTAGGGAGTAATTTGGAATGTTAAAATATTATCTTTCCATCCCAGGCACAAACCTCCACTCTACGTTCCAATAAAGTTACATGTATGTAAAGCTTTTTGTTAGTGCTCAAATGCTATTGAGATTTTTACTGGAATTTCTAACCTATACATTAACTAGAGAGGATTTCAGAATGTTAAAATATTGTCTTTCCATGCCAAGCACATGCCTTGACTATACATTCAAATAAAGTTATACACACATAAAGACTTTTCATATATTTTGTTAAATGTGTTATTAAACAATTTTACTTTTTTTTGCTGTTTTTGTTATGTTTTTCAGTGATTTTTTCTGTATCCAACCAGATTACACACATTTTGTATGAGTTCTAAGAATTCAGCTAGGCGCAGTGGCTCACGCCTGTAATCCCACACTTTGGGAGGCTGAGGCAGGCAAATCACGAGGTCAGGAGATCGAGATCATCCTGGCTAACATAGTGAAACCCCATCTCTACTAAAAATACAGAAAATTAGCTGAGTGTGTTGGCATGCGCCTGTAGTCCCAGCTACTCAAGAGGCTGAGGCAGGAGAATCGCTTGAACCCGGGAGGCGGAGGCTGCAGTGAGTGGAGATCGTGCCACTGCACTCCAGCCTGGGTGACAGAACGAGACTCCGTCTCCGAAAAAAAAAAAAACAGAATTCAGTTGATTTTCTTGAATTTTCTAGGTAGAAAATATCCTATGCAAATAAAGATATTATCTCCCACTTTCAATTAGTTTACTTATTTTTATAATTTTGTTATGTGAATCAGAACTTCCCAGATAATGTAAATTAATGAGGTGATTATTAGACTCTGCATGTAATCTTTGATTTGCAACATACATTTTCTATATTTTCTTTGGAACAAATGATATTCATCATAATTTAAAGACAGATTTCTTTGATTTTGTTAAGAAAGGAAGATTTTATTTGAAGAGAGCTTACATTTGAAAGTTATATTGAATTTTATTAAATGTCTCTTTGTCATCTGATTTATTCGGAATAATAATCCTTTAACCCATTGATACTGTGATTACTATATTAAGTCTTATTAAGCTGTAATGTTATGAATAAACCAATTGGACATGAAAAATTATTTTTATTGTATTTATCTTTCTCATATTTCATTTAGGAATTTTGCATGTATATATATTAGTGGTATTGGTCTTTATCTGTGAGCTTTTTTATAGGTATAAATGAATTGGAAAAACTTATTTCTCTTTTTTCACGTTTACTGAGGTATAATTGGCAAATAAAAATTGTATATGTTTAAGGTGTACAACGCGATGTTCTGATATATGTACAGATTGTGAAATAATTGCCACAAACAAGCTAATTAACATATCCATCACCCCGCATATTTATTCTTTTATTTTTCCTTTTATTTTTTGTGGTGACCACACTTGATTTACACCTTTAGCAAATTTCAAGTACACAATGTAATGTTGTTAACTATACTCACATTGCTGTACATTAGATCTCCAGGGCTAATTCATTTTGCATAACTAAAAATTTGTACCCTTTGACAAATATCTCCCGTATTCTCCGCATTCACTCCCCAGCCCCTGGAAAACACCACTCTCCTCTCTGCTTCCATGAGTTTGATGATTTAAATTCCGCATATAAATGAGATCTTACATATTTTTCTTTCCATGCCTGGCTTCTTTCACTTAGCATAATGTCCTCCAGATTCATCCATGTTGCCACAAATAACAGGATTTCTTTATTTTTTAACGCTCATCAGCATTCTATTGTGTATTTACACCACATTTTCTTTATCTATCATTAGGTATTTGGTTTGTTTCCGTATCTAGGCAATTGTGAATAACGCAATATTAAACATAGGGATACAGATATATTTTTGAAATCCTAATATTATTTCCACTGGATATCTATGAAGAAGTGAGATTAATGAATTATAAGCTAGATGTATTTTTTAATTGTAATCTCTACACTGTTATCCATAAAGGTAATATGCGTTCACATTCCCACCAACAGCGTACAACACTTTGCTTTTCTCCAAAACCTCATCGAGACTTGTTGTATTATCTTTCTGATAATAGCTATCCAAAAAGGTGAGATAATAGCTCATTGGTTTTTGTTCCTTTTATTTTTATTTGACATGTAAAAATTGTACATATTTGGGGAATACAGAATGGCACTTCAACATGTGCATACATTGCATAATGACAAAATCCGGGTGATTTGTGTGTGTTGGGAATATTCAAAATCCTCTCTTTTAGGTTTTTAAACGTATACAGTAAATTACAGTTAACCATAATCATCCTACAGTTCTGAAGAACACCAGAACTCATTCTTCCTATCTAGCTGTAATTTTGCATCTGTTAGCCAATACCTCCCCATCTTCACTCACTTTCCAGCCTCTAATACCCACAATTTTACTCCCAACTTCTATAACCTCAAAATTTATTTTTGCTCCCACATATGAGTAAGATCACATCATATTTATATTTCTGTGCCTGACTGATTTTGCTTAATCCAATGTCTTCCAGGCTCATCCATGTTGCCAGGGATGACAGAATCTCATTCATTTTATGGCCGAATAGTATTGCATTGTGTATATATAACACATTTTCTTTATCCACTTGTATATTGATGGATGTTTAGCTTGAAGCCATATCTTAGCTATATAGTACTGCAATAAACGTGGGGGTTCACCATTGCTATTCAACTTTTTAGTGGACATTCTAGACAGAAAAATTGGCCAATAATAAATAAAAGGGATCCAAATAGAAAAGAAGTAAAAACTTTCTCTGTTTGCAGATAATATGATCTTATATATAGAAAACCCAAGGAATTTACAAAAAAAAAAACCTATTAGTGGTAACAAATTATTTTAGAATGTTGGATGGCACAAAATAAGTGTGAAAGAATTATTTATCTTTCTATACATTAGCAAAGAAAAACAAAAAAATTTTAAAAGTATTCAATTTAAAATATCATCCTAATAATAATACAATACCAAGGGAAAAAAAACTTTTAAAAAGAGGTGAAATACTTGTGCACTAAAAACTACAAAACACTGCTAAAGGAAATTAAAGAATACCTAAATGAATGGGAAAACATTATATGCTTATTAATTTATGCTGTGAAAAGAATACTGTCCAAAACAAATTCATTGAAATCCCTGTTAAGTTTTGATTTTATGTTTGAGAATTTTGTTGAAGTTTTGCATTTATATTCATAGGAGATACGGGTCTGTCATTTTCTTTTTTGTGATATCTTTATGAATTTGGTATCAGAGCTATGCATATCTCAAGGAATTAGTTGGGACTTGTTACAAGCAACGTACCTTATTCTATTATTGAATAAAGTAATTTGATTTTTTCTCTATTTTTCTTGGTCAGCCTATCTAAAAGTTTGTCAATGTTATTTATCTTTCCAAAGTGCCTAAATTTGGTTTTGTTTATTTTCTCTATTGTTTTTATCTGTGTTTTCTATTATATGAATTTTTTCGCTAATCTCGTTTCCTTCTGTAGGCTTTTTCTTTGCTTTTTGTTTTCTCATTGTCTTTGAAACCAACCTAATAGTCCCATTTACAGTTTTTTTGTTGTTCTTGATTTTGTTTTTGCATAGAAGTTGACTATTCTGGTCTTAAAGCTTAAAGCTTGAAAACAAAGCTTATATTTGTTTTCTCTGAGTTTCTTCCTCAGGAAAGGACCCATAGGCCTCTCAGAAAGTATCAAAGAACTGAAACTCACTAGATCATTGCATCCAGAAAATAAGACACCAGGCCCCTCATTTACCATGATTACTTCCTTACCTCTCTTCATTTCCTGTTTTCCCACACATAGTTACATTTATTCCCTGCTATCTAGACTACGAATTTTATTCAGTCAGGGAGACGGATTTTAGACTGATATCCCATCTCCTTGGCTGCAGCACCCAATTGAGGCCTTCATTCTTTGCAATAATTCTTCTGAGTGACTGGCTTTCTCTGCTGCAAGCCCCAGAACCTAGACTGAACCCCTGGTGTTTGTTTTGGTAACATCTTCAGGTGATTGAAGTGGAAGGTTAAATTATTAAGGTGTGTTTTGTTTTTGATATAGGCATTTACAATGATAAATTTCTCTCAGAGTACAGCTTTAGCATACATTTTGATATACTGCGTCTATATTTTCATTCATATCAAAATATTTTATCATTTCTCTTGTGATTCCTTCTTTGACTCATTGGTTATTTAGGAGTATGTTGTTTAATTTCCTATATTTGTGAATTTCCTCTGTTTTGATTCATCATTTCATTGCATTTGGGTCAGAGAACATACGTTAAGATTTGAATCATTTAAAAAATATTGAAGCTTGTTTTATGCCCCGACGTATTGTCTATACTGGAGAATGTTCTGTGTGACTGTGAGAAAAATGTGTAATCTTCTATTATTGGGCGGAAATTTTCATATATTCCTATGAGGTCTAGTTGTCTTTTTAGTTTTTTTAGTTTTTCAACTCATATTTCCATCTTAATTGTAAGATTAGTTCTATTTAGTAATGCTAGTGGACAAATAATACTCAATTGTTTGTATATACAACATTTTGTTTATCCATTTATCAGGTGATGTACATTTAAGTTGGTTTACAACTTTTTTGCTTTTATGAATAATGCTACTATTAATATTCGTATAAAAGTTTTGTTTGATACATGCTTTTTTTTTCTCTTGTGTATGTATCTAGCAGTGGAACTGCTCGGTCAATGTTAATTCTATGTTTAACTTTTTTTTGGAGAAACAGCCAGACTGTTTTCTAAAGTGGCTCTAACATTTTACATTTCCATCTGCAGTGCATCAGCACATAAGGACCCCAACTGGCCTGTAGTATTTTTTTCTTTTTCTTTTTTTCTTTTCTTTTTTTGATTCTTTGTCTGTTTTAGTATCAAGGTAATACCAGCCTCCTAAAATGAATCATACATGTTCATTTATCTTTTACTTGTTAGAAGGTGTAGTGAAAAATTGATAGTAATTATTCTTTAAATTTTTCATAGAATTCAGAAGCAAAGATATCTGGATTGGTCTTTTATTTGTGGTTATATTTTGATTACTAAATCAATCCCTTTACTTACTATATGTTTATTCAGATTTTCTATTTTATCCTGAGTCAGTTTGGCAATTTGCGTCTTTCGAGGAATTTGTTCATTTTATCAAAGTTGTCTTATGTGTTGGCATACATTGTTCCTAGTATTGTATTTCTTCATAATTCCTTTTATTTCTGTAAAGATTTTAGTACAGTCCCCTCTTTTACTTCTGATTTTAGCAATTAGAATTTTTTCTCTCATTCTTGTGGTCATACTAGCTAAAGTTTTGCTACTTTTATTAATCTTTCCGAGGAAACAACTTTTTAAAATATTTGCATTGGGCTTACTTTTCTCTTCCTTTTACAATAAATTAAGATGGGAAATTAGGTTGTTTATTTGAGATATTCATTCTTTTTCAGTATAGCTACTTATAGACCATCTTTTCCGGAAGAGAGCTTCTGCAACATGAAGTCTGCAACATGAAGTTTTGGGGAATAAGAAATGCTGGCATCCTCCCCCTCCAGTGGAGCCCTAGACTGAGATATGGGGGTAGAAGGAGTCTTTTATTCTTACCTACACCTATCAGCAGTAGAGCTTCAATTGCACTGAACTGGAGGTGTGAGTGTGTCTCAAATGCCACAGTATCTCACTTTTTAAAAAACACTGAGATTCTCCCAAGTAAACGTATCTATTTGTTGTATACCCTCAGAAAAATTTTTAGAGACTTTAAAGAAAGATTTCTTTAAAATTTATAATTGTTTGGTTGGGAAGAAGATCTGTAGAGCTTCTCATTCTATTATTTCTGAAGTATCTCTCTATTTTTGAGGACTGTAATTATCAGAGTGCAAGACACTGCCATCAGACCTTCTGGAACTTTGGTTTTAAAGTACTACAGTGTCCAATATTTTGTAGAAAACTGGTTGAGGAAATACTCTGGTGGCATCACAAAGAGGTGCTTGTGAAATAGAATGACAACTAACCAGTTTTCAAAATGAAACACTTTATGAATGAGAATCAGGTAGCACGAAATAAACAAAACACGTTGGCCATTTTAAAATCAGATTGTATATTTCATAAAGCAATGTATGAGTAGATCATAAAGTGAATTCAAAGTAATTTTTCTCAATAGATTCCTATCAGCTTTATAGTAACTGGAAACTTTTCTCGTATTTGTCAAATTGTTTTCCCAAAGGATTACTTTCCAGTGAAATTGTCAGTTTTTACTTTTTTATTGGTTTGGTTTGTATCAGGAGCTGTTAATTCATGTCATTTTTTTTAATGTGAATGTCTATAATACACTGTTAACTACACTGAAAACATTCAAACAGGGATAAAAGGCACCAAACAACCAGTAAATGAAATTCCTGTGTACGCTTACAGTGCTATCAAAAATCATATTTATGCATTCACTCAATACTTATGACAAAATCTTTAAATTTCATTGATCCGTGTTTTGAAATATGAGAGACAAATAACTAATAGCCCACTACTATTACTTCAAGAGGCTTACTAAAAGACTTTAGCTATGACTTCTATTATTTTAGTTTTTGACAATAATAGTTTTCACCTTCCTCAATGTTTTATGCTCATTGATTATTCTTTCATTGTGGCTGCTTGGTCTAACGTCGTAGATTTAATGTCTGGATTTTGTTTTGTTTCTTACAGTACATCTCTTTCAGGTGAAGACTGTTGTTCTAATTTTTCAGGGGAGCTTTTTGAATTGCAACACATGCCTTTGGGTCTACTGATTTTCCTTTAATTTTGCATTCTTATAGAGAAATGTCTAGGCATTCCAAATATTCTTTTACTATCAATAAAGTTGATTTGAAATGGATATCTTGTGAAATAGACTGGGATTCTGACAAATTTTAATGGTACAAGTGAGGGGAAAAGGAAAAATTACACTTGCTAGAAATATGTTCTTTAAATTCAGAGATCTAGTTCACTGGCAGAAGTTTAGAAAAAGTTAGGAACAAGAATATGCTCAGTGGGGACTTTCACATGTGCCTCTGTTTTTGCCAAGGAGACCATGTCAGGAAGCAACATTCAACTCTCAGCTCAGCCTTGCTGCTACTCTCCCAAAGCTCTGTTTATTATAGGAGCTTCGGCCATAAATGATTTCTGGGTTCACCAAGTAACACTACTGGACTCCACATTGTGTTGATTTACCCATATTGTTGAAGAGAAGACCAAGTCGTGTGTTCTGACATCTCATGCCATGCTTTCATCTCCAGATGTGAATTCCATAAAATAAGAGGTGTCAAATTCAATTTTAGATATACTGTTCTTTTATTACAGAGTATGTCAAATGTCAGCCCTCTGTCTTCCTTCAAAGAGGTCACATCAGTATTATATTGAGTGGAAATTGTTTACCTTTTTCTAGTCTTTAGCATTAATGTAGATTTTCCTCCACTCATATGCCTTAGCCAGTCATTTTTATTAGTCTTCTATTGCTGCTGTAATGAATTATCAACAACAGAATAATTTACACAAGTTTATTTATTTATTATTATTGTTATTATTATTTCTGAGATGGAGTTTCAAAAACTCTTGTTGCCCAGGCTGGAGTGCAATGGCACAGTCTTGGCTCACTGCCACCTCCGCCTCCCAGGTTCAAACGATTCTCCTGCCTCAGCCTCCCAAGTAGCTGGGATTACAGGCACCCACCACCACACCACCACATCCGGCTAATTTTTGTATTTTTAGTAGAGACGGGGTTTCACTATGTCGGCCAGGCTGGTCACGAACTCCTGACCTCAGGTGATCCACCCACCTCGGCCTCCCAAAGTGCTGGGATTAAGGCGTGAGCCACCGTGCCCAGCCAAATTCATTCTTGTATGGCTGTGGAGGCCAGAAATACAAAATAGAATTCACTATACCGAAGTCTTAATGTCAGCTGGGTTGTGATGCTGCTAAAGTTTCTATGGAATAATCCATTTATTTTTCTTCTATAGCTTCTATAGGCCGTCCTCATTCCTTCGCTTATACCTCCTTATCATATGGTGTTTCCTGCCCCCACTTTTATTATCACATAGCTTCTTCCTCCTTCAAATATTTCTCCTCTTCCTTCTTATTCTTCAGTCTTCAAATCTCTATCTGCCTCCTTCTTCTGAGGACACTTGTGTTTACATTTAGGGCTCACCCAGATAATTCAGGTAATCTCCCCATCTCAAAATATTTAACCTAATTACATATATAAACTTCTGTTTTCCCATATAAATAACATTCACAGATTCCAGGAATGAAGACCTACATATCTTTGTGAGCCATTATTTAGCCTTTCACAGTCATGTAGATAAGAATTCAAAAGAGCAATAATTAGATTCTGGTGTTAATGTTGCCTTCTTCACAGAAGTCTATGACAAAAAAACAACAATTACTCAAATTATTTTTATTTAGCAACTATTAATTTACATTTATCATACATCAGAAACCATTCTGACATCTTCACAAATATTAATTCATTTGGGTCTCATAACAACCTCAATTTACATATGTGGAAAACAAGATAAGGAGAGTTTAAATAACTTGAAAAAAGACTATATAATTTATAATTGGAGGAGATAGGATTTTAACCCAGGCAGTTTGGCTCCAGATATTCTATCTAATAAATGCATTCCTTATGATAAATATCATTCTTTTTAAAGGATGAATGTAATTTTCTGATTTAATCCAAGTTGGTAAAAAATTAAAAGTTTCCTACATCAGATAGAACCATAAACATCCACATACTCCTTGAATAAGTTAAATATGTTTTATCATATTTTAATATTTCTTTTGTTATTTCAATGGGAATAGGGATGACAAGAGACAAATTTATATGCTCACATATTAATCTTGACTATAAGTCCATTTAAATCTTTGTTTTGCCTCTTTTGGCCTTGAAATAACAAAGCAGCACAATGTAACAGAATGGAAAAAAAAATGGAGTTAGAGATACCTGATTTTGAATACTGCCTTAAAGAGTTTAGTTATCTTTAAGCCTTGCATAAGGTGCTTCATTTCTGTCATCTTTGATTTATTTCTATGTAAAATAGAACAACTGAATCAACTTCCCAGGTTTTCTGAATGTTTAAAACAAAATAATATCCATCACCTACCAAGTACAGTGTTTGGGATATAGAAGGTGTTACTTAATATTATTTCTCATTCCAGTGTTTCTTTTCTTCATATGCATATGTATAGTTATGTATTGCTGTCTTTCATATTTTTATTAATATTTTAACATTGTACAAATCTTTATGCTCATTGTCTTATTTGCTTCTCTACAATTTCTCAGTCTGTGGCTCTCTGCTAAGCCAAGATTCTATGCTTAGAAACTCCACACAAGGTGTTTCTGATGCTCTTCCTTGTACCTAAGTATCAAGGCCTACCTCCTCCCACGATGCTGCCAGTTCTCCAGTGAACAGCTGATTTTACTTCTGCCTCCACTGAGAGACTATATGATAAGCAGTGTCGATTAGAGACAGGAGTATTAGGCAATAACTCAATGGGAGATACTTAATTGTATGAGTTCTTAATAAGAGATTCTCAATAGTAATGTTTTTCTTTTTTTTTTTTTTTCTATTTCCCAGTCTTTTGTGTGGGTACATTGTAGGTGTATATATTTATGGGTTACATGAAATGTTTTGATATAGGCATGCAATGAGTAATAATAATTTCAGGTTAAACAGGGTGCCCATCACCTCAAGCATTTATCTTTTGTGTTACAAACAATCCAATTATATTTTTTAGTTATTTTATTTATTTTTATTTACTATTTATTTATTTTGAGACAAGATCTCACTTTGTTGCCCAGACTGGAGTGCAGTGGTGCAATCTTCGCTCATTGCAGCCTCAACCTCCCAGGCTCAAGCGATCCTCCTGCCTCAGCCTCCCGAGTACCTGGGACTACAGGTAGTCAACACCATGCCTGCCTAATTTTTGTATTTTTTGTAGAGATGGGGGTTTCTTAATGTTGCAAAGGCTAGTCTCAAACTTCTGACCTCAAGCAATCCACTTGCCTTGGTCTCCCTAACTGCTGTGATTACAGTCATGAGCCACTGTATTCAGCCTATTTTTATTTTAAATGCACAATTAAATTATTTTTGACTATAGTCACCTTGTGGTGCTATCAAATACCAAGTCTTATTTATTCTTTCTCACAATTTTTGTACTCATTAACTATCCCCACTTACCCCCACCCCCGCTACCCTTACCAGCCTCTGGTAGCCATCCTTCTACCCTCTATCCCCATGAGATCATTTGTTTTGATGTTTGGGTCCCACAAGTAAGTGACAACATGCAACGTTTGTCTTCCTGTGCCTGGGTTATTTTACCTAATATAATGATCTCCAGCTTCATTCATGTTGTTAGAAATGAAAAGTTGCTTTTGCATCTTGGCTATTGTGAATATGTCTACAGTAAACATGAGAGTGCAGATCTATCTTTAATATACTGATTTCTTTTATTTTGGACATACAACCAGTAGTAGGATTACAGGATCATATGGTAGATCTCTTTTACATTTTTGAGGAAGCTTCACACTGTTTTCTAATTTGCTATACTAATTTACATTCCCATCAACAGTGTACTGCTGTTTCCCTTGGCCCACATCCTCAGAATCTTGGTAAACTTTAAATTACCTATGCTGATGAACTATCAGAAGGGGTGTGCCTTGAGTTTCACTGCCAGTGGGAATTATTGGAGGACAGGCCAGCTGAACACTGTGGCTTATTTTTATTTGTGAGATAATAGCTCATGTTCTGGTCTCTGGCCATAACAGAATCAGTGGCAAGAGAATATGACATACTAACATAGGGGGATAAAGAGTGGGAATCAAGGAGAATTTTTAGCTTTTAAGATATTGCAAGGGAACATCACACTCTGCGGACTGTTGCGGGGTGGGGGGAGGGGGGAGGGAGAGCATCAAGAGATATACCTAATGCTAAATGACGAGTTAATGGGCGCAGCACACCAGCATGGCACATGTATACATATGTAACAAATCTGCACATTGTGCACATGTACCCTAAAACTTAAAGTATAATAATAATAAAAAAAGCAATCTAAAATCGATAAAAAAAGATATTGCAACAAAGAATAGGAAGAATCATATTTAAAAAATAGGAAGAATCATATAAAAATCATATTAAAAAAATAGGAAGAATCATATTAAAAGATATCGTGGGAGAAAATTATAGATAACCAAGGGACTTGTGGGCAAAGGTAAAAGAAAAATTAGAGTAAAATACACAGTAGGATGGAAAGTTACTTGTATCATTTAGCTAGTGCTGCAGCAAAACCCACCCCCAAACTTATTGTCTTAAAATTACTATATATATATATATATATTCTATATATATGTTATATATAATATATTATAATATATGTATTATAGATTATAGATTATATATGTAGATTCTATATATATAGATGATTCTGTAATCAATATATATATTGATTTTATATATATATATATATATGGAGAGAGAGAGATTCTGTGAGTTAGCTGGTCAGTTCCTCTGCTGGTTTTTTCAGAGCTAATTTATGTAGAAGTATTCAGCTGGAGGAGCTGATGGGCTACAGGGTCCAAGATGTCTCTCTCACTTGCATGTCCAGCAGTTTCTGATGGTTGTTGGCTCTGGAGGCTCTGCTACACTCAACAGGGCCTCTAATTCCTCAATACGTTAGACTAGCTACCTTATGTGACAAACTTGATACAACATTCCAAGAGATTGTAAACAGAGGCTGCAATGCAACTTTAAAACAAAGCTCTTGCACTTGTATAACATTTCCATCACATTTTTTGTTTCTTTTATAATGTTTTATTTTTAGTTTTTGTAGGTACATACATGTATATATTTATGTGGTACATGAGATTTATTTTATTTCAAAAATTTTGGGAGAACAGGTGATTTCTGGTTACATGGATGAGTTATTTAGTGATGACTTCTGAGATTTTGGTGTACCTGTCGCTAGAGCAGTGTACACTGTCCACAATGTGTAGAATTTTATCTCTCATCCCCTTCCCACCCTTCCCCTCAAGTCCCCAAACTCCATTATATAATTTTTATGCTTTTATGTCCTCATAGCTTAGCTCCCACTAAGTGAGAACATACGACGTCGGTTTTCCATTCCTGAGTTGCTTCACTTAGAATAATGGTCTCCAAATCCATCCAGGTTGCTGTGAATGCCATTATATTGGTTTTTTTTTTATTATTTCTAAGTAGTATTCCATGGTGTATATATACCACATTTTCTTTATCCACATGTCGATTGATGGGCATTTAGGCTGGTTCCATATTTTTGCAATTGCAAATTATGCTGCTTTAAACATCCGTGTGCAAGTGTCTTTTTCATATAATGACTCTTTTTCCTTTGAGGAGATACCCAGCAATGGGATCGCTGGATCAAATGGTAGTTCTACTTTTAGTTCTTTAAGGAGCCTCCATACTGTTTTCCATAGTGCTTGTGCTAGTTTACATTCCCACCAGCAGTGTAAAAGTGTTCTCTTTTTACGACATCCATGCCAACATCTATCATTTTTTTTTATTAGGGCCATTCTTGCAGGAGTAAGATGGTATCTCATTGTGGTTTTAATGTGCATTTCCCTGATAATTAGTGATGTTGAGCATTTTTTCACGTTTGTTGGCCATTTGTGTATCTTCTTTTGAGAATTGTTTATTCAAGTTATTTGCCCACTTTTTGATTGGGTTATTTGTTTTTTTTTTTTTTCTTGCTGATTTGTTTGAGTTCCTTGACAAGTCTGGATATTTGCCTCCTGTTGGATGCATAGTTTGTGAATATTTTCTCCCACTTTGTGGGTTGTCTGTTTACTCCACTGATTATTTCTTTTGCTGTGCAGAAGCATTCTACTTTAATTATGTCCCATCTATTTATTTTTGGTTTTGTTGCATTTGCTTTTGGGTTCTTGGTCATGAACTCTTTGCCTAAGCCACTGTCTAGAAGAGTTTTTCTGATGTTTTCTTCTAGAGTTTTTATGGTTTCAGGTCTTAGATTTTAGTCTTTGGTCTATCTTCAGTTGATTTTTGTATAAGGTGAAAGATGAGGATTCAGCTTCATTCTTCTGCATGTGGCTTGCCAATTATCCAAGCACCATTTGTTGAATAGGGTGTCCTTTCCCCACTCAATGTTTTTGTTTGCTTTGTTGAAGATCAGTTAGATGTAAGTAGTTGGCTTTATTTCTCTAAACAGACCAATAACAAGTGGTGAGACTGAAACAGTAATAAAAGAAATGCCAACAAAAAAGTCCAAGACCAGATAGGTTCACAGATAAATTCTATCAGACAGTCAAAGAAGAATTGGTACCAATTCTGCTGAAACTATTCCAAAATATGGAGAAATGGGGAATCCTCCCTAGAAGCCACTATCACGCTAATACCAAAATAAAGAAAAAAGCATAACAAAAAAGAAAACTACAGGCCAATATTCCTGATGAATATAGATTCAAAAATTCTCAACAAAGTGCTAGCTAACTGAATACAATTGCATATCAAAAAGATAATACATCATGATCAAGTGGGTTTCATACTGTGGATGCAGGGATGGTTTAACATACGCAAGTTAATAAATGTGATACATCACATAAACAGAATTAAAAACAAAAATCACATAAGCATCTCAATAGACATAGAAAAAAGCATTTGAGAAAATCCAGCATCCCTTTATGGTTAAAACCCTCAGCAAAATCAGCATACAAGGGACATACCTTAATGTAATAAAAGCTATCTATGACAAACCCACAGCCAACATAATACTGAATGGGGAAAATTTGAAGGCATTCCCTCTGAGAACTGGAACAAGACAAGGATGCCCACTCTGACCACTTCTATTTATCTTAGTACTGGAAGTCTAGCCAGAGCAATCAGACAAGAGAAAGAAATAAAGTACATGCAAATCACTAAAGAGGGAGTCAAACTGTCACTGTTTGCTGATGATATGATTGTATACCTAGAAAACCCTAAAGGCTCATCTAAAAAGCTCCTAGACTTAGTAAAGTCTCCAGATACAAAATCAATGTACACAAATCAGTAGCACTACTATACACCAACAGCGACCAAGCTGAGAATCAAATCAAGAACTCAATTCCTTTTACAACAGTTGCAAAACAATAAATCAAATACTTAGGAATATACCTAACCAAAGAGGTGAAATATTTCTACAATAAAAAACTACAAAACACTGCTGGAAGAAATCACAGATGACCCAAACAAGTGGAAACACATTCCATGCTTATGGATGGGTAGTATCATTATTGTGAAAATGACCATACTGCCAAAAGCAGTCAACAGATTCAGTGCAATTTCCTTCAAAATACCGTCATCATTCTTCAGAGAACTAGAAAAATACATCACATTCTTTAGCACAAAGCAAGGCACACAGTTATCTCAGATTGAAGGGGTAAGGAAACAGACCTTAACTCTTCAAATGAGGAGTGACAAAGCCATTACAAAAGGACATACATAATGGGATGGGAGAAATTGTCATAAACTTACCACATACTAAATGATTTTTCAAAGGGGAATCATATAATCTGATGATTTTAAAGATTACTCTGGCTATTGTGAGGTGAATGATTCTACTGGGACATAAGCAGATACCTCAGGTAGAAGATTAGTTTAGGAAGAAACTGTCTTCAAAATGTTTAATAAATATTACTAGACATTTCTGCATGAACAATGTCATGGCTATTGCTAAAAGTTTACATAAGGTGCTGTGGCATAGTCTAGACTAATTATCTTTCTAGATTCAATCCATCATAGTTAAAAAAGAATTAGCAAAGATAAATATCTTTTGGAAAAAAGCTTTAAAAGAAAACGTTCAGATAGTCTCAAAAAAGGTAATCACCGAGTTCACCCAATGTATATCTACAGTAGATTAAATCAAATGTATTTTAGTCTCTGTTCAAAAAGTAGTATAATAAAAGCAAAATGTTTTAAAATGCAATGTATTATCCATCCTTTCCCTTCAAACATTTTGTAAAACCTAGACAGCTACTTTGCAAAGGAACTTGGAGTTTGTACTCCTTAAAGCCAGAAGATATTTCTGTGATCTAATTAAAATTTAAGACATAGGAATTGGATGAATCAATTTACAGTCATGGAGAACTGATAATGAAAATGCTGTTTCTAAAAATAGCTCCATTAGAAAGATAAAAGGGGTAGATGTTGCACGCAATGATGGGAAATGATATGCTGCTCTACTGCAAGAAAAGATAATGAATGAAACAGCCAAAAAAGGGGAAAATATCTATATCTATTAATCCTAAATAAAGAATTACAGAGTTGAGCTGAATAAAGACACTTAGAAAAGCAACTCAAAATTTGCCAGAGCTTTTATATTATCTTATTATCAAAGTGCATATATTTTTAATGTTAATTCTCAATAATGGTAAGGGTATAATAAACAGCACTACGGTGCTAGAGGAGTTAATCCTTGTGGTCTTTTTTTTTTTTAAAGACTGTCGCAATATGTATTTTTAACCTTTAAAAATTATATTTTTGACACAATACTTCTAGTGACAGGAATGGCTTAGGAAAGAATTTATATGCAAAAATATCCATCACAGTTCATAGAGGCAAAAAATTTAACCTAAATTGCCAATAGTAGATGGTTAAATTATGATGACTTAGTACAAAGGATTTCCATGTGACTTTTAAAAACCGTGTTTCAATGCATTTACAATGACATGAATAATTCTAAGTTTATTGAACATATGTGGATATAAAATCTTATTAAGAATATGACCTCAATTATGTATTCATAAACTCATGGAGGGATGGTGCTCACGGCTTTGAAGGAATGAACAAGGTGAAAAACTCTATTCCCTAAAATAGTACAAAATTGGACAAGTATTTGATAATAACCATTTAAGGGTTGTGGAAATTGATCTAAGGCAAACAACACAATGAAAATAGTTTACTCCTAAAAATCAAGTAAAAACTGTAGGAGTCTATAGTGTTGTGGCCTGAGGCTATATCTATCCCTCATGAGTTTAATCAGAACAGTAGAGACACCAGGACAGTGTTGGCTGTAAGAAACAGAAACTTTATTGCTAATCTGGGCTGACTTGATTGACAGCAAAGGGTGGGAAACTCATACCCATTGGTAAACAGGGAAGATCTGCAGCTTTGCTAACTGGAGGCTGTGGTCTCAGCTGGGTGTGACAACTGATTAGAAAAACAGCCAGAAATGTAACTGGGAGATTCTGGAAATGGGCAAATCATAGAAAGGTTAGCTAAGCACTCCACGCATGCCTGGCCAACTCACCCAAATACACAAGAGAGGCACAAGAAAACCCAATTTGTTTAAAGAAGCATGATTGAATGAGAGCCTGGACGTACGAATAGGAGAAACTTGAGAGAACACAAAGCCTCCCCATATTACTAACCTGACTGAGACACTGCAAATATGCAAGAGAAAACTAAGAGGACCCAGAGGAAAGTAAAAGAAGAAAATAATGTGAGAAGTTTGGGAACTTTGAAATGCCTCCCTTGAACCACACACAAATCCACTGTCAAAAGATGGAAGACTAACTGACTCAAGGTGTTTGATAAAAGACTTGGAACCAACCCAAATGTCCAACAATGATAGACCGGATTAAGAAAATGTGGCACATATACACCATGGAATACTATGCAGCCATAAAAAATGATGGGTTCATGTCCTTTGTAGGGACATGGATGAAGCTGGAAACTATCATTCTCAGCAAACTATCGCAAGGACAAAAAACCAAACACCGCATGTTCTCACTCATAGGTGGGAATTGAACAGTGAGAACACTTGGACACAGGAAGGGGAACATCACACACCGGGGCCTGTTGTGGGGTTGGGGGAGGGGAGAGGGATAGCATTAGGAGATATACCTAATGTAAATGACGAGTTAATGGGTGCAGCACACCAACATGGCACATGTATACATATGTAACAAACCTGCATGTTGTGCATATGTACCCTAAAACTTAAAGTATAATAAATATATATATATATATATATATATATATATAAAAAATTCTGACCAACTGTTGCCAAACCACTAAGCCATGTAGAAATAAAGGTTACCGATAGGTAATCAGGCAAATATGCTAAACTAATCCAAACATATTCAAACTAAACTACACTAAAATGACATAAAATAAAAACTGAATATAAACATCAGTGACCACACAGAGCAGGGAAGAAAAATACCACAGATTAAGTTCAGGAAAGTTACTTAAAAAACAAATGATAATACAGATGAACCTGGAGGACATTATGTTAAGTGAATTGAGTCAGGCACAGAAAGACAAATACCACATGATCTTACTCACATGTGAAATCTAATAAAGTAGAGAAGTAGAGAGTAGAATGATAGTTACCAGAGAATTTGAGTGGTTAGGAAAGAGGAGAGATGGGAAGATGCTGATAAGGAGCTGATCATAATCCTAAAACACACAATCCCAAGCATTGAAATTTCAAAAGATAATAACACCCATTATTACTTCTGCTCTTTTGTCCCTGTCCTCTTCTGGTACTCCATTACATGTACATTGATAAGTTAATGACGTCCCACATTTATCGGATGTGCTTTTTACTTCTGTTCATTCATTTTGCTGCTCTTTAGAATGAACAATCTGTATTGATATTCTTTGAATTCACTGATACTTTCTTATACTAGCTCCTCCAATAAATTTATGATAAATTTATTTCCAGAAAATCCAAGTCTGGCTATTACATGAACTGGAGAAAAAAAAGTTCAGTGGGAAATATGTTGTCTGAAATCTGTGTCCAATCAGAGGCAGCTTTTATTGTTTGCATTTTTTTCTGGTTATGGCTCACATTTTCCTGTTGTATTGTAATTTTTTTAGAATTGTGGATATTTTAGATAATGGATTTAGTGGTAGCCAATCATAATCTTGAAAAGCAAAATCCTAAACATCATAATCCCGAATGTTGAAATCCTGAAAGATCAAAATCTCTAATGTCTAAGTCCCTAAAGTATAAACACCCTAATGTCTAAAAATCCCCAAAGTAACAATCACAGAATAGTTCCATTGTGTCACGTGAACTATTACCTTGTTATTGTCTTTATTTGGAAATTAGTATTATTTATAAAAATGAATATGCATGCCAAGTTGACAAGAAAAAGGCAGAAAGCATTGGGGTGACATATTCAAAGTGCTGAAAGAAAGAATCAACTGAAACTCTTATATGCAGAATAACCACCTCTAACAAATGAAGGCAAAATAAAAACTATCCCCTGATAAACAAAAATCATGAGAGTTTGTTGCTAGCACACACTACTTACAAAAAATAATAAGATTACAGGACGTTCTTTATAAGAAAGCAAGTGGATCCAAGTGGAAATTCAAATTAACATGCAAAAAACAGAGTTTTTCTAAAGATAATTATTGAGCCAATTATAAGTGGCATAAAATTGCGTATTTCTTTTCTTTGCTTAATTGATTGAAAAAGCAGTTGAATAAAACACTATAAATTTAATGGTATTGATGAGTCTACAATGTAAAAAAATGTAATATATTTGACAGTAATGACATGAAGGCAGTGTGTGGGAACAGATCTTCATTATAAGATGAAAATTGTATGAGATAGTAACTTAAATCCACAGCTAGAAATGAAGAGAACCAGAAACATAAATAAGAAGGCTAATATAACAATAATGTTTATTCTCTCAAGTACTTTAAAAGACACAAAATTATATAAAATAACATAATCGAAATTGTGGGCAACGGAATCTTCCTGACACTGAATGGCCAACGCATAAAGGTTCCTTTGGACAAACCATAGCAGAACATGTGGACCTCAAGGTGAAAACTTTTTCTGATGTCTGTAAGAAGCTCATGAGCAAGGATGTTCATTTTGAATTCCCATAGTTGCAAACAAAAATGATTAAAAAATGTATATTCACAGTTAAAAGAAATTTTACAAAAAGACATAGGCTGCAATCCATAGCCTGGCAACATGGTCCTCCTTGCTCTGCACCACTGGCAGAGAGAAGATCCTGGGAGCTTTTGCTTATTTTTTGTGTGGCTTTTTCGAGTTGGCTTAGACAGAATTCTCCTCTGAGCAACAAAGACAACATGTTTCCCACTGAACTTCTTCTCAATTCATGTAATAGCCAGACTTGGATTTTCTGGAAAGATTTCAGTTTAGGAATGGGAACAAAGATTATAATAACTTTCCAACTATCAACAATTTCAATTTCCTTGGTTGTTGTTATATTCAGTTCCCTGAGCTGAGGCTTGAGGTCCGAGTTCATCTCCAGCTCCAGAAAAGCTGGACTCAAACTCACGTGGCTTCATGTGGTTGCGCTTCATGATCTTGGTCTCAAAATGAACATGACCTTGTTGCTGAGTGCCAGCTTAGGAGGAGTGCAGCCTTTATTCTGAAACATATTGACAGCCATTTGTTTTAAAGCGGGGTATGACACAGTATGACTTCCATTTTACAGAGATTTTTAGAGCTACCCACTAGAAGCCATCAGTAACGGAAAAGAAAGAATCAGTACTGTTATTCTTCTTTCTTGCTTACTTACGATTTTTTAAAAAGGCAATGAAACAAAACTGTGATAATGAACTACACGTGTTGTATTTCTTGAAGAAACTTCTTGTAAATTAATGTTAAATTTCCCCAATATTACTAAATGGCATTACAAATTAGGATTGCCATATGCTACAAAGAAAGAAAATAATTTACAAATCACTTAAGAGTATTCGGGGAGAGAGGAAATAGTTTAAGACGTCACATAAGCTTGAGACAATTCTGCTATGGTTCTATCTGTCTTTTAACCACGACTTTGTTGTCTCCTTGTGCATCTGAAAAAGTAAAAAGGATAAATGATTTATCTAAATGCTGGTGATAATCTGAATTATACTTTTTCTTTTAACAGTGTTAACAGTTTGAAGTGGCTGAAAGGTAACAGTCAATAAGAAAACAAGGCATCACTTTGAATAATAATAATAGCTCTCACTTATGTGTTATCATATGTCAGGCGTGGTTCTTAGCAAAGGTGATCATATAAATCCTCATATACACAAGGACACTTTTGAGAGTGAAAGGAGCCACTAATTAATAAATATATAAATATAGGAGAAAATGTTAGTAATTGGCACCTAGAATAAATTAAGACAATTCCCTACTCCATAGAGGTTTACAGTCTGGTGAAGTTTTCTGCTATGATCTTCAGGTTTAGTTGTTTATTGGGGCTAAAATACCTCTTGCTTTCCAAAAGACCACTGGGACATTCTTTATAACAGCTGCTCTGTGTTCTGTGCTTTTCTCCCCAGGTCCTAATATGTGGCTTTGAGGCTGCTGGCTCATACTGAGGTACTTGAGCAAAGAGTAGGAGTAAAATCAAGACTGTTCCTCCCAATAGCCAAGCAAAGCCTCTGGGTGAGCTTGTCTGTTTCAAATGGTTTTTACCTTGAAAGCCTTTCGGCAATCAGGCTGAATGGCAGTGAGAAAGAAGGTTAGGCAGAAGAAAAAGTCATAGTAGCAAATCCTCCTGAGGGCAGGAAATAAGGATCTGGACCAGAAATTTCAGTTCGCCAATGATTTTCTTCTTTGCAGAATCAGTGTCCAGTATAAGAGGGGAGAGAGTGGAAGTGAAGCAGGCAGTAAATTGACACTAGAATCGTTTATGACATCCTTTTCTTCATATGCCCTTCATACTGTGGGAGCTTACAGATGGATGCATTGGGGTTCTGAGAAATATCACACAATTGCAGAGATTTTGCAAGGCCTGTGCTGAGTGGTGTAAACCCTAGAGTCATGGTATCATACGACTAAAAGTAAATTCTCCAATTTTTAGTAAAATAGACACCATGTTACCTTTTAATGTAATTGTTGAAACCATGTAACTGTCTTCTGGGTGACTATGGAAGCATGTCAAGTCAGACAACACCTACACTACTAAAGTGAATGGACACTCACAATGATGAGTTAATGGATTTAAAAAAATAATGATGAAATATAGTTCACATAGCATAAAATTCACCAAAGTGCACAAGTCAGTGGTTTTCAGTATATTTACAGAGTTGTACATTACCACTCATGTACAACTTACTATTATCTATTTCCAGAAATTTTTCTTCACTTTCAAAAGAAACCCTGAACCCCCATTCATGGATCGTTAAATGTAGCAGGATCTCTCAGGTAGCAAGGACATAAAGGAGATGGGCAGGCCATAACACTGCCGATCCCAGAAATTTGCTAGGAAACCACCTTCTTGCTTGTTCATGAAATCACTGGTTCCTTTATATATTCATACATCTATTCATTCTTGGAAGATTTATTGAGTGCTTACTCATGCCAAGCACTGTACTAGATGTTGAGCATATAACAGTAAACCAGGCATTCATAATTTCTACACTACTAAACTTTACAATTTAGTAAAAAAGTATTAATCATATTAACAAAAATAAATTAAAATTATGATAAATCCCAGGAAAAATAACATGTATAAGGAGCATTGGCTAACTTAGCTGGGAGTCAGAGACGTTTCTCTAGAGTAAGAAGTATTTAAGCTGACATATCAATGAAAAGTAGGAGCTAGCCAGATAAAATGTTCGCCCTGAGGTGGACAATAGTTTATTTAAGAAACTGAAATAATAGTAGTAATAATACCCTATGTATATTAAGTTCTTAAATGTGCTACATTTTCCAATGCATTTATCCATGTTTCTTGACATCAGTTTCTGTATTCCCTGGCTTACTCAACCATTTAGACAATGTGTTCTGGATTATTGACTTCAGTTTTCTATAAGATAAGGTGTCTTTGAACAGTATCCATAAGCCGCTTTTAGTTCAAAAAGAACAGTGCTCCAAAATAGTGGCTCCTCCTAAACTGCTCCTCAAGGTGTGGTGGTAGATTTAAAACCTCCAGGTCTTTTCTGCCTAAAGAATAATTTGATATGTCATTTTCAATGAGTTTCCTGAGCAATTCAAAAGATTTTAGTTGTCTTCTTTTCTATAACACTGGATCTCAATTTTGTATTGAAAGGAGCTTAAATGTGATGTAAAAAGTTTCCAACATTTGAAAATCTATTCTCAGAAGAATGAGTCTGAAAAATGTGAAATATGCATTCATGCCACTCGGTGAAAAAATGAGAAACCCGTGCACTTGCATGCATGCATGTAAAATGACCTGAATCTGCTCGTACCTAGATCTTGGACATCCCAGCTTCCAGGACTATGAGAAATAAATGTCTGTTGTTTATAAACTAGCCAGTGTAGGTTCCTTTCTTTTTTTTTATTTTATTATTATTATACTTTAAGTTTTAGGGTACATGTGCACAACGTGCAGGTTTGTTAAATATGTATACATGTGCCATGTTGGTGTGCTGCACCCATTAACTCGTCATTTAGCATTAGGTATATCTCCTAATGCTATCCCTCCCCGCTCCCCCCACCCCACAACAGGCCCCGGTGTGTGATGTTCCCCTTCCTGTGTCCATGTGTTCTCATTGTTCAATTCCCACCTATGAGTGAGAACATGCGGTGTTTGGTTTTTTGTCCTTGTGATAGTTTGCTGAGAATGATGGTTTCCAGCTTCATCCGTGTCCCTACAAAGGACATGAACTCATCATTTATTATGGCTGCATAGTATTCCATGGTGTACATGTGCCACATTTTCTTAATCCGGTCTATCATTGTTGGACATTTGGCTTGGTTCCAAGTCTTTGCTATTGTGAATAGTGCTGCAATAAACATACGTGTGCATGTGTCTTTATAGCAGCATGATTTATAATCCTTTGGGTATATACCCAGTAATGGGATGGCTAGGTCAAATGGTATTTCTAGTTCTAGATTCCTGAGGAATCGCCACACCGACTTCCACATGGTTGAACTTGTTTATTATAGCAGCCCAAACCAACTAAGACAGAAGCTGTCCTGACCTCCTGGTCTAGGTAAAGTCCCCCTGTGTCATACTTCTACAGTCAACCCAAACGAAGTCCCCTGTCATTACATCCATCACACTGTATTGCAAATGCTTCTTCAATATCTCTCATCCCTGCTGGGCTATAAGTTACTTAAAGTAATGAATGAATAATTTCTAAGAAATTAAAGAGAATAAAATGAATTCTTTACTCTGAAGGGCTAGTCTTCTTGAAGTGATTTCCAACATTTCCTCCTTTGTGTAATAACACTTTTATATTTATTCAATTTCAGAAGCCTCTGGCCTACTCATTAATTTGCTTTTGATAAAGTTCATGACAGACTATAGGATGACTGGAGATATGTTCATTCCATTGTCAATTAATTGGATGTCTTCTCCATGCCGGAAATGTTGCAGCAGGGTACTGAGCAAGATAATGGAATAGTACATACAGTGTAGCTGAGGAAACTTTCTCAGTGGGAAGAACAAGGTGCTATGGGACCTCACAGAAAAGGCACCCAAGGGAGACTGTAATGTGTTCTCAGCTAAATGAAGGTAGTTCATTATGCTTATATACATCTGTGGACATTAACAGGAAACCAGAATTGGAGTCATTGTCCTAGAATGCTATCTAATTAATAAACTTATCATCTGACCCTTAAAGCTCTCAGTAAAGTCCTATGAATGAAAGAAAAATGTTCCTGGCAGTTTCATAGAAAAAAAATTGTTAAATTTATCTGTACCTTTGATTCTATTCCTAGAAGTACTCTGTGCTCATGTGCCTTCATTCTTTAAGTATGACATGGGAATAACAGTCTCAAAAACCAAACTCTCGCCTTTTCTACCCTTTTAGGTTCTTTCAATAGATAACTTTCCATTAAACAATCTGCATCATTTGAAGCATCACATCAAACACCATTGGCTTGGCATTAATATGAAACTGGAAAAAATAAATATTAAAAAAGGATGGTGAAGTAAGATTCTGGGCTGGTTTTAAATATTGCCTTTTGTAGAGCACTGTGCACTTCCAATCTTTCTTGGTCTCTGAACATACTGGCTGCTAGCTGAGGCAAAAAGAAGCGATGGTTTTCAAAAGATCATTCAATCATGGTAAACATTTACAGATTTCTCCCACTCCTGTCTTTTTTTCTCCTTCTTCTCCTTCTCCTCCTCCTCCTCCTCCTTCTCCTCCTTCTCCTCCTTCTCCTCCCTCTCCTCCTTCTCCTTCTTCTTCTTGAGACAGAGTCTCACTCTGTCACCCAGGCCGGAGTGCAGTAACTCGATCTCAGCTCACTGCAACCTCCACCTCCCAGGTTCAAGCGATTCTCCTGCCCCAGCCTCCCAAGTAGCTGGAATTACAGGTGCCTACCACCACGCCTGGCTAATTTTTGTATTTTTAGTAGAGACAGAGTTTCACCATGTTGTCCAGTCTGGTCTTGAACTCCTGACCTCAAGTGATCCGCCTGCCTCAGACTCCCAAAGTGCTAGGATTACAGGCATGAGCTACCGCTCCCAGCCTTCTTCTCTTTTCTTCTGCATTATAGTGTGCCAAAGCTATCTGTTTTTCATACTTCTGGAAGCCAAACAGCATGTCTTTGGTTAGCAGTTCATATCATCACTACCCAGGAATTAATGTTTTCAAACCAAAAAAAAAAAAAAAAATTAAATGATACATCTAAAAAAAGAGACAATTATGATTCACTTGTGGTGGAAAATCATGTATATAAATTTATTGTCTTGGAAGAAATTATAGAGTAATCTTTCCCCATGTTAAAATTTTAAAAACCATAATTTGATACAAATTAAATTTTAAAGACATTATAAATTCATACAAATGGAAATTAGCAAAGCAAAGCACAACAGTCTGACAAAACTCATTATTAAAAAAAAGTTTTAAAATCCAGCAAATCTCTGTTTTTTTAAATATCTAGATTGGAATAATGAATAAATATTGGAATGCTCTTTTACATGTCATATATTTGACTTTTAGGTTTCCAAATATGAACGGCTTAGGAAAAAACAAGGAAAGTGTTTATATAGTTATATATGCATATGTATTTGTGTGTATGAAAAGAATATATGATACAAATTGCAACAAGAATGTTTAGTTATGATTTTCAAATCAAATAGATATGATATAGGAACTTAAACAATTTAAGTTACATATACTTAAATTTATGTGTATTCTCCACTTTTTGTTGGCAATCATAAATCTTGAGTATTATTGATGTTTTTAGGTTTATAAGACAGAATATTTAAAAATGGAATTCTCAATTATGATTTCAGCATTATATCAGATAATGCTTCCAAAAGACACACAATTTGAGAATCTTTGCAATGTCATTTTCTTTCTGTATAGGGCAACATCATTCTAATGGTGAAATAGAATCACATGATATTCAACTTGAGAATACGAATCAATCAGCCCTCAGTTGCAAAAGGATGGGGTTAACTACATTGAGCCAACCCAGCCCTGTGAGCCACTGCTCATTAATGGGAGTTCTGTCACAGTCTGAGGACAGATTGATCTTTAAATCCTTTTGAATTATTCATATGTATTCATGGAATACACACAATCTGGTATCCTCTTCAGTGATGTGTTTGTATATGAAACACCATGAGTGTTTTGTAATCTCATACTTGCCTAGCAGAGAAATGTATTATAATATCTAAATGACAACTGGGTAGGTACAAACATCATAAATTTTCCTATCACTCAACTGTATAGAATTTATCATTTTGTACGTCAAAATTATCATATATTATTATTAAGCCAGAACATATAATTGGAAAACAAAATTACAGGCTTTAGGGTAGAAAACATTTGGATTCACATTCCAGCTCTTCCAGATTAAGCTGTGCTCAATTTAACCAACTCTAAAGTGAGGGATAATATTAACTACAGAGATCAATTGTGTCAGAAAACCCTGACTTTTTTTTTTTAAAGAAAGTTTTATCGGCCAGGCGTGGTGATTCACACCTGTAATCCCAGCACTTTGGGAGGCCAAGAGGGGGGGATCACGAGGTCAGGAGTTTGAGACCAGCCTGACCAACGTGGTGAAACTCTGTCTCTACTAAAAAATACAAAAATTAGCCAGGCGTGGTGGTGCCCGCCTGTAATCCCAGCTAGTCAGGAGGCTGAGGCAGAAGAATCGCTTGAACCCGGGAGGCGGAGGTTGCAGTGAGCCGAGAGCGCCACTGCACTCTGGCCTGGGCGAGAGAGTGAGACTCTGTCTCAAAA
Organism: Homo sapiens; assembly: GCF_000001405.40. Taxonomy (NCBI): domain Eukaryota; kingdom Metazoa; phylum Chordata; class Mammalia; order Primates; family Hominidae; genus Homo; species Homo sapiens. The sequence continues at coordinate 143,799,614 of NC_000023.11, read as the reverse complement.
AAAAAAAAAAAAAAAAAAGTTTTATTAAAGTATAACTGATATACAAAAAAAAAAAAAAACCCACACATATTTAATGTATAAAATTTGATGAGTTTGGAGAAAGCCCTGACTTTCAACCTGGCTTAACCGAAAGAAATCCTGAAGTAGGGCAGCCTCCAAGTAAGATATGCCAGTGATTAGCTTTATTTCTTTGAAATTATCTGTCCTCTTCTCTATGTTGGCTTTGCATCTCTCAGACTGAGAGCAATGCATCTGCCAGATATCAAGGCATCCTATCCAGAGAAGCCAACATCCAAAGGAAGGAGAGAGACCATCTCTTAACAGTGTCTCTTTTAATAATAAGTGAACCTATACCAGAAGACCTCCTACTCAGCAGAACCTCCTTCTGTCTTGCTGGCCAGAATTGTGTCACATTTCCACTCCTGATAATTATTGATTGGCAAGGAAACTGAGACTACCTTGAGCCTTAGTCCACCAAGACTAACTCCTAAGGAAACAATGGGGCTGCCCATGTTCTACCATGTTGGGGGGTGGTAGATATCTGAACAAACTAGGGATACTTTTGGCAAGAATAAAAGAAAAAATGAAAGCTAGACAAGGCAAACAATGAATGAAAAACACCTCAGGGTATTCTGATTAGTAAATGAAACTATATGTTATGTGAAGTCCATCCTTATATGTCTAACACAAAGTAAATACTCAATAGATAATTGCTACTGGTATTATCGTTGTTGTTAGTATTATTATTAAACTATACCGTAAACACTATAATAGCAGCCACGGTTGGGATACAAAGGAAATATACTTCTATTTTTATTACTAACTCTCTGCATGGCTTAGACTCTATACCAGGAAATGGAAGACATCTCCAAAGTAAAAAATAGTAAATATTTTAGTCTTGTGGAGTACATAGCTTTTTTGTCATATATTCTTTGTTTTTGTTTTGTTATTTTTCTGTTCTTTAACTATGCTAAAACCGTTCTCAGCTCCCAGGAGGTACAAAAGCAGGCCACAGGCAGGCTTGCTGATCCCTACCTTAAAACAAGTACTCTTTAGCTTCATTGTGCCTTAGGTTTTCCATTTGTAAAACGGAAGACTAGAAGTGCCTTCTGAGGAATGTTGTAGTGAGGATTAAATAATGTATGTATTCAGGTTAGAAACTAGACTGACACATGGTAGCAACTAAATGTTAGTGATGGAGATTGCTGTTGCTTTAATTCACCCCATTTATGCATCCATCAACTGACAAACATATTGAGAGATAAAACACACCCACAGCTGCAAGTGTGTATATTATAAACCAATAACGAATTATATGGTATGAAGGGGTGTCATGGGTTCAAGTGAAAGACAGCTTGGCACAGAAGAAAAACATGAGTTTATGAGTTAAGCAGTCCTGGGTTCCAATCCTGAGTCTGTCACTCAGTAGTTGTTGGGACTTCAGGAAAGTTATTTCACTAAGTCTCACTTCTCTCATCTACTAACATTAAATACTAATAAAGTCCTTCCTTACTGGATTGATGTGAGTGCTAATTAAAGATGCATGTCAAGAGCCTGGCACATGAGAAGAACTCAGTAAATGACAGTTGCTATCACTTCTCATTTTCCTTTGAGTTGTATTAAATGCCTTTGAGGCTGTGTCTCCAAAACAGCCAGTCGATACTTGGGGGAAAATAGCAAGTGCTTGATTGTGATTTGACTACTTTTTGACTGGCACTCCCAAGCCAGTGACTCAGAACAACCCATGTATATAGAAAAACAAAAATTGGCTGGTTAATTAAGCCTAAAATATTGATCAAACAGCCCTGTGTATGCATACAGCTTGATTATGATTTCTTTAAGTTATATACGGCATTTCTTAATATATCTGACAGGAAAGTGATGGAATTTTAATTATTCAATTTTAAAGTTCATGTCTCAGGCTCCCAAGCTTCAATTTAGCTTTGTTACTGAGGTAACTGGGCATTCCCATCCAGGGTGGGAAACTAGGCTAACACTAGATTTTACTTTCTCACCCTAGATGTCTGCTAATGTAGATACTAATTTGAGAACAAATCTTTCGGGTCTTAGTAAAATCCACCAAGTCTGAGATAAAAACCAAATAATTATGTGGCGGCAGCATTGGCAGCTTAAAGAGAAAGAAATGTTAGTTATAAAAAGATTGAAAGTAGATATTTACATGATTTTCTTTCAACTATCGAATTTGGATTTTGACAAAATGAAGATTAACATTGCAGAAATGCCTACTATGCACTACGCATTGGAGAAACTGAGGGACAGAAAGATCAAGTAATTTTTCCAAAGTCATATATATAATAAATGCATGAAGGAAAAACAAATCAACTGACCCAATCTGCCTGTTACCCATTCAGTCTTTTCGCTCATTTCAATGACATCTTAAATTGGAGCTTCTCAAATCCTTGAAAAATACACATGGAATGACCCATTTCTACCTCTCTGTTTTTATTTCTGCTTAGCTCACGAGAAGAATAGCTGACATTTACCAAATTACTAGGATTAGCTATTTCAAGAACAAATTTTATTCCCTTAAAATCTGTAGACACCTGAAGGGAAAGAACCATGTTTGCCTTCCTCAACTGCTGCATCCCAAGTGTCTAGAAGTAGCTAGAGCAGTGCTTGACACATTTTACACACTCAATACTTATTTCTTGGATGAAGGAGAATGCGGAATTTTACAGAAAGGAACATTTAGTCTCTTGACCATAAGTTCTGCAATTGAGGCTGCAGAGATCTGAGAGCTCCAGAATCAGTACATCTGCATACAAGCCACACTTAATTTAACCCTTGGAAAGTGGACTGCTGAAAATCCCAGCTGGGTAATGCCCCAACGTGCGTAGAACTGTCCTACAGTGAGTATTGCGATGCTTCACTCAGATCCTTCCTTCAGAACTGAAAGATTTATTCCTCCAACTAACAAGAGTGTAGGCGGCAAGGTAGCACTCAATTGTCAGTCCTCAACTGGAATTGCCTCAACTGAAGAGATCCACCTTTCTTAAAGTCACATCCCCATCTTCCTGGGGCAGCCCATATCCCCTTAATAATTACTGCAGCAGTACAAAAGCCCAGAACCCTTGCCCAAACTCAGAACATTCTAAAGGATCATCCCAGCTTCAGAACTCCTCATGGCATTGGCTGAAGCCTTTGTTGAGACTCACAGACCAACTTTTCCCTCTACCCAATTCAGCTTCTTTCTCTTCCCTTCCACTGGTGTTAATCCCAAAGACATTCCTTATTAGACATCTTGCATACTAATCTCTGTCTCAGTATCTGCTTTATACAGAATCCAATCTATGACAAATTCCTCTATGTGCTCCTTTCTCCTAGCACATTTTTCTCATGTGGTGACTTTCTTTTCTAGCATGCCAAGACCTCCCCCATCCAAGAATTAAGGTTTATATAAGTTTTTCAATGAGATATGGGATACAACCAATCACACAGGCACGAAGGAGAGAATGAATGCTTCTACTCTTCCTTGTTAGATCCAAGCATTATGGGGTTAATAAATTCCTTTCACAGACATCTTAAAATATTTCTCAAACCTCTCCCTAAATTGTGAAGAAAGAACATATCCTCCAGAAAGACTGGGCATATAGCCTTAAGTGGACAAGTGAACTCAGTATCTTTTTGAAGTCCCAAGTTTTATGCTAGATATAATTATAAATTTGGCATTTAATTCCATTAAATGCCATGTAATGGATTCATCCACCATTTCAAAAACTGAGTAAAATTAACTCTCTAAGAAAGTGAGCATTGCTCTCACTGTGGCTATTTACACAGTGAGACATGTATCTGAGTTAGAGTGTGGCCTAAGATAAAAACTCCTGGTTAGCTGGTAGAGTCATACTGGGGAGTATACAGAATGCCCATCTGACCAGTCAGTTCCTGCACCTTAGGGTTGTTAACTATTTTAAATATAATCCCTGCCTAAAATATATCCATTTCAAGGAAACTGGTTTGTACCACATTTGTCATGTTGAGTATTTTTGTCCTCTTGGAGTTTTCTTTTTCTCCTTTCTTTTGAGCTTCTTCCATCCCTCCCTTTCTCTCACCTCATTCCTCCATCTTGCCACCTCTATTTTTTTCTTTCCATCTCCTCTCATCATCTTCTTTTTATTCTTCACTTTCTGTCTATATATTTTTCAGTTAAGTTTGAAGCAAGCAGATTAAGCATGTTGATGTAGGGCTGATACTATACATATTAAATAATATTCAAACTTGTAATTATGCTAAGGGCTTCAAACGATTTTGGATAACATTGCTTTACTGAATCTAAAAGGCTTGATCAATTAATCTATGTGGTTTTGCCTAATTCTGATACTGTGATTCTCTTGCCAGATTCCATGTCCAATGAGCTAAAACATATCGAGACAAATACATTCCATATTCTGGCTGAGCTCAGAGTGCATGCTAGGTAAAAACTAATTCAAATTTTGAACACGATGATATAAAACTCTGAGTAGCTGCCTGTACCGATAGTAACTGTAACATCATCAACAAAAACAACAAGAATAGCTAAGATTTATTGGGTATTTATTATGTCTGGCATTGTGCTAGGAGGTTTCCATATATTAAGCAACTTAACCCTCACAACAACCAAATGAGAAAGGTAATAGCATTTTGCTTTTCTTTTCTTTTAACAGAAGTTAAAAACTAAGCTTGGTAAGGTTATGTGTTCGGCTAAAGGTTATATAGCTACTAAGTGACGAATCAAGATTTGAGCCCACGTAGTCTGTGTATAGAATCATCTTTTCTGGAATCTTCCCATTTTGCCTCAGCATCATCATGGGGAACCCAATGTCTATTGCTATGTGTCAGTTTCAGTACAATGTTGATAGACTATGGTGTCCTTTATTCTTAGGTAAGCATGTGCATTGTGTGTGCATGTATGTGTGCCCTCCCCACATACATAAACATAATACAAAGTGATTCATGCAGTCATAGAGATTTTCACTTCCAAGAGAGCTTTTTTGTTCTTGCTAGGCTGACTTTATTTCTCTTTGATATTCCCATAGTTTCTGCCTATTCCTTTAGTGAGACATTATTTCATTATATTCAATCATATGTTATACCATCTGTTTTTTATCACTGAATCATGAACTCTTTTCAAGAAGTCTACTTAGCTTATCTTGGGATCACTAGCTTTTACCATCATGCCTATTCTATATTAGGCACTACATAAATGAAAAAGTAGCAATAAAGGCAAAAAGAAGGGACCTACTAAATCTTATGAAAGGAGAGATGGAAAGATTTATTAAGGAAGAGATGCTCTAACTAGGAGTGTACTAAGTACATAAGAGCAGGAAGTACATTACAGGAAAGGGAATAGACTATTTCTAGGCCTCAAAGAAAATGTGAAATATGCTGAGGGATGAAACATAGGTTGCATGGAATAAGGTGCTATGTTGCATTAAGAGCAGAATAAAGAAGCCCACAACCAGGCTGGAAGAGTGATTGGGTCCAGTAAAGGGAATCCATGATAATGTCAAAAAAAAGGAGTTAAGATTATACATATACATACACACACACACAAATACACATGTATGTACACATACACATAGATATAAAATCTTATGCATAGGAATTAAGAATATATATATATATATAAGGAGTTAAGATTATATATACACATACACATATATGTGTATATATATATATATTTGATGAAGAGATGAAAAGCATTTTAGAGATTTTTATTATACTTTAAGTTTTAGGGTACATGGGCACAATGTGCAGGTTTCTTACGTATGTATACATGTGCCATGTTGGTGTGCTGCACCCATTAACTCGTCATTTAACATTAGGCATATCTCCTAATGCTATCCCTCCCCCCTCCCCCCACCCCACAACAGGTCCCAGTGTGTGATGTTCCCCTTCCTGTGTCCATGTGTTCTCATTGTTCAATTCCCACCTATGAGTGAGAACATGCGGTGTTTGGTTTTTTGTCCTTGCGACAGCTTGCTGAGAATGATGGTTTCCAGTTTCATCCATGTCCCTACAAAGGACATGAACTCATCATTTTTTATGGCTGCATAGTATTCCATGGTGTATATGTGCCACATTTTCTTAATCCGGTCTACCATTGTTGGACATCTGGGTTGGTTCCAAGTCTTTGCTATTGTGAATAGTGCTGCAATAAACATACATGTGCATGTGTCTTTATAGCAGCATGTTTTATAATCCTTTCGGTATATACCCAGTAATGGGATGGCTGAGTCAAATGGTATTTCTAGTTCTAGATCCCTGAGGAATTGCCACACTGACTTCCACAATGGTTGAACTAGTTTACGGTCCCACCAACAGTGTAAAAGTGTTCCTATTTCTCCACATCCTCTCCAGCATCTGTCGTTTCCTGACTTTTTAATGATCGCCGTTCTAACTGGTGTGAGATGGTATCTCACTGTGGTTTTGATTTGCATTTCTCTGATGGCCTGTGATGATGAGCATTTTTTCATATGTCTTTTGGCTGCATAAATGTCTTCTTCTGAGAAGTGTCTGTTCATATCCTTCGCCCACTTTTTGATGGGGTTGTTTTTTTCTTGTAAATTTGTTTGAGTTCATTGTAGATTCTGGATATTAGCCCTTTGTCAGATGAGTAGATTGCAAAAATTTTCTCCCATTCTGTAGGTTGCCTGTTCAAGGACTTCATGTCTAAAACACCAAAAGCAATGGCAACAAAAGCCAAAATTGACAAATGGGATCTAATTAAACTAAAGAGCTTCTGCACAGCAAAAGAAACTACCATTAGAGGTTTTATATAGAGATTGAGAAGGCTTATTTCAATTTTAAAAATATCATCCTGGCTGCAATATAGTGAAAGAAGGGAATCCAGAATAAAGACAACACAACAGTTAGGGGTCACTGTATGTACAGATGGAGAGAAATAAATCAATTCAGGATTTAAGAGAGACAGAGAGAGGTGAGATTGGCATAATAGGAGGCAATTGAATTGATCAGATATGAAGAAAAATCAGAAGAATTCAGAATGAGTACAGGAAAATAACATGTTTGGGGATGAGCTAATGTATTTGGTCTGGTGTGTCTCATACATAATTTTTATAGGTGCACCAATCTTTTTCCCATAGTTGAAACACAAAGATTACATTTCCCATAAAATAAAAGCAATGCTACATATGACCACCACTGTCCTTAAACCACTTCTTTGACTCTCAATTGTTGTTCATAGAAATGAAATGTGACTGAATCAAGTTCATATTTTTAGTTTTATATCATAATCAGAATCATCTACCATGATCTTTTTACTCTCTCAAAAATTGTCCAAAATAATTCTTCTTGAACTTTATACTAGAGGTATATCCCCTGCTACAAATTCTTATAATTCAAATGTATGGTCTGTTAATTCCATATAATGTTGATTAATGTTAGCATGTTGTATTACATAAGGCCAATTTGCAATCAAATTGAAAAATTTATAAATAATAAAGCTTAATTATTTTCCTTTGTAATTGCTCTTTCTTCAGAGGCTTAGTTTAGGTTTTTCTCTCTCTCTGTGTTTTTTTTTTTTTTTCTTAGACGGAGTTTTGCTCTCATTGCCCAGGCTGCGGTGCAAAGGCACGATCTGGGCTCGCTGCAACCTCTGCCTCCTGGGTTCAAGAGTTTCTCCTGCCTCAGCCTCCTGAGTAGCTGGGATTACAGGCACCCACCAGCACGCCCAGCTAATTTTTGTATTTTTAGTAGAGATGGGGTTCACCATGTTGGCCAGGCTGGTCTCGAACTCCTGAGCTCAGGTGATACACCTGCCTCGGCCTCCCAAAGTGCTGGGATTGCAGGCATGAGCCACCGCACCCAGCCAGGTTTTTTCTTTTCTTCAACATTACTCAAAATTAGGTTTCGTCATAAGCCTTCACGCCTCAGCCCCAGGCAGTTGTGCTAAATGGGCAAGGCAGACCAGTTATAAGACAATACAGAGTGGTGGAGCCTATAGTGAAAGGAGAAAAAAAGGAGCCTTTTTGACTGTCTTAAAAAAGAGAGAAAAACAAAGGACACTAAAATCCTGTTTAAGCATAATCAAAATATATCAACTATATTTTCCAGCAAACTGTATGGGATAAGGATTCCCATGGTATGGATAATGTCTGCTACTACCAGAGACTATCCTATTTTGGTGAGAAAAGATTAGGTATAAAAAAATCCTAGGTGTGGATAATGACAGGCCAGACGGTAAGGAAAGAAAGCTAGACTTGAATGGAGCTGGGTTAACCTAGAACCAGAACTGGGATGAATTTGGTTTCAGGGCTAGCCACTGATACAGTTAAAGCATCTAGATCATGATATTCAATGGGGATGTTTAACTCAGCCTAGAGTAATCAGTGTGTTTTTAGTCAATAAGGACTGATATGACGGATAAGACATGGCAGTAGGCATTTTTGAGATGTAATGTTGCTGAGAGTCAGACCAGTGACAGCAGCATGCATTCTGGATGTTGGGTGTGGGCGTGTGGCTAAGAACTAGGCATAAAGGAAACTCGATTTAACTCTTGAGGGAAGTTGGGTAGCATGAGATCATGAGATTAATAGAGGTTCTATTAATGAGGAAGTACACTAGAGTTTGGAACAGATTTCTAGGAATTCAGAGTACAAATTGAGAAAACAAAGATGGAAGGCTGTAATATGGGTTGAGCATAAATGAAGGAGAACAATGGATGACTGTAAAGCAGCAAATACTTATGTATTCAAGACACACTTCCAGGCACATGGCATGTCAGACTGAAGACAGCATTATCACCTCTAGATTCCATTCAATTGATTCCTGATATTCTGCCAGGTAAGATTATTATAAACTCAAAAAAAGTCAGTGGGGCTAAACCTACAGTTTGGAAGTATAATGGGAGCAACTAAGTGGGGCTGGGGCTGAGACTGGGAAAGTTGGGAAATAACAGTCCTTCAGCTTCGTCAAACTTGTCCCTGCTGTTCACCTTGGTGAATATGTCATCTTTGTCTTCTTGGTGTACACAGAAGAAAGAGTTATTTTTTTTCTAATTTTATTTTTCTCGGAAATCAGTGAACTTATCTTAAAGTCTAATACAATTCCCGTGTCATATTCCAATCTCCTGACATGCTAGAATGAAAGGAGACGTTGCAATAGATTATCTGGGTTAGAGTTTGGGGGCTTAACCCAACTTTACTGCTAGTCTCTGAGGGATGTAGTCTTCTGTAAACATGGTAAAGTCAGGGGTAATGTGAACAAATAATGATATTGAAAAAGTTTTTAATGTAGTGAATAAGTGTGATGGTTAGTATTAGGTGTCAACTTGACTAGACTGAGAGATGACTAGATGGCTAGTGAAGCATTGTTTCTGGATGTGTCTGTGAGGATGTTCCCAGAGGAGACTGAAATGTGAGTCAGTGGAATGAGAAGAGGATCCTCCCTCCATGTGAGTGGGTACCATCCAATAGTCTGGGAACACTCCCACAATAAAGCAGACAGAAGAAGAAGGACATTTCAGCTTATTGGTTTATTCTTTTCTTCATACTATCACTCCCTTCAGGAGCAGGAAACCCTTTTTCTTTTCCTGCCCATAGACATCAGGTTCCAGGTTCTTTGGCGTTTGGACTCCAGGATTTGCCCCAGAGGCCTCCTTGGGCCTCTCACATCTTCGGCCTCAGACTGGAGGCTGCCCTGTCAGCTTCTCTAGTTTGGAGATTTCAGACATGGACTGAGCCACACTACCAGCTGCTCTGGAAGCCATCCTACCATCTTTTGTCATTCTCCAGCTTGCAGACAGCCAATCCTGGGACTTTGTCTTTGTGATTGTGTGAGCCAATCCCTTTCATATCTATCTGTCTCTCTGTCTGTCTGTCTGTCTATGTATCTACCTATCCTATTGGTTATGTCCCTCTGGAAAACTCTGACACATGCTAGTGCAGTAGGGTACAAGAATAAGATTCTTCCACAGATAAGATACTCTGCATTTAAATAGGAGGTAATGTCTTAATTCAGAATGGAATGCCTTGTTTGGCATAGAACCTAATATGGTTTGGCTGTGTCCCCATCCAAATCTCATCTTGAATTTCCATGTATTGTGGGAGGGACCCAGTGGGAAGTAATTGAATCATAGGGGCGGGTCTTTCCCATGCTGTTCTCTTGACAGTGAATGGGTCTCATAAGATCTGATGGTTTTAAAAATGAGAGTTTTCCTGCACAAGCACTTCTCTTGTCTGCCACCATGTGACACGTGCTTTTCACCTTCTGCCATGATTGTGAGGCCTCCCAGCCATGTGGAATTGCGAGTCCAATAAACCTCTTTCTTTTGTAAATTGTCGCATCTTGGGTATGTCTTTATCAGCAGCAGCATGAAAAGACTAATACAGAACCCAAGCCATCACTTGTGAATAGAAGACAGGGTCCAGCTACTAGATGAGACGTTGGCAAGGGCTGGATGGAGAAATAGGGCTGAATCTAAATGGAAAAGAGTTTGGGGACACAGCTCCAAAGGGAGACTAAACAGCTATAAAGGAATTATGGCAGATGCCCAGTGTTGATAGTGAGGTAGATATTTCGGTGCTCAGAACAGCAAGACCAGTTTCAGACTCCAGCCTATGATGTAAATAGGGTTCCTAATATTCTGCTAGTTTGGACAAATCTTCCAGTGTTGGCCCATCACCTGGTGGCACAAAGCCTACAATCTGATGAAACAGTCCCTGTGGCTGAGTAGGGCTGAAAAAGTCAAGGCTTCACACTTTGGTTTTACAAATTCAGAAGACTATTTAGAATAATTATGAAAATTGATTGACTATTAAATCAGTGTATACCTAGACCTTACTATACTGAGAATTAGAGAAAATTGCAGACTATTGCACCTTACCCTGAGCCTTCACTCCTGAAAGAAAATAATTATAAATTGTAGAAGAAACAATAAAGGAACTGTATATCACACTGTAAATTGAATGGACCTTGGTATACTGTTATTATAAATGATTTAATGAAAGCTGCTCTCCAGATACGAAACTTTGTAATCAACAGAGCACCAAGACCGGAAAGAAATACTTTTAATTTGGTGGCTCAATGATAGGAGTACAATAAATGAGATCAAGAGGCAGGCTCAGAAAAAGCAGTAAACTCAGCCAAAGTTGCAGACCCATGAGGAAAAGGGAAGCAGGACAGGGTCCCATTGTTCCCACTTCCTCCCAAGTACTTCTGTCTCCATCTGCTGGAGGAAATTATAATAGCTCAGGCCTGTGTTTCTTAAACACTTTGATTATGAAATAAATACATCTCAGTAGCTTTCCTACCGTCTGTGGTTAACATTTAGAATGAAAAGACATGACAACTGAGAGGAGTTCTGTAAGTATACATGCAAGCTTCTAACAGGGCACTTTGATAGTTACCTCTGAATCTAGTCTTTCTTCACATTGCATGGTTGAAGATAGGTGATCTGTCTGTTCCAAATTTCTCCTTTTAATCACACAAGGAAGTCCTTTTACAAAGACATGAAGAGCTACCACGGGTGTTTGCGTTCCACCTGAGGGATGCCTCAGGATATATTCCAGACCTATCTACATCTAGATTACTTTTTCATTTATTGTATTATACTCCTCTCCGCCCTGTTTAAAATCTAGTGTTAAATTTGCTGATGAAGAAAGACCTTTATATTGGAGACAGTTTGGGACTATTTACCTTGACTTTGACTCAAGTGAGTTACAGTAAACAACCCCTGCATTTGTTTGTTAGCTGCCGCACATATCACTATTATTGGTCATCACCATCCTACTCTATGTTTGTACATGAACACTCACCACATGTCTAAGGACTCTGCACAGCTCGGCCTTCCCTTAGATTCACCAGGAAGTGAATAAAACCATCATGTTGCTTTTTAGCACTAGTAGGCCATATTCTATTTTGTCACAGCCCAACTTGTTAAAAATGCCTATCTCCATCTTCAGGTGAGCTTATTTTGTCCCCAGTGGAAACCATAATAGAAAACGCCACATGAGCATTTGACTCTTTGCCTTGAATATAAATGATGATATACAAGAAAAGATTTAATTACTTACACAGTAGCTGAGAAGCAATGCCATGCAGTGTTTATGAGCCAGCTGTTAGCATGCATGGGTGCAGACTGACAGCAGAATCAGCAAAAAATTGGCTCAATCTTTGAAAAACGTTTTTGTGCCAAGCACATTAAGTTTTAATTACAAGCACTTTGAAATATTCATGGTTACTGAATTTACTTATTCCCTAGCAGAAACAAGATAAAAAATTATTTTGAAATCTAATGACAAAAAACACTTGATACTGACAACACACAGTTGTGTAATGCCTAATTAATAACTCGTAGGAAATAAGCATTTTGTTCTGAGTTGTTTATTATGCTTAATACCATGCTATAACAAATCAAAATGTGGCCTCTACCATAATTCTGCATCTCTCTAAGAGATATACTCAACATACACAGAGATGACCTTTGTTAATATGACAGTTATTGCAGGTATCTACATGTACCTTGCTAAGCCATAAAAGTTTTTCAGCTTTCCCAGATCATCTTGTCTCACCATTCCTATGCACACATATATCCTGGTATGTATATACTATTCCCTGAAACTTACGTTCGGTACCTCACTTTTCTCTGAATTCTGGCCTCTATGAAATTCAAATATTTACTCATTAAATGAAAACCAGTTGAGGACTATTATGTGCATACTCCATACTAGGAACATACAATACTAAAAATAATAAGATACAGCCTCTGCCATCAAGGATTTCATAATTTAAAGGCCAAGCTACTCATGTAAACAAAGAAGACTAACACAAATTAAGAAGTGAGAGCAGAAAGAAAAAGTTTAAATAGAATTGAAGTAGGAAGAAAGCATGCTTTGGTAATGCAATGATTTGGTGGAATCAGCCACCAAACACCTGTTCCAATAACACCTGTTTCCATAACACCTGTTCCAATCCAATCAATCTATTTATTCTTCTTAATAAACACTTCCTATAGCCCATATTTTGTGTGATGACCCCAGCTATTTGTGCTTGCCCTTCTGCTAGTATTAACTGTAGCCACCAAATCTCTTCACAATCAGTAGTTATCTGTGAGGTTCACGTTAGAGGGCATCGCTGAAGATCTGAGTGAAAGGGGTGCTCAACTCTATCTCAAAGCTTGACTGTCCCTATTAAGTGCAGTTTTTCCTCCATAATTTTAGACTCTTCTCACAATATAATTTTTAAAAAATGTTCTCAATATGCAAATCTAAGACTATCTACATCAGAGTCATTTGGGCATTTGTTAAAACCTCATATTCTTGGGCCATACTCTCAGATACATGAAATCAAAATTTTTTGGGATAGGGCATAGGAATTTATGAAATGAATTCTGTTATAATCTGAAATTTGCAAACAGTACAAGGACCATATCTTGTCAAATTCTCTCAACTTTATATCCTGGGCTGCTTTTCTCTTGATTGTGCCTTCAAATTATTTTCACATTGATTCATTCATTTCTGAATAAGATTGACAAGATTCCTAGGTTTATGAATCTTACATTCTACAAGAATTCTAATAATGCACCAATACAAGCTCTTGAGAGTATTTTCTAACATTTTTATTGAGATATAACATGTAAACAGTAAAATCCAGAAATCTTAACGTATACCTTAATTTTCTTGTATTTATACACCCATGTAACCACCAAGAAGAGCAAGAGATAAAATATTTCTAGCATCCTAGAAGGTGTCTTCATGTCCCTTCTTAGTCAATACCATCTCATTCTCCTTCATGCAAGGCCACCACTATTGTAATTATCACCATATATTAGTTTTCCTTGTTTTATCATGACAGACTAGCATTTGCTTGTATAACTGTTATACAATATTTATTCTTTTGTGTCTGGTTTTTATGTTTGGATTTTATGTTTGTGTCACATCCATGTTTTTGTATGTAGCAGTAACCCATTATTTTTATCATAGCTTTTCATTATATGAATGTTAAACTATTTATACATTCTACTGTTGTTGCACATTTGGATTATTTTCAGTTTATAGCTATAATAAATTAAGCCACCATGAATATACTTGTACATATCCTTTGGGAAACCATGCAATCATTTTTCTTGGGCATATATTCAGAATATGATTGCAGGCTCATTGAGTAGATGTACGTTTACTGCCAAACTATTTTCTAATATGGCTCTAGATTTTGCATTCTTATCAGCAATGTATAAGATTTCCAGTTACTCTACATCTCTCCCAACTCTTGTTATTTTTACTTTTTTAAAAAATTTTACTTTAAGCTCCAGGATGTATGTACAGAACACACAGGTTTGTTACATAGCTATACATATGCCATGGTGGTTTGCTGCACCTATCAACCCATCATATAGGTTTTAAGCCCCGCATGCATTAGGTCTTTGTCCTAATGCTCTCCCTCCCCTTGCCCTCCACCCACCCTGGTGGGTGTTGTTCCTTTCCCTGTATCCCAGCGTTCTCATTGTTTGGCTCCCACAATTGAGAACATGTGGTGTTTGGTTTTCTGTTCCTGTGTTAGTTTGCCGAGGATGATGGCTTCCAGCTTTATCCACGTCCTTGCAAAGGACATGATCTCATTCTTTTTTATGGCTGCATAGTATTCCATGGTGTATATGTACACGTTTTCTTTATCCAGTCTATCATTGTTGAGCATTTGGATTGGTACCATGTGATTGCTATTGTAAATACTGCTGCAATAAACATATGTGTGCATGTGTCCTTATAGTAGAATAATTTATAATCCTTTGGGTATATATCCAGTAATGGGATTGCTGGGTCAAATTGTATTTCTGGTTCTAGGTCCTTGAGGAATTGCCACACTGTCTTCCACAACGATTGAACTAATTTACATTCCCACCAACAGTGTGAAAGGGTTCCTACTTCTCCACAGCTTCATCAGCATCTATTGTTTCTTGACTTTTTAATAATAGCCATTCTGACTAGCATGAGATGGTACCTTATAGTCGTTTTTATTTGCATTTATCTAATGTTCAGTAATGATGAGCTTTTTTCCCTGTGTTTGTCGGCCGCATAAATGTCTTCTTTTGAGAAGTGTCTGTTCATATCACTGTGGTTTTGATTTACATTTCTCTAATGATCGGTGATGTTGAGCTAAAATTTCGTTAGTCTTGTCTTTTATTGTTCTGTTTCAGAAATGTTTGACTACCCTAGCCTCTTGAAAGTCTTCATCTATGCTCTTAAAATGAAATACATATATATTTGTTTATACCTGGAATGTTCTTATGTGTATATTGTGAGGCAAGTATCCTATTTGATTTTCCCCAAGAGATACATAGTTATTCCAGCTCTACTAATTGAAAATAATCCCCCCAAGGATCTGCAATGCTTCCTCTTTCTTGAATGAAAACTATGAAGATATTCTCCTATGTTCTCCAAGAAGCTTTATTGTTTTCCCCTTCATGTTTAAGAAATGTTGTCAAAGTAGCCTTAGTGAATCAGTCCTTGATGCTTAAGCTGAGATTTAAAGGATCTATCCTAAATAACAGGGCAAAAAGTTGCATAAGGGAAGAGGCTAACATTGTGAAAGAATAAAACTGCAGGTAAGAGCAAACTTAAAGTAGGAGGAATATGACATTTGACAGACCGAAACAAGACCAGTTTGGCTAAGATGCAGAGGGAGCCAAGCACATTACTAAATGAAGCCTTGGAAATAGTGAGGGGCTGGAAAATACAGGCTTTTGTATAATAATTTTTAAATTTTGGCTTCTCAGAGCAGTAGCAAGACATTTGAGTTTTGATAATTAGCACACTACTACAACGTGAAGAAATATTGTGGGGAGAGTAATGTAAATAAGGGTAAATCAGAAGGCAGAAGTTCAGATGAAAGATGATGACAGACACACAACACTGTACAAGAAAAATAGAATTTGGGGATGGAGTGGAAGTATGGAGAGAAGATCATTCATTAAATATTTGATGCATTTACCTCAATTTGTTTTTCATACAACCAAGTGAGGATGGTAGCCAGATATTTAGATGTATAGTTCTGGATTTCAAAGATAAGAGCTATTCATTACAAATCCTTCCCCATGCCCTCTGTTACTTATACAAAATTATTAATAACACTTTTCTCCACAAGCTGCCTTAACTAAAGCATATGTGTCCTTTTGAGTTGTAATATCCCTTTTCAAGTGGAGGCTCTTCATCTATTTCAGAGTAGGAAGGGATATCCATCATTCTTCTTTCCTATGAGTGTAATAAGGCCTTTCTTCTTACCATAATAATATAAATTTTTTTTGCTCCTTTGAGACTTATTATGTCCATCTGTGTGCCTCCTATTCTGCCACCTTGTCACTGTCATCTACAGACTGGTTCAATTATGTCCATCTGTGTGCCTCCTATTCTGCCACCTTGTCACTGTCATCTACAGACTGGTTCAATCTATTCCTCTCTACTCTGAATTTTTTTAACATCCTGGAAAAGAACTCTCTTGTGTCAGGAATCTACTCAACATCTTAGTTTCTAAGTTCCTTCAACTCCTAGTTTTATATAAAAATTCCTTCCTTTTGCCATCCACTGTTAAGGGCATAAGCTGAATATTGTCATCACCTAAATATGCTTCATTTCTAAAGTCATTAATTCAAATGTCCCACTCACTAAACATAAATTTCTGTCCCAATGTAAATCCAGTTCTGTTAGAAGCACTGTCTTTCATCTCAAAAGGAAGCTCTTCATACACCCACAGTCCTCCACCATTCAGATTTTAGAATTGAGATTGATATTCTACTAGCTTCACAAAATTGCTTTCCAAATATTATTAATCCATATTTTATTTTTAAAAATACATCTTTCTATTTGTGAGCTTCATGTCTTCTAACCAAGCCATCTTCTCCCACTTCTTATTGTATTCACACATCTCCCCATCACAAGCTTTCCTCTTCCAATTATTCATTCAAGGCAAAGGCACCTGGTGTACAGACTTCTAGTTATTCCAAGCTTTGCTGTTATCCCATGTAACTTTTATGTACATACACATCAGCTGTTCAACATTCCTGTCTCTCATTTTCTTGACATCCAATTCATCTCTTCTATAGGCTACTTCAACTGACTTGTGCAATCACACACGAGGACCATCACTCAAAAGTATTTCTCCTCCAAATCATTCCAGTTTTTGAAAACTCTAGTATATTCATTTATTTGTTATTTCTACTATTGTTTTTTGAACTTACAGGAACTTCAAATTCTTAGTCCTCCCTCAAATTCCTTCTTAATTTTTAGCTCTGTCCTTATCTTATAGAGTTGATATGGCTCATCACTTCAACTACTATTTTATTTTAATCTCCCCACTTTCACATACATCTGGTAATATCCTAACCGTGGATAAACGTACATTTCACCTCCTCTACTCTTGCAACAACATTGGAAAAAGTAACAACACTTGGCTGTTGATACCACTAAAAATAATCATTGCCAGCCTTAACTGAAGCCCAAATACTAAGTAGCCATCCTACTAAGGTTCTCTAATCTGCTTGCTTCTCTACTTCTCTACAATGACTATCACAAATCTTCCCCACTTTCCTGAAACTTCCTACATCAAAAATCTGTCAGACACAAGACAAGACGGCCAACTAGATACAGCCAGAAGTGCCACTCCTACTGAGACTACCAAGGTTTTGAGTAAAACAACAAAATTTAGACAGATATTTGGAGGGAAAATGCCATGAGTGGGTAGAGACATGATGTAGATGCTGAAGCTGACGATGGAGTAGGCTGGAAACACTACGTGGGGTACCCAAACACTGGGGCTAGTTCCTGACCCAAAATGCCTCCTGGGAAACTGGCAAGTAAAGGGAGTATATGATTGTTCACCCTCACTGTGGACCACAGGGATCCTGGCTACAGGGGTCCCACATACTCCATAGACATTTGAGCTGACGGGGATCAGCCCAGAGAGTAGAAAGACATGGAGCTTCAATCAGCATAAAATTAAAGTATTATACAGCTCTGGGGAAGCATGGCTATAGACGCCAACCACCTAGGGTTCCCCAACTCGCTCTGAAACGCTCTAGCCCCAGCTGACCAACAGGCCAGAAGAAAATGAGGCCTACTTCCCCACAAAACTGTGGCATGTCTGTTCTGCAGCCTATCCTGCCCAACAACCTCTCAAAGGACCCCTCTATAGCTACCCTGCAGGAGCATGTGCACAGCACAATCTCTGCTACCAAGCCTGGGTGCTTCTCCACTTGATTACATTCCTGGTGGCCTGGGAGAATTTCAGATCTCTCAGCATACCCAGAACCTAACTGTGAGGGTTGAGAGGATGGAGCCACTAGCTGATCTCAGTACCCCAGGGCTGTGACTCACAGCTCAGGAATGCCAAGCAGAGACCAGTGAACAGCACTCAAGAGGAAGAGGAGCCCATACTCTCAGAGCATTGAGAGGGGTGAGTTGCATGAATTTATGGGCTAGAGCAGGAGCAAGCCATGTATCCCTCCACAGGGTTAGCCCAGAAAGGTTGTGGCCTATTTCCCTTCTGCAGCTTCTTCCCAGGGATCCCAGAGTTCTGGAACACCTCACAAAAGAGAGGTGGGCACAGTGCCAATGATTGGAGGGGTCTCCCCCAAGGCCCAGGAGAGGACTAAGTGAGAAGGTCACCTCTCTGTCCCCTGCACTGCAAAGCATGGCTGTAAACACAAGGAAATACAATGGAGCCACATGGCTGAGTAAGAGTTTATCTACCATGCATTACTCTTAAGCACTATCTACTGGATCAGAGCCCAAACTACAAGGTCAAAAATATTTTGCTAATATGTCCCTTGTAAAACCAAAGGCAAGAATGAAGCCATAAATAAAGACCCTGCACAGAGCTTAGGCCCTCTAAAAAATCCAGAAATGAAGCCAACTAACTATACTCAAAATACAGTAAAAAGAACACCAACCTTTCCACATGAGAAAGAATCAATGTAAGAACTCTGGCAATTTAAAAACCACGAGTGTTCTCTTAACTTCCAAATAAGTCCACCAGATCCCCAGCAATGGTTCTTAACCAGTCAGAAATGACTGAAATGGCAGACAGAGAATTCAGACTCTGGATGGCAAGAAAACTCATGGAGATTGAGGAGAATATTGAAACTCAATTCAAGGAATCCAGTACAAGGATCCAAGGGCTGGAAGACAAAATAGCCATTATAAGAAAGATTCAAACTGCTCTGATATGGTTGACATTGTAAGAGTTTGATAATACAAGCAGAAGTACTAACAGCAAAATATAGCAAGCTGAGGAAGAAATCTCACAGTTTGAAGAAGAGTTTTTTTAAGCAACTCAGACAAATATAAAAAAGCATTAAAAGTGATTAAAACCTCTGAGAAACATGGAATTATGTAAAGTGACCAAATCTACAACTAATTGGCATTCCTGTGAGAGGAGAGAGAATAAGTAATTTGGAAAATATATTTGGGTATATAGTGCAGGAAAATTCTCACTAAGAGGTTGACATGCAAATTCAAAAAATACAGAGTCCACCAGCTTTATACTATACAAGGTGAACATTCCTAAGATATATAGTCATCAGTTTAACCAAGGTTAATGCAGAAGAAACAATCTTAAAAGTAGCTACAAAGAACGGTCAAGGGTTATACAGAGGGAACCTCATCAGCAGCAGACCTCTCAGCAGAAACTTTATAAGCCAGAAGAGTTTGGGGGCCTATTTTCAGTGTACTTAAATAAAAGAAATTACAAGCAAAAATTTTATATCTCACCAAACTAAGCTTTATAAGTGAAAAAGAAATTAAAATCTTCTCAGACAAGAAAAAGTTAAGGAAATTTGTTTCTTTTGTAAAAAAAAAAAAAAAAAAAAAAAAAAGTGTGTTCACGGTAGGTGTATATATTTGTGGTATGAGATTTTTTATACAGGCATGAAATGTGTAATAATCAGATCAGCGTAAATGGATCGCCCATCACCTCTAGCATTTGTGTTTTAAAATGCAATCCAATTATACACTTTTAGCTATTTTTAAATGTGCAATTAAATTATTTTTGACAACAGTCATCCTCTTGTGCTGTCAAATACTAGACCTTATTCATTCTTTCTATTTCTTATACCCATTAATCATCCTCATTTCTTCCCACCCTCTGCTACCCGGCCCAGCCTCTGATAACCATCCTTCTACTCTCCATCTCCATGAATTCAATTGTTTAAAATTTTAGCTCGAAATGTTGTGGGAATTAAGGGATGGGAGAGACCAACGGGTGGAACAGGAGGATTTTATTTAGGTGGCCATCAGCCCAGCAGATTAACATCCAAAGGCTGAGCCCCAAACAAAGACAGGGCTTGACTTTTATACATACATCTGAAAATGGCATGAAACCTGTAAGGCAGGTAACCAAGCTTACAGAAGCAGAACAAAGGCAGTTTATCAGTGACAGGTTTTACAACTCAAGCCAGGTGTTGCAACTCAGGCATATCTTGTGACCTTCACTGTGCTGCACAGAAGGGAAAAACAGGAACTTACAAAACTTGCAAAGATAATTGTGCGAACAGTAAGCAGGTAAGGGGGAAGCTGAAAGAGAAAAACTTGTTTTTCCCAACCTTGCTCCAGGATGGGAGGGAGAGACTCTGAAGCCCATCCCTTCTGTGCCCCAGCTCTGCAGATAATGCTATCAAAGCCTTGACAGATCCCTGCCCCTCCCTGGGTCTTGGAGGGAGTCAGCCTAGTACAGGAAAACTTGTTTTTCTTTTTATATCTTCTGCTTCATCACAAATAAATGAGAACATGTAAAGTTTGTCTTTCTGTGCCTAGGTTATTTCACTTAACATAATGACTTCCAGTTCCATCCATGTTTTTGCAAATGACAGGACTTCATTCTTTTTTATGGCTGAGTAGTACTCCATTGTGTATATGTACATTTTCTTTATCCATTTATCTGTTGGTGGAAATTTAGGTTGTTTCCAAATATTGGCTATAGTGAATAGTGCTGCAATATACATGGGAGTGCAGATATGTCTTTGATATACTAATTTCCTTTCTTTTGGTACATATCTAGGAGTGGGATTGCTGGGTCATATAATAGCTCTATTTTTAGTTTGCTTAGGAACCTCCAAACTGTTCTTTATAGTGGTTGTAATAATTCACATGACACCAACAGTATTGGAGGGTTTAGAGAATTTGTTTCAAATCGACTAGCCTTACAAGAGTTCCTTACGGGAGTGCTAAACAATGAATTGAAAGAATGAGACCTGCTACCAGGCAAACACATTTAAGCACACAGCCTACAGGCACTATAAAGAAACTATGCAGTCAAATCTACATAACAATCAGCCAAAAACACAGTTATAGGATTAAAATCTCTCATATCAGTACTAACTCTAAACTTAAAGACGATAAATGCCCCTTTTAAAAGACACAGAATGATTAGCTGAATAAAAAAGACAAGAACCAAACTTCTTCTGTCTTTAAGAGACCCATCTTACATACAACCACACCCACAGGCTCAAAGTAAATGGATGGAGAAAGATCTAGCATGCAAACAGAAAACAAAATAGAGCAGTAGTTACTAATATTATATAAGACAAAACAGACTTTAAAGCAATAAAAATTAAGAAGGGCAAAAAAAAAGGAATTAAATAATGATAAAGAGTAAAATCAAACAAGAAGTCTTAACTATCGTAAGTCTATACATACCTAACATTGGAGTGCTCAGACTCATAAAACAAGTTTTTCTTCGCAGGCAAAAAGACTCAACCACAGAATAATAGTGGCAGATTTTAACATCACACTGACAGCACTGGACAGTTAACTGAGGAAGAAAACTAACAAAGAAACTCTAGATTTAAACTTGACCTTTGACAAACTGTACCTAATGGATATAAACAGAACACTCCAACCAACAACCACAGAATACAGATTCTTCTCATCCGTACATAAGACATATTCTAAGGTCAACTATATGCTTAGTCATAAAGCAAGTGTCAATAGTTTCAAAAAATTGAAATCATACCAAAGACAGACTCAGACCACAGTGCAATAAAAACAGAAATCAATATAAAGAAGATCTCCCAAAATTACACAAATACATGGAAATTAAACACTTTACCCCTGAATAACTCCTGAGTGAACATGGAAATTAAGGCAGGAATTGAAAAATTATTTGAAATTAATGAAAATAGGGAAACAACTTACGAAAATCTCTGGGATGCAACTAAAACAATGGTAAGAGGAACATCAGCCCTAAAATTCCTTTATTGAGAAATTAGAAAGATCTCAAATTAATAATCTAACTTTGCACCTAAAGCAACTAGAAACAAAAGAACACACCAACCCCAAAGTAGCAGAAGACAAATAACTGAAGTTAGAAAACTGAATAAAGTTGAGATGCAAATATCCAAAAACGGATCAATAAAACCAAAGGTTTGTTTTTTGGAAACAATAAACAAGATTGATAGACCGCTAGCAAGATTAACATAGAAAAAAGAGAAGATCCATATAAATACAATCAGAAACGACAAAGATGATGTTACAATTTATCCCACAGAAATATGAAAGATCCTCAGAGACTACTTTAAACAACTCTATGCATACATTTTAGAAAATCTAGAGGAAATGAATAAATTTCTGGAAACACATAATCTCCCAAGATTGAATCAGGAAGAGATTGAAACCCTGAATAAACTAATACCTTGCTCTGAAATTGAATCAGCAATAAAAATATCTACCAAAAAAATTTTTGTTTTGTTGTTTGGATTTAAAGTTGAATTCTACTAGACATATAAAGAAGAACTGGTACAAATTCTACTTAAATTATTCCAAAAAATCGAGGATGAGGTGCTCCTCCGACTGATTCTGTGAAGGCAGCATCAGTTTGATACCAAAATCTGTCAAAGACAATGAAAAAAGAAAATTTCAGACCAATGTCCCTGATGAAAATAGACCCAAAAATTCTCAACAAAAATAGTAGAAAAGTGATTCCAGCAGCACATCAAAAAGTTAGTTCACCATGATCAAGTCACCTTTATTCCTGGGATGAAAGGTTACCTAAAACATATGCAAATCAATGTATATGATTAACCAAATGAATAGAATTAAAAGCAAAAATGATATGACCATCTCGATAGATGTAGAAGAAGCTTTTGATAAAATCCAACATCCCATCATGATTAAAAAAAAAAAACTCAACAAACTAGGCATGAAAGGAATATACTTTGAAATATTAAGAACCATCTATGACAAACCCACAGCCAACATCATATTAAATGGACAAAAGCTGGAAGCATTCCACTTGAGATATAGAACAAGACAAGGATGCCCACTCTCACTACTCCTATTCAACATAGTACTGGAAGTCCTGGCCAGAGCAATCAGGCAAGAGAAAGACATAAAAGGCATCTAAATAGAAAAAAAAAAGTCAAAGTATCTCTTTTCACTGATATTATTCTATACCTAGAAAATGCTTAAGACTCTGCCAGGAGGTTCTTAAAACAAATAAATGATTTTAGTAAAGTTTTAGGACATGAAATCAATGTACCAAAATTAGTAGCATTTCTTTCGATGATTAATGTCCAGACTGAAAGCCAGATCTAGAGCACAATCACCTTTACAATAGCCACAAAAAAATTGAAATACCTAGGACTACAGCTAACCAAGGAGTTGAAAGAGTTTTACAAGGAGAACTACAAAATACTGCTGAAAGAAATCAGAGATGACAAAAATAAATGGAAACACATTCCAAGCTCACGGATTGGAAGAATCAATATCATTAAAATGGTTATACTGCCCAAAGCAATTTACAAATTTAACATTATGCCTGCCAAACTACCAGCATCATTCTTCATAGAATTAGATTAAAAATAGTGTAAAATTCACTAGTAGAACAAGAACAAAAAAAGAGTCTGAATAGTGAAAGTGATCCTAAGCAGAAAGAACAAAGATGGAGGCATCACACTACCTGACCTCAAACTGTACTCTATATTGTAATCAAAACAGCATAGTAGACATACAAAAATAGACATACAGAGCGATAGAACAGAAAAGAAAAATCAGAAATGACGCCATGCACCTACAATCACCTGATGTTTGACAAAATCAACAAAAATAATAAATGGGAAAAAGACTTTCTATTCAATAAATGGTGCTGTGATAACTGGTTAACCACATGCAGTACATATACACCATGGAATACTACACAGCCATATAAAGAATGAAACCATGCCCTTTGCAGCAACATGGATATACCTGGAGGCCATAATCCTAAGTGAATTAACGCAGCAACAGGAAACCAAATACCACATGTTGTCACTTATAAGCGGTAGGCAAACTTTGAGCACTTATGAACATAAACATGGGAACAAAAGATACTATGGACTACTAGAGGGTGGAGGTATGGAGGGGAATAAGATTTTAAAAACTACCTCTTCCATACTATGTTCACTACCAGGGTGACAGGATCTATAATCCAAACCTGAGCATCATACAATATGCTAACTCAAACAACCTGTACACTTACCAGCTGTATCTAAAATAGAAGTTGAAAAACATGTCTGTCTATCACATATGACTCTGAGCAGATGAGTTCACCATCTGAAAATCTAGAGATGTCCATACCTTTTATTTTTTCATTCCCTCCAGTTAGAATGGAAGAGGCATGCCTCCTCCCATCCAAATAATATCATTCAAATTGTGCTTGGGATTCCACACTCTCCCACCTTTTCATCATTCTTGTATTACTATCTGTCTTTTTCTACTGAACTGTTCTCATCCGCAGGTACATGTTAATTTTTTTAAAATTTCCTCTTGATCTCACTACCTCAGTCAATCCTAATGCAGTCCTTCTTAGGAAAAAAATTCTCCACTAAAAAGCTGTCTACATTTCAATACACTGGCCATTCATTTCTCAACCAAATCTAGACTATAATCCACTTCGATGACTATAAAGCTACTGCTCAAAATCAACATAGATGAACCCTATTTTATTCTAACAGATGCTCTTAGTCCTCATATCACCTCATTGCTCTCTAACACTATTCAGTTTATATAGTTTGGATGTTGTCCCCTCTAAATCGCATGTTGAATTTTAATCCCCAAAGTTAGAGGTGGGGCCTGGTAGGAGGTGATGGGATCATGGGGGCAGATTTCTTATGAAAGGCTTAGCACCATTCCCTTGGTGCTGTCTTTGCAATACTGAGTGAGTTCTCATGAGATCTGGGTGCTTAATAGTGTGTGGCACCTTCCCTCTCTCTCTTGCTCCTGTTCCTGCCATGTGACCTTCCTGTTCCTGCTTCAAATTCCGCTACGAGTAAAAGCTCCCTGAGGCCTCCACAGAAGCCAAGCAGATGTTGTAACCATGTTCATACAGCCTGCAGAACAACGAGCCCAATAAATCTCTTTTTAAAAATGAATTACCCCATCTCATGTACTCCTTTATAACAATGCAAGAATGACCTAACACCTCAGTTGATTCTGTACCCCTTCCTTCTTGAAAGACTCTTCACTTGACTTCTTTGACATTATACTCTCTTGATATATCTCCTCTACCTTAACCCTAAATGTGTTGTCCCTCAGATATCTGCCTTATACTTACTTCAGTCACATGCTTCATGAATGATGTTATCAAACCTATGGTTTTAATTATCATAGATAATCTCATGACTTCATAATCTTATTCTCCAATCTAAATCTTTCTCCTGGACAGCAGGTTCATATAAACAACTTTCTAATGGGCATTTTCCCATTGTTTTTACAGCCCTCAGACTCAATGTGTTAAAATAGAAAGTTTTTCTGTCACCAGAAACTTGCTTTTTCTCCTGTGCTCCCAGTTACAGTAAAAGGTAAAACTACCTACAAAAGCAAAAACATGAGACTTAATTTGATTCTTCTCTTTCACTTTATCCTCACCATGTACCATAGGTTTACTACCTTTGCCTTGACTCTACCTATTTAACTCGATCTCTGCTGCATCATTTTCATAAAGCACTGAAAACAGTATCCAACCTGATCATACATTCTTGCCACCCTCTTGTCCCTTTGACACACAGCATGCATAATGATATTGAACAAATCAATTTTGATCATTTATGTCCCCATTAACAAAATAAATAACTCTCATTTAATGTCTTTTATCTGTAGATGTGAGTCTTTCACCCAAAAATCTGTATCTGACTTATGGATAGACAGCTAGATGGTCAGTTTCTTAGTCTTTATTGATTTAAAATTAGAAAACATGAATTCACGATTATAGAGTGTTGGCAAATGGCAGCAAGTATTTGATGGCTCTCTTGGATGCACTTCAATATTAAGATGAAATGAAGACTGAGGAATAATATAGAGATGTCTGAATAAAAACTATTATCAGTGCACCGTTAGATGTGAACTTGACAAGCACATTACACTCAACAGCTGGAAGGTTGGATATTTCAACTTAGATGTCAGAGAATAGATTCCAATTCCAGTTTCTGGTTTTATTTGGCTCTGAAAAATATTCAACATGTTCTGTTACAGCATTTAAATGTCGGTTTTAACTATGCCTAATGATATGCTATCAGTTTCCTTCTGCAGTGAGTGAGGAAGATGTTTAGATTTGGAGAAAGAGCCAAGCTGTTGGTAATCTTTTTGCAAGCCATTTCTTTTTAAGATATTTTGATACATTATCGACAGTATTATAAATTAATTCCATTTTGTCCATAAAATCATTGGTTTGGGGCTGTTCAAGACACTGAATGTGCCACTATTCTGGTGTGAAGACAGTATTTTATTTCATCTTTCCCTTCAAAAACTCTTATGTACATATTTTTTTCCCTAAAAGCAAGCATACATCACTATGTGAAAGATGATTTTTACCATTTCTATAGAAACCATACCAAAAAAATCCATTCATTGGCCACTATTTGATTAGTTTCATAATTTTCACCGGATCAACTTCAGGAGGTATAAGGGATTTATGTGATTAAAGCAGTTTGTGAAATTATTTTCAAGTGCTACTTTACTGTCATAACAAACTAGCACTAGCTCCATCACAGATACTCTTAATGAAAATATTCTTGTCTTAATATTGGTTACAAAAGAATCATTGATTAAATGAGAATTTTAATTTTTTTCTCTTGTACCATGGGTTTTCAGTGATAAATAAAACATGTAATCTAGAAGTTCTTCAAGATATATGTATGATATGTATACAGGACGCTGATTCATACTTTGCAAATCAGTAAAGAAAATTAGAAAAAAATATTTTTATGTGTGACAAGTATTTATTTTATAAACTTTGTGTGTCATAGACATAATGAGATTTCTAGTGGTATCTATCATATTTTTCCAAAATGGTTTTCTGTTTTTTTTTTTTACTATGTATAATGTTTATCATTAATTTGGCAATTTTTTTTTGGCTTATAGACCATACCTACTTGGTTTATTATTTTTCTTTTTAATTAGCTGCTTGAGACTTAACCTATTGTAAGCTATTACATTATCTGTTCAAATAATCTCAGATAAGTTCACATATAATATGAGAACCTAAAATAGTGTATTTCTATTTTCCCACTCTCATACTTTGTGCTATTATTGTTGTGTATTTTACTTCAACAAGTTAAAAACCAAAAGGAAGATGTCATTTTTGTCTTAAAATTAATTCTCAAATAAAAATTAAAAATAAAAAATTATTATTATTTTAAAACTTTTAGGTTCAGGGGTACTTAGGTGCAGGTTTGTTATATAGGCAAATTCATGTCATGGAGGTTTGTTGTACAGATTATTTTGTCCATCAGGTACTAAGCCTAGTACCCAAGAGTTATTGTTTCTGCTCCTCTCCCTCTTTTCACAGTATCTGTTGCTCCTGTGTTTGTGTCCTTGTAATCTCATCATTTACCTTTCACTTATAAGGGAGAACATGCGATATTTGGTTTTCTGTTCCTGTGTTAGTTTGCTAAGGATAATATGGCTGTGTTTTTTGCTGTTGTTGTGTCCCTGCCAGTTTATGGTATTAGGATGATGCTGGCCTAATAGAATGAGTTGGGGAGGAATCCCTCCTCCTCAGGTTTTTTTGTTTTGGTTTGGTTTGTTTTTGTTTTCGTTTTTTGGAGTAGTTTCAGTAGCAATAATACCAACTTGTCTTTGTACATCTGATAGAATTTGGCTGTTAATCTGTCTGTTTCTGGGTTTTTATTGGTTGGCAGGCTGTTTATTACTGATTTAATTTTGGAGCTCGTTATTGGTCTGTTCAGGGAATCAATTTCTTCCTGGTTCAGTCTTGGGAGGGTGTATATGTCCAGGAATTCATTCATCTCTTCTAGGATTTTTAGTTTGTATGCATGGAGGTGTTCACAATAGTCTCTCGTAGTTGTTTGTATTTTTGTGGTGTCAGTGGTAATATCCCTTTTGTTGTTTCATATTGTGTTTATTTGGGTCTTCTCTCTTTTCCTTTTTACTAGGCTACCTACGGTTTTACCTATCTTATTAATTTTTCAGAAAAACAGCTTAGGAGTTTGCTAAACTTTTGAATTTTGTTTTCTTGTCTGGATCTCCTTCAGTTCAGCTCTGATTTTGGTTATTTCTTGTCTTCTGCTAGCTTTGGGGTTGGTTTGCTCTTGCTTCTCTAGTTCTTTCAGCTATGATGTCAGGTTGTTGGAGACCTAACTTTTTGATGTGGGGGCCCAGTGCTAAACATTTTCCCCTTAACACTGTTTTGACTGTGTGCCAGAGATTCTGGTATGTTGTATCTTTGTTTTCATTAGTTTCAAACAAATTCTTGATTCTGCTTTAATTCCATCATTTACCAAGAAGTCATTGAGAAGCAGGTTGTTTAATTTCCATGTAATTGCATGGTTTTGAGCAATTTTTTATTTGTGGTTTCTGGGGTTTTTTGTTTTGTTTTGTTTTTTTGTTTTTTTTTAGACAGGGTCTCACTCTATCACCCAGGCTGGAGTGCAGTGGTGCGAATCTGGCTCAGGGCAACTTTGGCCTCCTAGGTTCAAGCAATCCTCCCACCTCAGCTTCCAGAGTAGCTGAGACTACAGGCACATGCCACCATGCCCAGCTATTTTGTGTGTGTGTGTGTGTGTGTGTGTGTGTGTGTGTGTGTGTGTATTTTTTGTAGAGATGGCTTTTTGCCATGTTGCCCAGGCTGGTCTCAAACTTCTGAGCTCAAGCAATCCTCCAGCATCAGCCTCCCAATGTGCTGGGATTGTAAGTATGAGCCACTGCGCCCAGCCTTGATTTCTATTTTTATTGTGCTGTGGTACAAGAGTGTGTTTGGTATGTTTTCAGTTCTTTTGCATTTATTGAGGATTATTTAATATCCACTTGTGCGGTTAATTTTGGAGTATGTGCTATGTGGTGATGAGAAAAATGTATGTTCCGTTGTTTTGGGTGTAGAGTTCTGTAGCAGTCTATCAGATCCATTTGGTCTAGAGTTGAGTTAATGTCCTAAATATCTTTGATAGTTTTCTGCCTCGATGATCTATCTAGTACTATCAGTGGAGTGTTGAAGTCTCCCAGTAATATTATGTGGGAGCCTGAGTCTCTTTGTAGGTCTCTAAGAACTTGCTTTATGAACCTGGGTGCTACTGTGTTGAGTGCATATACATTTAGGATAGTTAGGTCTTCTTGTTGAATTGCATCCTTTACCATTATGTCATGCCCTTCTTTTTCTTTTTTCATTCTTGTTGGTGTAGAGTCTGTTTTGTCTGAATTAGTATTGCAACCCCTGCTTTTTTCTGTTTTCCATTTGCTTGTTAAATTTTCCTCCATCTCTTTAATTTGAGTCTACGGGTGTCACTGCATATGAGATGGATCTCTTAAAGACAGCATAACATTGAGTCTTGCTTTTTTATTCAGGTTTTCACTCTGTGTCTTTTAAATGGGGAACTTAGCCTTACATTCAGGTTAGTATTGATATGTGTGGATTCAATCCTATCATTTTGTTGTTAGCTGGTTATTATGATGGCTTGTTTATGTGGTTGCTTTATAATGTCACTCATCTGTGTACTTAAGTGTATTTTTTTAGTGGCTAGTAATGGTTTTTTCTTTCCATATTTAGTGCTCCTTTCAAGATCTTTTGTAAAGTAGTTCTGCTGGTAACAAACTCTGTCATCATTTGCTTATGTGAAAAGGATCTTATTTTTCCTTTACTTAAGATGTCTAGTTTAGATGAATATGAAGTTCTTCATTGAACTTTTTTTTAAGAATGTTCTATATAAGCCTCCAGTCTCTTCTGGCTTGGAGGGTTTATGCTGAAAAGTCCACTGTTAATCTGATGGGGTTCCCTTCATAGATGACCTTCCCTTTCTCTCTGGTTTCCTTTAACATTCTTTTATTTCATCCTTCAAAAATCTCATGATTATGTGTCTTGGGGATAAACTTCTTGTGCAGAATCTTGCAGGGGTTCTCTGTATTTCCTGAATTTGACTGTCAGTGTCTCTAGAAAGGTTAGGGAAGTTTTCACGGACAATATCCTGAAATACATGTTCTAAGTTGTTTGCTTTCTCTCAGTCCCATTCAGGAATACCAATGACTCATAGATTTGGCTTCTTTACGTAATTGCATATTTCTCAAAGGTTTATTCATTCCTTTTTATTCTTTTGGCTTTAATTTTGTCTCACTGTCTTATTTTAGAGAGCCAATCAAGTTCCGAGATTTCCTCAGCTTCATCTATTTTGCTGTTAATATTTGTGATTGCATTGTGAAATGTTTGTAATGTGTTTTTCAGTCCTATCAGATAACTTAGGTTCTTTTTTATACTGGGTATTTCATCCTTCAGTTCCTCACCATTTTATTGTGATTGTTCATTTCCCTGAGTTGGGTTTTGCTATTCCCCTGAATATTGATCATCTTCATTCCTATCCATATTCTGAATTATATTTCTGTCATTTGAGCCAATTCACCCTGATTAAGCCCCATCAGAGATTCTTGGTATTTCTCAAACCTTTGTACTCATTTAAACTATAGTATTTTTCCTTAATGACTCCCAAGAAACTAGAATATGTGAAGTATTTTCAGTGCCACAAGACAAGAGAGCTAGAATCCAGTCCTTTCAGAAGCAGCCAGGCAAGTTGGGGTACCAGATATGTGGTTCAATTCCTTTTTCCTTGAGGAAGAAGCTGGGAGCTGAATTTTATCACCTTTCTCTGGATTGAACTAGGAAGAGGAACGATGGCAAGTGCCTGCATGCTCATTCAGATCAGACGCTGTTTCAAACCACTGCTCTGGCCTCTGTCACCAGGTTTCCTCATCTCTGTGAAATATACTTGAAAATGCCTCCAGATAAAAATTCAGGAGACGGGGGTGGAGCCAAAATGGCCCAATAGGAACAGCTCCAGTCTACAGCTCCCAGCGTGAGCGACGCAGAAGACGAATGATTTCTGCATGTCCAACTGAGGTACCGGGTTCATCTCACTGGGGAGTGTTGGACAGTGGGTGCAGGACACTGGGTGCAGTGCACTGAGTGTGAGCCGAAGCAGGGCGAGGCATCGCCTCACCCGGGAAGCACAAGGGGTCAGGGAATTCCCTTTCCTAGCCAAGGAAAGGGGTGACAGATGGCACCTGGAAAATCGGGTCACTCCCACCCTAATACTGCGCTTTTCCAATGGTCTTAGCAAATGGCACACCAGGAGATTGTGTTCCGTGCCTGGCTCGGAGGGTCCTATGCCCACGGAGCCTCGCTCATTGCTATCACAGCAGTCTGAGATCAAACTGCAAGGCGGCAGAGAGGTTGGGGGAGGGGCGCCCGCCATTGCCGAGGCTTGAGTAGGTAAACAAAGCGGCCAGGAAGCTCGAACTGGGTGGAGCCCACTGCAGCTCAAGGAGGCCTGCCTGCCTCTGTAGACTCCACCTCTGGGGGCAGGGCATAGCCAAACAAAAGGCAGCAGAAACCTCTGCAGACTTAAATGTCCCTGTCTGACAGCTTTGAAGAGAGTAGTGGTTCTCCCAGCATGCAAATTGAGATCTGAGAACGGATAGACTGCCTCTTCAAGTGGGTCCCTGACCCCTGAGTAGCCTAACTGGGAGGCACCCCCCACTAGGGGCAGACTGACACCTTACACATCCGGGTACTCCTCTGAGACAAAACTTCCAGAGGAACCATCAGGCAGCAACATTTGCTGTTCACCAAGATCCACTGTTCTGCAGCCTCCACTGCTGATACCCAGGCAAACAGTGTCTGGAGTGGACCTCCAACAAACTCCAACAGACCTACAGCTGAGGGTCCTGACTATTAGAAGGAAAACTAACAAACAGAAAGGACATCCACACCAAAACCCCATCTGTACGTCACCATCATCAAAGACCAAAGGTAGATAAAACCACAAAGATGGGGAAAAAACAGAGCAGAAAAACTGAAAATTCTAAAAATCAGAGCGCCTCTCCTCCTACAAAGGAACGCAGCTCCTCAGCAACAACAGAACAAAGCTGGACAGAGAATGACTTTGACGAGTTGAGAGAAGAAGGCTTCAGACAATCAAACTACTCCAAGCTAAAGGAGGAAGTTCAAACCCATGGCAAAGAAGTCAAAAACCTTGAAAAAAAATTAAACGAATGGCTAACTAGAATAACCAATGTAGAGAAGTCCTTAAAGGACATGATGGAGCTGAAAACCATGGCACGAGAACTATGTGACGAATGCACAAGCCTCAGTAGCTGATTCGATCAACTGCAAGAGAGGGTATCAGTGACGGAAGATCAAATGAATGAAATTAAGCGAGAAGAGAAGTTTAGAGAAAAAAGAATAAAAAGAAACGAACAAAACCTCCAAGAAATATGGGACTATGTGAAAAGAACAAGTCTACGTCTGATTGGTGTACCTGAAAGTGATGGGGAGAATGGAAACAAGTTGGAAAACACTCTGCAGGATATTATCTAGGAGAAGACCACAAAGATACTCCTCGAGAACAGCAACTCCAAGATACATAATTGTCAGATTCACCAAAGTTGAAATGAAGGAAAAAGTGTTAAGGGCAGCCAGAGAGAAAGGTCTGGTTACCCACAAAGGGAAGCCCATCAGACTAACAGCTGATCTCTCGGCAGAAACTCTACAAGCCAGAAGAGATTGGGGGCCAATATTCAACATTCTTATAGAAAAGAATTTTCAACCCAGAATTTCTATCCAGCCAAACTAAGCTTCGTAAGTGAAGGAGAAATAAAATACTTTACAGACAAGCAGATGCTGAGAGATTTTGTCACCACCAGGCCTGCCCTAAAAGAGCTCCTGAAGGAAGCACTAAACATGGAAAGGAACAACCGGTACCAGCCACTGCAAAAACATGCCGAATTGCAAAGACCATCAAGGCTAGGAAGAAACTGCATCAACTAACGAGCAAAATAACCAGCTAACATCATAATGACAGGATCAAATTCACACATAACAATATTAACATTAAATGTAAATGGGCTAAATGCTCCAATTAAAAGACACAGACTGGCAAATTGGATAAAGAGTCAAGACCCATCTGTGTACCGTATTCAGGAAACACATCTCACGTGCAGAAACACACATAGGCTCAAAATAAAGGGATGGAGGAAGATATACCAAGCAAATGGAAAACAAAAAAAGGCAGGGGTTGCAATCCTAGTCTCTGATAAAACAGACTTTAAACCAACAAGGATCAAAAGAGACAAAGAAGGCCATTACATAATGGTAAAGGGATCAATTCAACAAGAAGAGCTAACTATCCTAAATATATATGCACCCAATACAGGAGCACCCAGATTCATAAAGCAAGTCCTTAGAGACCTACAAAGAGACTTAGACTCCCACACAATAATAATGGCAGACTTTAGCACCTCACTGTCAACATTAGACAGATCAACGAGACAGAAAGTGAACAAGGAAATCCAGGAATTGAACTCAGCTCTGCACCAAGCAGACCTAATAGACATCTACAGAACTCTCCACCCCAAATCAACAGAATATACATTCTTCTCAGCACCACACCACACCTATTCCAAAATTGACCACGTAGTTGGAAGTAAGGCACTCCTCAGCAAATGTAAAAGAACAGAAATTATAACAAACTGTCTCTCAGACCACAGTGCAATCAAACTAGAACTCAGGATTAAGAAACTCACTCAAAACCGCTCAACTACATGGAAACTGAACAACCTGTTCCTGAATGACAACTCGGTACATAACGAAATGAAGCCAGAAATAAAGATGTTCTTTGAAACCAACGAGAACAAAGAAACAACATACCAGAATCTCTGGGACGCATTCAAAGCAGTGTGTAGAGGGAAATTTATAGCACTAAATGCCCACAAGAGAAAGCAGGAAAGATCTAAAATTGACACCCTAACATCACAATTAAAAGAACTAGAGAAGCAAGAGCAAACACATTCAAAAGCTAGCAGAAGGCAAGAAATAACTAAGATCAGAGCAGAACTCAAGGAAACAGAGACACAAAAAACCCTTAAAAAAATCAATGAATCCAGGAGCTGGTTTTTTGAAAAGATCAACAAAATTGATAGACTGCTAGCAAGACTAATAAAGAAGAAAAGAGAGAAGAATCAAATAGACCCAATAAAAAATGATAAAGGTGATATCACCACCGAACCCACAGAAATACAAACTACCATCAGAGAATACTACAAACACCTCTACGCAAATAAACTAGAAAATCTAGAAGAAATGGATAAATTCCTCGACACACACATCCTCCCAAGACTAAACCAGGAAGAAGTTGAATCTCTGAATAGACCAATAACAGGCTCTGAAATTGAGGCAATAATTAACAGC
Source organism: Homo sapiens (assembly GCF_000001405.40). NCBI lineage: Eukaryota > Metazoa > Chordata > Mammalia > Primates > Hominidae > Homo > Homo sapiens. The sequence goes on along the minus strand of NC_000023.11, from coordinate 143,764,949 downwards.
TTACCCACCAAAAGAAGTCCAGGACCAGACGGATTCACAGCCGAATTCTACCAGAGGTACAAGAAGGAGCTGGTACCATTTCTTCTGAAACTATTCCAATCAATAGAAAAAGAGGGAATCCTCCCTAACTCATTTTATGAAGCCAGCATCATCCTGATACCAAAGCTGGGCAGAGACACAACAAAAAAAGAGAATTTTAGACCAATATCCTTGATGAACATTGATGCAAAAATCCTCAATAAAATACTGGCAAACCGAATCCAGCAGCACATCAAAAAGCTTATCCACCACGATCAAGTGGGCTTCATCCCTGGGATGCAAGGCTGGTTCAACATATGCAAGTCAATAAACGTAATCCAGCATATAAACAGAACCAATGACAAAAACCACATGATTATCTCAATAGATGCAGAAAAGGCCTTTGACAAAATTCAACAACCCTTCATGCTAAAAACTCTCAACAAATTAGGTATTGATGGGACGTATCTCAAAATAATAAGAGCTATCTATGACAAATTCACAGCCAATATCATACCGAATGGGCAAAAACTGGAAGCATTCCCTTTGAAAGCTGGCACAAGACAGGGATGCCCTCTCTCACCACTCCTATTCAACATAGTGTTGGAAGTTCTGGCCAGGGCAATCAGGCAGGAGGAGAAAATAAAGGGAATTCAATTAGGAAAAGAGGAAGTCAAATTGTCCCTGTTTGCACATGACATGATTGTATATCTAGAAAACCCCACTGTCTCAGCCCAAAATCTCCTTAAGCTGATAAGCAACTTCAGCAAAGTCTCAGGATACAAAATCAATGTGCAAAAATCACAAGCATTCTTATACACCAACAGCAGATAAACAGAGAGCCAAATCATGAGTGAACTCCCATTCACAATTGCTTCAAAGAGAATAAAATACCTAGGAATCCAACTTACAAGGGACGTGAAGGACCTCTTCAAGGAGAACTACAAACCACTGCTCAATGAAATAAAAGAGGATACAAACAAATGGAAGAACATTCCATGCTCATGGGTAGGAAGAATCAATATCGTGAAAATGGCCATACTGTCCAAGGTAATGTATAGATTCAATGCCATCCCCATCAAGCTACCAATGACTTTCTTCACAGAATTGGAAAAAACTACTTTAAAGTTCATATGGAACGAATAAAGAGCCCACATTGCCAAGTCAATCCTAAGCCAAAAGAACAAAGCTGGAGGCATCACGCTACCTGACTTCAAACTATACTACAAGGCTACAGTAACCAAAACAGCATGGTACTGGTACCAAAACAGAGATATAGACCAATGGAACAGAACAGAGCCCTCAGAAATAATGCCACATATCTACAACTATCTGATCTTTGACAAACCTGACAAAAACAAGAAATCGGGAAAGGATTCCCTATTTAATAAATGGTGCTGGGAAAACTGGCTAGCCATATGTAGAAAGCTGAATCTGGACCCCTTCCTTACATCTTATACAAAAATTAATTCAAGATGGATTAAAGACTTAAATGTTAGACCTAAAACCATAAAAACCCTAGAAGAAAACCTAGGCAATACCATTCAGGACATAGGCCTGGGCAAGGACTTCATGTCTAAAACACCAAAAGCAATGGCAACAAAAGCCAAAATTGACAAATGGGATCTAATTAAACTAAAGAGCTTCTGCACAGCAAAAGAAACTACCATCAGAGTGAACAGGCAACCTACAGAATGGGAGAAAATGTCTGCAATGTACTCATCTGGCAAAGGGCTATTATCCAGAATCTACAATGAACTCAAATAAATTTACAAGAAAAAAACAAACAACCCCATCAACATGTGGGCAAAGGATATGAACGGACACTTCTCAAAAGAAGACATTTATGCAGCTAACAGACACATGAAAAAATGCTTATCATCACTGGCCATCAGAGAAATGCAAATCAAAACCACAATGAGATACCATCTCACACCAGTTAAAATGGCGATCATGAAAAAGTCAGGAAACCACAGGTGCTGGAGAGGATGTGGAGAAATAGGAACACTTTTACACTGTTGGTGGGACTGTAAACTAGTTCAACCATTGTGGAAGTCAGTGTGGCAATTCCTCAGGGATCTAGAACTAGAAATACCATTTGACCCAGCCATCCCATATACCCAAAGTAATATAAATCATGCTGCTATAAAGACACATGCACATGTATGTTTATTGCAGGACTATTCACAATAGCAAAGACTTGGAACCAACCCAAAGGTCCATCAATGATAGACTGGATTAAGAAAATGTGGCACATATACACCATGGAATACTGTGCAGTCATACAAAATGATGAGTTCATGTCCTTTGTAGGGACATGGATGAACCTGGAAACCATCATTCTCAGCAAACTATCACAAGTACAAAAAAACAAACACCACATGTTCTCACTCATAGGTGGGAACTGAACAAAGAGAACACATGGACTCAGGAAGGGGAACATCACACACCAGGGACTGTTGTGGGGTGGGGGGAGGGGGTTGGGATAGCTTTAGGAGATATACCTAATGTTAAATGACGAGTTAATGGGTGCAGCACACCAACATGGCACATGTATACATATGTAACAAACCTGCACATTGTGCACGTGTACCCTAAAACTTAAAGTATAATAAAAAAAAAAAAACTCAACTGAAAGTAAACCACTAATCAAAGTGAAAAAAAAAATTCAGGAGACTTGTAAAAATCAAACTGTCTGTTTCCGTTTTCTCAGAGTGCTGTGTTGGCTATTGCCCAGTATTTAAAAAAGTTGTTTCATTTGTTTTGTCCAGTTTGCTAGTCATTTGTAGCAGGTGAGCTATTCTCATACCAGTATTTTTTCATGAGAGGTACCATGCAGATGGTTTCTTTACAGAGCATTAATTGTATATTATTGTACCTATTTTTTCATGATGACTATGATGTTGAAAGATGCCCATTTTTTTGTGCCTCCCCTTTTTCAAGAAACAAATTTATGAATTTCTTGATATATTTATATCAAACTTGATTAAGAAAAGATTAGTTTACCAGTGAGGTCATTGTATTTTCTTTAAAAATATGAATTGCTTTAGGTTATGGTTTACCAACTTTTTGTGACAATGAATTTATGGAACTAGAAGAACATTCACCACCAGTTAAATAAAATCTAGTTTTTCAAACATTCTTTGTATTTTTTTCTAATACCAGTTACTCTTCTGGATCCTCTAATGAAATTACTAGGTTAATATATTTACTTTTTCTTCTTGAATTCAAAGATATATGTTCGTTTTATCACTGGTATACTATTTTCTAGTTATGTTCACAGTATAATTCTGAATTGTACTATTTATATTACCATTGTGTTACTACCTTTGCACTATTTGTGTCTGTTGCTGCATTTTTGTGGATTGAGGATGTATCTTTAATTATTTGTAATAAAAAAGACATATATAACAGATACGAGAAATAACATTAAAATGTCATTCTCGTATATTTCCAAGTATAAAAATCTATGGTGATACAAGCGAGAAAAATTGCTTATATTTGTCGGGATAGTGAGATAGAGGGTGTACCAGTGAGGTTTATGGATTACTGGTAATAATCTATATCTTAATAAAAGTGTTGGTTACATGGATGTGTTTACTTAGTGTTGTTTGGATACTTTTAGTATTTTTGCATTTTGTTATGTGTATTTTTTTTAAGACGGATTCTGGCTCTGTCACCCAGGCTGGAGTGCAGTGGCACGATCTCGGCTCACTGCAAGCTCCGCCTCCCAGGTTCACGCCATTCTCCTGCCTCAGCCTCCCGAGTAGCTGGGACTACAGGCGCCCGCCACAATGCCCGGCTAATTTTCTGTATTTTTAGTAGAGACAGGGTTTCACTGTGTTAGCCAGGACGGTCTCGATCTCCCGACCTCGTGATCTGCCTGCCTCGGCCTCCCAAAGTGCTGGGATTACAGGCATGAGCCACTGTGCCTGGCCTGTTATGTGTACCTTATACATTGCCAAAATGTTTTGTTAATGACATACAAGTATATAAACTTAGATGAACTATGCCTGCTAAATGAGGTGCCATTGAGATTAATCAGTGCAATCTTATAGTACATGTGGAAATTTTAATAACATAATAAAATTTGAAAGATGATTTCTGTAAAAATTATGATTAATCTTGCTTTTAATTCTTAATTTTGTTTCTTTTGACATCACTATATTACCTGTGGAACAGCTAATATATGTACAGGGCAAAGTGTCGTTAACCAACCATTGAAGAATGCTGATTTAGAAAGTGGATTTCAGGCCAGGTGCAGTGGCTCACGGTAATCCCAGCACTTTGGGAGGCCCAGGCGGGCAGATTACCTGAGGTCGGGTATTCGAGACCAGCCTGGCTGACACGGCAAAACCCCATCTCTACTAAAAATACAAAAATTAGCTGAGCATGGTAGTGCGTGCCTGTAATCCCAGCTACTCGGAAGGTGGAGGCACGAGAATCTCTTGAACCCACAAGGCAGAGTCTCCTGTAAGCTGAGATCGCACCACGGCACTCCAGCCTGGGAAACAGAGGATAGAGTGAGACTTTGTCTCAAAAAAAAAAAAAGTGGATTTCAGATACTTTGCTTTGTACTTTGCTAATTTTGCTTAAAGCAGCAATAGTATTTGAAGAACTAACATATCCCGTAAGGTGGGTTGACCCATAATGCCTCTCTGGAGAAAACTTTCAGTGGGCATGATGTTCCAGTTAATTCATAATTAAATTTTCTGACAGATACTAGTTATGCATATATATTTTGTTTGTTGTTGAACTGAGAGTTAACGTCTTTATCTACCCTTCCCAATCATTGTTCTTTCCTGCCCTTAGGGGCTTGAGCTGAAGCCTCACACTGCCTCCTAAAGAAACCTTTCCTTGGTGAAATTGCTACATATACCTCTTCAAGTCACTGTTGAGCCCCGCAACTGGGGACCTGAGCTAAAGCTGCACACTCCCTCCTGGGGAAATGATGCTTTGGTAGAACCATTCCATCCACCTATTTTAGTTGTGGCTGTGCCCTGTGCCCCCAGGCCTGGGATGAAGCTACAGCACTCTTTCTTGAGGAAAAAGTGCCTTGGCAGAGTTGATCCATCTACTCCTTATAGTCAGTGATTCTGCACCCTGCACCTGGGAACCAGGTCTAAAGTTGCACACTTCATTTTAGGGAAACAATGCTGTCATGGGGCTGTTCCATCTACCTCTCCCAGTCCCTACTGCACCCTGCCCCTTGGGGTCCAACCTAAGTTACACACCCCCTTCCTGGGAAATGGTGCCTCGGTTAAGTTGCTCCATATGCCCTTCAAAGTCACTGCTACACCCTGTCCATAGGGGCCTGAGCTGAAGCTACACACTTCCTCTAGAGAAATTTAAAAACAATAACAACAGCAACAACAATAAATAACCTGCCAGTTGCTGCTGCACCCTACCCTAACCTTGCTGGTGCTGAAACAATGCCAGTCATTCTGGGAAAACTTTGCCTTGGCTGTCCATTATAGTCACCCCCCTCTGTGCTTGAGCTAAAGAAGTATTCTGCCTCCTGGATACAAAACCATGGCCACCCAGAGCAGTCATCCCCTCCCACTGTCTAAGTTGAAGCAGCAACCTGACTCCCTTGAAAAAGTACCTTGGTCTCCAAAAGTGGTCACTCACCCTGGTACCTAAGCTGAAGCAATGCCCTGTATCCTAGGGAAATGGTGCCTTGGCTTCCAAGAGCAGTCACGCACACTGAGCCTGAGCTGAAGAAGAACATTTCCCTAGGGGAAGTGGTGCTTTGGCCTAGCTGAGCAACTATGCATCCGAGAGCTGAGGTGACATAGCATCCCACATCCCAGGGCAAAAAAAAAAGCAGTGGCTGAGCTAAAATACCCTGTCCCCCAAGCCAGACAACTCTAGTAACCTTCATCCCTGAAGCTGGACTAGGCCCCCGGAGTCTGAGCTTCTGAGAAACCTCTATCTGGGTAGAGGAGTAATCACTGTGCTACTCCGAGCTCCCGCAGGTGTAAACAATAGCTGTGCTCTGCCATTCTGAGGTTCTTGCTACCACTACACCTGGCCTCACAGAGAGTCTAGGATATAGCAGCACCCCACCATTCCAGGGACTACAGTTACCACTAGCAGTGCCCCATCCCTGAGGACCTGAGTTTCCACTGGGCTCTATTGGCTCAGGTTCCCAAATTGCAACCACACCCTGATCCCCAGGTCCAAACATCCAGAATGCCCATTTATCCTTGGAGGCAGACCAGTGCTGTGCCCTGCCGCAAGTGACGGATTTGCAGCAATAACCCAGCCCTGTGGACTAGGAATACAAACGGACTGAAACCAAAAATTGGTCCTTAGTAGTAGCATGTTGAAAGATTCCTGCTATAAAAGCTACTATTAATCTAACTGGAATTCCCTTATATATGACTTGATCCTTTTTTCCAGTTCTTCTTAGAATTCACTCTTTGTCTTTAATTTTTGACAACTTTATTATAGTGAATCTCAGAGAGAACGTTTTTGGATTGAATCTATTTGGGAACTTTTGAGCTTCCTGGGTGTGCAGCATCTAGGAGTAAACTAAAAGTGGAATTTATAATTAGAAGAAAAGCAGAACACAAAAATTTGAAAAATATGTAGATTGGCCATGTGGTAGAGAAGAGAAGAAGATTCTCAGGTAATAAATCCAAGGATTTTGTGGATCAACAACTTGCTAAAGAGATTAGCACAAATAAGAGGGAGCCAGGTGCTGATAGGCAAGACAATGATAAAAAGTCCCTAAAGGCATTTCAGAAATCTTCAAGTTCACCCCTCCCATCAGAGGCGCAGAGGCGTTAAGAGGACAGAATGGTTTTGGCGTCCAGGCCTGGGGCTGCTATCGCCTTGGATTGCCTTGGGAAGCTGCTCCCTACATCCTCACCGCTCCAGCACCAGCCATGGTTTAAACGGTCCCAGGTACTGCTGGTGCCCCTGCTCTAGAGAATGCACACGGTAAACCTTGGCAGCTTCCACCAGATGTTAAGTCTGCAGGTGACCAGGATGAAAGAGGCTTGGTGGCTTCCAATTATATTCAGTTAGTCATCAGAAAACTTGAGACTTTGGGAGAGTGAGAAAGCAGCATCAGCTCTCCTACCTGGTATTGGGAAGTGAAGAGTTTGAACGCAAACTTAAATGTATTCTAAGTTTGCTTCTTCTATGAAGTAGCTTCTTGTATTGAGAGGTGAAAACGTGCTAGCAGCCCTCGCTCGCTCTCGGCGCCTCCTCGGCCCCGGTGTCCGCTCTGGCCGCGCTGGAGGAGCCCTTCAGCCTGTCGCTGCGCTATGAGGGCCCCTCTCTGGGGCTGGCCAAGGCCGGAGCTGGCTCCCTCTGCTGGCGGGGAGGTGTGAAGAGAGAGGCGTGGGCGGGAGCCGGGCGGGGCTGCGCGCCGAGGCCGGCCGGCGCGGTTTCCAGGTGAGCGCGGGCTCAGCAAGCCCCGCACTCGGCCAGGCTGGCGCCTGCTGGGCTTGATCGGAGTCTGAATCCGGTGCGTGGACCACCGTTCCCTCTTCCCGGGATCATTGGCCATGATAGCAGGTCTCCGTCTCTTTCTCGCTTCCCCTCTTGATTGTCTGGGACGAGCTCACTTTGGGCTGCGGGAGTGCCCGGATGAGATAGGCACGTGGATATGGTAAGTAAGGCTCTGAGGAGTCAATTTTGAAGCATGAGTTTTTTACTAGGATGCCCCCAGAATACTACTGCCCCCTTTCCCCTATTTTATACACTGAAAACTATATTTTAAGATTAAATGGAGTGCGAATGCACTAAGAAAGTTCATTGAGGCACAAACCAATATCAGTTCTTAGGTAAAAAATGCTAAAAATTGTTGTGGTTCATATGGACTATTGATTTCATCAGCAGAAAAAATACAGTTTCATTCATTTGAAAAATCACATTCAGTGCTCCATGGCAAGAGTATTACAACAAATTCTCTTCAAATTCTCCATGTTTGGTGTTCATAACCCACAGGGTCAAGATAGTTAAAGTTGGAGCAGTCCCTTTGTCAGGGAATAGAAAAAACTTTGGGAGGAAGTCCAATAGAGTTAAAGAGTCCAGTGATTAGAAAACAGGAAGCTGCCCTCTCAAGAATGCATATGCACCAATAGGGTCTAGCCATCAGGTATAAACAGAAATCTAGTTTAGACGGATAGTCAGTACCAGAGAATTCTGGCATTATGCAGCCGGTATCACAGACATTATTGAGCCAGAGGGCTAAGTCACAACAGCCACACTTCTGGAAGGATTAAGTGATACAAAGTGAAACTCTAATTCCTAATTCTAAATCCTATAAAGCTTGAAGGAAAGCAAACAAGTGAGGAACATACAAACGGGGAGAAAAACCATGGATCCAATTACTGAGTATAAGATAACAGTTTTATTTCCAAGGTGAACAGGCAGGATCACAAAGTTTGAGCTTTAGTAAAAAGGAAAATGTCCTTTCAAGAATACAAATGTACCGCACTTTGGGAGGCCGACACGGGCGGATCATAAGGTCAGGAGATCGAGACCATCCTGGCTAACACGTTGAAACCCCGTCTCTACTAAAAATACAAAAAATAATTACCCGGGCGTGGTGGCGGGTGCCTGTAGTCCCAGCTACTCGGGAGGCTGAGGCAGGAGAATGGCGTGAACCCGGGAGGCGGAGCGTGCGGTGAGCTGAGATCACACCGCTGCACTCCAGCCCTGGCGACAGAGCAAGACTCCGTCTCAAAAAAAAAAAAAAACTGCAAATGTACCAAGAGTGTCAGACTCAGAAAGAATGGTAATATAATGCCATTTCCTGCTAATTCAGAAGTTCAGACTTCATTGGTAAGTTTAAGTTCAAGACATTTTGTATGTTTTTCTTCCTTTATCCAGAATACATGTGATTAAAGTTTATATAGATTACGATCTCCACAAGCAACTTAGTTTAAGGCTCCTCATTTTTCCACCATTAGTAGCTAAAAAAGTGGTTCTCACATAATTTATCTGAGATGAAAGTTAACCTCCACCATGAAAAATTTTCCAAGATGTCTCATTGTAAGACAAGAAAATAACATTGCTCTTAGAAAATGAGGCCAAGAGACAGTAAAATCAGCACACAGTGGTTCACAGAAGAGATTTTAAAGTGAGTCATTTTGAAGTGAATCTGACCCCCAGGTCCTTAGACTTGACTGAAGATATTAACACATTTATAAAGAGAGTGCCCCTGCCAAGAAAGTGTAAAAATGAGACAATCTCTGACACTGAGTCTGAAGCCCAGACACTGGACTATAGCGAATTCATTAAAGTTATTTCTCTCAATAGGGCTTCTATTGGAAACACTGAAATATATATTGAGCTTTTCATAATCACACACACACACACACACACACACACACACACACACACTCCTACTTGACACAGGAGTAGTATACTTTATCAGCAATGGTTCAGAAAGATTAGTTTAAAACTTGCATATTGGAATGTGTTTTGCCAAGGCTGACATCCACAACTCTTTTAACTTTGTGATGTTAGATACTCAGAATAATAGTCTTAGAGTCTTAAAAATAAAATTAGCTAAGTGAAAATATTGTTCAGAACCCTTTAGAATCATTTTCTGAAGTTTGCAGCTCATAGTTTTCCTCTAATTAAACTCTGCCTGTTCTATTCAGCTATTTAAATTACACAGAATTTGATGTTCTGTCAAATGCTCTTAAGGATAATGTAGAATTTCTCCCACTAATTTCCATCTTTCATTCAACAATTCTGTTCTGCTAACACAATGTGATGCCAGAGAAAGAGGTGCTTTCTTGTAGCTTTCTTAGCAAAGGGCAATGCATGAACAGAAAATGGATTGTAGGAAAAGTTACTGTGAAGACGTTCAGCAACCGTATTTCTTGTAACCCATCAATTTAAAAAACCCAAAGAGTTTGCTAGAAAGAGTGTGTACTTCTACAAACCTGAAACTACTCATTCAAAGACAGCTCTCATTTCTGAGCAGGAGGGTGCTTCTAAAATCATCAGAAGAGAGTACTCCCTGTAGCTTCCAGCTGAGAGAGACAACAGGCACTTAGCTTGCCATTAAGGGCCCTTGGTACAGTTTAGGGCCCTCAAAATAGTGACCTAGCAAACTGGAGAATGGATAGGTAGGAAAAGGTGAAATCTCGGCCATGCAAAACTAGTAATTAAAAAAATAAAAAGGAGATCTTGCACTGAAACGCACTGAAGAAGCGACACCTTGTGCTGAAGTGATATACTTCGTCTGTGATAAAGTCGAGGGCAAAAATAACTTTGAGAACAAGGATGGCATGAGAGTTTTTGTGAAGCCTCTCTCTACCAACAAGCATCACATCTCTTTTATAACTTTACCTTTTATTCTGTTTTCTTCTCCTTTCTGTTTCTTATTCCCTCTTCCTCTTCTTTAGCATTTTCCTTTCTACAACTTTCTGGCTTTCCTTCCTCTCTGTGAGTCAGCCTTGTCAAGTGACCTGAGGCACCAGACACAATGTAGCTTAGTTGGAGATAATCACACTAAAGTAACCACTGATCCATCCCTGAAATTGTGCATGACCCTTGGCAAACCTAATATGTGTGACTAAATGCATGACGGTAAACATGTGCAGACACGTTCACTGAGTCTTCTAGAAATGTTTGAATACTCTGTGCCCCATTTCAGGTTCATTTTCAGATGAAAAACGAGTGTCCCTGATTTCTGAATCAGTGCCCTTGCTGGAGCTGAGATCTCACTGGATATCCTGGTGTAAGAGCCTCACATTTCTGAATCAGGATTGTTGAGTTCTCCTATTTCTCTTTCTAACACTGTCTCCCTTAACCTTGGAGAAGTTTGTCTGTGGGCTCCAATTTTCTCATGTAAATTAAGGGAGTTGACAAGGAAGGAAAATAAGTTTCACCTTTTTAAGCAATCCCCACTGATTGGAAGACGTTGTTTGAGTCACTGTATTCTGAGTATCCTGGTTCAGTATGGTCACTGTCCTCTATCATGATTGCATTATAACACAACAGCTAGGTGCAGGGGTTAACAGCACTAGATTTGGAGTCAAACTTTTCTGGACCCAGTTATCAACTCTAACCATTATCATGCTACTTAACATCTCTAAGCCTGTAAAATAAGACGAATATTTCCTACATTACAGTTTTGCCATAAAGAATGCATTAGATAATTCATATAAAGTTCATAGCATAGCACCTTCACAGTGTAAGCCCACAGTATATATATATGTATATATAGCTAATTATCTTTATGGAAATCAGTTCACTTACAAGCAGAGGATTGTGGAGTGCTGCCTTGCCAGTACGATCTCTACACTGAATACTTTCTAAGGTGCTTTCCGTCTCTGGAGTTACACTTTCATGGGTACCAAAACAGCACAGATTGTGTGATTCAGCAAGTTTGATGGAATTTATGTTAAGAATCAGTGGGCTGTTGACAGCTTTCTTTAGTTAGCTATGTCAATTCAGTTTGTCATCCAACTTTTGGATTTCTTTTAACTAATTGTTTCTCCCCACACAGGAAACAATTAGAACCAGGAGGGACCATAAAAAAAAAAAAGGCGATTTTGTTCAACGAGCAGATTAACTTAACACAAAATTGATTTATATCAGCTTATTATAATTAACTGGTTATCTTTTTCTGTGTCTAATGAATCTAGTATTTTTATGGTTTTCAGTGAAGTTACCACTTCCATTTAAACATTTCTAACTCTCACTCTTCTGTGGATTCTGGTAAAATAATCATGTAACAATTTTTTTTTAATGAGTGCTTGTGTGTCAGGCATTTTCATAGCCATTAGAGATACAAAATCATATAAGGCATTGCTCTTGGAGCATCACTTCCCTTCCAAGAAAGTCAATATTAGGTGAAAGTGTCCATGCTCTCTCTTTGCCTAACATTGATACACTGGATGCTCCCAGTTGAAATGGTGGCATCCTGAGATGGTGAACCATCCATTTAGCTGTGAACTACCCTATCCACCCTGTCTTACTCCCTATTTGTGTTGAGCATGCAGAGTGAGCAAATTATAAGCCATAGTTGTAATATATCACTAAAATTTTTGATTTTGTTACTTCAGCATAGTATCAATTACATTTATCCTTTTTTATAGAAAGGCTTTCCACCACATAAGGATCATACTCTGTCCTATGCATATGAATTACCTTCTCTTCATTTAACCGAGCATTTGAGGTTGAAGAATATTTAAAACATCATTTATGTAACATGGGGCACAGGCTAAAACACCAAGAAAAATTTAGTCCAAATATCAAATTTGTTTCCATCTTATGTGTATTTTGTATACAACAGGGCTTTTTACATAATTATTCAGTTTACCTTCTAATGCTAGTGAATTTTGTGCACTATGTTTAGTGCATTTAATACAAAAGTGGGTGCATTTTGTGTTATGATAAATACATCCAATTCTTCAAATGCTTTCCAAAGAGAACATACTATTTTTACTTAGTCAGTTGTAGAGCTGAGTAATACCTGTGTTGATAATAGAGGACTTGGTTATGAGAAATTGACTTGGGAGTAGAACCAAGTATATAGATGATAACCAAATCCAAATCATTTCTCTATAGTATGTTATTACATGTGTACTTATAAGCTACTTTTCCAGTATTATTAAAATAGTGTAATTATTCCTTCATAATTAGAAAATTTCTGAGTATTCAGAAACCTTGATCACCCTTTTGCAAAGAAAGAACATAAATGTATAAATAATTTGTAAACAGTAATAAATTTATAGACATATCTATCATTTTTATATATTAACAAGTTAATAAGTTCATAGTCCATGTTGATTTCCATGTGCTTTTAATTGATAAAACTCATTATTTCTTTAAGTATCAGGTGGAGATGTTCTCCATGAAATTATACTACAGGCTGAAATGGAAACATTCAGTAACATACCTGTATATTTTGCTTTTCAATACCACCATATGATTATTTAGATATATCTGTGCAATTGGTAACATTCAAAGTTCTCACATTCAACTCATGAAGCTTATAATCTTGTTGTGCACACATAAAAGGAAACTAGAAAGCAATTCACAACCTTATGCCTTTATTAAAACTGTTATTGCCTTGTATTAAGGTAAACCTCTCTTTACAAGTCTATCTCCATAAACAGTGTATGAGCTCCTTGAATTTTGCCTCATATCACTTCCTGCCTGCACTCCTGTTTCCACCTCGCCCAGTGTGTTATCTCACCCTGCATCCAGTCATCTTCAACACTTCAGTGGTCTTCCGTTAACAACATATGTAATATCCAAGTTCCTAATCATACCATTCAAATTCCTCCAGGACCTGGTCCTTGGTACTCCCCTACTTTTCTTTCTCCAACCAAACACCTTATGTGAGGTTTATAAAAGTGTGGTCTACAAATTTATCTTATGGGATTCAGTTAAGATATTACTTCCTCAGAGAATCTTTTTACAACTCCCCTTGTCCCTTCTTCATGTTTTCCCAGTTGCTAACAACAATTCTTGGTTTGATAGTATGAGGAAATGAGCAGAATCATGCCTTATTTACCATTTGATAGCTGTAGCCTTTGAAAACAGACAGCCAATGTTGTATTGAAGACAGATCACACCAGCTTCTGAGAGCCAATTGTATTCGTATCTTCCTGATTCTTTACAGAGTGACATCATTTTGGTGGATTGAAAGAAGTCAGGGTGACTGAAAATGCCACGCAAATTGGTTACATGATACATATCACATTTTTTCTTTCCAGAAAGCTTGTCATTTCAAGATACCAACATACCGCTGCAAAATGTTTGACTACATCAGTAACGTGATAAATCGTGAAAATATGTCATTAATTCAAACAAATGAAATAGCTCAATTACATCAAAATTTGAAAATGAAATTATTATTTTCTTAATTAAAATATGATGCTTTCCAAGTCACAGTTTCACAAATGGTTGGAGGAAAATTTGTATATTTTTTCAGTAATAGTTGCCTAAGAATTTGAGTAATTTTGTGTATAACAACTATGGTAATTTTGTTAATTTAGTCATCTTGATAACTGTATCAGATTAGTTGTGCAGAAATCTCATAAATGTCAACATGTACTTTCGTGAGAGAAGGTTGTTATGACAAATGTGAAAATACATTCATTTAGTCCTACCAAAAAGCAGTCAGTCTGTACCCAACCACCTATTTTTGAAGTTTGCTCCAAAGAGAAGTTTCAAGCCAATAGCCCTTCTACCAGATAGCAGTTTGCATAGATCTTGAAGTACTCAAATCTCCAGCTGTGCTGCTATGAAAATACCAGACTGGGACTGCTCTGATCAGGAGTTTTAGAGAAAATAGTTTTCTCTCTATCAATTTCCATGATATATAAATAGTGTCATAACAGGATTCAGATAAAATGCTTGAATGCAAACTATCAAATATATAAGAATCCTTCTAGTGAAACTCAACTGTTAAATATTTGCTATGATGTAGTTTAATAATTCCCAAACATTAATTGATGTTGGCCGGTCGAGATGCATCAGAATCACCTGAACAGCTGGTTACAAATACATATTATTTATGTATCCCATAACGAGAAGGTATATATATATATATGTATATATATATATATATATATATATATATATACATATATATATATAAATAAAATTGTATTTTGACATGTTCTCTAGACGCTTCCAGTATATTGATTGAAAGCACTAGTGTAGTTTTTGACACAATGTCCTCTCCCACAAATATTTTGTTCTAGTTTTCAAGTTTGTCTTTCTTCTATTTTAAAACATATGCTCTCATATCCGAGTAATGACCATGAAGAGATGCCAGAATTCATCAGTAACATCAACAAATAGCAAAAACAATGTTTTCAGTATAGAATACAAAGTATTGTGCTTACACGTGAAAAATGAGCGGGGAAATTGAAGCAATTATCTCAATAATTTGGCTTGCCTTTCACTTGATAAAATGTTCTTTCTGATGACCTGTCCACATAATAGAGGGATGGGTGCTGTGATAATTGACTTCTCCAGGTAATTTCCTCAATTCTTCTTTTTGAATATACAAGTTATTCTTTAATAGAATAAACAAAATCTGAGGCATTGGCTTTTGGTCATTATTGCTCTACAAAAAGCTTTGCTTATTTCCATATGATAAAACTACCTCTTGATTGTTTAAAAGCTAGAGACAAACTAGAATGTATTGACAGAATGGCAACTTAGTCTCTCAAAATATATGTGAGTACATAAACAAAAGTAAACCTGCTTTGTTAATTGATAGATTCATTTTCATATATACCCTTCTTTTCCTGAAAAAGATTTTACTTACCTCCGTTGAGTTTGCCTTTGTATTCACCTCAAAGACTGCATGGAGACTTTAAGGACAGCAGATGGACAGCATCACAGCTATAAGCCAATACTCTGCTCATCTTAGTAATGTATCATTCATTTAGAAAATACACACTTGTTTTAGAAACACAGGGTGTGTTTTCTTTAGTATCCATGAGTACATAACCATTCTCACTTTTCTATTTGGTTACACATTTTTTTAATGGAAAGCCAGAGGTTTCTGTGTTCCAAAACCATAGAATTGTTACATTACTCTGTTGTTGAATGCCTCTGAATGTCATTATAACAACATGTAATTTTCGTCTTAATTCATAAAACATTTTAAAAATTTATGCTAACACTTGGAAACCTGGGGAGTACCCTACTTCTGAAAACAAAAATAGTAACACTTAACAATACTACCAGTACTTAATACAGGGATTGCTTTGACTGTGTGTGTGGGGGAGGTTGAAGGTTGGATCTGCGTTATTGACTTTATCATCTTGGTTCTAATGTCTTGTCCAGAACCACTCATTTAATTACTATTTTGAAACACTCATAACACAACATGGCTATAACTGTACATCTGTTGGGCTTTACTTGAAATTATTATGAAGACCAGTTATAATACATGATCTGGTCTTCTTTTCTAAGTGGTGTCATTAATCCAAATTAAAATGCTTAGTTAATGTACTTTCTGCCATACATGGGAATTAATATATCTTTTATTGACAGTGTAGATGATTTGGGATGATAGGATCAGGGTAGATTACATTATATTTATTTTCACAAAACTAAAAGGTTAAAATAATATTACAAATACGTTGGAGCTTAAAGCGTCTCTATTAGACAGTCATATCAATACACGACATTAGAATGGAAAGAGCCCCAATGCAGAAGTTAAGAGCCTTGAGTTCTAATTTAGATTCAGTTACTATCAAGCTGTGTGACTTTGGAGAATTTACTTAACCCCTCTGGACATCAGTTTTCTTGATTATGATATAAGGATATTGAATTGGATATTCTCTAGAATCTTATCAAACTCTAGTGATTTCTATGGGAGAAAGTGAAATCACCAGCATGACAGTTTGAGGCCACAGAGGGCTAGAAACATGACAGCAAATATTTTCACAGGTTTATGTTAAAACATGCTGGAAATAATTGTTGAACAGGACATTATAGTGTTAGCTGTGTTCTACAGTTTCAACTGACAAAGCCCTTAGAATAAGAGCAAATGTATCTAGAAAGAAAAAACATAAAAGCAGAATTAGTTGAAAAATACTTATTTTAAGTTGATTAGGCACAAAAATACCACTGCAATCCAATTTGGATTTAGTTTACTAAAATAATTGTAATGTGATTCAGTCTAAAGTGGTGGCTCTTGCTGGACAAAGTCAAAGGTTAAAAAAAATGATACGACTTTAAAATAGGTCAAGAACTATGAAATGTATGGTTCTCATCTTAGACTGTGAAAGTGTGAAAAATGAGTCGGAATATAAATACAGAAAATGCGTATATAATTTGAAGGAGAGACTCAGCTGAGAAACATGAGATGTAGATTCAGAATGTAGCTCATCTTTGAGATTTAAATACTCACAATAAATTTCCACTAATTGGGAATAATACAATGGAGAAGCATTTAATACAAAGAGTCCTTTTAGAAAAATAAATACTTAGGCAGTGCTACAGAATGACTTCCATTCAGCACAAACGCATACAATAATTCATCAGTTCGCTTCCCTTCATAGATGGATCATCTTTCTGCTAGGTGAGATTGGTTAGAGCGGGAGAAACCTAATTCATTCAAAATGTCACTGGCCAGGTTAAAGACCTTCATACATTTATTCTGTCAGAGAAAACTGCTGGTGAATAAATGAAAGATAGGGAGTAAGCAGAGTAAAAATAACGAAAAAAATAAAGCATAATAAAACAAGTTTGTAATTTATAGCTGTATACAAATAAAAGATATTATTTTCCCTGCGATAGTTTGCTGAGAATGATGGTTTCCAGCTTCATCCATGTCCCTACAAAGGACATGAACTCATCATTTTTTATGGCTGCATAGTATTCCATGGTGTATATGTGCCACATTTTCTTAATCCAGTCTATCATTGATGGACATTTGGGTTGGTTCCAAGTCTTCGCTATTGTGAATGGGGCCGCAATAAACATACATGTGCATGTGTTTTTATAGCAGCATGATTTAATAGCATTAGGAGATATATCTAATGTTAAATGACAAGTACATGCGTGCAGCACACCAACATGGCACATGTATACATATGTAACAAACCTGCACATTGAGCACATGTACCCTAAAACTTAAAGTATAATAAAAATAAATAAATAAATAAAGACGTTATTTAAAAAGACCTTCATAGATCCCTTTGATAAGAAGATCCACCCTAATTTCAGGAAACGAAAAATTGTGAATCTCAGAAATAAAGTGACTGGCTTACTTGTTTTCCCCTCTTCCCAAGCTCATAGATTCTATTCAATGTTTTCATTTTATTGAATTATTTTTGATGAGATACGGGTCAGTCTTGACACTCTGGATGTGATTGAGCCCGAACTCACCAGAGTCTAAATGATATTGATCTTTGAACCACATTATTCTACCTTTAAATAATTTTTATCACCGTTTTTAGCCACCATCTTTGATGGTTTATGGTAGATTGGAATTGAAAACCTTCCTCTGCCACTAAATAGTCTTATGACCTTGGAAGATCGCTGTCCTAGGTCCTCAGTTCCCTCAAGTATAAAATGAACATTCATAAGATGCCGTTCAGATGCACAGCTCAATGGATTTTATCTCCTCTCATGTGGATCAGCTGTAGGCTTTTTTCTGTGTATTTACACTTCTGTAATCCTTTAGAGGATCCAGTATGGATTTATTCATGAGCAACATCCCAAAAGAAGCATGGTGTTCTAAATGAAAAAAAAAAAATCCAGCTATTCAAATTATCCACTATTTAATCATTTTCTCATTTAATAAACATTTACTGAGGCCCTACTAATTGTCATTGAGATAGTAGGTTTCAAGTCTAATGTAGGAACAAATAAGAAAATAAACAATTATAATAAAACATGACAAGGGCATGGTAGAGATACAGATCCTGAAGAACAGGTACTGCAGGAGCATAGAAATGAAGAAGCCAGACAATTTGGAAGTTTTCCAATTAGATACAATTTAAGGCTTTTTTTAAATAACCTATATCAATAATATATAAATTTCCATTTTAAAAAATCCGCAACCAACTGGATGAAGGGTGACTTTTATAGACTTATTTAAATGGAAAATTACATACACACATACACAAAAACACACACATTAATGTGGTAAGGCTACTGTGAATATTCAGCAACGTAACTGGAATCAATATATCATATATCTTTGAAAGTATCAATCATAAACAAACCAGAATGCACTAACCAGAAGCAATGACAAGAGGAGAGAAAAGAGAGCATGGCTGCACTATCTCAGAACCACGCTGAATATGCACTTTGAAAGGTATACTGATAATTCATTAAAACCACAAAGAGAATCTTACATTACGTTTGCTGGATTTGACTACCTTGCCTCATGATGTGACTAATTACCTGTCAAATTCAAATCTAAAATTATAAAAGACAAATTATAGAGTACCTCTAAAGAAAAAAATGTGGGGAAATTTCCACAGATCTTCCCCCACCCTCATTTGAATAACTAATAAACAAACACATTTGTAGATCAAGTTAAAGAAAGGAATGAGAACTGAATCTTTCAACAATTTCTACAGAAGTGAATGGAATGAAGAACTGAGATAATTAAGTAAACAATCTGGGAATAGAGACCTAGAAAGGCAGAATGAGTTTGGGTCTAGGTCACCTGGATG
This sequence comes from Homo sapiens, assembly GCF_000001405.40. Lineage (NCBI taxonomy): Eukaryota > Metazoa > Chordata > Mammalia > Primates > Hominidae > Homo > Homo sapiens. The sequence goes on along the minus strand of NC_000023.11, from coordinate 143,745,789 downwards.
AGTGATCTATGTAATCACACTGCTTCAACAAATGCTCAGTTTTCTATTTTACTTTCCAGTTAATTTCATAGTCCAAAAATATAACCAAGACAGGGTCCTCATCATAAAAGTAAAGTGTTATATTAAAACAATTTATTCAGATGCTTTCAGGTCACAGTGACTATCCGGGACATCTTTAGACAAAAAATATTTTGTTTCCTTTACTTTCGTTAAAACATAGTTGTAATGTGTAGCTGATTCCTCTGATTCTCCACATCACGTCTGCTCAGCCCACATCTTATTTCACCTGCAGCTTCAGTGGACAATTTCATGTGAGCTCAGACTCACCTCATGCTGGCAGCACCTCACCTCAAAAGTTTGCCACAACATCTCTCTGCTTTCTTCCCAGGGCCTTCTCCAATAGCACAGGAATAAGAACATTCTTTCCACATATCAGAAATGGGAGATGATTAGCCTGAAGAGTAATTTTTAACCAGTGAGGGACAAGAGATGTTATATAGCCTCTGTTCATCAGGTGGAAAATTCTGGCAGTCATTCTGTGCACTTTTCAGGAAGTCTCAACACAATTGAGCCCCTATTGCCCACAGTGAAGGTCTCAGTTATATACCTTAGATTGGCATATTTGTTTTTCCACCTTCCTATCTTCCTCTCTCTGCTCCCTTACTCCTGCTCCTGGTGACTCCCAGATAAACTACCTGCACTTTGGTCTTTATCTTGGGCTCAGCATTCAGCAGAATTTAAGCTAAGATGGTGTGATAAATTGTTTTGTGTTCATCAGAATTTCTTCTTCCTGAGTTTAAATGAAAACAATATTTCTCAGTCTCCTGGAAGTAATGGTAAGGTACCTGTGACAGATTTCTGACTAGTGGAATGTCAACAGAAGTAACCTAAGCTGTTTTTATAAACCTCAAAGTATAAGGAGAGCAAGTTCAACATTGAAGGTCACTCACCATTCCTGTAGCACCCTGCTTTTCTCAACACTAGCTCGAGCACTTAGTATACTCTACAGAAATTGTTGCTTTGTTTATCTTTCCCCTTACTCAAACATCACTAGATTGTTAGATTTTCACACAGAGCCTGTCACAGAGGAAATTTTTAGTAAATGTTTTTGAATGCATAAATAAAGCCTAATGTCTGAGCAAAAGCTCACCAAAAATCTTAAGTCACTAAGAAGTTGCAAAAATTAAATCCCCTTACTTTACCCTATATCCATTCTCTTGATTATTTAGCCTTTCTCTATAAGCCTTTCTTATCAACAAGTATTTTTGCTCAAGTCTTTTTCCAAAACCAAACCAAACAAAAACCTTCCTGGATTCTTTTTTATAGCATCCAGGTTACAGGTTATCCTTCTTAGTCAATTTCACAGCCAGATGTCTTTAATGAGCTGTCTAAATTCAACATCTATGCCTCCTCACTTCCTACTCACTCTTCAACTTACTTCATTTTGGCTTCTGTCTGCACAAGTCTGTTGAAACTCATAAATGTCACTGAAGAATTCTATGACTCTGAAGTGAAAGAATATTGTACAATCTTCATCTTGACTTCTTAGCAGCAGCCTTCACAGTTGGCTATTCCCTTCTCCTCAAAACAGTGTTTTAACTTGATTCCTGTGATATCGCACTCATTTAAATTTCCTCCTTTCTAGTTGCCTTTTTCAGTCTGTTTTGGGGGCTCATCTTCCTCTCTATGTTCCTTGAAATAAGTATTTCTCTAGACTTTTTCATTTTCTCTTGGCACACTAGTATTATATGGCCTCACCTGTCATTTGTGCACTGATTATTCCCAAATTCATAACCATATTTCTGATTGCTCTACCCATTTACAGATATCTATTATCGTTCCATCTGCTGGATATATATATAGATAGATAGATAGATATAGATATAGATATAGATATAGATATAGATATAGATATAGATATAGATAGATATAGATATAGATATAGATTTTTTTTTTTTGAGAGAGAGAATCTTGCTCTGTCGCCAGGCTGGAGTGCAGTGGTGCGATCTCGGCTCACTGCAACCTCCACCTCCCGGGTTCAGGAGATTCTCCTGCCTCAGCCTCCCAAGTAGCTGGGACTACAGGCATGAGCCACCACGCCCAGTTACTTTTTGTATTTTTAGTAGAGACAGGGTTTCATCATGTTGGCCAGGATGATCTTGATATCTTGACGTCGTGATCCGGCTGCCTCGGCCTCCCAAAGTGCTGGGATTACAGGCATGAGCCACTGCACCCAGCCTGATATATAGTTTTAAATATTCCACAAACACTTCATGTGAACATATCAAAAAATGAACCCATTGTTTGTGCACTCAGACCTTAATCTACCACTCCATCTGAGTCTCCTGTCTCAGCAGATGGCAGATGAATGCCTAGTAAACAAAAGTAGAAAACTGATAAAACCCTATCCCTTTCTCTTCCAGTATCATAGGATCACTACATACTATCAATGCTGTTCCCTAGGTGTCTCTCAAAATCTATCTTTTCTTCACGTTCCCAGCAGACATCTCCTCATATTAGGTCATTATCATCTCTTACAAAGAATTCCATAATATTATACCTGGCTACTATGCCTACCTCTCATTATATTTCACTTATCTCTTCATAAGTCTGCCTTCTCCACTAGACTGAGTGCTCTTAGATAACAAATAATTTCCTTATGCATTTTTACAATTTAGAACTTGTTACAATAGGCACTTGAAACATGTTAGTTGAATAGATGAATAAAATAATGAATGGATTAAGGCTACTCTGTATTTTTCTCTAATTATTACATGTATGTATATATACTGCTTCTTTATATTCTTAGCAGCCTTATGTTCTTGAAGTTTCAAGATCTGAAAAATTTTGCCCTAGGGATTACTATCCAAAAATAGATAAGGAAGTTATACAACCTAATACCAAATAGATAAACAAATGATCTTGTCTAAAAATAAGCAAAGAGCCCAAATAGATATGTTTCCAAAAAGACATGCATAAGACCAATAGGTATATGAAAAGATGTTCAACATCACTAATCATCATGGAAATGAAAATCAAAACCACCTCACACCTGTAAGGAGGACTATATGAAAAAGACAAGAGATAAAAAGTGTTTGTGAGGGTATAAAGGGAACTTTTGCACACTGTTGGTGGGAATGTAAATTGGTATAGCTGTTACGGAAAACAGTATGACGATTACTCAAAAAATTAAAAATATAACTACCATATTATCTAGAAATCACACTTACGGGTATATATATGAAAGAAAGGAAATCAGTATATTGAAGACATATCTGCATTCCCATGTTTATTGTAGCATTATTCACACTAGCCAAGATAGAAAAACAAACTGAATGTCCATCCATGGATAAATGGACAGAGGAAATGTGGTATATCTACACAGTGAAATATCATTCAGCTATGAAAAAGAATGAAATCCTGCCTTTTGCATCAACATGGATGAATCTTGAGAGCATTATTGTAAGTGAAATAAATCAGATAGAGAATGACAAATACTATGTGACCTTATATGTAGAAACTAAAAATGTCAAACTCATGAAAACAGAGAGTAGAATGGTGGTTCGCAGGGGATATGGGTTGGGGGAACAGGGAGAAAGTTTGGTCAACATGTACAAACTTTCAAATGTGAGATGAATGAGTTCTGGGGGTCTAATTTATAGCATGGTTACTATAGTCAATAATACTGCATTATATACTTGAGATTTGTCTAGAGAGTCGACACTAAATGTTTTCACCACACACACACACACACACACACACAAAATGGTAAGTATGTGAGGCAATGGATGTGTTAGCTAACTTGATTGTGGTAATCATTTCACAATATATACATATATATAATCATCATCGTTTATGTCTTAAAGAGATACCAATTTTGTCAACCACTGCTCAATAAAGCTAGCGAAAAAATTTGTCTGCAACACACAAAATGACCTACATAATTTCTTGAGAACTGATGAATAATCTGGGCTTTCAAAATATCTTTTTAAAGACAATCACATCATCCCATTTTAAAAAAATCTATTGGTTCAAATAAACATAAATTTTAAGAAACCAAATATATTTCAGCTACCTTGAGAGTATGGGATCAGCCAGCTAGAAAAAAGAAAAATGATGAGTTAATTCTGTCAAACAACTTGAGAGTTTTTTGTTTTCTTTTAACAAAATATGCTAATTTGTTCAAATAAACCAGTTATGTTGGTACTGTCTAGCACAATATATTTGCTAGATGTCTAGTTCTTTTTTATTATTTTCCAATACTTCCGAAGTTTTGCCTTGCTTGCATGTAATCAATACATTATGAAGGTATTTTTTATTAAAGTCACTCAAGTCTTAATTATTTAATTTTATAATAATTTAATACATCGTGGACTTAACTCTCTTTTTAGGCTCTGTATGCAGAAAAATGCAATCTTATTTATAATGTTAAAGAAAAATATTAAGTGATAGTAAACTGCTTAGAGGAATAAATGCTTCCAAGGACTTTAGCAAAATCAACTTGAATACAAACAATGAGTCAGTTACAAATTATTATTATATATTAATTAAAATGAAACTCATTAAATGTTCTGTTAAACTATGCTTTACTATTATTTAAATTAATTACAGCAAGAAATTTATATAAACAAATTCTAAATACTGAAGACTTTTCACCAATTTAGACTGTCTCTCTAATGGGTCTGATTTAACAATGCTTTATTGTGTTTGAAAAAAATACTTTGAAAAAAAAAGGCACTCTTTATTCTGTGCACTACAGATTTTTATCTTCAGAACAGTTGGATTTTCTATATATAGATATGTGTATACATTTACTTCTATGGAAATACTCAGGCATTTCTACTTAACCTATTTTCAGTTTAGTCTGCATCATATATACCAGAGAGACAAACATTTGACCTCTTGTTCATAGGACTATTTTTATTAATAAGAAGTAACTGATTTAAATGAAATTTTCCCTTGTCTTCAGGTAACTTGCAAACATATTTCTTCCTCACAGTTAAATAAAAGAGACAATGAATGTGCCCTGGACACTTAAAGTATTTGGTTATTCTAAAGTAAGGTGACACTCTTAAAATTTAGATGACTCTTTCTCTATAGTAAGACTTTCATTCTAATAGGTTCAGATCTGATAACATTTGTACATGGATTCACATAAAAATCATTATTAAATATCAACTATATTGAGTAGTTTTGAACATTGTCTACAAGCCACATCTGCATAGTCTGGGGATTGTAGACTTTCTGCCAATAGTTGCTATTTAATTTGACCTTGGAAGAGTTCCAGCACATTAAGCATGACATTTATTTAAGTGTTAAATTTATACTATGCTTTTCTGATCAAAAGTTCAAGGAACCAAGTGCAGTGACATGATTTGCTATTATAAAACTAGTCTCATTAAAATTGTGATAACATGATACACATTTTTTTTTCTGTAGTGTCTTTGTCTGGCTTCGGCGTCATGGCAATGCCAGCCTCCTAAAATGAGTTTGCAAAAATTACTTCTACTTCAATTTTGGGGGAAGAGTTTGAGAATAATTGATGTTAGTTCTTCTTTAAATGGTTGGTAGAATCCAGCAATGAAGCTGTGTAGTACTGTGCTTCTTTGGTAGGAGATTTTTATGGCTGATTCAATCTCCTTACTCATTATTGGTTTATTCAGATTTTTTTTATTTCTCCATAATTCAGTCTTTGAAGTGTTATGGGTCTAGGAATTTATCGATTTCTTCAAGGTTATTCAATTTGTTGGTATATAATTGTTAGTATTAGTTTCTTATGATCCTTTGTATTTCAGTGGCATCAGTTGTAATGTCTCCACTTACATTTCTAATCATGTTTATTTGGATAGTCTCTGTTTCTCCTAGTCTAGATGAAGGTTTATACAAACCTTTATCTTTTATCTTTTTACCTTCCCCAAAAAAACTAACAGTTTTGTTGTTTTTTTCTATTGTTTTTCTAGTCTCTACTGTCTGCTCTGATCTTTGTAAATTGCTTCCTTCTGCTAACACTAGGCTTAATTTAGTCTCTTTTCCAACTCTTTGAGGTGTAACATTAGATTACTTATGATCTTTATTTGTTAATACAGGCTTTTATCACTATAAATTTCCCTCTTAAGATAGCTTTAGCTTTTGCTGTATCCCATAGTTACGGTGCAATGTGTTTCCATTTTCATGTTTCACAGAATTGTCTAGTTTCCATTTTCATTTTGTCTGTGACCTATTGATTGTGTAGGAACATGTCGTTCAATTTGCCATATTTTTCTATTTTCCAATATTTCTTCTGGTTTTGAGTTCTAGTTTCATTTCATTGTGATCTGAAAAGATACTTGATGTGATTTCCATCTTTAAATTTTTTAATATTTGTTTTGTTGCCTAACATATAATTTACCCTGGAGAATATCCAATGAGCACTTCAGAATAATATGTATTCTGCTACTGTTGGATGGAATGTTCTATATGTGTCTGTTAGGTCCATTTTGTCTAACATATAACTCAAGACAAATGTTTAATTATTACTTTTCTGTCTAGATGACCTAAAAGTGGGGTATTGTAGTCTCCTACCGTTATAGTATTGCAGGCTATCTCTCCTTTCTGATCATTTAATAACTGCTATATGTATTTAGGTGATCCAATATTCGATGTAGATATACTTACAATTGCTATGTACTCTTGATGAATTAGCCGCTTTATCATTACATAATGACCTTCTTTGTCTCTTTTTATAGTTTTCAACTTAAAGTCTATTTTGTCTGATATAAACATAGTGACTCTTTTCTGGTTTCTATTTGCATGGAATATATCAATCCCTTTAATTTCAGTCTATGTGTGTTCTACTACAAAGGTAAATAAGCAGAATATGGTTGGATCTAGTTTTTCAAAAAATTTATTCAGGCACTTTTATGTCTTCTTTTGCCTTTTGTAAAATGCCAAAGTCATGTTCTCTTTTATTTTATTCTTTTTTTAAATTTTATGTTAAGTTCTGTGTTCATGTGCACAACGTGCAGGTTACACAGGTAAACATGTGTCATGGTGGTTTGCTGCACCTATCAACCCATCACCTAGGTATTCAGACCCACATGCATTAGCTATTTATCCTGATGCTCTCCCTCTTGCCACCCCTCCAACAGGCCCCACTGTGTGTTGTTTCCCTTCCTGTGTCCATGTGTTCTCAGTTCAGCTCCCACTTATAGGTGAGAACATGTGGTGTTTGGTTTTCTGTTCCTGTGTTAGTTTGCTGATGATAATGGCTTCCAGCTCTCCCCATCCTCCTGCAAAGGAAATGATATTATTCCTTTTTATGGCTGCATAGTATTCCATGGTGTATATGTACCACATTTTCTTTATCCAGTCTATCATTCATGGACATTTGTGTTTATTCCGTGTCTTTGCTATTGTGAATAGTGCTGCAATGAACATAAGTGTGCATGTATCTTTAGATCAGAATGACTTATATTCCTTTGGGTATATACACAGTAGTGGGATTGCTGGGTCAAATGGTATTTCTGGTCCTATGTCTTTTTATAGGCAAATGTAATTCATTTGCATTCAAGGTAATTATTGTTAGGTGAGGACTTGCTACAGAAATTTTATAATTTGTTTTCTGATTGTTTTGTAGGTCACTTATTTCTTTCTTCCTCTCTTGCTCTCTTCCCTGTGGCTTAATAAATTTCTGTATTCTTTGAATGCTTTCTTTTTGTATTTTGTGCAACTACTATAGGTTTTTCCTTTGTAGTTACCATAAGGCTTACATAAAATATATTTTTAACGTTTAAGTTCAGGGCTACATGATCAGGTTTGTGTCATGGGGTTTGTTGTTCAGATTATTTTATCACTGGTATTAAGCCTAGTACCCATTAGTTATATTTCCTGATCCTCTCCCTCCTCCTACCCTCCACCCTACGAAAGACCCTGTGTGTATTCTTGCACTCTATGTGTTCATGTGTTTATAACAGGCTACTTTAAGCTGATAATAACTTTCCTTTAATTGCACACAAAACTTCACATTTTCACTACCTCTCTAACCTTTTATAACATGATGTCAACATTTACACTTACTTTTGTAATTTGTATGTCTTAACAATTTACTGTAGCTATAGTAGTTACTTTTAGGTTTTTCTTTTAATCCTCCTAGTAGGGATAAAATTGCTTTTAGAATTAGAGAATTTTGAGTGTAACTATGTATTACTTACATCAATGAATTTTTTCAAATGCTTTTGTCACTAATTAGCAGCCTTTCATTTAGATTAAATAACTCCCTTTAGTAATTTTAATCAAGGGGGCCTACTGGTGACAAACTTTCTTCACTTTTGTTTGTCTGGGAAAGTTTTAATTTTATCCTCATTTCTGAATGACAGCTGTGTCTGCAAAGTATTCCTGGTGGGCAGTTCCTTCTTTTGTTCCCTTCAGCACTTTGGATATATCGCTCTACTAACTCCTGGGAATTATCTGCTGATAAATTCCCTGAAAGTTTTATTGGGGTTACTTTAAATGTGATGTGTTTTTTATCTGCTGCTAATTTCAGTGTTCTTCACCTTTGATTTTTGGTAATTTGATTATAATGCCACTTGGTGCATCTTTTGGGCTAAATTTGATTGGTGACATCTGAGCTTCCTGTACCTGGATGCTGTCATCATTCCCCAGATTTGGGAAATTTTCAGCCATTATATACTTAAATATCCTTTCTAGGCCTTTTCTTCTCCTTCAATACCTCTTATTATGCAAAAGGCAGTTCAACTGATAGTATCTCATAATTCCCATAGGCTTTCTTTATTATTATATTGTGTTTCTCCTCTGATTGAATAATTTCAGATGTTCTGTTTTCAAGCTCATTGATTCTTCTTCTGTTTGATCAAGTCTGCTGTTCAAGCTTTCTATTGATATTTTTTTAGTTCAGCTACTGTATTCGTTATCGTTAGGATTTCTATTTGTATTTTTTATTGTTTCTAATATGTTGCCAAACTTTTCATTTTGTTCATGAATTGTTTTCCAAATTTTTTTTTAGTTTTCTACCATTACTTTTTATAGTTCCATGAACTTCCTTAAGATTATTCTGAATTCTTCGTCAATCATCTAATAAATCTTCATTGCTCCTGGGTCCATTTTTAGAGCTTTATTAATTTGTTTTGGTGGTGTGATATTTCCCTGATTTTTCATTATTATTGTGTCCTTATGTTGAAGCCTGCACATTTGAGAAAACGGCTGACTCTTCCAGCCTTTGCGGGTGCCCGTTGGTGGTGATAGATATTTACTATTTAGTCTGTCCTGGGTTTCTGTATGAGTTGGCAGTAATGCCTAACAGGCAGACCTTCGTGTCAGATTCTCTAGATGGGCTGGACCACCTCCTATGGTCTGAGGTTGAATGGTAATGCTGGCTGTATTCCATGGTCTGGTGAAATCAGTGACTATACTCTGCCACCAAATGATGTTATTGCCAGTGATCTGTAATTTTCTCTGATCAGGTAAGGTTGAAGGCCGTCATCCCTGGCTCAATGGTACTGTTATTTGGAATCTGTAGCTGAGCAGGTATGTGTGGTGGACTTCAAGACTGGTTGAAGTCTTTGGGGTTACTACTCAGCCACATGGGGTGGGAAAACCCAGAGGCTGTGGTCCGTGGATATGTTTAGACTTGGGCTTGCCTCCTGGCCTAGGGTAGGCTTCAGTATAGCACTGAAATTTGGTGAAGTCACCACTCTGCAGCTGGGGTTGGGTGAAGCCAGATGCTTTCTCTGTGGGTGATTGCTGACCTTCAGTTGCTTCCCAGTCTGAAAAAGATTGAATGTAAGCATTGGAACTTGGTTGGATTACCTATTCACTGCTAAGATTAAACATGGTCGCATGCTCACCGCACATGTAATCACTGACCTGCAAATGCTTTCTAACCTGGGGAAGAATTAACATGAGCCTCGGAGCTTAGATTACCTCTTCACTACTAGGGTTGAGTGGGGTCCAGATGCTCCCTCTATGGGTAATCGCCAACGTACACTTGCCTCTCAACCTGAGGAATACTTATCAAGAGCACCTAGGTTGTGTGGAGAACCTCGCTAGGGATTCAAACCTGTAAGACCAATGGACCACGTTTCCAGCAGCATGATGCTGTTGGTTAGCTTCTCTAGTGTGGTGCTTTTCTTGGCCAGAAGGCATAGCAATCATCTGGATCCACACACTGGTAACTGTGTGTCTCACCGGCATTCTTTATTTCTAACTGAACCCGGGTGATCTAGCACTGCTGGTACTCCTAATGTTGCTTGTGGGTTGAGACATGAGTGACCCTCCTTTGAAGGGCCTCAGCATGGTAGCGAAGCTTCATGGGCACCTCCAACTCACTTTTCCCACTGTAGAAACCATAGGACCAGGCAAGTTCTTTTTGTGTGGTGCTGTGCTAGCTAGGAAGAGGGGCAGTCTGATCAAAAATAACTATTTCTCTTATAATTTCATTGTGGCTTTTCTCAGTTTTGCATCCAAGTGGCTCAGTCTCATTGCCACATTCTGGGATATTTGGGATGGGATTCTTGCCTGTGGGTAGTTGATAGTTGAATTTCTGTGCTGGGGAGTAAAGCGCAAGAACTCCTATTTTTCCAATTTTCTGACATTACTGATCTTATTTTGCTTTTCCTTTAATTTTATATACATTGAATAATACATTATGTAGTCTTTTTAACTTCTTTCATGTAGCATAATTTTTATAAGATATATTTATGTTGTTGAGTTCACCAGTCATTTATCACTTTCAATATAGAGTATTTTTGCATTGTATGAATGAATATACCACATTTTGCTTATCCTTTCCCCAACTGATGAAAATGGCCTCTTCCAGTTTTTGGTGATTATGAATACATTCACTCCCACCATTCATATAGAGGTTTTTGTGTAAATACAAATTTTAATTTTCTTTACCAGGGAGTGGAATTGCTGTTGGGCCATGTGTTAAGACTATATTTAACTTTATAAGAAAATGCAAAACTGTGTTCTAAAGTGGTTGTCCATTCTGCATCCCCACCAGCAATCTATGAGAGATCTCTTCACTTTGCATCCATACAAGCATTTGTTATTGCCAGGTCTTTTATTTGTAACCATTCTAGTACATATTGCTGATATATAATTGAGGTTGTTTTAATTTGTATTTCCTTAATTAGGTAGTAGTATTTTTGCCCAGAAATGTGTATTCCATTTCTTTTGTCAGGCTGTTGTTAATACATGGTGTTGAGTCAATCTAGTCAGTAGCTGAGCTCAAAATGCTTGAAGGATTTTCTTGGTATTCCTGTTCCACCCTCAGCTTTTGGCAAGCCTCGTATGCCTGTGCAACAGAGTGTTCTCTCTCCGCATGCTTGCATTGTCTCAGCAGTAGACTGCTTTTCCTTGTTACTCAGTAAGAGGCTTGTGCTGTTGGCAGGGGAGGTCCTCATTCTTCAATTGCATCCTCAGTTTTTAACACTGTGCACATGAGCCTCAGAGATGGGGATTTCATAGTGCTCCTGCCTTCTTTACTGGTGACAGTCAATCTCTATCTTTCTGTCATATCAGTCAGTGTATTGGATGGAAGAAAGTTTTCTGCCCCTTTTCCAGTGGTAGCTAATCTCCTAGGATTGAGAATGTTTTCTACTCTTTTCCCAAAGGCAGATGAAACTTGTGTCTACCTTTCTTCCAGAAATCACAGGACTTTGTCCTGGGACAGTAGGATTTCCTCCCCTTCTTCCTGTAGCAGGTGGCTTATGATTGGGATGTGAACAAAGTCCAGGAAAGTAGGCAAGATTTTCTGCCTCTCTCCCAGTGGCAGCTTATCACCACCTATTTGCCTGCAACACAGATAAAGGGCATCCTGTTAGGTCTTACTGCTTTCAACTTTTCTTATGAGCAGCTAGTGAAGGCCCAGGAAAAAACATATTATGAGTGAGGACAGACTCTCATTTTGTCTGAGTCTTTCAAGTGCTCTAGATTAATTAGTAGCCCACAGTAGATTTTTAAGAATCAATTAAAATTCAAGTTATTTTCTATTTACCTGCTTTTTGTGGGCCACCCCTTTCTCCCATGCTCTCTAAAAGATAAAATAGTGTATGTTCTTTGCCTCTCTTCAAAGGCAAAGGGGCTTGTCATTCTTTGGAATTTAGTTCATCTGGTTGCTTTGAAACCTTTGCAAACGGAGCAACTCAGAAATAGTTATGGTTTTGTAAATTAGCTGTTTTTTTATTATTGTTAGGATAGAAGCAACACACTCTTGCAGCTTTCTACATCCTAAGTGGAAATATAACTTCTTTCAATCCATGCTTTTTGTATTTGGTCACTCAGCTCGCACTATATTTCTTGGGACAGACCATGCTACCTTGCAGGTCACTGCTATGGCTACTGTCATGCTGGGCAAAAGACACTCTATAGCCGTCTCAAGTCCTCAATATACTACTGGCTCTTGCTCCTAACTGAACATGTTAACTCTGAGAAGTTTATGAGAACTCTGATGTAAATGGGACTTAATATGGACCTTGAAAGTAAGAAAGAATGGGGATATACTGTCCAAAGGGTATATGTAATGAAAAAAAAGGTAAGCTTTCTTCTCACTTTTTCATCCTCTTTATATCTGAGACATGTCAGCATTGATCCAACTATGGCATAACCTTTTTAGGGCACTTCCATCTGATGAGGAGCACTCCTCTCTCCACATGGTCTTTTTCCATTTTATGGCTATGTCTTCATCCAAAATAACTGGCAGTGTAACAACTCCTGTGAGGTAATTTGCATGTGTCCGGAAGGAAACATTGCCAGAGAATCGCCCTCTGGCAAAGCCTTGGGTTATACAAATCATAGATTTATAGCCTGCCAAATATCAACAGGCTTTAGCAGTGGGCTTGAAAAGATGGTGTTTTCCTGTGATTTCCAGCCCATGATTTGTACTAGTCTAAAAACCCATTCCACTTTGAATAAATCCTCCTCTCCCAGTTGAGCTAATTGATACCTGATGATTCTCCAATTATAAAGTGCATTCCTTTGTCTTCTATGAACACATAGACATGTCTAGAAAAACTGATTTCTTAGGCCTTATCAATTGAAAACATCTCAATGTGAATGAGTATATCATGACCCTTCCTGAGATTCAGGTAAGAGAGAAGAGGTGCAGAATAAAACATGTGCTTACTGGCATTCTATTTGGGTGGGGTATGGGCAGACCTTATGAACATAGAATAAAGAAAGGAGAACAGAAAGAAGAAAATAAACTCATTGAATATGCATTTCTTGTATTTGACCATATGCCCAACCTAGCTGGTCATAAATTACTATGAGGAAGAAATGTTCTAAGTAGACAAGTATCTTGTTAACAAAGAAATGATGAGCCAGTCATTACCTTGCTAAAGATGACAAGGTTTCTATTTACCCCACTGCTCTAAAAAGAACTCAAGAGAAGAACTTGATGTGAAGTACTGAGCAGACACCTTCTGCTCTCCACATCTCAGTTTCCTCATCTGAGAAATGATGACATTAAATTTGAATATTTCTCAGGACCCTTCCATATGTACTGTGATAAGTTTCTAATTTGTGGTGCTATTTCATTTTGGTGATATGAAAGTTATTACCGTGGATACATAATATGGAACTGACATTTTAGACTGTTTTTCTAGCTTTGCATTTGCCAGTTAGACAGCCGTGTATCAGTGGCATTGATTAGATATTTCATTGCCTTTCCTTCCGTGATTATTGCTCATCTTCCAAGTAAAATTTATTTTAAAACACCAAGGCAATGGTCTTGGAAATGAAATAAAGATGAATTGTAATTCTTTATGAAAAAAATGGGTTTTATTTCAGACCTGGTTTCTCATCATCTCTTTTGGCACATGCTACAAGGCACTGTGAAGAAAAACTACGCATAGCCTGAGTAAAGAAACATCTCATATTCTTTTTACACTCAACCTCCTTGCCAAGAATAAGAAAAACACATGTGATACAGATGGAATCCTGCACTTTCTATAATAATTTTAATTATAATATCTTAATAAACAGGTTGTATCAAGTCGCAAATATATCTTAAGTATATATTTACCATATAAATATATCGATCTGTCTACTTATCTAATCTTTTATTGACTTTCTTTACTTGCACAGTCACCATCAGGAATTTATTTGATGTAAAATTTACTGTAAAATCAAGATCTGAGCTTCCAATACTGGGAAGCCTTCAATTGGAGAGTTAGGAGCTATGCTAGGCATGTTACAAACATCATCCCACGTAGTATCCAAAACAACCAAATGAGTTCATTATTACTGTACCCACATGTCAAATAAGTTATCCAAAGTGCACATAGGTAGGTGAATAAAACATGATTTGAAAATGGCTTTGTCTGATTCCAAAGTGAATGTTTGTTCCCTGCTTCCTCTCAGTTTTAATTGGCAGTGTATTTTCGAATCTTTTAAATGTGTTTTTTTTTCTGATAACAAAAGTAACACATAAGTGTGGTGGGCAGAATTCTAAAGGTGCCTTCCCTCCCCAAGATTCTCATCACTGGTTATTCAATCAAACATGAACTGAGGTACTACTATGATGGGTTTCTACACATACAATTCAAGTTTCAAGTAAATTGACTTCAATAGATGGAGATTATCTGAGTGGACCTGACCTGATCAGGTGAACCCTTTAAAAGCACTGAGTTTCTCTGGCTGCTCATAGAAGTGGAAGACAGAGAGATTTGAATCATGAGGGAGATTCAATGTGAGAAATCCTGCTGCTCACTGTTGAGACCAGACCTACAAGAAGGCCCATAACAAGGGACTGTGAGAAGCCTGTAGGAGATGAGCCTGATACTCCAGCTGAGAAATGGGATTCCAATCCTATAACCATAACAAACTGATGTAACGTAAGTCCCATCTGAGCAGAAGCTTTAAATGTTACTGTGTGGTTCAGATTAAGCTCATAGTTCACGCTCTTCCTTTTTAGGACAAGAATAGGAACGCCTAACACAGGGGCTGTTCCTTTAGCCAAGGTCCCGGAATCAGAACATATATGGAACTAAATCAGAAGTAAGGAAAACTAAGCAGAGTCACAGTAGCTACCAGTGCCCTGAAACTTATAACATGTAATGCAATTTCAAAGTAGATGTTTTTTGTAAGTCATTGAGATTTGGGGGCTGTTATTGAGAAGAAATACAGGCACAATACACTGTTTTCATCCTGCTTTTTCACTTAGTATTTTGTAATATATCAGTTATCTATTGCCACTTAAAAATGTCAGCACAAACTTAGTTGATTGAAAGAATACATACTTATCATCACACAGTTTTTAGGGATCGGGAGTTTGATAACAGCTTAACTGGATCCTCTCTTTCAGCATCTCACAAAGCTGCAGTCAAGATGTTAGCCAATGGTGTGGTCTTATCTGAGGCTCAACCAGAGGAGAATTTCCTCTCAAGCTCCAGTGGTTGCTGGCAGCATTCCATTTTTTGCAGGCTATCAGACTAAGGGCCAAAATTTCTCAATGGCCATCTGCTGAAGATACCCTTCACTTTTTTGCCATGTGGCTTTCTCTATAGGAAAATCTCATGTCAATTTGCTTTATCAAATCCAGAAAGGGAATTTATGTCCTCTAGTAAGATTGGTGCTATGAACTGTGGAGCATTATCACAATAAAGATATTCTGTCACATGTGCTGTATTTTATTGATTATATGAAAGCCATAGTTACTAACCATACTCAAGGGGAAAGATTATACAAAGGCGTAAACTCCAGGAGGAAGGGATCATGAGGGACCACCTTACAGCCTGTTCACCGCAGATAGAATTTCTCATGTTACTAAGCATTCTTCAAAAAGGATGCTTTCTGCATTTATTAAAATGTTCATGTATATTTTTCTTTATTTTGTGATTGTCATAAAATATGACAAATGGTTTTTCTAGGGTTCACAAAATATATAAATTTTAGTGTTTACACAAGACCTCATATGAATGGATAATAATGTAATTAATCAGTGTATTGTTCAATAATTAGATGGTTTACTACTTTTAATTATTTGAATTATTCTGATAATTGTGTACATCCATTTTTTCCACATATTTACTTATTTTCTTTATATTGCTAGATGACTACTAAATCAAAGAATATGACTTCTTTTAATGGCCTTAATGAATACTGTCACAATAATTTCCAGAAATGTATAACAATTTACAATTCAAATGCCCATCAGTAATGCACTGTCTTACCGTAACTCAGCATGTGTGTGTCTCTTCACTAACAATAGGATTCTATACCACAAAATTGCTAAAGATTCTGCCAAAAGTCCCCTAGACCTAATAAATGACTTTGGTAAAGTTTCAGGTTACAAAAGCAATGTACAAAAATTAGCAGCATTTAGTTTTTTTCTTTTTTTTTAAATTTTACTTTAAGTTTTGGGATACATATGCAGAACATGCAGGTTTGTTACACAGATATATGTGTGCCATGGTGCTGCTGCACCTATTGACCCATCTTCTAAGTTCCCTCCCCTCACCCTCCACCCCTCAACAGGCCCCAGTGTGTGTTGTTCCCCTCTCTGTGTCCATGTGTTCTCATTGTTCAACTCCCACTTATGAGTGAGAACATGCGGTGCTTGGTTTTCTATTCCTGTGTTAGTTTTCTGAGAATGATCATTTTCAGCTTCTGATTTTTTGAGATACGTTCTATCAATACCTAGTTTATTGAGAGTTTTTAGCATGAAGGGGTGTTGAATTTTATTGAAGGCCTTTTCTGCATCTATTGAGATCATCATGTGGTTTTTGTCATTGGTTCTCTTTATGTGATGAACTACGTTCATTGATTTGAGTATGTTGAACCAGCCTTGCATCCCAGGGATGAGGCTGACTTGACCGTGGTGGATAAGCTTTTTAATGTGCTGCTGGAATCAGTTTGCCGATATTTTATTGAGAATTTTCACATCAATGTTTATCAGGGATATTGGCCTGAAATTTTCCTTTTTAATTGTGTCTCTGCCAAGTTTTGGTAACAGGATGATGCTGGACTCATAAAATGTGTTAGGGAGAAGTCCCTCTTTTTCTATTGTTTGGAATAGTTTCAGAAGGAATGGTACCAGCTCCTCTTTGTATCTCTGGTAGAATTCGGCTGTGAATCTGTCTGGTCTTAGGCTTTTTTTGCTTGGTAGGCTATTAATTACTGCCTCAATTTCAGAACTTGTTATTGGTCTATTCAAGGATTCGACTTCTTCCTGGTTTCATCTTGGGAGGGTGTATGTGTCTAGGACTTTAACCATTTCTTCTAGATTTTCTAGTTTGTTTGCATAGAGGTGTTTATAGTATTCTCTGATGTTAGTTTGTATTTCTGGGGGATCAGTGGTGATATTCCCTTTATCACTTTTTATTGCGTCTATTTGATTCTTCTCTTTTCTTCTTTATTAGTCTGGCTAGTGGTCTACCTAGTTTGTTAATCTTTTCAAAAAACCAGCTCCTGGATCCCTTGATTTTTTGAAGGGATTTTCATGTCTCTATCTCCTTCAATTCTGCTCTGATCTTAGTTATTTCTTCTCTTCTGCTAGATTTTGAATATGTTTGCTCTTGCTTCTCTAGTTCTTTTAATTGTGATGTTAGGGTGTCAATTTTAGATCTTTCCTGCTTTCTCCTGTGGGCATTTAGTGCTGTAAATTTCCCTCTAAACACTGCTTTAGCTGTGTCCCCAGGATCCTGCTACCGGTAGTGTCTTTGTTCTCATTGGTTTCAAATAACTTATTTATTTCTGCCTTCATTTCGTTATTTACCCAGTAATCATTTAGGAGAAGGTTGTTCAGTTTCCATGTAGTTGTGCGGTTTTGAGTGAGTTTCTTAATCATGAGTTCTAATTTGATTGCACTGTAGTCTGAGAGATGGTTTGTTTTGATTTCTGTTCTTTTGCATTTGCTGAGGAATGTTTTACTTCCAATTTTATGGTCGATTTTAGAATACGTGTGATGTGGTGCTGAGAAGAATGTATATTCTGTTGATTTGGGGTGGAGAGTTCTGTAGATGACTATTAGATATGCTTGGTCCAGAGCTGAGTTCAAGTCCTGAATATCCTTGTTAATTTTCTGTCTCATTGATCTGTCTAATATTGACAGTGGGGTGTTAAAGTCCCCCTCTACTATTGTTTAGGAGTCTAAGTCTCTTTGTAGATCTCTAAGAACTTGCTTTATGAATCTGGGTGCTCCTGTATCAAGTGCATATATAATTAGGATAGTTAGTCCTTCTTGTTCCATTGATCCCTTGACCATTATGTAATGCCCTTCTTTGTCTTTTTTTTGTCTTTGTTGGTTTATAGTCTGTGTTATCAGAGACTAGGATTGCAACCCCTGTTTTTTTTTTCTGCTTTCCATTTGCTTGGTAAATATTCCTCCATCCCTTCATTTTCAGCCTATGTGTGTCTTTGCACGTGAGATGGGTCTACTGAATACAGCACACTGATGGGTCTTGACTCTTTATCCAATTTGCCAGTCTGTGTCTTTTAATTGGTTCATTTAGCCCATTTATATTTAAGGTTAATATTGTTATGTGTGAATTTGATCCCGTCATTATGATGCTTGCTGGTTACTTTGACCGTTAGTTGATGCAGTTTCTTCATAGTGCTAATGGACTTTACAATTTGGTATGTTTTTGCAGTGGCTGGTACCAGTTTTTCCTTTCCATATGTAGTGCTTCCTTCAAGAGCTCTTGTAAGGCAGGCCTGGTGGTGACAAACTCTCTCAGCCTTTGCTTATCTGTAAAGAATTTCATTTCTCCTTCACTTATGAAGCTTAGCTTGGCTGGATATGAAATTCTGGGTTGAAAATTCTTTTCTTTAAGAATGTTGAATATTGGCCCCCACTCTCTTCTGGCTTGTAGGATTTCTGAAGGGAGATCCACTATTAGTCTGATGGGCTTCCCTTTGTGGGTAACCCCATCTTTCTCTCTGGCTGCCCATAACATTTTTTTCCTTAAATTCTACCTTGGTGAATCTGTTGATTATGTGTCTCAGGGTTGCTCTTCTTGAGGACTATCTTTGTGGTGTTCTCTGTATTTCCAGAATTTGAATGCTGGCCCATCTTGCTGAGAGGTGACAGCATGCTGGCAGCCCTCACTCGCTCTCGACACCTCCTCAGCCTCGGCGCCCACTCTGGCCATGCTTGAGGAGCCCTTCAGCCCACGGCTGCACTGTGGGAGCCCCTCTCTGGGCTGGCCGAGGCCAGAGCCGGCTCCCTCTGCTTGTGGGTAGGTGTGGAGGGAGAGGCGCGGGTAGGAACCAGGGCTGCACATGGCACTCGCGGGCCAGCGCAAGTTCCAGGTGGGTGCAGGCTCGGCAGGCCCTGCACTTGGATCGGCCCCGGGCAGTGAGGGGTGTAGTACCTGGGCCAGCAGCTGTGGAGGGTGCACCAGGTCCCCCAGCACTGCCGGCCCGCACCACGCTCAAATTCTCACCAGGCCTCAGCCACCTCCCTGCGGGGCAGGACTTGGGACCTGC